>NC_000023.11:95587542-96212542 GCF_000001405.40 Homo sapiens | reverse complement strand
GTGGAGGTAATTGAATTATATAGGCGGTTCCTCCATGCTGTTCTCATGATAGTGAGTGAGTTCTCATGAGATCTGATGGTTTTATAACGGGCTCTTTCCTCGACCTTGGGAATAAGGTGCCTTCCTTCCCTTCCACCATGATTGTAAGTTTCCTGAGGCCTCCCCAGGCACGTGGAACTATGAGTCAATCAAGCCTCTTTCCTTTATAAATTACCCAGTCTCAGGTAATTTATAAAGTGTGAGAATGGATGTAATTTAGCAGTGTGAGAATGGATGAATGTATTCCTCTTTATATGTCCTTTTATTTTAGCCTTTTCTCTTCACCATTAACTTCCAAATAAGCATAGAAAACACATTATAAGTGACAACACTAGAGGTCAGAGCAAGACTTCCTGCTTGTGAAAGTAGGTAAGATTTCATTGACATGGAAGGAAAAGCTGGAGGGGAAAGCAAAGATAGTTTGTGGATGGAGGGTTAGATCCTCTACATATTTATATAGATGTAGAGGTGCATCTACTTCATGAAGGTCCCAATATTTAGCATTGCATGTGGAATTATTGATTCAAATTGAAACCTATTTTCCAAGAATCTTCAACTTCCTGATATTTATTAACTCTTAACACAGCATAAAAATGAGGGAGCAATTTCACACAAAAGTTGCCAGATATAAGAAGAAATGAACAAGATAGAATATAGAGTCACAATGTTATTAAATTAATAATAGTAGGGTTTTTTTTGTATTTACAATGTAAATTAGGTTCTATGGCAGAGAAAAAGTATGCTATAGAAAGTCCATCTTAATAGAACTTATAATATTTTTAGGATATAAGATAGAGGATTAATATATATAACATTAATAAATTCTATGTGACTGTAAATGTTACAGTGGCATCATCAATCCAACAATGCTCTAAATTCTCTAGGAGGCCAAATTGGGAAAAGATCACTGTTTTTAAGGAAGATTAAAAATTGCTTCACAATGCATAGTCTTTGGAATCAAATACATCTTATTTTAATCTTGGCTCTATACTTACTATTTGTGTAATCTTAGGCATCTTAAATAACCCCACTGAGCCTCATCCTTATCATTTGTAAAGGAGGGATGATACTAGTGCCTACTTCATTGGGTTGTTCTGAGGATTTTATAAAATAATGCATGTTAAACAGCAAGCACAATGGTTGTTACATAGAAAAGCTTCTTTAAATATAGATGTTAAGGAGGGGGTAGGACATGAGAAAGTTTTTGAAAGAGTTTGATAGGTAAAAAGAATGGAAGAAGGCATCTCATATCAAGGTAAAAGATGAGCTCTGTCACAGAAGTAGGAATGGCTTATTATTATTATTTTTTGAGATAGAGTTTTTCTCTGTTGCCCAGGCTGGAATGCAGTGGTGTGATATTGGCTTACTGCAGCCTGGACCTCCTTGGCTCAGGTGATCCTCCCACCTTAGCCTCCCAAGTAGCTGGGACTGCAGGCACAAGCCACCATGCCTGGCTAAGTTTCTAATTTTTTGAAGAGACTGAGGCATCACTAAGATGTCCAGAGTGGTCTTGAACTCCTGGGCTCCAGCAGTAATGTTGTCATCTCAATGAAAGGACAGAAGTGCTAGAATTAGAGGTGTGAGCCACTGTGCCCAGCCCAGGGATGGCTTATTTAGGGGGCAATTACATGGGTACTGGTAGAACTAGAACATTCTCTCAGGAGAATTAGGTTTTAAATATACATTGGAATGGTAGTAATCACAGTAAGGAGTCATAGTAAGTTTCCTTGAGATGTTAGGGTAAAAAGTCAGAAAAAGCTTACCATTTGAGCATCAGACTAATTCAGTTCAGCACCTAGCGATAGGATTATTTATAGAC
The DNA here is from genome assembly GCF_000001405.40 of Homo sapiens. Classification (NCBI taxonomy): domain Eukaryota; kingdom Metazoa; phylum Chordata; class Mammalia; order Primates; family Hominidae; genus Homo; species Homo sapiens. Next base: position 96,210,684 of record NC_000023.11, on the reverse strand, counting down.
GTGATGTACAGATACCATTTGTTATGGAAGAGTTTTAGAAAACACATTAGTGTAATCAAGAGCTCCCCAGTTTCTCTCAGACTAATCAAGGTGATCAGGGTATATCTGTAGATTGAATTTGTAACTAAAGAAAACTACACCCTAATTAAAGAAATAATTTTCTCAATGAAAGGACAGAAGTGCCGAGATTTGTATGGGGTCCCCCAGAATGCTAGAAGAATAATGAGAAGTCATGGAAAGTTTGAGAATGGATGAATAACATAAATAATTGTTTTGATAGCTTAGCCAGGAGTAGTGGGAAGAATGAGCTGGACGAGCAAAACATTGGAGTCAGGGAGAGAAATTAGAGGGCAATAATTCTTAACATTTTTGTTAGCCCAATTCACAAATACACTTTGACATCATTTGTTCTGAAAAATACCGTAAAATATAACTTAACAATTTAATGACCAATTTAGAATCTTAATTCTTCTATAAATATAGGCCTAAGTCATTTGTGAAACTTCATTTTTTCTGGCTGAGGGCCACCAACTTATTTCTGATTACTTTTTTGTGAAATAAATGTGTATCTTCAGTTGAAAAATATTAAAACTATTACCCATGTACCCACTATTAAGTTTAAGACATAGATTGTTACCAGAACCTTAGAAACCCCTGTACATCCCTGTGCCAATTGTGACCCTCTCCTGGAGGTAGCCACTACCCTGATTAATAAAAGTTCTCTTGATTATAATTATTGTTTATTACCTATGTATTTGCAAAGACATGTTACTTTTCTTATTTCAGTACTTTATAGAAATATAATCATACTCTTCTGTGATTTGCTTTGTTTTCTCAACTTTATAATTTGTAAATTCATCAATGTTAATATGCACAGCTGTAGTTCATTTATTTTTACAGCTGTGTACTATTCTATTATGTGACTATACCTAACTTCGTTAGCCGGTCTACTATGCTTAGACATTTGGTCGTTTCAAGTATTTTTTTTCCTATGATGACAATAAGTCTGTACCAGCCTCAGTTTGTATGTCATACTTCAGATCTGTTAGTTCCTCTTTCCCAACCCTTCCCGACTTCTGTGCTTCCCTAGGGACAGCTCACACTGTTTTTGTGATCATAAAGCCTAGGAGCTGTTTTTATATACCACAGACTAAGCAGCACACATGTGTGGCACTAACTGGCAAGAAGAGGCTATCATGCTGTGCACCAACTGGATTACATCATGAGGGCTCTGGCTTCCATGTTGATTACTTGAAAGAATCAGGTGACACAACATGGAGAAGGCTGCAGCCAATTACCTGCAGCGCAGTCTTACACCAAGATGAGATGAGAGAGAGGAAGGAGATAACAGATACCTTGATCTCTCTTTGTCTCTCTCTCTCTTCCAACAGACAATTTTTAAGATGAGGTAGTTTCATATAGCCTCTTTGAAGACACTACATGAGACTGAACAATGTATTAATGTTTGTTGAAAAGCTATGGCCAGTTCATGAATGTATTTGCACTCCTATCTTTCTTACCTCACTGTAATTTTTTTAAATTGTTGCTATTACCCCTATTTTATTATTTATTATTTTAAAACATTTTTGTGGGTACACAGTAGGTGTATATATTTAAGGGGTATATGAGATATTTTGATACAGGCATGCAATGTGAAATAATAACATCATGGAGAATGGGGTGTCCATCCCCTCAAGCATTTTTCCTTTGAGTTACAAACAATCCAGTCACACTCTTTAAGTACTGTAAAATGTCCAATTAAGTTATTATTGACTATAGTCATCCTATTGTAACTATCAAATAGAAGGTCTTATTCATTCTATTTTTTGTATCTATTAACCATCCCAAACTTTCCCCCACCCAGGCCCCCACTACACTTCCCAGCCTCTGGTAACAATCCTTCTACTCTCTATGTCCATTAATTCAATTGTTTTAATTTTTAGATCCCACAAATAAGTGAGAACATGTGATGTTTGTCTTTCTGTGTCTGGCTTGTTTCACCTCACATAATGATTTTCAGTTCTATCCATGTTCTTGCAAATGACTGGATCTCAATCTTTCTTATGGCTGAATAGCACTCTGTTGTGTATATGTACCACATTTGCTTTATCCATTTATCTGTTGAGGGATGCTTAGGTTGCTCCCAAATCTAAGCTATTGTAAAAAAGTGCTGTAACAAATATGGGAGTGGAGAGAGTGGAGATATTTCTTTGATATAATAATTTTCTTTTTTTTGGGTATGTACCCAGAAGTGGGATTGCTGGATAGTATGGTAGCTCAATTTTTAGTTTTTAGAGGAATCTCCAAACTGTTCTCCATAAGGGTTGTACTAAGTTAATATCCCACAAGCAGTGTACAAGCATTCCACTTTCTCCACATCCTTGCTAGCATTCGTTATTGCCTGTCATTTGGATATAAGCTATTTTAACTGGGGTGAGATGATATCTCATTGTAGTTTTGATTTGCATTTCTCTGATGATTAATGATGTTGAGCACCTTTTCATATGCCTGTTTGCCATTTGTATGTCTTCTCTGGAAAAACGTCTATTCAGAACTTTTGTTCATTTATTGATTGAATTATTAGATTTTTTTCCCATAAAGTTGTCTGAACTCCTTATATATTCTAGTTATTAATCCCTCATCAGATGGGTAGTTTGCAAATATTTCCTCCCATTCTGTGGGTTGTCTCTTCACTTTGTTGATTGTTTCCTTTGCTGTGCAGAAGCTTTTTCACCTGATGTGATCTCATTTGTGCATTTTTGCTTTGGTTGCCTGGCTTGTGCACTATGGCTCAATAAATCTTTGCCTAGAACAATGTCCTCAAGATTTTCCCCAATGTTTTCTTGTAGCAGTTTCATAGTTTGAGGTCTTACATTTAAGTCTTTAATTCATTTTAATTTGATTTTTGTATATGGCAAGAGATAATGGTCTAGTTTTTTCTTCTGCATATGGATATCCAGTTTTGACAGCAAAATTTATTGAAGAGACTGTCTTTCTCCAGTGTATATTCTTGGCCCCTTTGTTGAAAACAAGTTCACTGTAAGTATGTGGATTTGTTTCTAGGTTCTCTGTTCTGTCCCTTTGGTGTATGTGTCTGTTTTTATGCCAGTACCATGCTATTTTGGTTGCTATAGCTCTGTAGTATAATTTGAAGTCAAGTAATCTGATTTCTCCAGTTTTGTTTTTTTTACTTAGGATAGTGTTGGCTATTATGGGTCTTCTGTGGTTTCATATACATTTTATAATTTTTTTTTGTTTCTGTGAAGACTGTCATTTGTATTTTGATAGAGCTTGCATTGAATCTGTATGTTGTTTTGAGTATGAACATTTTAACAATATTGAGTCTTCCAATCCATGAACATGAAATTTTTTCCATTTTTTTGGTGTCCTCTTCAATTTCTTTCATCAGTGTTTTGTAGTTTTCATTATAGAGATCTTTTACTTCTTTGGTTAAGCTAATTCCTAGGTATTTAATAGTATTACTTTTTATTTATTTATTTATTTTTATTTTATTTTTGAGATGGAGTCTCCTTCTGTCACCAAGGCTGGAGTGCAGTGGTGCGATCTCGGCTCACTGCAACCTCCACCCCACTGGTTCAAGAGATTATCCTGCCTCAGCCTCCCAAGTAGCTGGGATTACAGTGCGCACCACCACACCTGGCCAATTTTTTGTACTTTTAGTAGAGATGGGGTTTCACCATATTGGCCAGGCTGGTCTCAAACTCCTGACCTCAAGTGATCTGCCTGTCTCAGCCTCCCAAAGTGCTGGGATTACAGGCATGAGCCACCATGTCCAGCCTTTTATTTCTTTTTCATGTTGTTCACTGTTGGCATATAGAAATGTTACTAAATTTTATATGTTGATTTTGTATCCTGCAACTTTACTGAATTTATTAGTTCTAATAGTTTTCTTGTGGAGTCTGTAGGTTTTTCCAAACATAACATCATATTATCTGCAAAGAAGGATAATTGACTTCTTCATTTCCAATTTGGATGCCCTTTATATCTTTCTCTTCTTTGATTGCTCTAGCTAGGACTTCCAGTACTATGCTGAATAACAGTGATGACAGTGAGCATTCTGGTTGTGTTTCAGATCTTAGAGGAAAGGCTTTCGGTTTTCCCCATTTAGTATCGTTCTGTCATATATGGCTTTAATTATGTTGAGGCATGTTCCTTCTATTCCCAGTTTTTCGAGGGCTTTTATTGTGAAAGGATGTTGACTTTTATCAAATGTTTTTTCAGCGTCAACTGAAATGATCATATGGTGTTTATGCTTCATTTCTGTTGATATGATGTATCACATTGATTGATTTGCATATGTTGAACCATTTTTTCATCCCAGGGATAAATCGCACTTGGTCATGATGCATGATCTTTCTAATGCATTGTTGAATTCAGTTTGCTAGTATTTTGTTGAAAATTTTTGTGTCAATATTCATCAGGTACCTTGACCTATAGTTTTTTAAAATGTATCTTTGTTTGGATTTGGTATCAGGGTAATATGGCCTTGTAGAATGAGTTTGGAAGTATTCTCTTCTCTATTTTTTGGAATCGTTTGAGTAAGATTGGTATTAGTTATTCTTTAAATGTTTGTAGAATTTGGTAGTGAAGCCATCAGGTCCCAGGCTTTTCTTTACTGGGAGAGTTTTTATTATGACTTCAATCTCATTAGTTGTTATTTGCCTGTTCAGGTTTTGGATTTCTTCCTGGTTCAACCTTGGTAGGTTGTATGTGTCTAGGAATTTGTCCATTTCTTCTAGATTTTCCAATTTATTGGCATACAGTCACTTATAGTAGCCACAAACGATCCTTTGAATTTCTGCACTATCAGTTGTAATGTCTCCTTTTTCATTTCTGATTTTGTTTGTTTGAATCATCTCTCTGTTTATCTTGGTTAGTCTGGCTAAAGGTTTGTCAGTTTTGTTTGTCTTTTCAACAAAACAACTTTTTGTTTAATTGATCTTTAGTATGGTTTTTCTCATTTCAATTTCCTTTACTTCTCTGATCTTTATTATTTTTTCTTCTGCTAATTTTGGGTTTGGTTTGTGTTTGATTTTCTAGTTCTTTAAGATGCATTATTACATTGTTCAAGGTTTTTGTCTTTTTTGATGTAGGCCCTTATAGCTATAAACTTGCCTCTTAGTACTGCTTTTGCTATATCCCATAGGCTTTGGTATGTTTTGTTTCCATTATCATTTTTTTCAATTTTTTTTTCTCAGTTTTCCTCTTAATTTCTTCATTGACCTACTTGTCATTCAGGAGCATATTGTTTAATTTCCATGTATTTGTATAGTTTACAAAATTCCTCTTGTTATTAATTTCTAGTTTTATTCTATTGTGGTCAGAGATGATGCTTGATATTATTGCAATTTTTTGGAATGATTTAAGACTTGTTTATGACTTAACCTATGGTCTATCTTTGAAAATGATCCATGTGCCAAGGAAAAGAATGTGTATTCTGCAGCCATTGGATAAAATGTTCTGTAAATATCTACTAGATCCATGTGGTCTGTAGTGCAGACTTTGATCTTTCTTTGTTGATTTTTCTCTCTGAAAGGTCTGCCAATGGTGAAAGTGGGGTGTGGCATTCTCCAGCTCTTATTGTATTGGAGCCTATCTCTCTCTTTAGCTCTAATAATACTTGCTGTATATAACTGGGTGTTCTAGTGTTGGGTGCATATATATTTAAAATTGTTATATCTTCTTGCTGAAATGACCCCTTTATCATTATATAGTGAACTTCTTTGTCTACTCTTATAGTTTTTGTCCTGAAATCGACTTTATCTGATATAAATATAGTGACTCCTTCTTTTTTATGGTTTCAATTGGCATGCCGTATCTTTTTCCATTCCTTTATTTTCAGTCAATGTGTGTCTTTATAAGTAAAGTGTGTTTCTTGTAGGTATCAAATCATGGGATCTTGTTTTTTTAACCGTTTAGCCACTGTGTGTCTTTTGATTGGAGAGTTTAGTTCATTTACACCACTTGCTTATTTGTTTTCTGGTCTTCTCTTTCTTCTTTCTGTCCTTCCTGTCTTCCTCTAGTGACAGTAATTTTCTTGGGTGATATGATTTAGTTTCTTGATTTTTATTTTTTGTGTAACCATTGTAAGTGTTTTGGTTTGAGGTTACCATGAGGCTTACAAACACTATCTAATAACCCATTATTTTAAGCTGATAGCAACTTAATACTGTTTGCATAAACAAGCAAATAACCACCAAAAAGACCACAAATAAACATCTAGGTTTTAACTTTGTTCTCCCCTGCTTTTAAACTTTTTGTTGTTTTTGTTTATATCTTATTGTACTATGTCTTGAAAATTTGTTGTAGTTATTATTTTTGAATTGTTTATCATTTAGTCTTTCTACTTAGGATAAGCATAGTTTACACACCACAGTTAAAGTGTTATAATATTCTGTTTTTCTGTATACTTAGTATTACCAGTGAAACTTGTAACTGCCGGTAATTGTTTATTGCTCATTAATGTTTTTTTTCTTTCTGGTTAACATACTCTCTGTAGCATTTTTTGTGGGATCCGTATGGTATTGATGCAATCTTTCAGTTTTTGTTTGTCTGGGAGGTCTTTATTTCTCCTTCAGGTTTGAAGGATGTTTTGCCAGATACACTATTCTAGAGTAAAAGTTTTTTTTCCCCTCCAGCAGTTTAAATATATCATGTCATTCTCTCCTGGCATGTAATATTTCCATTGAGAAGTCTGCTGCAAGACATATAGGAGCTCCATTGTATGTTATTTGTTTCTTTTCTCTTGCTGCATTTAGGATATTTTCTTTATCATTGACCTTTGGGAGTTTGATTATTAAATGCCTTGTGGTATACATTTTTTGGGTTAAATCTGCTTAGTGTTTTATTACCTTGTATTTGGATAATCATATCCTTCTCCAGGTTTGGGTAGTTCTCTATTGTTACCCTATCTCTTCCTCTTCTTTAAGGTCAATAACTCTTAGATTTGGCCTTCTGAGGTTATTTTCTATATCCTGTAGGCATGCTTCATTGTTGTTTATTCTTTTTTCTTTTGTTTCCTTTGACTGTGTTTTCAAATAGTCTGTCTTCAAGCTCACTAATTCTTTCTTATGCTTGATTAATTCTGCTATTAAAGAACTCTGATGCATTCTTCAGTATGCCAATTGCATTTCTCAGCTCCAGAATTTCTGCTTGATTTTTTAAATTATTTCAATTTCTTTGTTATATTTCTCTGATATAATTCTTAATTCCTTCTTTTTGTGATCTTGAATTTCACTGAGTTTCCTCAACACATCTATCTTGAATTTTCTGTCTAAAAGGTCACATATCTCTGTTTCTCCAGGATTGGTCCCTGGTGACTTATTTATTTCATTTGGTGAGGTTATGTTTTTCTGGGTGGTATTAATGCTTGTAGATGTTCTTCAGTTTCTAGACATTATAAATTTAGGTATTTATTTTACTCTTCACTGTCTGGGCTTGTTTGTACCTACCTTTTTGGAAAGGCTTTCCAGATATGTCCAAGGACTTGGGTATTGTGATCTAAGCTATATCTGTTTTAGGGAGCACCCCAAGCCCAGTAATGGTGTGGTTCTTGCAAAGTCATAGAGGTACTGACTTGATGGTCTTGGACAAGATGGGGGATAATTAATTCTCTGGATTACCAGGAAGAGACTCTTGTTCTTTTCTCTTACTTTCTCCCAAACATACAGTCTCTCTTTTGTTCTGAGACACCTAAAGCTTGGAGTGGAGTGCATGAGCACCCCTGTGGCTAACATGAGTGTGACTCTGCTAGGTCATATCTGAAGCCAGCACAGCATTGAGTCTCACTGAAGGCCTGCTGTAATCACTCCCTCGTTACTACCTATGTTTGCTGAATGCCCTGGGGATCTACAATTGGTTGGTGGCCAAGCTAGCCAGCCCTGTATTCTTCCCTTAAGGGCAACAAGGTCCACCAGGTTCTGGGTGGGTCCAGAAGTCCCATCTGGGAGTCAGGAACTAGTCGAAACCCTTAGAAGTCTACCTGGTATTGTATTGCAGCTGAGCTCCACTCAAACCACAAGATGGAGACCTTCCCACTCTTCCCTTCCCTTTCCAAAGGCAGAAGAGCCTCACCTTGTACTCCCTGCCACCCAGGGCCATTAGGCGTACTCACAAACCACCAATGATGTACCCTTAGGGCCCAAGGTCTCTTAAGTCAGCTTGTGGTATGTGTTCCTGGACTGGGACTCGCCCTTCAGGGCAGTGGGCTCCCCTCTGGCCCAGAGCAGGCCTAGAAATGCTGTCCAAGAGTAAAGTCATTGAACTGGGGACCTCAGGAGCCCACTTGTTGCCCTATCTTCCTGTAGTTGTGCTGGTCCTTAAGGTGTGATGCAAAGTCTCCTTTACTTTTCCCTCTGCTTTTCTCAAGAAGAAGGAGATTTGCCCCATATTCACCACAGCTGGTAATGTGTTGAGTCTCACCTGAAGCAAGCAAATCTCAGAGGCTCATCCAAGGCCCTTGATGTAGCACTTGGGTATTGCTGGTGGTTATTCATGGCCCAAGAACTCTTCAGTTAGCAGATGATGAATGCTTCCAGGACTGGGTCCCTTCCTTCCAGGCAGCCGGTATTTTTCTTGCTCACGGTGTGTCTAGAAATGTTTTCTGGGAGTGAGGGCCTTGAATGGGGGCCTCATGACTCTGACTATCATGCTGTGGCCCTATCATGCTGTGGCTGAGCTGGTATCCTAGATGAAAGGCATAGTCCTCCCCGCTCTTCCCAGTCCTTTGCTCAAGCAGAAGAAAGGGTTCTCTTTTGGAGCTGCAAGTTTTGCATCCTGGGGTTAAGCAAGGAGTGATGTCAGCACTCCCTTGGCTGGCTGCCCCACCTTGTGTCTCAGAATGTTGCGTTCCCCCTCTGCCCCCACACCCCAGGGCATGGTCTCCTGGGCCTAGTTCAGCACTAGGACTTGCCTAAGAGTTTCAGTACTTACGGCCTAAACTACCTTTAAGTTTACTTGGAGACAGAGAGTGCTATTGCACATGGTAGTGAGGTTTGCAGGGACTCAAGTTCAGACAGCTGGGATTGGCGATTCACCTTTGGCTTAGGCTTGATTCTCTTTCCCTGGGCGGGTGTCAGCTGAGTTTGGTCAGGTTTTCCTTTCTGCTTTAACAGGACAGCACTGAGTTCAATGCCTCACAATTGCCGCGTTCTCCCTCCTTTAGCACCCAGAGATGCTTTCTGCATCACATTGCTGCTGCCAGGGGTTGGGGGAGGCATTGCAGGTATCAGCAATTCAGAACTGTCTTTTTCTATCTCCTCAGTGTCTCTTCCAGTGATATGAAGTTAAAACTAGGTACTATGAGAGCTACCCTGATTTTTGGTTCTCATGAAGGTATTTTGTTCTGTGTAGATAGTTGTCAAATTGGTGTCCTTGTTGAGTGGGGCATGATCCGTGGAGCTTTCTATTCTGCTATCTTGTTCTGCCGTCGTCTCATCACTTTTGAAAACCACTTTATATGGTATGTTTTAGATAATTCACTTCACTTTTTTTTTTTTTTATCACTTCTGCTTCCCTGTGATTGCATCTCCCAGCAAAGCCTGAGCACAAATCTTTTGTCTCAGTTTCTATTTTCCAAGGGATCTGGCCTAAGACAGGTGCAAAGAGCATTTTAAAACTTTGTGTGTTTGTGTGTGTGCACATGTGCAGTGTGTCCTCAGAATATATACCTAAGAGTAGAATTGCTGAATTGTAGCTATGTATTCTCAGATTTACTAAGCAATGCCAAAGTGTTTCCCAAACTGTGTACACTTTCACTAGCAGTATATGAGAGTTACTGTGCTTTACAACCTCTCCAAAATATGATTTTTTTTTTTTTTTGAGATGGAATCTCACTCTGTGGCCCAGGGTGGAGTGCAGTGGTGTGATCTCTGCTCACTGCAACCTTCACCTCATGTTTATGTCTGCCTTATTTCACTTAGCATGATGATTTCCAGGTTCATCCATGTTGTCAAAGTGACAGGATTTCCTTTTAATGGGCGAATAATATTCCATTGTGTGTGTGTGCATACAATATTTTCTTTATCCATTCATGTGTTGACAGACACTTAGGTTGTTTCCATATTTTGGCTATTGGTGTGATTAGTGGGGCAATGAACATGGGGGACAGATATGTCTTTGAGATACTGATTTCATTTCCTTTGGAATATATTCAGAATTGGGATTGCTGGATCCTATCAGAGTTCTATTTTTAATTTTTTGAGGAACCTTCATACTGTTTCCATTATGGTTCTGCCAATTTACATTTACATTTCTGCCAACAGTGTGTAAGTTTCCTTTTCTCCCAACTCATTGCCACTTGTCATGCCTTGTCTTTTTGAAAACAAACATCCCAACAGGTGTGAGGTGATAGCTCATTGTGGGTTTAATTTGTATTTCCTTGATGACTAATGATATTGAGCATCTTTTCACATTTCAGCAGGTGCTGACCATTTGTATGGTTTCTTTGGAAAAATGCTTGTTCAGGTCCTTTGCCCATTTTTTATAACCAGGTTTTCATTTTGTTTTGTTTTCCTGTTTTGGGTTGTGTGAGTTCTTTATACATTTTGGGTGTTAACACTTTATCAGATATATAGTTTGAAAATATGTTCTTTTATTCTGTAGGTTCCATTTTAATATTCTTGATTGTTTTCTGTGCAGAAGCTTTTCAGTTTAATGTAGTCCCACGTGTTTATTTTTGCTTTTGTTACTTGTGCATTTAAGGTCATATCCAAAAAATCACTGCCAAAACCAACATCAAGGAATTTTCTTCTATGTTTTTTTTTTTCTAGGAGTTTCATAATTTAAATCTGTCTAATCCATTTTGAGTTGATTTTTTTGTATAGTGTTAAAAGGGTCCAGTTCCATCCTTTTGCATGTGGATATCCAGTTTTTCCAATACCATTTATTGAAATAACTACCTTTTCCCCATTGGATATTCTTGGTGCCCTTGTCAAAGATTAGTTGATCATATTCATGGATTTATTTTGGGACTGTATTGTATTCCTTTTATCTATGTGTCTGTTTTTATGCTGGTGCCATACTGTTTTCATTACTATAGTAGATTTATAGGATAGTTTGAAATCAGGAAATGTGATGCCTCCAGCTTTGTTCTTCTTTCCCAAGATTACTATGGCTATTCTTGATCCTTGTGTTTCCAGGTGAATTTTAGGATTGATTTTTTTATTTCTGTGAAAAATGCCATTAGAATTTTGTTAGAGATTGCATTAAATCTGTATATCACTTTGGGTAGTATGAACAATTTAACAATATCACTTTTTCTAATCCATAAACATGAGATATCTTTCCACTTATTTGTGTCTTCTTCAATTTCTTTCATCAATGGCATATCCTTTTCAGTGTACAGATTTTTTATCAGCTTGGGTAAACCTATTCCTAAGTATTTTAATCTTTTTGATGCTGTTGTAAATGGAATTCATTTTTGAATTCTTTTTTGGATAATTCATTGTTAGTGTGCAGAAAAACTACTAATTTTTGTATGTTGCCTTTGTATCCTTCAACTTTAGTGAATTCGTTTTTTAGTTATTGTATGTTTTGGCAATCTTTAGGATTTTCTATATATAAGATTATGTCATCTGCCAACATAGACAATTTTAATTTTTTCATCTGCCAACATAGACAATTTTAATTTTTTCATTTCTGTTTTGGATGTCTTTGATTTCTTATTCTTGCCTAATTGCTCCAGCTAGGGTATCCAGTAGTAAGTATGTTGAATAGAAGTGGTGAAAGTGGACACCATTGTCTTGTCTCTGATTTTAGAGGAAAAGTTATCAGTTTTTTATTGTTGAATATGATGTTAACTGTTGGCTTGTCCTATATAACATTTATTATATTGAGGTTTTATCAAGGGGAAGAGTTGGAGCCACCTCAACTCTCCTGCCAGGTCATCAGGAAAGTCATCCACCTCGTAGACACACTCGTCCCATTTCTCCAGCTATTCAGATCAGACAGACTCCTCTTTTCATCTGTAGGAATATTGATGCTCCAAGTAGAGAAGAATTGTGAGTGTGTCTCTTGTGCAAGCCTGAACCTGGAGGGTGCTCCTTTTGCAGGGATGCAGTCACCCAGACATGTTCCAGACATACTGTCTATAGTTACCTTTACCAGCAAATGTTTTTATTTATTTATTTATTTTAGTTTAAGTTCTGGGATAAATGTGCAGAATTTTCAGGTTTGTTACATAGGTATACATGTGCCATGGTGATTTGCTGCATCTATCAACCCATCATCTAGGTTTTAAACCCCATATGCGTCAGGTATTTGTCTTAATGCTCTCCCTCCCTTTGTCCCCCACCCCCTAACGGGCCCCGGTGTGTGACGTTCCCCTCCCTGTGTCTATATGTTCTAATTGTTCAACTCCCACTTATGAATGAGAACATACCAGCAAGTGTTTTGCTTTCTTATGGTATTATGTTGCTGTTTAGGGTCTTTTCATTTCAACTGGAAGAACTCTCTTGTTCATTTCTTGTAAGGCAGGTCTAGTGGTGATAAAATCCTTCAGCTTTAGTTTGCCTGGGAATGTCTTTATCTCTTCTTTATTTCTGAAGAAAAGTTTTGCTGGGTATACAGCCATATCTTGTGTTATTGCACTTCACTTTTTTGCACTTCCCAGATATTGCTTTTTTAAAAAATACAAAGTGAAATTTTGTAGCAACCCTGCATGCAGCAAGTAGTTTATTGAGATGGAGTCTGTTTTTGGTGAAGATGCTGTGAATATTGTTGAAATGACAAAACAGATTTAGAATATTATGTAAAATTAGTTGATAAAGCAGCAGCAGGCTTTGAGAGGATTGACACCAATTTTGAAAGAAGGTCTACTGTGAACAAAATTTTATCAGACAGAATTGCATATCACAGAGAAATCTTTTGTGAAGAGAGGAGTCAGTGGATGTGGCAAACTTTATTGTCTCTTTTCTTTTTCTTTCTTTCTTTTTTTTTTTTTTTTTTGAGATGGAGTTTCACTCTTGTTGCCCAGGCTGGAGTGCAGTGGCGTGATCTCGGCTCACCACAACCTCCGCCTCCCGGGTTCAAATGATTTTCCTGCCTCAGCCTCCCGAGTAACTGGGATTACAAGCATGCACCACCACACCCGGCTAATTGTGTATTTTTAGTAGAGACGGGGTTTCTCCATGTTGGTCAGGCTGGTCTTGCACTCCTGACCTCTGGTGATCTGCCCGCCTTTTGAAGTAGGTGGATTGCCACTACAGACTTTGTGAGACAGTCAAAGAACTGTGAGTTGTCCAGTTCTATGCCCTTGCTGGAGATGCGTTGCGGTCATTTGCAGGAGAAGAAGCAGTCTGGCCTTTTGAATTTTCAGCATTTATGCGTCAATTCTTTCTCATCTTTGTGGACTTATCTACCTTCAATCTTTGAGGTTGCTGACCTTTGAATGGGGATTTTGTGGGGTCTTTTCTGTTGATGTTGTTGTTGCTTTTTCCTGTTTGTCCTATTTTTAACAGTCAGGCCACTCTATTGTAGGACTGCTGTAGTTTGCTGGGGGTCTGCTCCAAACACTAGTTGTCTTGGTTTTTCCCATACCTAGGGGTATCACCAGTGAAGACTGTGGAACAGCAAAAATGCAGCCTGCTCCTTCCTCTGGAAGCTCTGTCCCAGGAGGGTACTGACCTGTTGCTGTCCTGAACAAACCTGTAAGAAGTGGCTGGAGACCCTTGCTTGGAGGCTCACTCAGTCAGGAGGAACAGGATAAGGACTCACTTAAAGCAGCAGTCAGACTTCCCTTTGGTAGAGCAGGTGTGCTGCGTTGTGAGGGGCCCTTCCTTGTCCAGATTGTTTGTACTCTCCAAAGCCAGCAGGCTGGAATGGTTGAATCGACTGACCCACAGAGATGGCAGCCTCCCTTCCCCCCGAGTTCTTTCCCAGGGAAAGATCAGAGGTCTATTTTTAGAAGCCTGGCTGGAATGGCTGAAGCCCCACAGCGAGGTCCCACCCAGTGAGGAGGAATGGATCAGGGTACCGCTTAAAGGAGCAGTCTGTCCATGATCTGGCAAGGCAGCTGTGCTGCATTGTGGGGGACCCTTTTTTGTCTGAACCGTTTGTATTCCCAAAGCAGGCAAGCTGGAATGGCTGAGTCTAGCAAACTGAGGAGATGGCAGCTATCCCTTTCCCCAGGAACTCAGACCCGTTTCAGGAAGATTCCAGCCTGTTGCTGTTGACTGGCTGGAATTCCAAGCCAGTGGGTCTTAACTTGTGAGCTGACATGAAAGTAGGGCTCACAGAATGACGCTTCTTGGCTCTCTGGATTCAGCCCCCTTTCTAGGGATATGTATGGACAGATTTCCTGTCTTACTGGGGATCCTGGGAATGGAGTATGTAAAATTCCTGGGTTTCTGTGTGTGCCTGAGCTGCTGCTCTGCCTAGACTCCACACAGCTCTGTGTATCAGAAGGCCTTTGTGGCATGGGTTCATGAGGGGATCTCCTGATCTGTGGGTTGCAAAGATTCCTGGGCAAAGTGTGGTTTCCCAGGTGGGGTCGCACCATCACTCATTGCTTCCTTTGGCTGGGGTTGGGGATTTCTTTGGTTGCCCCACCCCCCACCCCCTGTGTTTTTTCATTTTTTTGTGGGTTGAGTTGTTTGCCTAGTCAGTCCCAATGCGAGAACCTGGATATCTCAGTTGAAGGTGTTGAATTCACTTGCCCCTTTTCATTCCTCTCTGTGAGTGCCATGGACTGCAGCTGATTCTAATTGGCTATATTGGAGATCCAATGTATTCTTTTCAGACATTTTCCCACCTACTATTATGCCTATTAGATTCATTCTTTTAATGCTTTAGAGTATTTCACTTTGGAAATATACAACAAATCATACTTTGGATACACAAATTTTGTGTTTAATGTGCTGTTACTAAAAATTTGGCATATTTCCTTTTTTTTGCTATCAAAAATAATCCTGCTTTGAGCAGTCTATTTTTTGAAGGGTTTAAAAATATTTTATTTTATGTACAAAAATAGGTAACATGATTTCTTTCATTGGGTATATACCTTGGATAATTCATTCAAAGAAGATCACTTAATGATCTTCCTTGAATAGTCCAACTTAATGAAACCTATATCCTTCAAATACTGATGGAAACACTGGTGGCACACATTGAGGCCGTATTTCTGGATTAAACCATGCCAGTTTGAGTAAACTTGACAAGAGTGAGAACCCTGACTGAATTATTGTGGGTAAACTTCTGGTGACTCATCTTGCTTTTTGGAGTACAATAAAGCAAAAGACTGAACATTCTCATATTTCTCTGGTAGTACATGTGTAAGAGTATCTCTATATAGTAGGTGCAGAAATGTTTATCCACTAAGTTTGTGCAAGGTAACCTTCAATAGAATATGGTAAACTGTTTTAAGTGTTTGTACCAATCTACACTCTCAGTGGGTACAAATTTGCATTCCCATCAGCAGTATATGAGAGTTCTTATAACTTCATACTTGGTCTTTTCTAACTCTTAAATTCCTCAATCTGGTAAGTATAAGATGTATGTAATTTTGTTTTATTATAAGCATTCCATAATTGCTACTAAGATTGGGCTTCTTTTTGTATTTTTTCTTTCCTGATGTGACCATTTAAAGCTATAAATTTATTCTAAGTGTTACTTTATTTACATTCCACATATTTTAATATAAGGAAGTTTCTTTATTATTTAGTTATAAACATATTCTAATCTCCCTTATGATTTCTTTCACCTAATAATTACATTTAAGTGATTGTTAAATTTCCATGCACAGGTATGATGATTAATACTGAGTGTCAACTTGATTGGATTGAAGGATGCAAAGTATTGATCCTGGGTGTGTCTGTAACAGTGTTGCCAAAGGAGATTAACATTTGAGTCAGTGGGCTGGAGAAGAAAGACCCACTCTTAATCTGGTGGGCACAATCTAATCAGCTGCCAGCACAGCTGGAATACAAAGCAGGCAGAAAAATGTGAAAAGGTGAGACTGGCCTAGCCTCCCAGCCTATATCTATCTCCCGTGCTGGATGCTTCCTGCCCTCAAACATCAGACTCCAAGTTCTTCAGTTTTGAGACTCAGACTGGTTCTCCTTGCTCCTCAAGCTTGCAGACAGCCTATTGTGGGACCTCGTGATCATGTAAGTTGGTACTTAATAAACCCTCTTTTATCTATGTATGTATGTATGTATGTATGTATGTATGTATGTATCTATCTATCTATCTATCTATCTATCTATCTATCTATCTATCTACCATCTATCTCCTATTGGTTCTGTCCCTCTAGGGATCCCTGACTAATACAATAGGACATCAAATAACTTCTTAGATCTCCTAATTTTTTTGCCAACAACCACAGTGATTGGCTATCTTTTCGATTTTTTTTACCCCAGCACATAATGAAGTTTGCAATCATTTAGTAAAAGTTAATAATGTAAAAGGGGAAGAAAACCACCTTGAAACAGATGGCAGACAGGCCATTGGGTTCATTCTCAAGGATACTTGTTTTAAATTCATGCCTCAACCAAATTACAAATTATAATGCTTTTTATTAAATAATTTTTATTAAAAATAGGGGAAATATCAAAGTGAACATTAAAAATCTATGAATCTTAGTGGCATTTACTTTGTAAATTTTAATGATCTTTCACATATATCACTTAGTTTGACCCAAAAGTAGTCATGCAAGATAAGTAACAGTATGATTGTGTCATAGATAGCACAGTTCAAAGTTTTTAAGGGCCTGGACTAAGACTGTGGGAGTGTAGATTTGTGTATAAATATGAAGATATTGCAAGGATAGTATCAGTGGGACTTTGAAACCCATCTGAAATAAGATTAATAATAACTTAGGCATCACAAGAGTGGGAGATGAGATGAGAGAAAGGTAAATTTGAAGAGCTGCAAAATTATTTATTTCTAACCATTTATGGAGAAATACGAAACATATATTTGAAGGTAAAAGGCAACAAAGTGTCTATATTCATCTGTGGAGAGGTGATAATAGGAGCCATGTGAAAGGATGAGTGTATCTAAGGTAAGGAATGTGGACCACAAAAAAAGGTAGAGCTTTGCATTCTGTTTACATTTGAAGGCTAGGCAGAGGAAGAGGATAGGACTGAAGAAACTAAGTTTAATGGAAAAACATGTATGAGGAAAACTAGGAGAGTGTAGTTTCATGATAGCCAAGGGAGGAGAGCATTTCAATAAAGGTGATGGTGTTGTTACTTGTGTCAACTGCTGTAGAGAGACTGAGTATTAAGAGAACTATGCAAAGTCCACAAAATTCAATGATTAAAAAATTATTGGCAACCTTATTGAAAGCAACTTTAGTAGAGTTGTGGGGACTGAGTGGTGGTTGTAATAGATTTAGAAATGACTGAGTGGTGTAAAATAATAGAATATTTTTTCTATTTCAGTTTTTGGTAATGTAAAGAGATACTGTTTAAGCAGAAGGCAGGAAGAGTATAGGTTTATTTGTTTCTTTTGTTTTGTTTTTTAAATAGTGACATTTAAACATATTTTGGGGGGTGAGAGGATGTTACCAATGCTGTAGAAATTCAAGAAATTTCTTGACCGGAAAATTGACTGGAAATTCAAGAAAAAGGGGATACATTAGGAAATATGTTGGAAAGATCGTGGAATTTATAGCCAAGAGAGTAGTGTTTATATGCTGTCTCTGCCATTTCCCAGATATATGTTTATACACAAATCATTTACCATTGTTTTGGTCCAAACTTTCCTCATCTGTAAAATAGGAATGATCATGTTTACTATATCCTCCTTATAGAATGTGGTATAAAAATCAAATAAAATAATATTTGTGGAAGTATAATTAGAAATTAATCTGCATCCTACATCAGAGTGCAGGACTGTGATAAGTGATCATTAATGTTGATTCTTTTTTATTTGGTAGAGTTATTATTAGTAAGAGTATAGTGATTCTATTGAGAAAGTTCTAGAGGATAGGGTCGAGGGTTCAGATGTAGCTTCCCCTTGAAAATTGATTTAGATGTGACTTCCTCCGAAACAGAAGGGAGGAAGAAGATAAAGTTTAAAGGAGAAGCTTGGAGGGTGTAATTACAGAACATTGCAGGCTATTTTACTTCTAATTTGCTCTGATTCAAATTATAAATTATTTTTGAAGAGGCTGAAGAAATGTGGGAATACCACTACTCTTATACCTTGCATTGCTAGCAATAGCCTATAGCAAGCAAATTGTTTTATATTCTGTTATTTCTCATGAGGTTCAATATTTGGCTCACTCTTCATTCTGTGAGTTTTTATATCATCTATGAGATTTGTCTGGAGTTTCTCTAACAGTATGATACAAGAAAATATTTTATGAATAGTATATGCAAAACATTGTACTAGGGCAATATTTATCAACTGAGAAGAGTTTACTAATACAGAGATGATTCTGCCCAGCTGGGGAAGTGAATCTGCATCCCATATCAGAGTGCAGAAATGTGTGGGGGCAGTTTGAATGGTCACAATGACTGAGATGCTATTGGAATTAGGAGGTGGGGGCCAGAGCTATTAAGTACCCTTCAGGTCATAGGACAGCCCCACACAATGAAGAATCGGCAATAGCATTTTCTAGGCAATGTAGGAGAAAAAACAAACCAAAATCATTGTCTTAAAGTACAAAGTTTAATTGTGTATACAAGGCATAAATATTAAAGATTGCATAGCAGTACAAAACACTGAGTAGTAGGTAAAATAAATGGAAAAGATAATAGCATTAGTTAAAATAAGCTACATGATAGCAGGGACCACACCAATTTCATATTTTCCCAGATCCTAACCTGGAAAAGAGTACGTCCCCAATAAATATTTGTTGAATGAATAAGTACATACATGAATGAGTATATGATATAGGATTTGAGAAGAGGGATATCAAAGGGAATAGCGTGCTGCAGTGGCAAGAGCATGGAGTTACCAATCAAGGGGGAGGCTTAGAGTTCTGGTTCTTTTTTGCCCACTAACTCTGTAATTTTAAACAAATCATTACATTTCTTGTCCGTGATTTCATCATCTACAGACAAAAGCATTGTACTATATGATTTCTAAGCAATCTTCTAATTCTAGGTTCTATGAACTTTGGAAAGTTATGTATATGAGGTGAAGTCTGAATTGGGTCTTAAATAGTAGAGCAAAAGGAGTAGATACTTGGAAGGCAAGGCAGCATAAGCACTGCTGACATACAGTAAACCTGAATATTCAACCACCTATGGAGGAAAGGATTCTTGCTGGGAAGTAATGGGTCATAAGTTATTAATATCAGAATGGAGCACTGGTAGTAGCAGCCCTTGAGACTTAAGACTATAAGAGGGATTTAATCCTTTAGATGATTAACTTGGCTTCTGCTTGATTCAGCCCTGTTTTAGAGTCACATTATTATCCCAGATCACTATGCTCCCTCCACCAGATTAGGCAAAATTAGGCATATACTTTTTGACATTATAACTTGAACTGTGGACCCTTCTCTGCAGAGCAACTTTAATCCTATGTGATAATTCCTTAGGTTAGTGTTTCTTGAAGTGTAGTCTGCTGATGACAACTTCCAAATCTCCTAGGGTACATGTTAAAATGAAGATTCTCAGGTCCTACTCAGACTTGCTGAATCTGAATCTCTAAGGGGTGCTATGAATAATTCATGTTGAAAACAAGCTAACTAGATTAGTCTTACATACATAGCCAGTTTCATGGCCTGCAACCTATACAGTCACATGAGGCCCCATAATCAGAAGGGCCCTGAGCTTGGTTTAATGCTGTGCTGCTGCTCTCTTGAAATTCATAATAATTTTTAATAAGTGTTTTTGACATAATATTTTAACAGGGGGTCCTACATTTTCATTTTGCCTTGGGTCTCGCAAATTATATGGTCAATACTATTCATGAGAAGTGCTCAAATTTGAGAACCACTGCCCTAGCTCATCTTTACCTAATCCCAACTTTAATGTTTAAGTGACAAATGCTTAAATGACAATAAGCTAAGTATTTTTTAACTTTATTTATTTATTTGTTTTACTTTTTTAAAATTATTATTATACTTTAAGTTTTAGGGTACATGTGCACAATGTGCAGTTTAGTTACATATGTATACATGTGCCATGCTGGTGTGCTGCACCCACTAACTCGTCATTTAGCATTAGGTATATCTCCTAGTGCTATCCCTCCCCCCTCCCCCCACCCTACAACAGTCCCCGGAGTGTGATGTTCCCCTTCCTGTGTCCATGTGTTCTCATTGTTCAATTCCCATCTATGAGTGAGAACATGCGGTGTTTGGTTTTTTGTCCTTGCGATAGTTTACTGAGAATGATGATTTCCAGTTTCATCCATGTCCCTACAAAGGACATGAGCTCATCATTTTTTATGGCTGCATAGTATTCCATGGTGTGTATGTGCCACATTTTCTTAATCCAGTCTATCATTTTTGGACATTTGGGTTGGTTCCAAGTCTTTGCAATTGTGAATACTGCCGCAATAAACATACGTGTGCATGTGTCTTCATACCAGCATGATTTATAATCCTTTGGGTATATACCCAGTAATGGGATGGCTGGGTCAAATGGTATTTCTAGTTCTAGATCCCTGAGGAATCGCCACACTGACTTCCACAATGGTTGAACTAGTTTACAGTCCCACCAACAGTGTAAAAGTGTTCCTATTTCTCCACATCCTCTCCAGCACCTGTTGTTTCCTGACTTTTTAATGATTACCATTCTAACTGGTGTGAGATGGTATCTCATTGTGGTTTTGATTTGCATTTCTCTGATGGCCAGTGATGATGAGCATTTTTTCATGTGTCTGTTGGCTGCATAAATGTCTTCTTTTGAGAAGTGTCTGTTCATATCCTTTGCCCACTTTTTGATGGGGTAGCTTGTTTTTTTCTTGTAAATTTGCTTGAGTTCATTGTAGATTCTGGATATTAGCCCTTTGTCAGATGAGTAGGTTACAAAAATTTTCTCCCATTTTGTAGGCTGCCTGTTCACTCTGATGGTAGTTTCTTCTGCTGTGCAGAAGCTCTTGAGTTTAATTAGATCCCATTTGTCAATTTTGGCTTTTGTTGCCATTGCTTTTGGTGTTTTAGACATGAAGTCCTTGCCCATGCCTATGTCCTGAATGGTAATGCCTAGGTTTTCTTCTAGGGTTTTTATGGTTTTAGGTCTAACATTTAAGTCTTTAATCCATCTTGAATTAATTTTTGTATAAGGTGTAAGGAAGGGATCCAGTTTCAGCTTTCTACATATGGCTAGCCAGTTTTCCCAGCACCATTTATTCAATAGGGAATCCTTTCCCCATTGCTTGTTTTTGTCAGGTTTGTCAAAGATCAGATAGTTGTAGATATGCGGCGTTATTTCTGAGGGCTCTGTTCTGTTCCATTGGTCTATATCTCTGTTTTGGTACCAGTACCATGCTGTTTTGGTTACTGCAGCCTTGTAGTATAGTTTGAAGTCAGGTAGTGTGATGCCTCCAGCTTTGTTCTTTTGGCTTAGGATTGACTTGGCGATGCAGGCTCTTTTTTGGTTCCATGTGAACTTTAAAGTAGTTTTTTCCAATTCTGTGAAGAAAGTCATTGGTAGCTTGATGGGGATGGCATCGAATCTATAAATTACCTTGGGCAGTATGGCCATTTTCACGATATTGATTCTTCCTAACCATGAGCATGGAATGTTCTTCCATTTGTTTGTATCCTCTTTTATTTCATTGAGCAGTGGTTTGTATTTCTCCTTGAAGAGGTCCTTCACGTCCCTTGTAAGTTGGATTCCTAATTATTTAATCTCTTTGAAGCAATTGTGAATGGGAGTTCACTCATGATTTGGCTCTCTGTTTGTCTGTTGTTGGTGTATAAGAATGCTTGTAATTTTTGTACATTGATTTTGTATCCTGAGACTTTGCTGAAGTTGCTTATCAGCTTAAGGAGATTTTGGGCTGAGACAATGGGGTTTTCTAGATATACAATCATGTCATCTGCAAACAGGGACAATTTGACTTCCTCTTTTCCTAATTGAATACCCTTTATTTCCTTCTCCTGCCTAAGTGCCCTGGCCAGAGCTTCCAACACTGTTGAATAGGAGTGGGGAGACAGGACATCCCTGTCTTGTGCCAGTTTTCAAAGAGAATGCTTCCAGTTTTTGCCCAGAATGATATTGGCTGTGGGTTTGTCATAGATAGCTCTTATTATTTTGAGATACAGCCCATCAATACCTAATTTATTGAGAGTTTTTAGCATGAAGAGTTGTTGAATTTTGTCAAAGGCCTTTTCTGCATCTATTGAGATAATCATGTGGTTTTTGTCTTCGGTTCTGTTTATATACTGGATTACATTTATTGATTTGCATATATCGAACCAGCCTTGTATCCCGGGGATGAAGCCCATTTGATCATGGTGGATAAGCTTTTTGATGTGCTGCTGGATTCGGTTTGCCAGTATTTTATTGAGGATTTTTGCATCAATGTTCATCAAGGATATTGGTCTAAAATTCTCTTTTTTGGTTGTGTCTCTGCCAGGCTTTGGTATCAGGATGATGCTTGCCTCATAAAATGAGTTAGGGAGGATTCCCTCTTTTTCTATTGATTGGAATAGTTTCAGAAGGAACGGTACCAGTTCCTCCTTGTACCTCTGGTAGAATTCTGCTGTGAATCCATCTGGTCCTGGACTCTTTTTGGTTGGTAAGCTATTGATTATTGCCACAATTTCAGATCCTGTTATTGGTCTATTCAGAGATTCAACTTCTTCCTGGTTTAGTCTTGGGAGGGTGTATGTGTCGAGGAATTTATCCATTTCTTCTAGATTTTCTAGTTTATTTGCGTAGAGGTGTTTGTAGTATTCTCTGATGGTAGTTTGTATTTCTGTGGGATCGGTGGTGATATCCCCTTTATCATTTTTTATTGCATCTATTTGATTCTTCTCTCTTTTCTTCTTTATTAGTCTTGCTAGTGGTCTATCAATTTTGTTGATCCTTTCAAAAAACCAGCTCCTGGATTCATTAATTTTTTGAATGTTTTTTTGTGTCTCTATTTCCTTCAGTTCTGCTCTGATTTTAGTTATTTCTTGCCTTCTGCTAGCTTTTGAATGTGTTTGCTCTTGCTTTTCTAGTTCTTTTAATTGTGATGTTAGGGTGTCAATTTTGGATCTTTCCTGCTTTCTGTTGTGGGCATTTAGTGCTATAAATTTCCCTCTACACACTGCTTTGAATGTGTCCCAGAGATTCTGGTATGTTGTGTCTTTGTTCTCATTGGTTTCAAAGAACATCTTTATTTCTGCCTTCATTTCCTTATGTACCCAGTAGTCATTCAGGAGCAGGTTGTTGAGTTTCCATGTAGTTGAGCGGTTTTGAGTGAGATTCTTAATCCTGAGTTCTAGTTTGATTGCACTGTGGTCTGAGAGACAGTTTGTTATAATTTCTGTTCTTTTACATTTGCTGAGGAGAGCTTTACTTCCAAGTATGTGGTCAATTTTGGAATAGGTGTGGTGTGGTGCTGAAAACAATGTATATTCTGTTGATTTGGGGTGTAGAGTTCTGTAGATGTCTATTAGGTCCGCTTGGTGCAGAGCTGAGTTCAATTCCTGGGTATCCTTGTGAACTTTCTGTCTCGTTGATCTGTCTAATGTTGACAGTGGGGTGTTAAAGTTTTTAACTTTAATGTAAGAGAGTACATTATGGTTTTTAGAGAACACAGACTGGAGGTTGGGAGATTAGTTAAGAGGCTACTGTAATAAATCATGCTTGAATTGATAAGAATTTGAAAAAGGATAGTGGTAGTGAAATGGGGAGGAAGTAATGAGTGTCAAAACCAAACCAAAAGAATTGATGGTAGTTGGTCATTGATTAGTTATGAGCCTCAAATAGTTTCCAAGTCTTGGGGCACAGATGAATGAAATGGGCACGTTATAAGGGGCATTTGGTTTTGGAAGGAAAAACACATTCCATTTTTAACACAAAGCGTGTTCGAGGTAGTTAAAGATAATCTGGGTAGAAAGGACATCTGGAAATTACAAACTAGACCTGACTAATGGAGAGATTAAAGCTTTGAGTCTTCCCAAAAGTGGTAACAGTTAAAGCCATGAAAATAGGTGAATTGTAAAAGGTGTAGATGTGTAAAGAAAGTGGAAGACTAAAGAGATATCTCTTGCTGTTCATAATTAGGAGGCAGGAGGAGAAGGGTTGTTAAGGGGGAAAGGAAGGAGTCAGCATCGATACATTAGGAATTTTACATTTGTTTCAGCTTATGGTCTGTGAAAAAGACTTGATGAGCATTTATTCTTTTCAGTGTCATGACTCTATGAGTCTATCACACTGCCTAACTTTAGTTATTATTTTATGGCCAAGTAAATGTGACATTGTCAGGATGTTAACATTTCTCTGGTCATCTTCAGTGATGCATATGCCCATCATTTGTTAATATTTGTTATACCGCAGTTTGCTTTGAGAGTGTACAAAAGAGTAAGAAGAACATCCTGTCTAAAGGAGGTAATTTGTTACCTAAAAGTCAAAAGAAAGTATGCTGGGCATGTGGTAGATACTTAAAAAATAAAATACAAAGTTGATTGGGTAATGTGCATGCTTTGAGTATGTTATGATATAGTTCAGATGTCAAAGAATGAATATACTTTCTTGTTAGAAGATATAGGCTCATGTTTTCTAACCCATTATGGCAGAGCATTCCATAGGAAGTTTGTTTTGAAACTGCTATCACACATTTAGGGGCTGGAATTCACAGAATCTCATTCTATCACTATCCATGACATCTGATGAGGTAACATTTTTTTTCAAGGGGATCATTGATCCTGTAGACATTTTTGCATGATAACTGGAAAATACTGGTCATGACAGAAAATAAGTCAGACTCAAAACTATAAGTTTTCATTTATAATTTGAGCTATGTCTATTGCCCAGAGGAACGAGTAAGTTACATGAAGCCCTTTCTGTGATGAGAATAGATCAAGTGCTTTAATAATACTTTGCAAATCTTAAAAAGAGCTCCTGACATCAGTACATCAACTTTGGAATCTCTATGAAGCAACAAATTAATGCCTGCCAAATCAATGCCAGTCTTTTATCTCAAAGCTAAAATTAACAAAGTCTTACCAATCCTTTAACATGTCACAAAAATGAAAGCCCTAATATGTGCCTTCATTAATGCTCAGTGTATGTTATTAGCACAACAGATCATGGTCTACCAATTACCTTTGGAAATAAAGAAAACTTCTCTTTTCATTAGCCTCTTTATAAAATGTCTTTAATAGTTCTGTGCTTTGTGAAGACTGACTTTCAGTGTTAGAAAAAAATAGTATGCTGAAATTTTAGAAATAGATTCTTCCTTTAAGGAACAAGAAGCCTTTAAGAATTCATAGCAACTTGGAAAAAGCTACTGGGCAGTACACAAGGAAAGGTCTCAATTATTTTTAAGTCACATGAAGAAATGTATTGTTAAGTTGTAAGCAAAACCATCAGCAGTCTCATGATGCCTGAATACAATGAGCATCCACTTGAATTAATATTTTAATTTGCCTTGTTCTTATTAAAGCACACATGGCAGGTTTCAATCTTGGCTGTGAAATGCTCTGATTTTAATTTTGGTAAAATCCATAGCAGTCATTTTATGTTGTATTCGATGGGAGGCTAATTTTCAACATTCCATTAACAAGGTCTCTTGAATGAGTATGAGGTTTTAAAATTAAATTTGCATATCTACCATGCAGTGATTCAACAGCCAGTCTCATTGCTTCTTTGTTACTGTGAAACATGATGCAGATTAGTAAAAGCATTGGGTTCTACACCTTTCCCATTTCTCCACTGATAGATATGTTTGGATAGAACTCTTATTATGCTGATTTCCTCATGTTATCTTTGGTTGCCTGGGATCGTGGAACAAGAGAATTCACACATTTTGGAAAATAATAGAATGATTCTCAGAAAGGCAATCACAGGAACACATTCAGCTGTGAAATTTTTCTTGAGTTGTACAAATACTTCTATGTTTGTCCAGCATCAGGACCTCTGAAAGGAAGAAGAATGAAAGATGTCTATTTAATGATAATATATACTTCCTGCTATTTGGGCAATACTGTCTTATATTTGGAGGATATAAGAGAAAATTCAAGACACTAACAAAAGGACTAGAGAAATATGGGTAGAGCAGGCTGATGAGGAGAAACTAGAATAAAGGAGGATATTGCATTTGCCTTAGGGTGGATGGATTAGGGTTTAGATTAGAGCCTTGTCTGTGAAAATGTAAAACCAGTGGTAGGTCTAGGAAATTCATAGAGGTAATATAGGGGTTTCAAAAATGATTCCCAGACCACTAGGCAGTATCAGTAATAATGCTGACAGTGATGAGGAATTTGGGGATGTTCTGGAAACATTCTGATGAGTCTAATTTTCAGTCATAGAAAATAATTCAATTGAAAAGATTTTATGGACAATCGGAATCAAAGGAATAAAAATGAATGAGGAAGGTGGATGCAGATTCCCTGTGTCCAGGTGAAACAAAGGTATGGAAATAGAATCGTAGTCTGTTGAAGTGAATGTGAAAAGACTAGATCAACATCACCTCTTAAACATTTTGAGGAGCTTGGGGAAATAGTCTGAGAGGGAGCATTCCTAGTTCTTGGGCATGCTACTTTTGGGTTTCTTATAGTGCCATCTGCTGTCCACAAAGAGCTGCATGCTGTGGTAACTATTGTTTTGATTACTGTACTTTATTGATATGTAGTGAGTTAAATGAAATAATGGAGTGCATTCATTCACGAGCAACTAGGATGAAAGTGTGTTATTATTATAAAAGGCTTGAAGGTACTCCGAAGTCCCTGGCCACTTATGTAGTTAATTCAAGCAACATGACTCTTATTTTGCTAACCCATCACTCTCTCTGACAAAAAATCATTGGAATAAAAGTCTATCTTTCCAGGCACTGAAAATGAACAAGACAGTTGTTGTAATGGCTCCAGTAATAGCAGTGGCCTATAGGATTTAAGCACTCCTTCTCCAGTGAATAACAAGGGACTAAATTAATGAAACTGATGTGGCTTGTACATTTATATGTTTGTGTGTATATCACCTCATTTCTGTCTGTAGAAAGAGAAACACTACAAATTATTCCTTGAATTATTGATGCAAATTTTGTAAGTCACCTCATTTTGCTATTAACACAAATAGAACTACTGTACAATAATGCATTCCGGAGAGTCATGCCCTTTAGGAACAGAATGGGTAGGCGGGTTAATTTGTATTTTAAATGAACGACTTGTGGGGAAATAAAACTTCTGTAGATTTTTCCTGCAAAAATCTCTAGCCTTCTAGGATAAAGACATGTATACAATCTAAATATAGGGGATATTTGCTTTCATTTCCGCTAGGAACATTTTACTATTTACATACAATGAAAATTCAATCTGTCACCACTTTTCTAGTTAATTGCTGTGACCCAAGAGGGACAAATAGTTACCACTCAAACTAAGTCCATAGGTTAAGATCCAAGGTGCCAGGAAGCCTGGAGCTTTATCTCCCTAGGCACTTACCAGACCTTGGAGACATCTTTAGAGCTTAGAAGCTGGAGACATCTGAGTTAATCTAACTCTTAGAGAGACATACTTACATTTCAAAAGGTTAGGATGATAATCTAGGATCATTTCCATTCCATCTCAAAGAAGCAAAAGTTTTTTCCCCTGCCATTGGCATCTTTCTTCTGTACATAATGGGAGAAAATTCATTGTTCTACAACATTCATTCATGAAATGCCCATTACTTGAGCAGGGAATTTGGCATAGCTCTCATTGTATTACCTCAAGGATGAGGTTGGGGATAACCACAAGGAGGAATGTGCTTATTATTTAAAGAAAGGTGATTAATTAGAAATTTGTCTTTGATCTAGAATACCTCATGTAAGCACTAGTAAAGATTACAAACCCAACAAACTGTGTGGTCAAGTTGATTTTCATGAAAAGAACACCTCAGTGATATTCATTTGAAAATTGCCAGATTTATTATGAGGCACTGTCTTAGGCATTATAGTATCCTATATAATTGTAGTGGTTTGTGCATAGCTCCTATCATGACAGAAATGGGTGGAGCTTAATATGTACCACAGAAAGACAGGCTTGTGCTTCTGCCTTCTGCCACATGGGGACACTGCATTCCTTCCTTCTGGAAGATGCGGCCCTCACCAGGCAGCCAATCCTGTTGGTGCCTTGATCTCTGACTTCCCAGTCTTCAAAAAATAAATTTCTGTTCTTTATAAATTACCTAGTCTGCAATATTTTGTTATAACAGCATACAACAGACCAAGACAGAAATAGGTGTCAGACTTGCATCATGGGGAAGGATCTTCCTGCTGTGTCTTCCTGTTTCGGCTTTTTCCTTCACAGACATTCCTCCAAATGCATCTCTGGCATGTAAAATTAGATCTTGCTTTCTGCTTTTCAGAGGATCCAAAGTGACACAGACATGAATGTAGAAGCATGAAATCTAAGTTGCCATTAGAAGCCTTCATATAACCCAAAAGAACTAGCTATAGGTTGATGCTGACATATTGGGCAATAATAGAACAATGGAAAGATCTGGTTTCTAGTCGATGTCAGTGTCTGAGTCTATTTGGGTTGCTCCAGAAAAATATCATAAACTGGACAGTTTATAAACAATAGAAATTTGTTTTTCAGAGTTTTAGAGGCTGGGATGCTCCAAGATCAAGATGCCAGGTGATTTGGTATCTGGTGAGGGTCTGCTTTCTGGTTCATAGACGGCATCTTCTCCTGTGTCTTCACATGGTGGAAAGGGCGAGCTAGCTCTCTGGGGTCTCTTTCATAAGAGCACTAATCTCCATTCATGAGATCTCCACCCTCATGACCTAATCACATCTTAAAGGCTCCACCTCCTAATCCCATCACTTTGGGGGTTAGGTTTTCAACATAGGAATTTTGCGGGGACATATGCAGGAATTTTTTGCTCTTTAGCTGAGCTAATCTGGGTTCTTGTCTCACAGCCAGGGAGAATTAGGCACACGGACACATTGAAGGGTTAGGAGGATGGAATTCACTAAGCAAAAGGAAAGCTCTCAGCAAGGAGAGGGGTCCTGTAAGCAGCTTTTCCCCTCAAAAATTGAATACCAGGGCCACTCCACATGAGCTGAAGAGGCCAGGCCCCTCCCCTGCATAAGGCATGAATTCTTGCTGGCTGAACCCCATTCCTGCAGTGGGCACACGGGCATGCCCAGGCAAGCTATAGGTACTATCAGAAAGGGCAACATTCAATTGGTTAAAAGCATTATTCAGAAAGAATCAATCAGGAAAGGGAGGGCAAACAGGGGCAGAAGTTCACTTTCTGGGTCTTGTGTTTCATCCGTACCAGCAGTCCGGTCTTTCAGCCTTCAGGCTGTTTTAGGCTTGAAGGTGAGATTTCACTGGGGACCCTTCCCTAGATAGGCATTTGTCTGCTTCCTGCCTCTATCAGACACACATCAATTCATTCAAGTCAGTAAAAGTCTGAATCAACTACTCTAAACTTGTCTTATTTCTGAACTGTTATATGAATTCACTTGTGTCCTTATTGGTTAAGTGAATTTAAATAATATTCTTTACTACTTGCAGCCAAAATAATCTTAATCCATATAAACAACTGAATAGAGAAGTGTGTAGAGTGCTTAGCATAGTGTATAAACATACCAATTGAGGACATTTTTGTGTGGTTAAAAGAATGAACTCTAGAACCAGGCTGCTTGGTTTCAAATTTCAGATCTACCACTTACTAGGTATATTAATTTGGGCAAGTATTTTTAAAAATAGAGCTAATAATATCGTTTATCTCAGAGGGTCATTAGAAGGATTAAATTAATTACATGTAAAATACTTTTAACTATTCCAAGCACATAAGTGTTATATAAATGTTTATTATTAGTAGTAGTAGTAAGTGCTCAATTAACATGATCATTATTATAATGAATATATTACATGATCATTATTATTATGAATATAGATGACTATATATTTTCATGATCATTATTATTATGAATACAGATGACTAAGTTCTGTGAAAATTATATTTGAAAGAGATAATGGTTAAGTTTGTGGGCTGGTCAGCAAAAGTGAAATTGTAATGTTCACTGCACAATTAAAATAGATATTTACATATAGATATTAATTGGTGTGAACAAAACAGGAAGTGTCAGAAATAAAGTAATAAAATTGTTTCCATTTAGATGGTAGATCTTTCCTATCACATAAAATCAAGCGGATAATTTAAATCTCCAGAATTTTAGTTAGGCTTTTATTCAAACTGGATGATTCTGTCTAGTAATAGCAGATCCATATGAGCCACATTTTCTCTAGTCTAGGTATGTTTCATATTTTCTGTCTGAATCATAACAAAAATGGATTGGTAGTTGTCTCTCCTCACTGGAAAGATGTTGTTCAATAGTGGAGATGGAGAGCACTGTAGCCACTTCTTATTTAGCTTGAATAGAATCGGCTATTTCTAGAACTGTTGGTAGCTCTAAGTTGTCAGTAAAAGTGCTGATAATTTCTTCCTTTTAATTTTAGATAAATAATTTTCATGGTTATTCTTTATTATAATACTGAATTTTGTAATCTTGCTACCTTCCTACCACTAGACAATGCAACTACTATGGCCACATACGTATAACAGTATCAATTATTTTATTGTGACTGAATCCTATAATTCAGTACAAAATAGATAAACTTATGTACGTGAAGTCCAAAGTTAAGATATTTTGCTGAGTTTCTATATAGTCTACAGATTTTCTCCTTCTTTCAGGTAATGTTTAGTACATTACTGGGACATAATCACGAATGGTGCAAAGATATAGAATTATGCCTAGGAAGATATATAAAAAAACTTGTCCTTTGCAGCAACATAGATGGAACCGGAAGCCATTATCTTAAGTGAAACAAGTCAGACACAGAAAGACAAATAACAACATGTTCTCACTTGTAAATAGGAGCTAAATAATGTGTACACCTGAACACAGAGAATAGAATGATAGACAGTAGAACCTTGGAAGGTTGAGGAGGTGGGAGTGTGGTGGATGATGAGAAATTACTCAATGAGTACCAAAGGAAAATAGAATATTTTACCCCCAAATATATATTTTTGGCATATTTTGAAATGGCTGCCACAGAGCCAGCAAAAGAAGTGCACTTGCTAAGTTGTCTTTTGTGGAGAAAGAATTGCATCACTAGAGAACCTTCAATAATGCAGCAGCGCTCACCCCTACTTTCTATACTTTTCTGGGATCCAGGAGAAATTGAGAATCTGTCACCTTTAAAAGCCTGGAAATAAACATTTACCATCTATTCTCTCTGAGGGAGACTTCATCTACATAACAAGGCCAACTTTTGGTAGTCAAGCTCCTTCTTTCCTCTCTCTCACAAGTGGTGTTGCTACTAAACCTGACTTATCAACATAACCAATTTTTGAGCATGCTCTGAGTCTGCATTCTTTACTATGGCCTCAGAATAGTATATGAGCTTCTGTATCTTACTGTTGGATGGGTCTTCATTATGAAGGCTCCTATATATACACGTCAAATTAATTTGTATGTCTTTTCTCCTATTAATCAATCTGCCTTATGTCAGTAATATTTCAGCAAACTTTTGAGGGGTCAAGAGCCTATGGCCCCTCAACAGTACAATGTAGATTAATTGCATGACGGATGCCCTAAAAGGCATGACTTCATCACTACACAATCTATGCATGTAACAAAGTTATACTTGTACCCCATAAATATTACAAATAAAAGGTAATTTAATATTAGTAAAATAAATGCATTCAAGCCAGTGCACAATAGTAAAGAATTTGTAAATTATTAACACTTAATTTCTCTATATTTGTCTTAATCAGCAAAAGGGTGTTTAGCCAAGAAGGTATCTGGGAAGCCAAAATATGTATCAGTAATGCCCATGTACTTTTTTTTTTTTTGAGATGGAGTCTCACTCTGTCACCCAAGCTGGAGTGCAGTGGTGCAATCTCGGCTCACTGCAACTTCTGCCTCTCGGGTTCAAGCAATTCTTCTGCCTCAGCCTCCCGAGTAGCTGGGACTACAGGCATGTGCCACCATGCCTGGCTAATTTTTGTATTTTTTAGTAGAGACAGGGTTTCACCGTATTGGCCAGGCTGGTCTCGAACTCCTGACCTCGTGATCCGCCTGTCTCGGCTTCCCAAAGTGCTGGGATTACAGGCATGAGCCACCACGCCCAGCCGCCCATGTACTTTATTTAGAGGAAAATAAAAGTAGGTACTCTATCATCGCCATTTTTTTTAAGTTCAACTTTTATTTTAGATACAGGGGATACATATGCAGGTTTGTTACATGGGTATATTGCATCATGCTGGAGTTTGGAGTACAAATCCTGTCAGTCAGGTAGTGAGTATAGTACCCAATAGGTAGCGTTTCAACCCATGCCTCTCTCCTTCCCTCCCTGCTCTAGTAGTCCTCAGTATCTATTCCCATGTTTATGTCTATGTGTGCTCAATGTTTAGCTCCTATTTATAAGTTAACTTTAACCATTATTTTTAACTTTAATTTAAATAACTTCAAACTTACAGAAACATTGTAGTAGTAATATAGAGAACTTCCATTATCCTTTATGCATATTCACAAGTTAACATTTTGCCACATGTCCTTTATCATTATTATTCTCAAATAATAGGCACAATCCTATTATCTAGCATATAGTATATATTCACTTTTTTCCGATTATCCCAATAATGTCCCAGTAATATTTTTTCTAGCGATGCAGGATCACACATAGCATTCAGTTGGCATGTGACTTTAGTCTCCTTTAATTAGAATGTTATTTCAGCCAATCTTTTTCTTTTATGATATTGATATTATTGAGAATTGTAGTCCATGTATTTTGTAGAATGTCCATCAATTTGTATTTGTCTGAGGTTTCCTCATGATTATATTTAGGTTGTGTGTTTTTTGCAGGAATATTGAAGAGGAGATGAGTACTTTAATGTGTCTGATTATCAGTGATATTAATTTTGATCAGTTTTTAAGATAATGTCTGCAAATTTTCTCCACTGTAAAGTTACCATTTCTCTCTGTAGTCAATACATAATTTGTGGAGAAATGCAGTAAATATAGTATATTGTTCCTCATATATCACCCAATAATTTTAGTGCCCATTGATGATTCTTAAAATAAATTATTAATATGATGGTTACAAAGTGGTGATTTTCTAACTCTGTCATTTTTATCATCACTTTGTTTTTATACAAAAAGCATTCAAGCATACTTGGCTACATGCCATTCTAGTTCATGGTAGATAATACACGATTTAGAAAGGGTGTTCAGAAAAAAAAGAAAGACACACTGACAGCAGAGGTGACAGGTTACAGTGGAATAGAAGAGAGAAAAAAAGTGGCAAAATCTAAGAATTTACAAAGCAGAGCAGTATATGTTTGTCTCTGAGCTGAACACTTTAGGTCATAATTTATATCCTATCTTTAGCCACAGAAACCATAAAAAGTCCCCACTGCAGCTGCAAATGGTTGGCTTAGGAAATCACTGTAGCCTTGGTTTTCATTTACATTGAATGTTTACCCCACAGTTTCCTTCGTTTTGATTTTACGCCCAGAATTTCTCTCTGTTTGGATTTGGAGGTTTTGCATGACATATTGATTTAGCTTGTTTCCAAGATATTTTAAAAATTTTCACCATAGGCTCCAGCCACTGTGTCCCTTGGGTAAGTAATGCCCACCTCTGGGCTTGGGATACTAGCTTCCAGACTAAGCCTCTGTTGCCCTCGTTTCGGATTCTTTGAAAGTTGGGATAGAACACTCTGATGGCACTCATTGAGAGGTCATATAAACTTACGCGCGTTAGTAACCTTTAAGGTCACCTAGATGTCATTTATTACAGACACGTATGGTAATTAACAAATTAAGAATTAATAATACAGTAATTAATATATGATCACTAATGATAATGAGTAGTGGATTGATTAACATAAACTGACTCAGGCATTGGGAAAATGTAAATTTATGTGCAATGTCGTTATTTAATAGACAAGAAAAAAGTGCAATGTGCACATGAATAAAAATGGAATTATTTTTTATACTTGTACACTTAGTTGAATGAACACCTTTTATAATTTTTAATGTCTGCATAGTATTTATCAAATAAATCAATAATTTATTTAGCCAATAAAATATGGTTATAATTTTTCATAATTTCAAGTAATGTTGGGAAGAACTATATGTAAATAAATATATTTACAAATAAATAAGGTTATGTCCTTGAAACTCATAAAAGAGGAATGGTAGAATAAAAGGGAATGGAGAATTTCAAGAATTTTGGTTTTCATTGCCAAAATATCCTCCAGAAAGCTGCAGTCATAGTATTACTGAAACCACCTTTGTAAAAATTATATCAGTGAGAAAATTATGGCGGTGAAGGAGACCTGATCTTGCCAACTCCTTCTTGCCTTTGGCCTTCAAGCTGTCCTTAATTACTGCTCAATCTAGGTCAAGCTAACTTTGGGAGACAATTAATTTATAGTTTCAATGATAACAGCCTTTCCCCCAAAACTCAACCACTGGACCCAAGGACCTATGGCTCCAGCTGGACCAGCCAGCCACTCCTGGGGTCCCACCCAGAAGCACAGGAGGACCATTTCAACACCCTTATGACTGCATCCCCAACCAATCGGCAGCATGCACCCATTGCCTAACCACCCCACCTCTTCCCCCAAACTACCCTTGGAAAACCCTAGCCCCCAAATGCTCAGAGAGATTGATTTGAGTTATAACTTCGTCTCCCATGTGGCTTGGTTGGCCTAATGTCAATTAATCTTTCTTTACTGCAATGCCATGGTCTCTGCAAACTGATTTTGTTTGTGCAGTGGGCAGGAAGAATCCGCTGGGTGGTTACACTACCATCTGTGTACCCTCAGCACACTGAATGTTAACATGATTTTTATTTGTAATTTAATAATCAAGATATGTTTTATTGTAATCACTAGTGAATTATTTTTATTTTTTTTTTAAGTTTTTTTTCTTTTATTATTATACTTTAAGTTTTAGGGTACATGTGCACATTGTGCAGGTTAGTTACATATGTATACATGTGCCATGCTGGTGCGCTGCACCCACTAACTTGTCATCTAGCATTAGGTATATCTCCCAATGCTATCCCTCCCCCCTCCCCCAACCCCACAACAGTCCCCAGAGTGTGATGTTCCCCTTCCTGTGTCCATGTGATCTCATTGTTCAATTCCCACCTATGAGTGAGAATATGTGGTGTTTGGTTTTTTGTTCTTGCGATAGTTTACTGAGAATGATGATTTCCAATTTCATCCATGTCCCTACAAAGGACATGAACTCATGATTTTTTATGGCTGCATAGTATTCCATGGTGTATATGTGCCACATTTTCTTAATCCAGTCTATCATTGTTGGACATCTGGGTTGGTTCCAAGTCTTTGCTGTTGTGAATAATGCCGCAATAAACATACATGTGCATGTGTCTTTACAGCAGCATGATTTATAGTCCTTTGGGTATATACCCAGTAATGGGATGGCTGGGTCAAATGGTATTTCTAGTTCTAGATCCCTGAGGAATTGCCACACTGACTTCCACAATGGTTGAACTAGTTTACAGTCCCACCAACAGTGTAAAAGTATTCCTATTTCTCCACATCCTCTCCAGCACCTGTTGTTTCCTGACTTTTTAATGATTGCCATTCTAACTGGTGTGAGATGGTATCTCATTGTGGTTTTGATTTGCATTTCTCTGATGGCCAGTGATGATGAGCATTTCTTCATGTGTTTTTTGGCTGCATAAATGTCTTCTTTTGAGAAGTGTCTGTTCATGTCCTTCGCCCACTTTTTGATGGGGTTGTTTGTTTCTTTCTTGTAAATTTGTTTGAGTTCATTGTAGATTCTGGATATTAGCCCTTTGTCAGATGAGTAGGTTGCGAAAATTTTCTCCCATTTTGTAGGTTGCCTGTTCACTCTGATGGTAGTTTCTTTTGCTGTGCAGAAGCTCTTTAGTTTAATTAGATCCCATTTGTCAATTTTGGCTTTTGTTGCCATTGCTTTTGGTGTTTTAGACATGAAGTCCTTGCCCATGCCTATGTCCTGAATGGTAAATTTTCAAATGTTTATTGGTAATTGAATATCTCCCTTTTAATCTTTCTATATGTCTTTTTTCCATTTTTGAACTCTTGTTCTTTTTTCCTTACTGATTTATGAGAGTCCCTTATATATTAAGGAGATTAGTTCATCTTTGAGTTTGTGTGCAT
Organism: Homo sapiens; assembly: GCF_000001405.40. Lineage (NCBI taxonomy): Eukaryota > Metazoa > Chordata > Mammalia > Primates > Hominidae > Homo > Homo sapiens. The sequence continues at coordinate 96,174,428 of NC_000023.11, read as the reverse complement.
ATTCTTTTATATGTGTTAGTAGAATATTGAATGTTTTGTCCCTGACATTTTAATATTGAGTAGTTTCAATATTAAATATGTTACGTTTTGTTTTTCTTGTTTTCAATAGGATATTTCCTTTTATTATGTTTTTATTCAGTGTATATATGTATATACACACATAGAAAGTGACTGGAGTAAAATCACTTTCTAAATTCTCATGTTGATTTTAATAGTTTCATCCAGTTGATTCTTATGAATTTTCTATGTAGGAAATCATACTATCTATGAATAATAGTAAACTTGCCTCTTTCTTTTAATATGTTTTCTCTTTTCTCCTTATCTTACTTAATTGGCTAACATTCTCAGAACAATATTAATTCATAGTATTTACAAGGGGCATCTTTTATTTCTATTTTTCAATAGGTTGAAATTTAACATTAAGTTTTAATATCTAACCTTTTAGGTTACATATTAATTAAATGAAAGTTTCAATTATAAGCCTAGGGCATAGCTTTTCAATACCAAAAAAAAAAAGGAGGAAAAATAGGCTTCGCTTTATTAGAAGCAATTTTTTTATAGAAATGTTCTAAGTGAACCATCTTTGTGTTTGGAATGCTGGATAAAATTTGAGAAATCATTTTGTAGAGTCTCAAACTTTTTGTGTGACAAAAACTGTATTTTCCTATGATTTTTGTAAATCAGGAAAAAAGAATTAGGCTTAATAACATGTTTTTCATTATTTTTAAAAAATTAAGGCATTAGGCTTTGTGGCCACCACTTTAAAGAATCTTATGCACTGTTATGATTTGTTGATTACTTATTCTTGTAAAAGAAAGATACTTCAAAACTTCCAGTAAACTTTTTTAAACATTCAGCATCATTCACACTTGTTAAACACAAAATGATTTGAGCAGATATAAAACAAAGAGCAAAGCAAAACAAAAGCAAAAGTATATTTTTTGAATTCAGTCAGATGATTTTTTTTCTTTGTAGTGGATTTTATTCTAGATGACTGTTTGGTTTAATTGTTCCTAATCACATCAGTCCATTTGAGATTTTTTTCCCCAATGCTATTATCCTGGATGAAATTGAAGAGCTCCTTTCACATTTGAAAAGGTGTATCAAGTTTTGTACACATTTCCCCTTCTCTTAATATAATCCATTTTATTCCCCATGGTAAGAACATCAGTAGTTTCAAACAAAATAAATGCAGCCAACTGAAACTGCTGATCAGCAGATTTGAGTTCAAAGAGCCAATTTCCAGTTCTGCCATTTAGAATATATATTTGTATATAATATGAGGTTCTAAGGAAAGTCCATATTTGTATCATTCATGTTCTATTTTTCTAAATATTTTAGCTGAGAAGCACAAGAAAATCACTGAAATCACACTTCTAGGATTATAAGCATGCAAATGGTAAAGAGTGTATTGTTTTTGAGTGTCTCTACAATTTTAACTGCCTTTTGTTCTCAAGTTAGATCTACGAAATTTGTATCTGACTGTAATTTTCCTCTTTAAACTACAGCAGTCAATATTTTGGCAGTGTTTGAACGTTGATGTGCAGTTCATGTGCATTCTTAAGGCATTGCTTGCTTGCTTTTTCTCTTTCCCTCCTTCTCTGCCACCCATTTCTCTCCTTTTCTCCTTTCCTTCCTTCCTTCCTTCTCTCTTTTCTTCCTTATGCTTTCCTTACTGCAGATTTAAGGAAATGAAAGGACACAGTCTTAAAGTAGATGGGTTGATAGGTGCAGCAAACCACCATGGCAGACATTTACCTATGTAACAAGCCTGCACATACTGCACATGTACCCCAGAATGTAAAATAAAAATAAAAATTAATTAAAAAGTAGCTAGGTGCTATGATTATATTAACTATGTTTTCTCTACTATTGCCATAAAGAATTCAAAACCTTGGCAATCGATTGCCAGTGTGATGCTGATACATAGTGGCCTGGGATGATGAGAGAGAGGAAGAAACAAAGAGATGGAAAGAGAGAGGTGTTGGGGTGGGAAGAGAGAGAGAGAATGAATGAATGAACGAATGAATGAATGAAATTCATGAAAGAGAGGAAAGAGATGAGCCTGATTTTACATTCAATTTTTTTCAAAGCTCGTAAGGGGTCACGTCTTAGTGGAAAGTGGAAAGTGAAGTACACTGGGATACCTGAGTTCTAGGTTCTGCTCTCTTGCAAGCTCACTGTATAAAAGAAGTTAATCACTTCACCTGTCTGGAGTTCAGTTTCTTCATCTGTAAAAAACTGAGGAAGTTTTCATCTGTAAGCTCACTGGAATGTAAATTCCACGAGGACCAAAATTTTGTCACTTTTCTCTTCTCATGTATCTTCAGCACCTAGAATAGTGTCTGGTACAATGTAGATGCTCAATAAATGTTTATTGAATGAATAAGGTTTTTTTCCACACCTGTTATTCAACAATTTTGCTCTAAAGGACAGATAAACGCAGTAGTATGGCAAAGGTATATATAAACTTGGGATTGTATAGTGTGTTTACTTACTCTCTCCCTACACACAAGCCTCTAGCATCACCTATCTGATAGATAAGTGCTTAAGAATTGTATCTCCTTCCCTATACTCCTATAAAAAAATTATACATTAAAAGAGGCATTGTGCTCAGGAAAAATAGTTTCTTGTTCAAGATTTCTCACTAACTATACTAAGTAGCTCTATGATTTTGGCCAAGTCATTTAACTCTTTCAGAACTCTTTTTTTGCCTCGTGCATAAAATGTCAGTATTGATTAGTTTCCTTTGATCATACATTTATTCACCCATTCATTTCATTCAACAAACTTTTATGGAATGCCAGTGTATGTAAAGGATTGAGATGAATAAAGTGAGTGATTTATCAAATCATTAAATCTCTAAAATTCTGTGACTGTTCAAGTGTATTTTTAGATATAGACATTAAAAAGGAATTGCTAAATTATTTCCTGAGTTTAGCTTTATAATTTTCAATTATATTTTATTCCAGGTAAAAAATTAGTTATTATATTTATATTAATTGCATAGACTCTTTACTTTTTTACTAATTTTTTATTAGGAGAATGAAAAGTAATTAAACTATTTCAGCTTTCCCTTCAGCAAGGACTAAGTCTTGACTCTAGTGCACATTAGCGTTTTCTGTTAGAATTATTAGATGTATGGTTTTAAAATATCTAGCTATAATAAACTGTGATATTAGTATAAGCATGCTGCTATAAACAGAGCTTTTAATACCACACCCTGTTTTTGGCAGTTTTGTTTTTTACCTCAGAGTAGAAAAGAAATATTGGCATGTTCTCAAATATTTTCTCCTGACTGATTCTGTCTGTGAGTTCAACATTGTTATAATGTCCCATACTTTTGTGGTATAAAAAGGGATAAAATATCACCTGATTCCTTGTACGTACATGTGGTTTCTTCATGTATATTTAATGAAGATGGGAGTGATTGGCATGATCCATCTATGACTCACAAACCCTTTCGTTATACTTGAATGGCAGTATATTGATGTTCTTATTTGGTGTCACTTATTGGACTATGTTGTTATTCTCCTTTTTGGCTTCACTGATGCAAGAACTTGTAAATTCTAACTGAGCCATTGTGTCTCAGAATGTCACATCACAGCATGGTCTTTTTACAGCAGCAGCTGCTGGTTCTCTTCTGTTGACTGCAGCATTACATTGCTTGACTTTGGGCATCAGTGAGTTCTTAGTGTTAGTGCTATTGCTTGGGTAGGCCAAACATTCAGCAATTGGTTTGGTAATGAAATTGGACTCCTTTGCTTAAGGTTATATATACTTTTGGCTTTTGGCTTGATTTTGTTTAAAGAAAGAGCTGTTTGTATTTAGACAAAGAGAAAACATACATAATTACTTTGGGTATTTGCCTTAGAGATTCACAGGGAAGCCTAGGGGTGAGCATAATATTTTGGAGAACCTAATAATCATGGTTGAAAATGATTAAGATTCATGAAGGGAGCACTATGGCTCCTTCATTAACTGTATAACTATGAATATGTTTTCTTTCCAGTTTGGAGTCCAGAACTGTTCTTGTGTTGTGGGACATAAATGAATAAATTCAGCTAGGATCCAGAATTGATAAATCAATTAATATAAAAGATAAATCCTATCCATAATTAACTGTATATTAAGACAGAAAAAAAGTGATGAAAAAGAGGCATATATAAGTGCTAAAGAAATTCAGAAGGTGAAGAGAGAATCTCTAGCTAAGGGATGAGAGGAAGCATGGAGGAAATGGCACTTGAGTCTGATGTTGGACTTTGAGTGGATGTTGAGGTGAAATCCAGATGGGGAGTAAAGTCAACAAAGGTACATAGATGAGGAAGCACAGGGTATATACTGGGAACCATGGCTAAAGGTAAGATAGTCTTACCAGTAAATCATTGAGTAAGTATTTGAAAATATAAGTCTTACAATTTCATAACATTTTGGCATTTCTTTACTTTTAAAGTATGCCAGGACTCTAACATAGATAATGGCTTAGTTGTCTTTAACCTCTGCAATGCTAGACATGAACCCAATTTTCCCTCCAGTCTTAGAAAGAGAGATTTCTTCTGTTCAGGTTTGGATTTTTCCACTTGTCATCTTCCTCCCATTTCTTTCTGCTCTCTCTGAAATCATGGCCTTGTTCTATCAGCTAAACCAAAACTCCTGTTTCTTTGTTTCTAATGGCTCATCCCGAGTACTTTATGTACAGAAATATCTCCCAACTTAAAACAAATTCCTATGTCTATGGCTTTCACTTTCTTTTCTTTCTTTAAAAGTTAGTTTTATTCAGAGTATTCTTCACTTGTCTCCATTTTCCTCCCATATGTTTACTCTTCAACCCACTGCAACCAGACTTCCTTACTCATAACTTCATTGAAACTGCTTAGCCAATGGAATGCAGGAAGAAATAGTATAGGAAATTTTCAGAAAGCACTCATATAGGAAAAGGGAGTATTTCTTTCCCCCTTGTTTCTTCATACTTTCTGAAATGCAAGTGATGGCTGAAGCAGAAGCAGTTATCTTTGACCATGAAGTGAATGCCATAGCTTGAGAATAATGCAGCAGCACATGGAAGAAGCCTGCATTCCTCGTGACTTTGAGAAGCCAACCTAGCTGCCCTGAACTTTGTCTTTGAAAAAAGAAGTAAATTTTTTCTTTGTTTAAGCTACTCCTATTTTGTATTTTTGGTCACTTTTAGCTAAACCTACTCTTAGTTAATATATTGGGTGATGTTAACTGCTTTTACAGCTTATAACATTTCTTATAAAACAATGACTCATCTATATCTCTTTCTTCTAAACTTCATGAGAATCAGTATTTCCTACCTAACTTACCCACACATATGCCCATGCACATCTCAAATTCAATGTGTTTAAAGATGCTTAAAGATGAAGTAATTTTCTCTAACTCCCTTCCTATGTTTCTAACCTCAGTGAATATTATCCAGAGACGGGAGTTATGGGGCTATTCCCTCAATTTTATCTGTCCCCTCTTCTGAATCTTCACTATTAAAGCTTCACTTTAGGCCCTAATAATCATTCTTTGGCACTACTTCATTTATTTCTAACTAATCTTTCTGCCTCAGATCTTGCCACATCTCTAATCCATCCATTAATCTGTCACCATGGTTATATTTCTGAAATGGAAATCTGTTTATTTCTGAAAGGAATGCTATCTCATTTAAAATTCTTCAATGATTTTACATTACCAAGTAGATGAAGTAGAATCTTCTTAGCATGCAAAGGCTTCCATGATCTGCATCCTGCCTACCTCTCCCTAGCTTTATCTCTACTGAATAGCCTACTGAATTTACCATTTCCTTTCTATCACAAGTTATTCTACCTTTTTTCCTCTGCCTTAAATACCTTTTTCCACCTTCAGATCTATATTTAAACTTTTACTTGAATAATACTATACACACTCAATTGTATTTTATGTCCTTTATGAAGACTTTTCTCAACAACCTTTATGAAGACTGTTCTGACCATTCCCTCAAGTATGCGTTGCTTTACTCTCAGATTTCTATACTAGTATCCACAACACTTGAAGATAATTGAGAGTGGAGAGAGATTACATTCACCTTTGTATCCTCAGCCCCTACTAAGGCACCTGCCATAAGCGAGTACCTAATAAATATGTATATTAGTTAATTGAGTGGATTATAGTACCATTAGGAATGTAAAGTAAATTTCAATTCGAAGAATACGAAAGAGGTAAAATAAACAGGGCTTAGTAACTGATTGAATGAGGGAAGTTAGGGAAAGAGAGAGATCAAAGCTGGCTCTGGTATTTTAAGCCAAGATGATGACAGGATGTAGATACCTGTAAGGAAAATATGGAATGGAATGAAGAGAGGAGAAAGTTTAGGCTGGAAGATGAAATCCGCTCTGGGCATCTTGAGTTTAATATGCTGGTGGTATAAACAAATGAGAGTTGGATAAAAATGACCTGGAATGCAATTAGACTCCCTGGACAATTGAAAGATCCTTTAACTGGATTATCAGTGGACATCACAGGATGTAATTTATCAGTTTAAGCTGAGAGTAAACACTAGAAATCACAAGGTTCAGAAGATTAGAAACATGAAGCAAGATGCAGATATGGACCAGGAAATGAGGCATCACTAGGATTGAACGATCTGGTTTAATTCAACATGTAAGGCTGTCTGCTGCCATGTGAGGTTCATATGAATAACCACCCTGTTTCAGGAGTTGATCTAAGTCAAAGGAGACTTTACCATTTGGAATAATTGCTCATACCCTATCACAAGACACTTAATAACTAACCTCTGAACCTTTCTGTCAATAGTGAGATATAAAAGATTTGTTAAAAGCCCCCCTCCACTAATATGAATAAATTCATTTATAAAAAATTATTGAAAAAACATGACAATGTAATCATAAGATGGGGACCAGAAATACCAAGAAAATTGCAGATTGTTAGGGCTTCTTTCTGGCAAAAAAACTAATAAAATTTAAAATACGAAGACCTTCATAGTAGTATTATTCTGTATCTTATTTTATGAAAGAAAGCAGGAAAGCAAGCAAACGATCTCAGGTTAGCTCTTAGGAATTGCTGACAGAGACTTTTGCTGCAGCCTGCCAGGAAGATCTCCTCTTGGAATTATTGTTACTTTTTGATGAGGATGTCTAAAAATTCAATCTCCAGGTTCAGCCAGAATCCAATAAATAAATTAAATGAATTAAATATTTACTGAGCATGCAAAATCCTGAGGGTAAAAATAAAAGCAGACACACTTCCTGTTCTCAGGGAACTCACAGTTTAGTGGTAGAAATGCTTTCAAAGCTTGTTTTATCTCAAGAAGATACTTGCAGAAGGGAATTATGCAAACATATAACAGAATTGTGTACTGTGTTCAGAGCCCTGCAGTTTCAGAGCACTTACTATATCAATGACATGAAAACTCTGATTCTTGAATGTTAACTTTTGCGAATGTCATTGATCCATGAAAATACACACACATCCCTGAGTTTAGGCCACAGCCTTGCTAGAGGGTTTGCAAGAACCGCAGTTCCAAACAGTTAATAAAAGTCTAAACTCATGTTATGGAATAAATTATGTGCTATTGGTAGGACAGAGTTTTGGATAAATTTTTAAGCAAAACCAAATGTACTAGGAAGCAGTAGTTCTGAAGTTCTCAACTGAGTGATTTGTTAGCTATTTTGGATTAGCTGGATAAATTAGCTGTATAACTTGGATTAGCTGGGTAACTTCACCATGAGTTGGATATGTGTTTTGAGGTAATCATACTTTATTACCATCTAATGTGCTTGAAAGGATTACTTGTTACTTATCATGTCACTGTCAGAAGAAGAGGCCAGAATCAGGGAGGAGCTCAGAATGAGAAAGATTAAAGGAAATCATCAAGTACCAGGAGTTTCTAGGTGTCAGGCAATAAGCTCTAGATAGAACAAGAATGAGCATTGAGGAAACGATATCCACTATTCACAGGGGCATTTTCCTAAGTCCTGACATATCATATCATTTATTTTCAGTGTCTTATTTTTTTATAGCTAACAAAATTGGATTAGAGAGGTTAAATAATTTGCTCGAATCTCATAACTAGTAATTGGTGTCAGTGAGATGCAAATCAAAATCTGCTCAGCACCAAAGCCATTGCTCTTAACCAGCATTTTGAACTGTCAAAATGTTGAAACCATGATCTGGAACACAATAGATCAGAGTCAGGCTGATGAGCCTTATAAGAGTATAAGAGAATAAAAAGTCAGGAGGGGAAAGAGAAACATCATGAATACTTCAGGCTTAGGCTGGGAGGGTAGAGGAGAGACAAATCAATTATAAAGTGGAGTGTTTCTGGAGTATTAAAAACCTCCTCATCCTGACTTGCCGGTTTATATCTGCTAAGAAATTCTCTTTTAGAGCTGTGATTTAAATAATTAATGTGATTCTGATACTTTGATTGGGAGTTATTGAAAATAGAATTCTGAAGCACAGGGACGAAAACAATCTTAGCCTGAATGGGAAACGTCAAGGTAGCTCTATAGTAGCTGTAGTCTTTTTGCAGGGGAAGATGGGATTGGGTGGGGTGGGGACAGAGGGTGAGAGGGAGAACTATAGCAAGTAATGTTATTATAAGTTCTGTATCTTAAAGAATTGTTGTAGTCATTAGTCATCTGAATAGGATTTCAGTTTTAGAATTAAACCTTTGTATGAATGGCATTGTATCCTGCACATTTCGATTTTCATCAGGCTCTGATTTCATTACTCATTTTCTTTGAAGAAGATAGTACAGTAGCCATATTATCATATAGATCTGTACCCAGCCCACTAGGTGTACTGTAACTGATGGAAATTTCCAAAGATTATTTTATTGAGTATAGAATTGTTCATCATTGTTCAACATGTGTAAGTTGATGTAGGTAGGGGATACATAGATATCTTTTATTATGGAAGTATCATTCCATAGTGTTCACCACCACTCTCTAATTGTATGAACATGATAAACTGCCATGCATTGTTTGTATTTAACCACTTGTTTAAAATTTTACAGCAATAATTTTTGTTGTCACATTTTTTTTTTGCTCTGAAGAATTTGAGGTTTTCCTGGAAAAATATTTGAATTAACACCTACACACACCCCTATATTTCTTAGATAAGATAATTCTGCCAGTGGTGATCACTACCAGTATGTCCTTGCAAGTAGGATATATACTTCCCAGTGCATTATTGATTCCTATGCTCCAGGCACTGTGAGAGATTATGGGGTGCAAGGCCTTGGTCCCCTGGAGGTTCCCTGAAAATCACTGATATGAGGCAGATTGATTATTAAGAGAAAAGGCATACAAATTTATTTAACACGCATACATATGAGGCTTCAGAATGAAGACCCAAAGATACAGGAGGAATTGTCCATTTTGATGCTTAGGTTCAACAAAGTATGTATAAAGCCAAAATATCTGAGACAAGTCTCAATCAATTTAGGATGTTTATTTTGCCAAGGTTAAGTATGCACCCATGACACAACCTCAGGAGGTCCTGAGAACATGTGTCCAAGGTGGTTGGGGTACAGCTGTCATATATTTTAGGGAGACATAATACATCAATCGATACATTTAAGTCTTACATTGGTTGAATCTTGAAGGGCAGGACAATTCGAAGAGGGAGGTAGGGGGTTGACTTCCAGGTCGTAGGTAGATTTAAAAATTTTCTCACTTGCAACTGGTTGAAGAGTTATTATCAGTAGAAAGGAATGTCTGGGTTACCATAGGGGTTGAGGAGAATAGATTGTAAATGTTTCTTATCAGACTTAAGATCTGTGTTGATGTTAATGCTGGAGGGGTATAGTGAAGCAAGTCCAATTCCCTCTTCCATCATGGCCTGAAATAGTTTTTCTGGTTAACTGTGGAATGCCTTTGGATGAGAGAAGGGGTCCATTCAGGTGGTTGGGCAACCTTGGAATTTTATTTCTGGTTTACATATAGACAGCTATGCGATTAGAAGAGGAAACTAAAGCACAGAGAAGTCACAAAATTTTTCTCTTTTTCTTAACCCCATAAAAAGAGGGTAATGAAAACTTGCCATGATACTTGCAAGTAGAGTTCAGGTTTCTTCTGCCCACAGGCACTTTCTCAGGTGTGTGTGCTCTTAAGAAGCTTAAATTATTAGTGCTCAAATGAAGTAAAATAGGGCATTTGCCCCAAATCTTACATACATTGCTAAGTAATGAAACCAAATGATAATAGAAGAAATTGGTTGCCAGTTCTAATTATTGATATTTTATAGCAGCAGAGTATAATGGAAATGGCACTATACTCTGTGGCTCTGTGGCCTTGTGAGGACAGTTGATTTGAGAACCAGAGAAGAGATTGTAAATGATAAATATGAGACAGATCTATAGCTTAGGTCAGTTTCTGGTTCCATCTGGATACAGCACCCAAATCAAGAGGACTTGTTCTGAGTCCTCCGTTTGCATTGACAGATGACTGGTACAACATTTTAATGTGTCTTATTAACAAATAATACCTGTGAATTAGAGCAGGTTTGATGAAGATAGAATAAAGGGAGAAAGGAAACATTGTGCCTGGTACTACCTCTCATTACATACAGAATTCACTAGAAGAAATTTATGGGAAAATAATTTTAAGGGTATATAAAATCATTTGATGATGTGATCTTCATTTTGACTAGGAACTACTCTAATTGCCTGATTTGCTGAAGAATAGCTATAGTCTAGATTACTTGCACAATAAAGTGTGAATTGCAAAATTGTTCCTTATTTATTCTTGCTTGTAGTGCCTTTGTCAAGGCACTATGCTGATTAGAGCCAGGATTGCCATGGAAGTGTTCCTGGTTTTGTTACATAGATAATTATTTAATTTAAAAAGATTAAACAAAGAAGATTATACACTACCTTGATGTTAGTGGCTGGGAAATTAAATGCACTAAGAAATGAAAGTCACTTTGTCTAAACAAACATAACAGGTAAGAGCCAATGACATAACTTTAAAAAATAAAATGAAGTTTGTTGTGTAAAAATAAAATCGTTTTGCAATATATGGAAATAAAATAACTAATATTGGTAGTTTTGATGAATGATTTAACATGGTCTATTCTCGAGTGAATGAAAAGTATTTAAGGAAATGACATCTCTTGTATTTAATTAGATTACCATATAAACTTATTATCATATATATGTAAACATACACATCATAATGAAATGAGAGTTCCCTGACCCCCTCGCAGGATGTGCAGCAGGGGTGTGGCTTCTTTATTTTGCCACTGTGCACTCAAACCCTTTATAGGAGGGGGAGGATTCAGGTGAGCAGGTGCAGGAGCCGGGGCAAGTGCTTTTAGAAACTTTAGAATCTGGAGTTTGTCTGGTGAATTATCTCCAGCCTTCTCCCTGTACCCAGTTACAGAAACAAACTCTCTTCTTTCCCAGTTCATCTGCTTCTCGTTATTGGGCCGCAAGAACATTCAGCCAAACCTGGTCGGTATGGGAACAATACCTTTTCTCATCCATCATAAGGGTCACTGAAACCACCTTTGCAAAAATTGTAACTGAGGGAATTATGACAGTGAAAGAGATCAGACCTAACTGACTTCATCTTGCTTCTAACCTTTAAACTGTCCTTGTTCCTTCCTGGGCATAGGCTGAACTAACCTTGGGAAGGAATGTAGTTTACAGTTTAAGTCTGAAACAAAATTGATAATAGCCCTTTCCTGAAAAAAACAAAAAACAAAAAACAAACAAAAACAAACAAACAAACAAACAAACAAAAAAACCCTTCTTGCCTGGGGGCCAGTCTGCCTTTCCAGGACTAACAAATTAGCTACAAGATTAGAAATTACAGTTTAGGGGTCATGCAGCCTGTGGCTTCAAGAGTCTGAACCTCTCCAGATTTCTCCTGGGCATGACATCACTATTGTCAAACCTAATATCAGTGCTTGAGATATTTTGCAGACCCTGCACTGGATTGATCTCTCACCTGACAGCACCCAGACAGGTAATCTGGCTCACCCAGTTCTGTGATCTCACGCAGGAACAGAAGATAGCAAAAAAAAAAAATAAAAATAAAAATAAAAAAATTAAATAAAACTAACTTTGACCTCTGCTATGATTCCATCTCCAACCTGACCAGTCAGCACTCTCCGCTTACCGAGCCCTTAGCCTCCAAATTATCCTTAAAAACTCTGGTCCCAGAATGCTTGGGGAGACTTATTTGCATAATAATAAAATTCTGGTCTCCCACACAGCTGGCTCTGTGTGAATTACTCTTTCTTCATTGCAATTCCCCTGTCTTGATAAATCTGCTATCTAGGCAGTGGGCAAGGTGAACCCTTTGGGCAGTTACAAATTTGGGGACTCATTGGGGATTGTTATTGTGGCTACCTGTCCATGGTTTCACAGCCCCCCTTCGGTGGCAGATCCAGATGCCAGCCCAAGTGGCCGCCTAGTTCTCTTGGATTAGGGTCTGGCTCTGGCACTGTCTCTACCAGTGGGGTGCTGCTGACCCAATGTGTATGTATTTAATTGCAATAGAGAAATAGTCCTGGGGAGACATCCCATAAATCTAGCCCCATGGCAGGGTATCTATCTGTAGGTCCATCACAGGGTGTCTGTAACTGTAGCCCAAAGGCAACAGGTCCAGATGGTTGTTAGAAACAATTCCTATGTTATTTCATAAAGGTAGGAGTTTCCCTATTTTACAAATAATTCCTACATTATTTCAAAAAGGTAAAATTTCTACAATTCATGTAATGCAGATAACATAATCATATTATCAAAATCTGATAAACATACCTAAAAGAAAAATAGACCAGTGGTTCTCAATCCTGGGTGCACAATATAACTATTTGAAGAGCCTTTGAAAAATGCTCATGCCTAAACCTCATCCAAGAGTTTCTGATTTATTTGATTTGGGATATGGCCTGGAACTTAGTGTTTCTAATATACTACAGACCAATGTTACTTATTCATATAATACCAGATTCTAAATGAAATACTAGCAAATTGAATCAAGTAGTTCATTAAAGGAATAACACTCCACAATTATATAGAGTTTATTCTAGGATTATAAAGATGGTTCATCATTAGGGAATTTACTAATATAATTCATTACCCTAAAAAATGGAAGGAGAAAGACCATATAGCTTTATCAGTAGATTCATAAATGTTATTAGCAAGCATTTTTAGGAAAATCTCTGAATAAGTTTGGACTAGAAACCAATTACCACGATAAAATTACTTATCAAAAACTATAGAAACATTATAAAGTGAGGCATAATGAAATCATTAAATTTACATTAAAGGCAGGATCAAGTCAAGTAAATATTTTGGCGGTCTGGGTAATGCACTAAGACAATTGACAAATGGTATACATTTTGGAAATAAAGAGACATGCAACTGTATACCTAGAGACTCCAAAAGGCTATAATAAATATTAGCTTGTACAAGATAATTTCATAAGGTAAATGGATAAACTATAAATATAGAAAATAAATAGCCTTTCTTTATACTAGGAGTAAACAATTAGAAAACCAAATGGAAAATATATCTGTAATAAATACGAAAATATGAAATACCTGAAATTAAATGTAATAAAGGGAATATAAGACCCATGTGAAGATAGCTATAACATTTTCTTTAAAAATGTAAAATATGTTTCTCAAAATGGGGAGCCATTCCATTGAAACCACCTTCGCAAAATTATAACAGTAAGAGAAATCTGACTCAGTTAACTCCATCTTGCTTCTGACCTCCAGGGTGTTCTTGGTCATTCCTGGGTGTATAGGTCAAGCTAACTTTGGGAGAAATTTATAGTTTAACTTCAAAGCAAAGATGATAATATTCTCTCCCTAAAACTAACCCCCTCCTTGCTCAAGGACCAAAAACTGCCTTTATAAGACTAATGATAGGCCACAAGAACAAGATTATGGGAGGGGCCTGAACTCTGCTAAGATGTAGGCATTATTTCTATAGTCCCTTACTGCTCAGGAGTCATGTGGCCAGAGGTCACAAGATTTGAGACTTCCCTAATTGCTCCTATAGATAACATCACTATTGTAGAACATACGATTGGTTCTTTTGAGATCTTTTTCAGACTGACACCATCCACACTTGTGACTCATGACTCATTTGGTCCTGTGGCACCACCCAGGAGTGGACTCAGTGTACAAGGACTGTTTTCCACAAGCCTATGATTTCATCTCCAACCAATCAGCAGTACCCATTCCCTAGTCCCCTGTCCACCAAATTGTCCATAAAAACTCTAACCTCTGAGCCTTTGGGGAGACTGATTCGAGTGATAGCTTCAGTTCTCCTGCATGACAAGTCTTGCATCAAACAAACTCTTTCTTTGCTGCAATGCCACAGTCTCAGTGAATAGACTTTGTCTGTACAACAGGCAGGAAGAAACTGTTGGGCACTTGCACCATGTCTCTGTATAAAGCACTATTCTAAAAATGTTGATACATCCCAATATCCTATACACATGTAAACAACTGAAAGGAAAATCTCAAAAAACATCCTCAATATTTTATTAGAACAAGGTGAAATTGTTTGAGTTCAAATAGAAGAACTAATACGTGAGAATATTTAAGAAATCTGAAAATACAGTAGACGATAGATAGATACATATAACAAGGACATAATTAAGTACAGTAATAGAACTGAGTATGTACATATATAGGAACCTAATGTTTCACAAGTATTGCCCTTTAATTCTGTGTGAAAATGACATTTTAAAAATTTAATGGTGCTGGCATAATTTGCTATCAATATGGAGGAAAATAAATAAATATATTTACCTCCCAATATTTTTATCTACAAAAATAAATTCAAAATGGAATGATATAAATATCAAAAATAAAATATATTATTATTAGAAGAAAGTTTAACTTTTAAATCTCAAGCAAGAGGGGAACTATAGATGTCATAAGTAAAATTTTCACAAATTTTTCTAGGTAAACATTGAAAAATCATGTGCTGCAAAAATAAAATGAAAGCCATAAATATGGTTGAAAGACAACAAACTGACAAAATATTTGCAATACTTTAGTAGACTGCTATTCCTAATGAACAGAGACCCCAATAAAAATTAAAAATAAAAGGCAAACAATCCAAAAAAATGGGCAAATCACAGTTGACCCTTGAAGAATGGAGGGGTTAAGGGCACTGATCCCTTATACAGTCCAAAATCTATGTATAACTTTTGACTTGCCAAAAACTTAACTACTAATAGCCTGTGGTTGACTAGAAGCCTTACCGATAATATCAACAGTTGATTAACACATATTTTATATGTTATATTTATTATATACTGTATTCTACCAATAAAGTAAGCTTGAGAAATGAAAACATTATTGAGAAAATCACAAGGAAGAGAAAATATGTTTTCTAATCATTAAGTGGAAGTGGTTCATCATAAAGGTCTACATCCTCATTGTCTTCACATTGAGTAGGCCAAGGAAGAAGAAGAAGGGGAGAAGTTGGTGTATTAGTCTGTTCTCATGCTGCTAATACAGACATACCTGAGACTGGGTAATTTATGAAGGAAAGAGGTTTAATTGACTCCCAGTTCCACATGGCTGGGGAGACCTCACAATCATGGCTGAAGGCGAATGAGGAGAAAAGTCACATCTTATATGGCAGGAGGAAAGAGAGAGCTTGTATAGGGTAACTCTTTTTTAATAAAAATATCAGATCTTGTGAGACTTATTCACTATCATGAGAACAGGATGGGAAAGACGCGCCCCCTTGATTAAATTACCTCCAACTGGGTCCCTCCCGTGACACGTGGGGATTATGAAAGCTACAATTCAAAGATGAGATTTGGGTGGGGACACAGCCAAACCAAATCAGTTGGTTCTGTTGTCTCAAGGGTGACAGAGGCGAAAGAGGTGGAGGAGGTGGAAGAGGAGGCAAGAGAGGCAGGCACACTTGGTGTAACTTTACAGAAGTACATCATAACTTCTGTCTGATTTTTTTGCTTCTTTATTTCTTTAAAAATGTTTCTATATGGTACCAATCCTTCTTCCACCATTTGCTTTAGTTTCAGTGCTCCTATCATAGAAGGGTTCATGTTGTAAAAGAAGTCAAAAGTGGTCTTGAATAATTGGAACCCTCTGCCAGGTTGTCTAATGTCATCTTACTTTCTGGCACTGCTTCGTCTACATTTTCTTTCTCATCATCTAGTACTGATTCAAAAGCATTTATCTCCATCAAGTCATCTTCTGTTAATTACTCTGATGTGATATGTTTTAGCTCTTGATTTGTCCAAGGTCTACATTTTGCAATCCTTCACTACCACCTTTTTTCTTTATATCCACAATCTCATTTGCAATTTCCTTGATTGGCTCTGTTGTACATCCTGTGAAATCAAGAACAACATCTGGACACAGTTTTCTGTAGTAGGAATTTATTGTTTTGGGATTGATGGCTTTTCCATAACAATGATGGCATCTTCAATGTTGTAACCCTTCCAGCCTTTTGTGATGACCTCTCTATTGGGGTTCTCTTCCATAGTGTTGACAATCCCTTCCATAGATTGCCATGTGTAATGAGCCTTAAAGGTCCTTACAAACTCCTGATCTAGAGGCTAAATTAAATATATTGTATTTTGGGCCAAGTAGACTATGTTGATGCCTTCATTATTGAACACATGAGGTTTTGGGTGGCCAGGGTCATTTTCCAACATTTTTGAAAACTTTAAAAGGCAGCCCATCACTGGCAAGTTACTTCCTGACTTCAGGGACAAAATATCAATGAAAATAATCCAGAAAAAAATAGTTCTTATTGTCTAGGCCTTCTTGTTGTAGAAGCAAGAGAGTGGAAGATGTTGTTTATCTTTTCTCTTCAAGACTCAGGGGTTAGCAGGTTGTCTACAAAGGCAGTCCTGACTATAACTCTATGGCATTTTCACAAAACAGTGGAGTTAGATGATCCCTTCCTGCATTAAATCCTGGTGTTTGCTTCTGTTCTTTACTAATAAATGTCCTTTGTGGCATTTTTCTTTTCCAGAATGGTGTACTTTCATCTGCATTAAAAGCTTTTTCAGGCATATATCCTTTCTTCTCAATGATTTTCTCAATGGCATTTGGGAACTTATCTGCAGCCTCTTGGTCCGCAGAAGCTTCTTCTCCTGTTATCTTGACATTTTTAAGCCAAACCTCTTTCTGAAGTTATCAAACCATCCTTTGCTGAAATTAAATGCTCCAGCTTTAAATCTTTCACCTTTCTTTTGCTTTAAATTGTCATATAATGACCTCACTTTTTCTTGAATCATATTGGAGTCTATAGGTATGGCTTTCTTGTAGCAATCCTTCATCCACATAAAAGCTTCATTTTTAATACTAGATAAAAAGGTATTTTGCAAAAAGTATAGGGTCTTCATGCCTGCTTGCATAGCTCCAGTGACAGCTTCATGAATTGCCCCCCTTTTATTTTATTTTTTTACAATGGTTCTTACCCAGCATTAATTTATCTTGAAAAAGTGGTCAACCACAGCTGCAGGCTGCAGTTTACAGTACGTATCAAACATTCAACTTTTTCTTATAATGTCATAACTTCTCTCTGCTTCTTGGGAGCACTTTCAGCTTCACTGGTGGCACATTATATGGGTGCCATGGTGTTATACAGTTTATGGTATTGCACTAAACACGATGAAAACTACATAAGAACCAGGGGAGATCTCTTTTTAGTGTGATATTAAATTTACTAGAGAGATCAACTGCTCATGTAGAGATGATTAGTGTCACAGGGCATTTTAAGTGGATACTCACAACACTTGGGCTCACAGCAAAAGCAACGGGAGATGGCTATGAAATTACTACAGTAGTACAGTATATAGAGTTAATGTTTGTAGTTATGATTTAATAGTGTATCTTTATGTTTGTTTACATTTCTCTCAATCGCAAATGGTGCCATATACCATCTGTAAGTGTTTGTATGCACAAGTTTTAATATATTTTAACTTTTTACCACAGATTTGTGTATGTTTTATTATAGTAAATGATAGACTAGTATCTATGTATATTTTATGCATTAATGACATACCTAATTTTTTTTCTTAATTTTTAAAAATATTTCTAGGCTATGCAGTTTGTGAGTTTTTCTCAAATTGTTCCAAATATCCAAAAAATTTTCCAGTATATTTACTGAAAAAAGTCCGCATATGTGAATGTACATAGTTCAAACCCATGTTGTTCAAGGGTCAACTGTATAAGAAAAAACAATTCATAGAGCAGGAAGGGATGTAATTTTTTGAATTTTTGAAGCCATGTATGTGCATTACTTATGCTATCATTATATAAAAATCACAGTATAATGTTGATTTTTTAATCAAATCATTTGTGATAGAAATGTATGTATTTCAGAAAATATGGCTTATAACAGATCTGATTCTTCATTTATGTCTGATTTTCCAGTATTGTAAAAGGAAACTGGGAACAAGACACTGATTAACTGAAAAGACTGGCAGTTTTAATTTTGATCTTTGAATTTATGGCAATATTTCCACTTTGAAATATTTAGACATATGAAAAACTCAAACTCAGCCCAAACTTCTGCAATCACCTTATATATCAATGAATTTCCTTTAACTTTGTGATTGCACAATGACATTAAAGCATACAACGAAATAGTGATAATCCAAGAATAAAATATTTGCAATAAAACAGTTAACTGCATCTCAATTATAATGTTTTAAAGCCTCCCTAATTATACAAACTATTTATTGAACACTTATTACATGTGCAGCTCATAGGACTATACATGCATTATTTTGTTTAATCCTCATCACAACTTAGAAGATAGGTATAATTAGTATCTGCATATTAAATATAGGAAATTGAGGCTCAGAGAGATTATGTAACTTTTCCAGTATTGCTTAGTGGTGAAGTGGGGCCTTGTACTAGGTCCTTCTGACTCTGTAGCTCATGTTCCCATCTTTTAAACTGCATGTGTCGTAAATAACAACCAAATGCATTTTCTAGGTCTGGATCTCTGTACTGTTAATACAGTAATACATCTTTACCTTTTCTTCCCCTTATATATCTCTTTGGGAATTTGATGAAATTTATAGACATACTGTTGAGAAAACTGCAAACACACACACACACACACACACACACACACACACACACACACCTCTGCATATAATTTCCAGAAAATTGTGGATCCTCTGAAGCCCACCCTGGAGCCTCATGTTGTGGACCTCTATTCTACTCAATGGAGACTAGGACATCTGGAAACATCGGTTTTATTGTTTGTGCAAAAGTGTAACAATTTTAGGTGAACTTTAGTGACCTATTTTTAAAATCTCATATCTTCTTTATTTTTATGTGGATATCGATTAAAATGGAAGTTTTGGTTAATTATTAAAATAAATCAGGGGAAGAATGAGTTGCTGGAAAAGAAATAAAAAATTGCTTTGTGCTAGATCTTCATCTACCTAGAAACAATGTACAGCAATACATAAATTTTAAGGCATCCGTTACGAACAGTAATGTCAGGAACACAAAACGCTTTTGTTGTAACTGTATCACTACACACATAGTACTACTCCAAAAAATCTTCTTAAAGAGAATGACTTTATCTTCCTTTATGTACAGTTTACCCAAGGATTTACTTGCCAGTCCTTAATTCAGGTCTTAAACTCTCTAAAGGGTTCTTATACAAGCCTAACACTGAAATAACGTCCTTGCTTTGTGCATAATAATCTTGTTAAATCTACTGGGTGTCTACTTTGAAGATCGTTTGCCATTCAGTAAGAAAAGTAACACCTCATAAGTGAATCAGTTATGATGGTTCTATTACTTATAGACAGAACATACAGCTAGTAAATGCATAACATATGTGAGAAAGGTTGATTCGTCAAAATATCTTCTACACTGAACTCTAATACATTGTTTGTGGCTAATAATATAAGGAATTATAGAACAGTATGCTGCTCTTGCTGAGAGTGAATAATGGTAAAAGCTCCTCAAAGTGACAAAAATGTGAGTTATTGAAAATGATGGGAATTTAAAAAGTGTGTAGGTAGTAATGAATCTATTTGGGTTAATTGAGAACTGATAAAAATACAGACTTAATGAATAGGCATCAATTAAATAATCCCTTCATTTTTTGCATTTTTTCTTTACATCTGTGTATCTTGCCAACAAACTCAGTCAAACCTTTCCTTCAGCAATCCCCTTATATATCAATGAATTTCCTTTGACCTTGTGATTGCACAATGATATTAAAGCATACAAGGAAATGATAATAATCCCACAGTGAAGTATTTGCAATAAAACAATTAACTGCATCTTATATGGCTTCTTACTACATGTGATTTGTCTGGGTCTTGGCTGGGATTGCTAGTGACATGGTCATTTACTTGGAAGTTGAATTCGAAAGTGCACTTACGGTAGCTGATATTTATGTATACCACAGGATTCTATTTTGAAATTTTTACCCACTTAGCCAGACTTTCAGTGTCACAGCTTCTATATTATGTTTACTTATGCCCTCATAATACTTTCACTGATGGAACACTCTAAATTTTGTATTGCTCAATTAATTTTACTTGTATTTTGGAACTAGAAGAAGATATCATTGTGTGGAGGAATCCTTAATGGAAAAACTCGCACTCAAGTGTCTTTCCGATAAGTCACTATTTAGAGTCATTGAAGTATCTCTGCTTCCTAGGTTGATGTCACTCTGAGGGTAGACTGAATAGTGCATTGCTTTGGTGAAGGGTGCGTGATGGATGAACATGTTACAGGAAGGATTTTCTAAAAACAGCCTTAAATTCTCATATTTCTATTTTGCTAAAAATAATCTGTAAAGCTTTCTGATTTTCTAGAGGATTTTTTAAAAAGGATTCTTGGATTTCTACACTAGATGTGACTGGACACCAGAGGCTTCAGGTGGCTGCTGTTTGATCACTGAGCCTTACTTGGTTTTTCCTAATCAGAAGCTCCTGAATAATACAGCTGCATGACTAGGTGGCTCCTTTCATCTCAGCATCGGTCAAAGACGCTCAGGCTCTGATGCTCTGATGTAATGGGATTTCCAACACTCTTCCTCTCCAAATTTTATCTGAGGCAAATACCATTGCTATGAAGATTCTCATTCATGTCTATCACCTATTTTTGGTATAATAATAGCCCTCTTGCATGATAATACACTTACCCCACTAAGCAAAAGCTAATAAGAAACAGCTTTCTAGTAGTGTGATTATTTAGTTATGTCTTTCTAATCATTACCAGCATAATATCAGACAACTAATGGGAAAATTCTCTCCCTCTTTCTCTCTCTCTCTCTCTCTCTCTCTCTCTGTGTGTGTGTGTGTGTGTATGTATGTGTGTGTGGTTTTTTTCCCCCAGGCTTGAGAAGACTAAAAGCTTCTTTATATTCTTAAAGTAGATTTGCTACAATAAGAAAACAGTAAGCAGATAACAAAATGAACCATGGGCTGTATTTCTAAAGATATGAAATAAGCCAAAATTCCACTCCGTCATATAGTCTCAATAAACTTTTTCTCCAATAAAATGCCTGCAAAACTGCTCAGGTTTGTTTCTACTATTCTGCAAGCTAACTGGTTATGTTTTTTAAAATTGATACTCAAACTCCATTCAGTGTGAACTGATTTGAGTCCTGGATTATGTTGAAACTAAACATGAAATACAGT
Organism: Homo sapiens; assembly: GCF_000001405.40. NCBI lineage: Eukaryota > Metazoa > Chordata > Mammalia > Primates > Hominidae > Homo > Homo sapiens. Next base: position 96,152,781 of record NC_000023.11, on the reverse strand, counting down.
GCTCTACTTCCAGCAGTACATACTTGCTGACTTCCTTCTTCATTCACTAAATTTTCTTTTCTTTTTTCCTGCTTTCATCTTTTTTTCTTTTTCTTTTTCTTTGACACATAATAACTGTACACATGTATGGGATACAGAGTAATATTTTGATACGTGTATACAAGGTATATTGATCAAATAAGGTTAATTAGGATATCCATCACCTCAAACATTGATCATTTATTTGTGTTGGAAACATTCAAAATCCCTTCTTCTAGCTTTCAAACATATACAGTACATAATTGTTAACTATGTTCACTCTATAGTGCTATAGAGCACTAGAAGTTATTCCTCTTATATAGCTGTAATTTTGAATTTGTTGATCAACCTCTTCCTATCCTCCCCTCCTCCTGAATTTTCAAAATAGTAATAAATGGTTATAATGACACAGAAGACATTTGTGAAAAGCACATCAAACCAGGGATCAAGAAACTAATTCTCTGACCTTGGCTTTGCCACTGACTAGATAGATGATTTAACGCAAGCCACTTCCCCTCACTGGGCTCCATATTATCTTTAAAAAACAAGAGATTTGGAATCTTTATTTTCCCATTTTTCTTTAAATGTCTGTGATCTCTTGTTTTAAGACTACCTCTATCTGCAATAGTATTTATTATAAGGTACTATTTTTCGACCTCTTTAGAAAAAATATTTTCAATTAATTTGCAGATTATAGCAGCCACTTTGAAGTCCTCTGTTCTGGAAACCATTCAGTATTGAAATATAATATCTATATCTTCCTTTAACTGGAAACTCTTTAGCAGCACAGTAATAAGTAAGCTGACAGAATTTACTAATAAAAATTAAGTTCACTGTTTATATGAATTCATCTTCTTTCCTGCAAAACATTAATGTCCTTCAATAAAGACCATCCATTTTATTTGCCACACTTCTGGAGAGAAGTTTAGAATGTGTTCCAGACATTAATGCTTGTGTTGAGTAAGTCGAAATCAGAGGAATCTATATAAAAATACAGAAGGAAATTTTTTAAAAAAAGGAAATTCCTAATCTAAAGGAAAGGAGAAATGGTGGAGAAGATACTTTATCTCAACACAAAAAGCAAAGCATTCATTTCTTTTTTTTTCCTTATTCTATGGCTTTTTATTTCTTTTTTTTTATTATACTTTAAGTTTTAGGGTACATGTGCACATTGTGCAGGTTAGGTACATATGTATACATGTGCCATGCTAGTGTGCTGCACCCACTAACTCGTCATCTAGCATTAGGTATATCTCCCAATGCTATCCCTCCCCCCTCCCCCAACCCCACAACAGTCCCCAGAGTGTGATATTCCCCTTCCTGTGTCCATGTGATCTCATTGTTCAATTCCCACCTATGAGTGAGAATTTGCAGTGTTTGGTTTTTTGTTCTTGCAATAGGAATACTATGCAGCCATAAAAAATGATGAGTTCATGTCCTTTGTAGGGACATGGATGAAATTGGAAATCATCATTCTCAGTAAACTATCACAAGAACAAAAAATCATTTCTTATTCTCACTTTTGTTTCCAGATTCCTTCAATTAGAGTGCCTCTGAAAGACAGGGTGTATTCCAGCTGGCATTGGGACAACCTAAAGTTTAAACCTTTGGGTGAAAAAGGTAAGACAAGTAAGTGGCAGAAGTTCAATTTATATGGCAGAGTTTTATAGGTTAATTTGTTCATTCATTTATTTATTCATCTGTTCGTCAAATACATTGAGTACACCCATGAACCAGGTAATATGCTTTGATCTATATAGAGCTCATATGAACGTGTTCTCCTTCTTTTAAAAATTTCTGATATGTATCAAACTGTTAGAAATAGATAACTAAACAGACATCTTTGTGCTAACCACTAAAGTTTATCATTTTTAAATATTTGATTCAGAAATGTTTAAAAAGAAATAAAATATTGGAGTTACCCTTCCTGTTCCTATTGCCTTCACTTATTCCCGTGAGGCAATTGACATCCTTCACTTGATATATTTTCATCCATTTTCTACATATGCATGTATCTATACCAATTTATAAGATTGATTTGCATGTTTTAAAATTCTATATAAATTGCATATAAATATTATTATTCTAACTGTATCATTCTGCAACCTGATTTTTTTTGCTCAAAAATGTTTTTGAGCTTAAATCTATATTGATACAAGTAGCTCTACTTCTTGAATTTTAATTTCTATACACTATTTCATTATTTGAATATTCCACAGTTTGCCTGTTGATATGGTTTGGATCTGTGTCCCCACCAAATCTTATGTCAAATTGTAATCACCAATGTTGGAGGTAGGGACTAGTGGGAGGTGACTGGATCATGGAGGCAGATTTTTCATGAATGGCTTAGCACCATCCCTCATGATTGTGAGTGAGTTCTTGAGAGTTCTGGCTATTTAAAAGTGTGCAGCACCTCCTCCATCACTCTCTCTCTTGCTCCTGCTCCTGCCATGTAAGACATGCCTGCTTTTCATTCACCTTCTGCCATGACTGTACGTTTCCTGAAGCCTCCTCAGAAGCAGAGAAGATGCCAGCATCATGCTTCCTATACGGCCTGTAGAATCATGAGCCAACTAAGCCTCTTTTCTTTATAAATTACCCAATCTCTGGTATTTCTTTATAGCAATTCAAGAATGGGCTAGCACACCTATTCTCTTGCTGATGTATTTTTAGAGTCTGTCTATTTTTTTTAGGTACTACTAACAGCTTTATGAGAAAAGAAAAAATATTATAGGGATATTAAATAAATTTGTGAAAATTTCTCTTGTTCTGTACCTAGGATTGGCATTGTTGGATCAAAGGGTATGTCCACCTTCACATTAACTAGAGACTGCCAATTTTCTGTACAAGCAATTATTGATATTCCCATCAGTAGAGTATAAGTGTTCCAATTTCTCCACAACTTTTTCGACAAGTGGTAACTTAAAGTTATTTGTCTTACTTGTCTGTTCTCTGAATATTTCACATAAAATAAAGATTCTTATTCCCTTGAATTTTTGATAAAAGTCACCTGTTAAAATCATCAGAGCCTAGTGTCTTTTTTTAAAGTAGGTTTTTTATTACTGATTTAATTTATTTAATGGTTATTGATTTCTTCAAGCTTTCTAATTTTCATCAGTCAGTTTTAGTAATTTATATTTTCTAGGTGATTATTCATTTCATTAAAGGTTTAAAATTTGTTGGTATGGTACTATTCATAATATGTTATTATTTAACTCTCTATTTTCTCTGCAGTTATATTTCATTTTTGGTTTCTAATATTGTTTATATATGACCTTTTTCTTAATTAGTCTTGCTAAACACTTTTATCAGTTTTGGTTTTCTTTTTTATTTCTCTACATTATTTTTTTCTATTCAATTAAATGCTTCTGTGACTTTTTTTTACCTTTCTTCTGTAATTTTCTTTTTTCTTTTCTTTTCTTCTTTTCTTTTCTTTTTTTTTTTTTTTTGACAGAATCTTGCTCTGTTGCCCAGGCTGGAGGGCAGTGGCATGATCTCAGTTCATTGCAACCTTTGCCTCACAGGTTCAAGCAATTCTCATTCCTCAGCCTGCTAAGTAGCTGGGAATACAGGTGTGCACCACCATGCCCAGCTAATTTTTGTATTTTTAGTAGAGACAGGGTTTAGCCATGTTGGCCAGGCTGGTCTTGAACTCCTGGCCTCAAGTTACCTTCTTGCCTCAGCCTCCCAAAGTGCTGGGATTACAGGTGTGAGCTACCGCACCTGGCCCCCTTTCTGTAATTTTCTATAGGGTTATTCCCTTATTTTTATAGCTTATTTTTTAAACATCATTATTGATTTTAATACATGCAGTTACTGCTATAAATATGCCCCAAATACCCTTTTAGCTGCATCCCACAAGTTTTGACAAATAGTACTTCCATTAGTAAGTTCTAAATATTTTATATTTCTCACTTTATAATGACTAGAACAATTTTATTCACATTATTCCTTCATGGCCTTGACTCCTGGAAACCAATGTTGGATTTCAGACTTGAAATCTTGAAGTCCTATGCCTAAAGCTTTGCTCACTTCATTGCCTTCCAGTTCTATTTCTGGTGCATAAATATGTTTATCTTCTGTTTGATGCTAGCTATGTTTTTCTGATTTTGTCTAATTTTTCTGTCGATACCATCTTTTCATGAATCCACTGCACCATCATTACTGGAAGACCCTTTTACTCACTTTAGCTTTACAGATTGCTTGCATATCTCATTCTTTATTAGGATGAGCAATTAAAAAACAGGGAATCAGTGTCTATACTTAAGACTGTACAGCATGCTGATTAAAAGAGAGGGGAGTACTGAGGCAATTATGTAGATAGTTGTTGTAAACATTGACAAATGTAAGAATGGACGTGGAGGATGAAAAAGAAACAATCCTTTACTTTGTCAATGTGGTTAGGAGTTCCATGTCCCCAGTTCCCAACTGAATGTAATTTAAATCAATTCAGACTGAGGTAAAACTTCATCTCTTCACAAGAGGTAACTCTGTGCAGTCTCTTAGACATTACAGCAATCGCCTGTGGAGAGATTGTTCTAATCTACAAATAAGGACACACTCGTGCAACTGCAGTTCAAAAGTAGATATAGATGAAGTATGACTGAAACGTAGGCTTCCATTTTTCCCTTGTTTATTTGCTTTATTCCCTTTGAAAAAATAGGGGACTTGCTTATTTTAAAATGCCCTTTCCCTTAGAATGACCTGCTGAGTATTTGTGGAACAAACTTGGCACAGTGTTTTGGAAATACACAGTAAATTTTCTGGGAGGAAATTGAATCACTAGTAAAAGAAATGAATTCTGTGATCAAAAATTGGTCCTCTTTATGTTTATGGCCTCATTCCCATATCTTTCTCCTTCCTCATTTCTCCCTTTCTTCACCCTTTAATTTGTTGTCCTTGTTGCTTAGTGACTGTGGTTGGGTTAGAGGAGATAGAAATAAACAAAAATTTTGTTGGCAAGAGCTTCTCATTTTAAAAAAGCAGCATGTTTGGCAGGCAGAAGATTGGAACTTTTGGCCTTGATGAAAAATTATATGTCATGCTTTCAAAAATAATAAAAAGAAAAAAGTTGGAATGTTTGGCATTACAGAGAACAAGCCATATTTAACTAGTTTTGAAACAGAAAGTATTTGATAAAGATAAAACCTTTTTATTTATTCTATACTTCTTTTTTATTCTCAACATGATGTTCTGTGATTATGATAGTTAATTTTATGTCTCAGTTGGACTGGGCCATGGAGTGCTTAGATATATTGTCAAACATTATTTTGTGTGTGTCTGCGAAGGTATTTTTGGATAAGATTAAAATTTGAATAGGTAGACCGATTAAAACAGATTGTCCTCTCTAATGTGACCAGGTTTCATCCAATCATTTGAGGGCCTGAATAGAACAAAAAGGCTGACTCCCATGCATACACACACACACACACACACACACACACACACTCACACACCACTCCTGTTGGTTCTGTATCTCTGGAGAACTCTAACAGAGTTGTTTATTGAAAATATAATTTAATGTTAAAAAACTTGAAATAAAGTTTTTGAAATCTGTTGTAAAATAAATGAAAAGTCCAGGGACAAAGGACATTCGAAAAGGTTTATTCTAGGATATAAGCTGAGGGAAAATTCTCAAGGATCAAAATAAAGTACATATTCTAGGAAGAAGCAATTCCTCCATCTAATTTTTGAGCAGTGTCTTTCTGACATTATCCAAGTAATTTAGAGAATCAACTATCACTAAATCAACTAAACATCAGGGATTCTTACTCTTATTTTCACCAGAATGCAAAGTGTTTTAATATAATACCTGTAACTTGGATACTTAATCAAATATCTTTATTTCCCTTCAAGACAATACTTTTCTTTCTTTTTTTTTCTTTCCAACGTTTATTTTAGGTTCAGGGGTACATGTGCAGGTTTGCTATATGGGTAAATTGCCTGTCACAGTGGTTTGATGTACCTTATTTCATCACCCAGGTAGTGAGCATACTACCCGATAGGTAGTTTTTCGATCCTCACCCTCCTCCCACCCTCCATCCTCAGGTAGGCCCGGGTGTCTATTGTCCCCTTCTTTGTGTCCATGTGTTCAATGGTTACCTCCTACTTATAAGTGAGAGCAGGTTGTATTTGGTTTTCTGTTACTGCATTAATTTGCTTAGGATAATGGCCTCTGGCTCCATCCATATTGCTGCAAAGGATATGATTTCATTATTTTCTATGGCTGTGTAGTATTCTATGGCATATATGTACCACATTTTCTTTATTCAGTCCACTGCTGATGGGCATCTGAGTTGAATTCATGTCTTTGCTGTTATGAATAGTGCTGTGATGAACACGTTTGCATGTGTCTTTATGGTAGAATGATTTATATTCCTGTAATGGGATTGCTGAGTGGGATGATAGTTCTAAGTTCTTTAAGAAATCATCAAACTGCTTTCCATGGTAGCTGAACTGATTTGCATTCCCACCAGCAGTGTACAAGTGTTCTCTTTTATTTGCAACCTTGCCAGCATCTGTGATTTTTTGATGTTTTAGTAATAGCCATTCTGACTGGTGGGAGATGGTATTGCACTGAAGTTTTGATTTGCACTTCTTTAATGATTAGTGATGTTGAACATTTTTTCAAATGCTTGTTATCCACAGGTATTTCTTCTTTTGATAAGTGTCTGTTCCTGTCACTTGCTCATTTTTTTTTACCCTTGCCTGAGCCTCAAGTTCCCCATATATGTGGAGTTGTTTTATTTTTTTTTTTTGCTTGTTGATTTAAGTTCCTTATAGATTCTAGATAGTAGACCTTTGTGGGATGCATAGCTTGCAAATATTTTCTCCCATTTTGTAGGTTGTCTGTTCACTCTCTTGATGGTTTTTTTTTTTTTTTTTTTTTTTTTGCTGTGCAGAAGCTCTTCAGTTTAATTAGGTCCTACTTGTCAATTTTTATTTTTGTTGTAATTGCTTTTAGTCTTGGTCATGAAATCATTGCCAGGGCCTATATCCAGAATGGTATTTCCTAGGTTATCTTCTAGAGTTTTTATAGTCTTACGTTTTAGTTTAAGTCTTAATCTATCTTGAGTTGATTTTTGAATATGATGAAAGGAAGGGGTCCAGTTTCAATGTTCTGCATATGGGTAGCTGGTTATCCCAGCACCATTTATTGAACAGGGAGTCCTTTCACCATCGTTTGTTTTCATCAACTTTGTTGAAGATCACGTGGTAGTAAGTGTGCAGTTTTATTTCATCAAATTGGTCAAATTGGCCATTTTAACAATATTGATTCTTCCTATTCATGAGCATTGAATGTTAGTAGGTGTGCAGCTTTATTTCTGAGTTCTCTATTCTTTTGCATTAGTCTATATGTCTGTTTTTGTGCCAGTACCATGCTGTTTTGGTTACTGTGGCCTTGTAGCATAGCTTGAAGTTGGGTATGTGATGCCTGAAGCTTTGTTCTTTTAGCTTTGGGTAGCTTTGGCTATGCAGTCTCTTTTTTGATTCCATATTAATTTTACAATAATTTTTTTCTAATTCTGTGAAAAATGTTGTTGGTAGTTTAATAGGAATAGCATTGGATCTGTAAATTGCTTTGGGCAGTATGGCCATATTAAAAATATTGATTCTTCCTATTCATGAGCACTGAATGTTATTTTGTTTGTATCATCTCTGGTTTCTTTCAGCAGTGTTTTGTAAATTTTGTAACGATCTTTTACCTTCCTTGTGAGCTGTATTTCTCAGTATTTTATTCTTTTTCTGACTGTTGTGAATATGGTAGCATTCCTGATTTAGCTCTCAGCTTGGGTGTTATTGCTGTATAGAAATGCTGCTGATTTTTGTACATCGATTTTGTATCCTGAAGGATACAAAGAGAGGAAAAGAGGAAGTCAAATGATTTATCTTTCTGTGAAGAGAGACATTTTAAGTCTCCTAAAAAAAAGAAGTTCCTTCTTATTGTTGGACTTACCTTATAGATCATTACACTAATTTATACACCTTGTAGTAGTTTATGCGGGCATTCATTCAGCCCTTGTCAATATTGAGTGCAGTAAGTTAAAAAATTGTTGACGAGTTTGATGAATGTAAAATAATTTCTTGTTTTAATTTGCCTGTTATTGGTTCCTAGAAATTATGAATCTGTTAGTCTATGTTTATTGGTCTTTATATATATTCTGTTTTAATTTGCCTTTTATTGGTTTCTAGAAATTATAAATCTGTTAGTCTATGTTTATTGGTCTTTACATATATTCTGTGAATTGATTTTTTAAATAGCATTATTGAAATATAATTTACATGCCATAAAATTAACATGTTTAAAGAGTATAATTCAATGGCTTGTTGATATATCTATCACATTATTATCTTAAAAATTAAGCTGAAGTACATGTAACATAAAATTTACCATTTTAACTATTTTAAGTGCGAAATTAAATTACATTAATTACATTCATATGTTACACCACCAGCACCACTATACTATCCAGCATCTGTTTGCAAATATTTTTCATCACCCAAATGGAAACTCTGAACATTAAGCAATAATATTCCATTCTCCCCCACCTCACTTCCCCACAGCCACTAGTAACCTCTAATCTATTTTCTGTCTTTGTGGATTTTCCTATCTTAAGTACCTCATATATTTGGAATCATACAATATTTGTTCTTTTTTTGTATTGCTTATATCACTTAGCATAACATTTTCAAGGTTCGTTCACGTTATAGCATGTATCAGAATTTCATTCATTTTTAAGGCTGAATAATATTCCATCATATGTATATACCACATTTTCCTTATGCATTCAACTGTTGATGGACATTTGTTTGTTTCCACCTTTTGGGTATTGTGAGTAATCCTAAATCCCTGCTTTCAGAACTTTTGGGTATATACCTTAGAGTAGAATTGCTGGATTACATGGTAATTCTATGCTTAGCTTTTTGAGGAACCAAAATCTTTTTTACAGCTGCTACATCATTTACATTCCCACCAGCAATAAATGAGTGTTCAAATTTCTCCTCATCCTCACCAACACTTGTTTTTTTTCTGTTTTTTGGTAATAGCCATCCTAATGGTTATGAAGTTGTATCTGATTGTGGTTTTGATTTCTCATTTCCCTAATAACTAACAATGTTGAGTATCTTTTTATGTGCTTATTGGCCATTTGTGTATCTTCTTTGGAGAAATGTCTATTCAAATGTTTTGCCCATTTATGAATTGGGTTGTTCATTTTTGTTGTTGTTGTTGAGTTGTAGGAGTTTTTACAAAGCATGTATTTTGGATATTATTATTTTTAGGATATGTGATTGTTTTAGTTGTTTCTCCCATTCTGTGTGTTGTCTTTTCATTTTCTTGACAGTGTCTTTTGATTAATAAAAGGCTTTAATTTTGATAAAGTCCAATTTATTAATTTTTTTCTTTTATTGCACGTGCTTTTGATGTCATGTCCAAGAAATCATTGCCAGATCCAATGTCATGAAAATGTTCCCTAAGTTTTCTTCTAAAGATTTTATAGTTATAGCTCTTAAAATTGAATTTCTGGTCCATTTTGAGTTAATATTTGTATATAATGTAAAATAAGGGTTTAACTTCATTCTTTCACATGTGAATATACAATTTTCCCAGTACTATTTTGTGAAAAGACTGTACTTTCTCTATTGAGTGATCTTGGCACCTTTGTTGAAGATGAATATTTGAGTTTATTTTTGAGTTCTCTATTCTAGTCCATTGGTCTATATGTCTTATAACAGTACCACACTATTTTGATTATGGCAGCTTTGGAGTAAGTTTTAAAATATGGAACTGAGAGTCTTTCCAACTTGTTCTTTTTCAGGATACTTTTGGCTATTTAGGGTCCCTTGAAATTCTACATGAATTTTAGTATTGGTTTTTCTATTTCTTCAAAAAAGTGTTGTTGGGATTTTAATAGGAATTATGTTGACTCTGTGGATCACTTTGGGTAGTACCATCATCTCAATATTATATCTTCTAATCCATCAACATGAGTTGTCTTTCTATTTATTTAGATCTTCTTTAAGTACTTCCAGTAATATTTTGTAGTTTTTAGTGAACTATTCTACCTCCTTGGTTAAATTAATTTCTAAATATTTTATTCCTTTTGATTTTATCTTAAATTATATTTAAAATTTATTTTTCCAGATTGTTCACTGTTAGTGTAAGAAATGCAGCTGATATTTGCATTTTTATTTTGTATCTTGTAATTTTGCTGATTTTGTTTCTTGGCTCTGAAAGATATTTTGGTGTGGAATTTTTAGGGTTTTCTACATATAAGATCATGTTATCTGCAAATAGAGATGATTTTACTTTTTCTTTTTCATTATGGATGTCTTTTAATTTTTTTTCTTGCCTAAATTCTAGCTAGAACTTCTTGTACTATGTTGAATAGAAGTGGCAAAAGTGGGCAACTTTTTCTTCTTCCTGATATTAGAGGAAAATCTTTCAGTCTTTCACCATTTAGCATGAAGATAACAGTGGGTTTTTCATATAGTCTTTAATTGTGTTAAGGAAGTTTCCTTCTATTCCTAGTTTTTTGCGTATTTTATCGTGAATATGTGTTGGATTTTGTCAAGTGCTTTTTCTGCATCAGTTGAGATAGTTATGCAGTTCTTTTCTTTCATTCTCTTAATTTTGTATTTTAAAGTATTTTCCTGTTTTCTGTTTGCTGTTTAATTTTGTTGCTATTAATGTACTTTTTTCTTTTTTTTTAAAGATGGGGTCTTGCTTTGTTGCCCAGGATGGAATGCAGTGGCCTAATCACAGCTTCCTGCAGTGTCAAACTCCTGGGGTCAAGTGATCCTCATATGCCAGTCTTCCAAGAAGCTGGGACTACAGGCATACACCACCACATCTGGTGAATTTGTATTTTATTTTTTTTAGAGATGGGGTCTCACTATGTTTCCCAGGCTAGTCTTGAACTTCTGGCAGCAAGTGACCTCCTGTCTTAGTCTCCTGAGTAGCTGAGAATATAGGCCTGAACCACCACATCCAAATTTATGTACATTTTATTTATGTTTTAAAATCTATTTTTTTGGTTTGAAAATTAGAAAGTCCTTCCCCTTTTCAAGATCAATTATATAACTACCTATGTACCTATATTTTCTTCTAAATGTTATAGTTTCAATTTTGTATTTCATTTTTTAAACCATGTGGAATTATTTTGATGTAAGTATCCAACTTGATATCTTTACACACTGTAAGAAAAAGTTCCCAGCATTTTTTATTTATAACTCTCACTTTACATATTGGTTTTGAATAACAACTTTTATCATAAATTTGGTTGATATTTTAGTGTCTTATTCTGGCCTATCATGCTGTTTTAATGATATTCTTGCCAATTTTTTCACCTATCTCACTATGTTTTAAAGCTATACATGTGGTAGACTGGTGTATTTCAAATCTTTAGTCTCTCCCCAATAATAAGATTTTTTATTCACATCTTTTGCCATGAACTTTGCGGTGCCCTCTTCCCACTTATATCTAGGCTGGCCATGTGACTTGCTTTGGCCAACATGATTTTACAAAATGTGGTGCAAACAGAGATTTGAAAAGTGCTTCCAGAGTTGGGCTTACTCTCTTTCAGTTCAGCAATTGCTATAAGAAAAACTTGCTTAGGGTACCCTACTAGACCCAGGAGGAGGATGAAAGACATATAGAGAAGAGCTATCTTAGCCAAGCCACCCCAGCTAGGCTTAGCCTAGGTTATCTGACTCTTAGTCAACCCACAAATATTTAAGAAATCCCAGTCAATATTCACAAAGTAAAATAGCCTAGACTAGTCTAGATTAGATAAACACTAACTGACTCACAGAAATGTGAGCTAAATAAATGCCACTAAGATTTTTATGGTTGCTTACTATTCAGGAATAACTACCCAGTACAATAACACATTTTAATGTATGGTAGGATGTCAACTCGTTTTGTATATTTACATTTGCAAAAGTATTTTGTAGCTATTCTTGGCCATTAATTCTGATTTGCTTAATTATGTAATTATTTGTGTATATTTCTTATCTTTTTCACCTTGATCCAGTCTAACAATAAAAGATCTTTGAAAGCAGACACTAATTTATTCATCTTTAGTAGTGTCTGTCACAATATGTAGCTCAGGGCTTTTTTGCTCACAGTGATACTCAACACCTAGTCACTGTTTAATTAAACTGAGCAACTTCAAAACAAATTCTGGTAGCACAGTCAGAATCCCACCATTCTCATTTACTTCATTACCTATAAGGAAATTTACAATGTCTGGTGTTATATAGCTGTAGCCTTTTTTTTTAGATAGGTTTTATTTTATTCTGTAATCTCTTATCTATTGTAGCAATGATTATTGTAATTTATATCAAATAGCATATGATACCTTGGGTTCTGATAGTATTCATAATATAGGAGCCACATAATCAGTTTTTATATGTCTTTGTTTTTCAATTTTACTTTAGCTTACACTCTTTCCAGCTTACTCTGAAATCTTCCTTAATTTTCTTATTTTTATTACAAGAAAAGGAAGTAGTATTTGAATATATATGAAGCTGTTTGAAGTAGGTGGACAACACTGATTCACCCAATTAAGTAGTGTTTGCAGATTTTTCTGGGGGGATTTTGTGACCTTATGTGTAACACTTTTGAATAATTGCAAAGTAGATTCATTATACATAACTTAAGAATTTGAAGTCAAAATTGCCTGGCTTTTGATTTTGCTTTTAAAAAAGGAGGGGGGAAGAATATCAGGGCCTAGTGAATATATCACCAACATAATACTGATTAATTTTCTTGAGTAGGAATGTATTTTTTTATTTTACTATCAGGATTTGCTGGAATCATCTTCCCGTCAATATTTATCCCACTGAAGATCTTATTAATGGTACTTTATCTTTTGGCTGCACCTTTTACTCTTTCCATCTGTTTGTGGAGCATTTTAATAGCCCCTACAGGTCTCCATTACAACTAAATGTTTTCTGAGGCAGCCTATGATAGATGGGTCTGCTATTGTGTTTAATTATTTCCATTAAATAATATACTAAAACTGAATTATGATGAAATTAAGTAAAAGAATAATATATTACATTGGTTTTCACTTAGAAAACCTGACTAATTTATGTTTGCATTTAATAAAACTAACCTCTTGGCCCGGCATGTTGGCTCACGCCTATAATCCCAGCACTTTGGGAGGCCGAGGTGGGCGGATCATGAGGTCAAGAGATTGAGACCATTCTAGCCAACATGGTGAAACACTGTCTCTACTAAAAATACAAAAACTAGCTGGGTGTGGTGGCGTGCGCCTGCAGTCCCAGCTACTTGGGAGGCTGAGGCAGGAGAATCGCTTGAACCCGGGAGGCGGAGGTTGCAGTGAGCCGAGATTGCGCCACTGCACTCCAGCCTGGCAACAGAGCAAGACTCTGTCTCAAAATAAAATAAAATAAAAACAACATAATACCCCAAAAAGCTAACCTCTTTAATCATTTGCCCAAAGTTTAAGGAACATATGTTTCCCCAAAAGAAATGGCGTTAGAAAAGGGTAAGTAAATTTTTAAAGTGATGACAGAACTTTGAGACATTCTAGTCTTGTGCTTTAGGATGTGTGAGAAGCATATATAACTTCCCTAATTTTCATTCAGTCAAGCTTTTCTCATGACCTTGTGCAGGTCATATGACCTTGTTTAACTCACATATCTATGAGCATCTGCTTTTTAAAGTTTTCATTTTCCAAACTGATTATCTTACTCTATACATGGTAAAAGGAGGTAGCTACACTACTTTAATAATAATTCCCCTGAGATATTTATAGTACAATGATCATAAAAGTATATATTAAGATAGAGTCAATATGCCACTCTTCTGTCTCTTGAGCCATATAAATAGCTGCTCTGTGTAATGGATATAAATGTCCTCTCCACATTACCTCCATCTGACTGGTGTATGTGGTGAAACAATGGTGTCTGTATCACAGTATCTATCATATAAATAAGCACTCAATAGATGCTTATTATGTTGAATTTTCATTTACAGAAAAATAATTCTCTGATCAGACAATTATATGACTGATTAACATATGAGCATTGACAATAATATTTTCAGAATTGATACTAAAATTATCTCAAATAAAAAGCATATATCTACTATTTGTTATTCATATAAAGTGGTCTAATGAAGAAAAGACATCTCTAGGTAGAAAAGATCTTACAATGTTTCCACCTTGAGCTGAAAAAATAATCTGTGAAGACAGTCATGAACAGGTAAATTCAGCAATGAAGCAATTATTGAAAGAGTTGAAGGAAAATTCTGTTGCTAAGGCACCTATACATTTTGACCATGGCATTGATTTGAAAGATAACATGATTCTCATTTGTTTATCTCCAAAATGGTTGCCATATTGACAGCACAAGCAATTGCAATTTTCCTTGTCTCCTTTAACCTGCCCACATGCCTACCCATACCCTCCAACTATTAACATTTTTTTTCTCTTTCTGTCCTTAATTCAGAATAATATACCCTACCTACTTTTAAGATTTACTATAAAAGGATAAATAATCTGACATGCAGGCCAGGTTCTGATGTTCTGATGAAAATGAATGGGTCAGAGTTAAGAGCATGCCAAGAAGAGACACTATTCAAAAACCTAGAACCAGGGAATGCAGAAGTAGAGTTATAATCCGAAAGAAAAGGTAACAAGTCAAATCGAGGGACAAAATAAGCAATGTTAACCACGTATGTCAAAACAGAGAGAAACTTTATTTAATGAGCACTTTCTCCATGTCCCCATACCCTTAGGCTTTTGTCTCCTTTTATGAATATTGAGGATGAGTGACCCCACACCTGAGTTGATAGTTCAGTAAAAAACAGAAGTGGTACTCTATAAGAGTCTACAAGGGTATGTTGGATGTCTGGCATCAGATGACAATTCTGGAGACTTGGAGGCTAGTACAGAGACCAATAGAGTGCAAAAATTATGTAATCTAATTTTTGCTTATTAAGCTGCCTTGTACCTCTTCTTACTTAGTCTAACAAATTGTATAGGAAGAGTGTGCCATATAGAAGTTTTTCAATGGTGGAGAAACTTTAGGTTGTTTTTCTATATTCGGACAGCTGATCTGTGTAAAACTTGGTAATTTATAAAGAAAAGAGGTTTAATTTGCTCATGGTTTCACAGGCTGTATAGGAAGCATGACCGCTTCTGGAGAGGCCTCAGGAAACTTTCAACCATGGCAGAAGGTGAAGGGGAAGCAGGCACATCTTACATAGCTGGAACAGGAGGAAGAGAGAGAGGGGGAGGAGTGCTACACACTTTTAACCAAGTAGATCTCTTGAGAACTCTCTCATTATCATGAGAACAGCACCAAGTAGGATGGTGTTAAACCATTAGAAACCACCTCATGACCCAATCATCTACCATCAGGCTCCTCTTCCAACATTGGGGATTATAATTTGACATGATATTTGGGTGAGGACACAAATCCAAGCCATATCAGACTGCATATGGGGTTCTCCATAATGACATGACTAGAACCCAACTTTGTGAAAAATTACTTTCAACTGGTCATGAGGACAACGCTGCTGAGAGATCCTCATCAGAGTGAATGCATTAGCCACACAGGAACAATGTTGTACAGGTTTCCTGGAAAAGTGCTCTAAAACTAGAAAACAGCATATTCTGAGAATGATATTGTTGCATTCAGTGTAATCTTCAGAAAAATAGAAGACATGAGGGAAAAGAAGGAACAAAAGGAAAAATTAATAATGAGAAGACCACTTTTTATATTATTGCCTGTGATAAAGATGATTCCTGCTTTAGTTTATTCATTTAGGTGTAAAATTTTTGAGATGTTATCTTTTTACTTTTAACAAGTGGATCTTAGTTTTTTTTTTCCTTGCACATGGGCTTATCCAGTGTAGAGACATATCTATGTGATAGTAAATTATGCGCATAAAAAGTTAAAATTCTGGCCAATTTAGCCTTAGTGTTTGGTCCATGAAAACCACATTTATCTGTCTGACAGTACCAGGGAAATGCTTCACTGCCTTGCACACCCTTTTCCTCCTGACCTTCTAGGCTGCTTGCACATTGGAGTACCAGTTGCCCATATTGATATCACTTCAACTGCCCACCTTAGCAAAAAAGCAAGTGAACGAGTCTCTTTGTTATAACTCTTGAGGTCCCTCTGTTTAGTCTGTGCCTCTTCAAAACTCTCTACAAGTCACTTGGGGCAGCGAGGAAAGTAAATTACCTTCATTACGTTATCTCTAGATCCAGCTGGGTCAGGATTTGGCTAATTTAAATGAATGAGAACATTTGAGAAAGATGAATATGTGGACAAGGATGGAGCAAAGACTAGGGGGATTCAACTGGTAGGAGAACGACCATTTGTGTAGGTCATGTAGACAGACAGAGTTAGACCATCCAGGGTTTTAATCTGGGATCTACATGTTACTAGTTGCATAACCTTGATCAATGACTTAACCTCTTTGAGTCCCATCTGTGTAAAATGAGGATAATATTATGTAACTCACAGGATGCTGTAACAAAGAAATGAGAAACATGGTATATAGTGAGCATTAAAAGGGCACCTTAGCTTATCTTAGAACACAGAATCTGTATGGCATGAAAGATGCTGGTGCAGGTAAGCAGTTATCTTCATGGTTATTGGGTGCTTTGACAGGCTGAATTGACTAAGTCATGGGAGTGAGGAGGCCTTGACAGTGGAAGAAACAGCCCAAGCAAAGGTATAATGATATAATGAAAAGGAGTCACTTGAACCAGGAAAAAAAAATAGTTACTAATAATTTCTGTTTCATGCAGGCAAATCACGAGAAAAAGAAAGAGGCTCTTTTAAAATCAGTTTTTAGACATTACTTTTTATGTTTACCATTTCTATTGCCAGAAGCCTGATTAAGTTGGAAGTACAATCAGTTTTCTCAGGAAATAGTGTGGGTGTTAATTAGAGTGGTGTGAAGCTAGTGAGTCTCATGTTTCAGTGAGGTCAATGGAAACTTTAGTTACTGCAACTTTGAGAGCATTCCTCAAACCATGAAGTTAGCAAATTTTTGCACATATCTTAAATAAGGAAGCTTATTGGCTACAGAGGCAGCTATTAACAGGATTACTGTTAACAGCACTTTCAGAAGTGGGGGAGGAGTCAGGGAATAGAAACACTTAAAGTCTACCTCTGCTTACCCCAAAGGATGAGGAGAAGGAATATATGACATATTTTACTGTTTGAATGTACCTGTGCAGTGTTAGTTTAGTCTTTTATTACAGGTTGAGCATCTCTAATCCAACAATCCAAAATCCAAAATGTTCCATATCCAACAGTTTTTGAATACCAACATGATGTCACAAGTGGAAAATTCCACACCTGACCTCATGTGATGGGTGCACAAAATTAATTAAAATATTGTGTAGAATTACCTTCAGTCTATGTGTATGGGGTGAGTATAAAACATAAGTAAATTTTGTGTTTAGACTTGGGCCCCATCCCCAAGATATCTCATTACGTATATACGAATATCCCCAAACTTGAAAAGAATCTGAAATCTGAAACACTTCTGGTCCCAAGTATTTTGGATAAGAGATACTATATCTGTACATCCTAAGATACATATTTAATGTTTTAAAGGCCCTCTGGAATGTATTGCTGTCCATGAGCATAGATAGAGGAAACTTAAAATGATGTACTTTACAATAACACAATTATACTCCCCAAGAGCTCCCTGCTGGTGCTTGCAATAATCATTAATCACTCTTCTGATGTGGAGATTTGATGGTACCCTTAAAGATGCTAATAGCTCTGGGAGGGATAATGTATTAAGTAATGAAGTGTTATTAATCCTTAAGTGAGAATTAATTGATCAGATCTTTTCCAACAAAAAACCTATTGGAAAGAGATTTTCCGAGAAAGAATACAGGACATTATCTGGTGAGAATGAGTTTGATTAGCTGGAGAATGGTAAGGGCATTCAGCATAAAGATACTATGGAGGTACCTGGATGATGGTACAAAGATATCTGTGAATAAAAACAAACAAACAAACAAACAAAAAACACTGAAAGAATAGGAATAAAGAGCCTAGGGGAAATTTTAGCAAGTGATTGCTATGTGCCAAGCATTGGTTCAGACACATTCGCATTTTTTTTTAGTACTGAAATTAGGCTTCACTTACTTCACAATTTTGCCTTGGGCCAGCTATGTATATAGTTCTAGCTATTATTTTCAGAGTTTGTTTACTTGTATCTGTAAGTCTTAATTCAAATTCTATTCATAGTTCTTGTCTTTGACTTTTCAACTATGAGTAAAAAATAAGACCACATTTTCTAATGAGCAGCAGTAGCTTTCCTTTAGGAAATGGATTAGAAAATATTTGATCAGTTATACCCTGATGAAAGAGAAGTGTTTCACTGTAATTTTTTTCTGGCTATTTTAAAAAAGGTCTTTTTCAAACCCTTCAAATCCTCCTGCCTTATCTGCAAAAGGATGAAGATAATTATAGGTGTTAAATTGCAGCCTAGGCATACATTTTAATGAAAATTCAGGTTTGTAATGAGTGCTTACAGCAGAAATACTAATCCTGCTCTTTCAACCTGTGTTTGTGTGTTTGGTGTTAGAGAAACAAGAAAGGAATAATATTTGGTTTTGTAAAATGAACAAATGGCAGATCCTATTGTGGGTATAGGCTTCTTTTAATCTTAGTACTTTAATCATCAACACTGCACTCAGAACAAGTGATTTTCATTTTATTTTCTTCTTTCTCTAGAGCATAACACCCCAGTAAATAAACATATATAAAGAGAATGATTTAGTTTTACATGCAAGAGAGTGGGACTTTAGCCAAAGAATTTCAGCCTTCTGGGCTATGTTTTCTCACCTGTGCCTTTTCTATGAATTGTGATGCTAGTATACTATGAATTCACGTATCCACAAGTCTCTGGATTAATTAGGATCTGCATATATGAGTTTATAGAAAATTTATAGAGAAAACACAGTAAAGTGTGCACTTAACAAGACCTGTTAGCTATGCATACTTGTAAGTAAACTATACTCATATTTATACCTCAGTACTTAACTATGACATCAGTTTGACACTTGAAAGATAATAATTCTGTGCCTTTAGCAGCAAAATAACATTTTGTTGTTCTTCAGTGAATAGGGGGCTGGGGGAGTAAATATGTTGGTGCCAAGAATTGTATATGCTGCCAAATTCGTTTCGACCAAGTATGACTATGTTTGTCGTGCATAGCACCATTTGGAAATGATTTTAAACATTTATTTTCAAATCAATCAGGTTAATGAACTTGGTGAATCATGGATAGTTTGGAATTCATAATTTTAATTGGAACTCATAGTTGAAGTGGTACTTTTGTGTAATTAAAATCTCCGTTAGCTGGACAAATAGAACATTGCAAACAGGCAAATCGTGAGGTGAAAAGAAAGAGGAAGGAAGGAAATGAAGGAAAAAGGAAAGTTTCCTAGTGTGGTGGAATAGTTGTCTCTTTGAAGTACATGCTTGGAGAAAAAAGCAAAAGACCCCCAAAGGGATAAAAATATATAATCCTGATAAAAATGCTTATTGGGTATTTTATGTATAAACAATC
Organism: Homo sapiens; assembly: GCF_000001405.40. Classification (NCBI taxonomy): domain Eukaryota; kingdom Metazoa; phylum Chordata; class Mammalia; order Primates; family Hominidae; genus Homo; species Homo sapiens. The sequence continues at coordinate 96,133,178 of NC_000023.11, read as the reverse complement.
ACTTACTATCACGTGCTAGGATGCTGGAATTTGGGGAAATGATGTTTTTGAGGCCAAAATATACAGGAAAGTAAGGATCATCAGGAGACAACTTTGATCCTAACCCTGTAGAAACACTCAATATCACCTTTACTTTTATCATGAAATATTGACAGAGACAAGAATCCAAGACTTTGACACAAGCATCTACTCTTGAGCTTGTAAAGATAACAAATTACCATTAGTTTTCTCTACTGCATAGAATCTCCATGGGAGACAGTGAGTTGTGAAGCTGCTTGTTGCACAGCTGAACCTGGGGGCTCCTGACAGTGAACTTGCCAAAACAAAAGCACCAACATGAAAACTTAACGATGACTATAATCAAAAGTGAATAAGCATACTTTTCTTTATGCAGATTCTAATATAATTTAACTGAATCCGTTTATATTAAAAGATCTTTTCCTTAAAAGGCTATTTGAGAGAAGAAAGACAATAATAGGAGATGAATGTATGTTACTGAATTTTGCCAGAAGGTAATTTCTGTTCAGAGATAAAAATTTATAATTTGCAGATTAATGGAGGTTCTATACTAGGTTTTGCTCTGTCACCCAGGCTGGAGTGCAGGAGTGCAATCATGGCTCACTGCAACCTCAACTTCCTGGGTTCAAGGGAACATTCTGCCTCAGCCTCCTGAGTAGCTGGGACTAGAGGTGAGCACCACCACCACACCTGGCTAATTTTTGTATTTTTTTTGTAGAAATGCAGTTTGCCCAGTCTGGTCTCGAACTCTTGGTTTCAAGCCATCCTCCCACCTTAGCCTCCCAAAGTGCTGGGATTAAGGCAGGAGCCGCTACTCCCAGCCTACACTATTTTCTAATGGTATAATTTATATTTCTTCACTCTCAAAGATGGCATATTATTTATAACAAAATAAAAGCTTTTTTTTGGAACATGAATGTGCTTTATGCTTTATAACAATAATAAGTAAAATGGAAGAATCCACCCCTTGTCGGAAAAATATGGAATTTGTTTATTGTTTCTGCTTGAAGGAAAAAAAATGTTTTCATAAGCATGGCAGAAATGGGAATTTATACAGCATAAAAGATGTGTCTTTTTCCCAATCTTTTTAAACAATATTAGAGCAAAGACCAGTAGGACTATGCAGTTATTTTACTGCCATAAAAAGATTGACATATAATCATAATTAAATTTCAACTTGATTATTTATTTTTTGTGAGGACTTATCTTTGGGAGAGACATATTTAGAGAAATGAGGAAGGCGTGAACTATACCTAGCAAGTTAGATGCCCAGAATCAAACCTGGTGATCAATGTCATGACAGTCAGATACTGTCCAACCCACCTAATTATAAAATATGTTGAGAGTAGTATTAGATGATGTTGTTTATATACAAAATTATGTGTGATAGGCATAATAATTTTATATGCATTTGAGAATGCTTTCCTAAAATGATGACGATATGCACGTTATATATATGTGTGTGTGTGTGTGTGTGTGTGTGTGTGTGTATGTTTGTGTGTGTCACACTTCAGAAAGATCTAAAGTCACTGAACTATAACAAAATCTTATCTCTAGTTAATAACTATTTTTAGTATTAATTTGGTGGAAGTGTGTTTCTGACAAGTTATAGCATATCTATTTGAATGGCTCCCAAATCTGTATTTCCAGCCTATACCTCTCCACAGAATTTCTGTTATGTATAGTCCACTGTCTACTGGGTGTTTCTAACTGCATACCTAAGCTTGTTTTCCCTTTGCTAGTTCCATTGTGATAGAGATATAAACTTTTACATTCATTTCAAAATCACTTCCTAGTGATTCTACCTCCTTAGCATTTTTAATATATGGCGCCTCCTCCGTATACTCACTGCTACAACTTTAGTTCAGTCTTTACTCATCTCTTCCAGCTTTTCTTATCTCCAGTCTTGCCTTCCTGAAAATCATTCTGTCCATAACACTGCCTGAGTTATCTTTTATGGAATGTATATCTGATCATATATCTCCCCTAACTAAAGTACTTCAATGGGACTTTTAGGTAAACACATGTGTTTATCCAAGCCACTTCTTGAAGCTCTTAAGAGTATGACAATACAAGCAACTAAAAAGGTATAAAACCACAAGGACAAAGAGAATGGGAGAGGAAACTCAGAAGACTAGACATATCTACACATTTTAGAAGACAGAAAGTAAATGGATGTATAGTTATTTATGTAACAGAGGAGGAATAGTTAAAATTTAAATATCCGCAGAGGGAGAAGTAAATTCCTATAACACAATAGAAAGGCTTAGGAAGGCTTATGTTTAGAAACTGAAGGGACTAAGAAACTCTGAAGGCAGATTTTACTGGTTTGGGGTAAATAGAAACAAGAAGATTGGTTGAAAGTCTGGATATGTAGTAAGACCCCAAATCCCTTTACAAAACCCATTTCTCTTCTTTTAGGGCATAGTCATGGAGTAGATAATATATATTTTTCAAAAGTTTTTTGATACCATAAAAACAAATGACACATAGATATATTCGTATAATTTCATTACAATGTGCACAAAACTTATAATCATTTGATAGCCATATCAAATGATTATCTATCACTGTTCTCTTATAAGCTTTTTCTGTGCCTTTCAGGCAACACAGTGTGCAAAAAGTAGATTTTCAATAAAAAATAATGACCTTCAATGAACAATGTGTGCAAATTGTCTTTTTTTTTTAACCAAAGCAGAGTTTATGGGATGAGGGATTTCTAGAACCTATAACTTCCAAAATCATGGATCTTTATTGATGAGGTGTAAGGAGGAGCAGCAGATGGAAACCATACATAAAGAGTGAGGATGCAGAGACCTGGGAGAGGTGACAAACTGTGTAGGAAATATCAACTGCAGAATTACATAGCAAATTATAACATGCTTTGTATTTTGGTAGGTTGCAAAGAATGATTAGTGCAGCATGGAGATTGGATGTAGAAAATTCAGTCTTTGGGGGAATGGAAAGATAATGAGGCTTAGATAAAAGGTAGGTGGGTTATAAAATAGGATGAAATTATGTTTTATATGAGCATGGTATGTGTTGTGATTTTGAATCCTTTTCAATTTTCATATCTCTCTAGTGCCAACTTGGGAGACATATTATCAAGACTGAATCAGAGAGTTGACAGCATACCAGGAAGTGTCACTGTATAGTTTGGAAGATGGAAATCATACTACTTTTTTCCCATGTAAGCACTCCAGGAAATTAACCTCCAAATACAACTGAGGAATAGGCACCGTTATGGCTTTTTTACAGATCAATAAACTGATGAAATACGGTGAAGCTATGTAAGTAGACCAAAGATGTACAAGAAGACACACATTGAGCAGAAAATAAATTTAAGCCTGGCTTCTCAACTCTTTATTTAACCAGAGACGGTTCTATCTCAAACATGAGGTTCTATATGAAAGCAGGAGGGAATTAGGAAGTAAAATCTGGTGAGCATTTTTCCTGAAATATTACAGCTGTCATTCTCAGGGCCCTCGTCCTGAGATAGTGGCAGGTTAAGATATTAAATTTTTATTTCTCTGGGAACTCTTCATGGACTATTGCCATATCAATGACAATGCAGACAGAAGTGCAGGTGATTTTAAAGAACAGACTGCTTGACGTACCCTGTGTCTAGTACAGCTACACCCTAGAGCAGTTAGCAGTGCTTATCTGAATTCTTTGTTATTTGTCAAAAAGATTATTGTTTTCTGACACAATCTTTCTTTTCTAAGAAAAAAAAAAAAGCAGTGGTACATATTCTAACTATGCTTTAGAATCCCAGCTTCTGTCCTAAAGATAAAAATTTCAAGATGACTCCAAAAGGAAAAAAAGTGATATGGATATAAGTCAAGTGTTTTTAAGCTTTAAAACCATGATATCCTATTTCTCTTTCTCTATTTTTTCTTTTAATGCATTAAGCATAATCTCATACAACCAGGAATGTAAACCGTGACCAGTTTACCAAGAAAGGCTAAACTCAAAAGAACATATAATGATATGTTTGTCTTTCCTTTATTGTCTTTGCATTTAATTTTCATATATATCCATATTTGTGCAGTGACTTTGAATTTGTCTCCTGGAGGCAGATGCTCATGCAGGTTTAACTACTGAAAACTATAGATGGAAATGTTGATGACTAGGAGAGAATACACTGGGCAATGTGGACAGGGCCAGAATATTTTGCATGAGCGGGAAGCAGGATTCTGTCATCAAAGGAAACCAGTGTGCACTGTTGTTTGGTGAGGAAACTAGCACATAGATAAGAAACTCTTTTGATTACCTCCGCTATATATCTAAAGGATGTTATTCCCAATGGATTGCTCTAAGGGCTTTTCACTGTAGTTTTAATAATGGCCATGCCAACATTGTATCTTTTAAGAATATTGAAAGAGACCAATTTGGGAGACTGTGACCAGTATGAGTGTTCACTTCACCAAACTATCTCTGCTAAACTCTGAGGATCTGGAGGTTGGGGGATGAAATGCTCTGAAGATGATACTGGAGGCAAATATTTTCCTTGTTACTCTTCTTTTCTCTCAGCAAAGTGACTATAAGGTGTTTTAGTCCATTAAATTAACTGAATAGCCGGGGGCAGTGGCTCATGCCTATAATCCCAGCACTTTGGGAGACAAAGGCAGGCGGATCACCTAAGGTCAGGAGTTTGAGACCAGCCTGACCAACATGGTGAAACCCTGTCTTTACTAAAAATACAAAATTAGCTGGGCGTGGTGGCGCATGCCTGTAATCCTAGCTACTCTGGAGGCTGAGGCATGAGAATCCGTGGAACCTGGCAGGCGGAGGTTGCAGTGAGCCAAGATCGTGCCATTGCACTCTGGCCTGGGCAACAAGAGTGAAACTCCACATCAAAAAATAAATAAATAAATAAATAAATAAATAAATAAATAAATAAATAGAATAGATGTGTACCCTCATGAAATCAATAATTAGAAAAAATAAGTAAAAAGAATAGATACAATGAGTTTTTAAAATTTACTTGGCAATGATAATAGCAATGAAAATACTAACTCATAGAGTAAGTCCTATGTGCCAGGCACTCTTAGAAGTACTTTGCATTTATCATCTTATCTCACAGTCACAAAACCCCATATGATGGGTACTAATATTATTCTTGTTTTATAATAGAGGCAGATTTGAGATTCAATCCTAGGTAGTGTGGTTTCAGAGTCTACACTCTTTATTACTGAGGTACTGCCTCTCATAAAACAAAGCTATGTGTTTTTTTGACTTGGTTTGATGACAGGACCACAGCTTGGGCTTGTCTAAGTTTATGCCTTTCTCAGTTTTATCTTATCTTGCTCTACCATTTCTTACCTTTCCTAGATGTTCTCACCCCACTTGCCCAGCCCAGTATCCCATGCTTTACTGCTTCCCTGTACTTTTAGTCTAATAAAAAAGCACCTGATGAAATATATTCTCTCTAAGGTGTATATTATGTTATTCCTCTCAGAAGTCTTTTTTTTCAGGTATATAAAATATTAACCTTCCCAGAAATATTCGCATTTTTCAAAGGGGATGCATGGAGAGGAGATTGGGAGAATATTACAGAGTAGGTAAGATTTCTAAGAGCTTCTCAAATAGCAAAAAGTACATAATTACATACTTCCCCTACCTTTATGGACAGCCTAGCTTTATGGTGCTATCAGCACTTCCTTACCAGATGCAAAGGTCATAAGAAATTGGATAGTTTTCATATTACTTCAGAGGCTCCTATCTCTTCTATTCACACTGAATTTATTACTGCTCTCTGGATTTCTGTGGAAAGGATGGATTCTTACCATTTGTGATACAATAAAGATTAATTCCTGGCTCACTGAGATGCCAAGTTTAGCAAATATAAATGCATGACTCCAATGCAAATTTGAATTTCATAGAATAAATACTTTTTAGTATAAATATATCCCATGTAATATTTAGGACATACTTATATAAAACTTATTTTTCATTTCTCTTAAATTCAGATTTAACTGGACATCTTGTATTTTATTAGATATCTAAACTCAAAGTGGATTTTAATTGTTTGTAGACCAGAAGAAAATTTTAATTATGAGTATATTATAGTAATCCAATTATGAGGTGATGAAAACATGAAGGAAAGGTGGCCACTATAGAGAAATGCTCTGAAGGACAAATCCATGCGTACAACGGAAGAAGAATCAAAATGTGGTGATTGCTTGCTTTTGAAGGGGCTTTTGAACAATGTTGTTGAAAGAGATCCCGTGTCTCTTGAATAGAAGTCCTAGGTTATGTGTTACACAGCAAAAGTCACTATAAAAGACTAAGGACAGAAACTCAGCAACTTTGGTTCCGTTTTTTGGAGCAAGCAGGTTACATAAAATAATCAGACTAGAGAATAACTTGAGTCTTGAATGTCAAATAAGGCTTAGGGGATTAAACACACCTTAAATGTTATTTTAGGTCATTACACAGAAATCACAAGGCCAGTTAGTTTTCTATTGAATATCTAACAACCAGAGATACCATACTAAAGAGAAACTGTTAGTCTTTTGACATTGTATCATCATACTCCTATATAAATAAAGAATATTTCTTATATTTAACAATTCAGTTAAGATAATTGTACAATCAAGCATGATAATTTACAATCAAAACTAAAAATTGCAAAATGCTATACACATACTCTGTTCTGGAAAAAGAGAAAAGTTATGAACACTTAATATCTATTTTATGATGCCACAAAATATTTGAAGCATAAAGGATAATCTAATTTCATTTCCAATTGGGATATGAGTTTCCACCTCCCTCAGGAGATGATTCCTCAAAGAGTAGATGACAACTAGTGGCTAAATTAGGAAATACAAGTTAGATTTATAGAACTGGTTATAATGTGAAATCTTATTTTCTCTTCTAGCCAGAATGCCTATTAGCTATTTTGATTTATTTAATTTTAGTTGGATTTCAAAAATTAATAAATCATTGTTCATATTGCAAGGTGAATACTTAATCAGATACCTCTTGCAAGATTCTGATGCTGAGAGTTAGAATACAGTGTAAAAAAAGCATTTTAAATGTAAAGAAAGTGTTGTAGAGCATCCACAGTAAGAAAAGGGCAGGGTTACCGTGGGAACCATAATCCTGAATTTCATGACTTGTCTTGTGTGATTACAAATTTAATGCTGTAGGAAGGATTGTGTGACTTTTTCCTTTATTTTGAGGATGATTTATTTGTGAATAATCAGGAAAGGATAAGACTTAGATGTAACCTGAATTTGCACAAACAGGGAGGATACTACATCTTTTAGGAAGGTAAAAGTAAAACAAAACAAAATATGGGAGAGCAGTCTCTTCAAAAGAGTTCAGCACACTGCAAGTTTTCACTGTAGAAAAATACAGAAAACAATTTTACACTTTGACTTTATTTGCAGCTGAGGATTTTCAAAAGGCTTTGAAATGGGCACAGAAACTGTGCCATGTGTTTCTTGAAACTCAAGGGGTAGTCAGTCGTGGCAGTGAATGAATTCCAGAGCATAGCATGCAGCTGGCAACAGAAAGCAAGGGAAACTAGAGGAATTCACTTTTGCTTGGATTTAACTGAATCACAACTTGCAACAGTGAAGTATGAGTACAGTTGTCTGATAAATAACAGCAGCAGACAGGCAAAGTGTGTGGTAGTCAATATATGAGTTGTCTTGTTATTAGGAAAGATCTGGAGTCAAATATGAGTATGAGACTGCATTTGTACACAAAAGTGTGTCAAGCTGATTATACATCAGCCTGCTATGTATGTCTGCACATCATGCAATTTAATGGAAAGGGAAGGATGCAATCAATTAATAAGATGTTTTTACTATGGTTCTGAGCATACAGATTTCTCTAAAGAGTTGAATTTTTGACATATTTTTTATATTGATTAGCTTATTTTTCTTTGGATATTGCCAGAGGCAATAAATTTTGAGACTATGCCAGTTTTGGCAACAGACATTCCAAATAACATTTTCTGTGTTCAGTGGGTACTAAACAATTGATATGGCATAAAAGACCATGCATACATGGACACAAAAGTTTAGATCATATTTAGGTCAGGGTCCTTTTGTGTCCTTTTGGAGAAAAATTTAATATAGGTGGTGCTGCCTAAACAAATTTAGCTGAACTTAATACACTGGTTATTAGTATTTGTGCTAATAGCTGAACTTAATACACTGATTATTAGTATTTGTGCTAATATCTATGCTAATATGAATATCATCTGGTTTCATTCTATTTTCCGCTTAAAATGTAATATTGCTAAAGTCAATCAGTGTAAGCACCAGAGGCCTGGAAATGCAGCATGTGCTCTACAGAAAAAGAGATATTGCTATAGATGATAAATAGTGATGAAAATAGTGAATCGAATACAGTTTTAGAATAACAAAGATATAAATGAATGAATGAATGAAATGAGGAAATGAAATATGCACTTCAAGTCATGGAATACCAAGCCCATTATCAGAAAAATAATTTAGTTAGTGGAGGGGGTGGTAAAACTCTTAAAAGTTTGAAAGAATGCTTAACATCAGTATAAAGAAGCAAACAATAATGAATGAATTAAAATGTAGAATGTCGGTCAAAAACAATCACTCTAGTCTTTCATAAGGAAGTAGTGAGAAAAGTAATCATCTTGGTTTTGATCAATTTATGATAAAAGTGAGTTATTCTAGAGTGGAGAGACAAAAAAGGGAGCTGAGTTTTAAGTTTTCACTGAATACATATAGATTGAAATGAATAAGAAATGAAAGAAACAATTAAAGGACTGTAAGGCTAGGCACAACAAAATTAAAAACATTTTGAGTGTAATGTCTTTTGCATGAATAGACTGTACTAACAATGAAATGCTAAAAACATTTGAATGTCAAAAATAGGATGTTAAAGCTTCAGAATTTGATGAATATTTAGCATAATACAGTAGTTTCTTTGCCTGAGCTCTTGCTGCTTTTTATCACCATTTTCTCATGAAATACTTTACCTTGTAGTGGAAAGCAGTGTTTTAATAAGATAAGCCATGAGTATTTATATAGTTGAAACAAAAAAGATTGAGCTCTATTTCATCAGATTGCTATAAACCAGGAGCTCTACAAAATGAAAAAGGAAAGGGAAAAAGAATTCTCAGAATAAGAATGACATAGAAATAAATGCAATGTCAAAATTGATCAAAGGGGAAGAGTTGCTTTTAAATGTAAGTTTGGATGAAAATGATACAAAGAGACACAGGTAAAAGGAAGAGCACAGTGAAACTGAGTCATCTATAGATGAAGGAAAGAAAAGGAATTTATATTAACAATGAGCATTGATGTCCAGTTAGTGTCAGAAATTTCCAGAATATCCTGATTTGCAGTGGGTTTTAGAACTTAAGTATACTACGCAGACTATCTCTACCTGCACAAAGGGGATTTTTATAGCTTATTCATAATTCAGAAAAAAATCAATTTGTCCCCTTTGGCTTATCAAACTACACTTTCTATGGAAGCTCTAATGCATTTTAGACATTGCTATTCTCATTTGTTAACAAAACAAAACAAAAGAAAAAAAACCTGTCAGATAATATGTAAATTTGTCCTGAGTTTTGGGGCCTATATTAAAAATTCCACAACATATTCCTGAACTAAAAGCCCTTTTATCTATAAATTAGGATTGCAAAGTATAGGAAGGTCAGAGTGACACACATATGCCTATACTTATTTTTTCATTTTTATTTTTTTGAATGTTTTAAAAAACATTTCAATAGTTTTTGAGGTACAGGTGGTTTTTGTTTACATGGATATGTTCTTTAGTGGTGATTTCTGAGATTTTAATAAATCCATTGCCCAAGCAGTGTAGACTGTACCCAATATGTAGTCTTTTATTCCTCACCCACTCCCAACTTTTCCCCAAGTCCCCAAAGTCCATTACATCATTCTTACGCCTTTGTGTACTAATAGCCTAGCTCCCATTTATAAGTGAGAGCATACAATATTTGGTTTTCCATTCCTGAGTTACTTCACTTAGGATAATTGTTTCCAACTCCATCCAGGTTGCTGTGAATGCCATTATTTCATTCCTTTTTATGGCTGAGTAGTATTCCATGGTGTATACATACCACATTTTCTTTATCCACTCGTTGGTTGATGGGCACTTAGGTTGGTTACATATCTTTGCAATTGTGAATTGTGCTGCTCTAAACATGCATATGCATGTGTCTTTTTCATATAATGACTTCTTTTCCTTTGGGTAGATACCCAGTAGTGGGATTGCTGGATTGAATGGTAGTTCAACTTTTAGTTCTTTAAGGAATCTCCATACTGTTTTCCATAGTGGTTGTATGAATTTACATTCCCACCAGCAGTGTAAAAGTGTTCTCTTTTCCCCACATCCATGCCAACATTTATTGTTTTTTGACTTTTTAACAATAGGCATTCTTGCAGGAGTAAGGTGGTATCTCATTGTGGTTTTAATTTGCATTATTGATTACTGATGTTAATAATTTTTTCTTATGTTTATTGGCTGTTTGTATATATTCTATTGAGAAATGTCTATTCATGTTCTTTGCCCACTTTTTGATGGGATTATTTGTTTTTTCTTGCTGATTCATTTGAGTTCCTTGTAGATTCTCGATACTAGTTCTTTGTTGAACGCATAGTATGCAAATTTTCTTTCCCATTCTGTAAGTTGTCTGTTTAGTTGGCTCATTATTTCTTTTGCTATGCAGAAGCTTTTAAATTAAATTAGGTCTCATTTATTTATTTATTTTTGTTTTCATCGCATTTGCTTATGGGGTCTTAGTCATGAATTCTTTGCCTAAGCCAACGTCCAGAGGAGTTTTCCTAGGTTTTGTTATAGAATGGTTATGGTTTCAGATTTAATTATTTGATCCATCTTGAGTTGATTTTAGTATAAGGTGGAGATGGGGATCCAGTTTCATTCTTCTACATCTGGCTGGCCAGTTTTCCCAGCACTATTTAACGAATAGGGTGTTCTTTCCCCAATTTATGTTTTTGTATGCTTTGTCAAAGAGTAGTTGGCTATAAATATTTAACTTTATTTCTGGGTTCTCTATTCTGTTACATTGGTCTACATGCCTATTTTTTATAACAGTACTACGCTCTTTAGGTAGGTATAGCCTTGTAGTATAATTTGAAGTCAGGTAATGTGACACATCCAGATTTGTTCTTTTTGCTTAGTATTGCTTTGAATATGTGGGCACTTCTTTTGTTCCATATGAATTTTAGGATTGTTTTTTCTATTTCTTGAAGAATGATAATGGTATTTTGAAGGGAATTGCATTAAATTTGTAGATTGCTTTGGGCAGTATGTTTTTTTTCACAATATTGATTCTTTCCATCCATGACTATGGGATATGTTTCCATGTGTTTTTGTCATCTATTATTTCTTTCAGCAGTGTTTTGTAGTTTTCCTTGTAGAGATCTTTCACCTCCTTGGTTAAGCATGTTCCTAATTATTTTATTTTACTTTTTCCAGATGTTTTAAAAGGGATTATGTTCTTGATTTCATTCTTAGTTTGGTCATTGTTGGTGTATAGCAGTGCTACTAATTTTTTACATTGATTTTGTATCCTGAGACATTACTGAACTTGTTCATTAAATCTAGGAGCTTTTTTGAATGAGACTTTAGGGTTTTTTTAGGTATACAATCATATCGGCAAAGAGACAGTTTTCCTCTTTTCCAATTTGGATGCTCTTTATTTCTTTCTCTTGTCTGATTGCTCTGATTAGGACATGCAGAACTGTGTTGAATAGGAGTGGTGAAGATAGGCATCCTTGTTTTGTTCCACTTCTTAGGGGGAATGCTTTCAACTTTACCCCATTCACTATGTTGTTGTCTATGGGTTTGTTATATACGGCTTTTAAAAAATTATTATTATACTTTAAGTTCTGGGATACATGTGCAGAATGTGTAGGTTTGTTACATAGGTATACACGTGCCATGGTGGTTTGCTGCACCCATCAACCTGTCATCTACATTAGGTCTTTCTCCTAATGCTATCCCCCGCCAGGCCCCTAACCTGCAACAGGCCCCAGTGTGTGATGTTCCCCTCCCTGTGTCCATGTGTTCTCATTGTTCAACTCCCACTTAAGAGTGAGAACATGTGGTGTTTTGTTTTCTGTTCCTGTGTTAGTTTGCTAAGAATGATGGTTTCCTAGGAAATATCATTCAGGACATAGGCCTGGGCAGAGACTTCATGACTAAAACACGAAAAGCAATGGCAGAAAAAGCCAAAATTGACAAATGGGATCTAATTAAACTAAAGAGCTTCTGCACAGCAAAAGAAACTATCATCAGTGTGAACAGGCAACCTACAGAATGGGAGAAAATTTTTGCAATCTATCCATCTGACAAAAGGCAAATATCCAGAATCTACAAGGAACTTAAACAAATTTACAGGAAAAAACCAAACAACCCCAGCAAAAAGTGGGCGAAGTATATGAACAGACACTTTTCAAAAGAAAACATTTATGCGGCCAACAAACATACGAAAAAAGCTCATCATCACTGGTCATTAGAGAAATGCAAATCAAAACCACAATGAGATACCATCTCACGCCAGTTAGAATGGTGATCATTAAAAAGTCAGGAAACAACAGATGCTGGAGAGGTTGTGGAGAAATAGGAATGCTTTTATCCTGTTGGTGGGAGTGTAATTTAGTTCAACCACTGTGGAAGACAGTGTGGCGATTCCTCAAGGATCTAGAACTAGAAATACCATTTGACCCAGCAATCCCATTACTGGGTATATAGCCAAAGGATTATAAATCATTCTACTATAAAGACACATGCACACGTATGTTTATTGCAGCACTGTTCACAATAGCAAATACTTGGAACCAACCCAAATGCCCATCAGTGATAGACTGGATAAAGAAAAGTGGCACATATACACCATGGAATACCATGCAGCCATAAAAAAGGATGAGTTCATGTCCTTTGCAGGGACATGGATGTAGCTGGAAACTATCATTCTCAGCAAACTAATATATGGCTTTTATTACTTTGAGGTAAGTCATTTCTATGCTTATTTTGTTGACGGTTTTTATCACAAAGCAATGCTGGATTTTGTCAAATGCTTTTTTCTGCATCTATTGAGATGATCATATGATTTTTGTTTGTAAGTCTGTTTTTGTGATGTATCACATTTATTGACTTGTGTATGTTAAACCATCCCCGCATCCCAGGGATGAAACCCACTGGATCATGGTGTATTATCTTTTTCATGTACTATTTCATTCGATTAGCTAGTATTTTTTTGAGGATTTTTGCATCTATGTTCATCAAGGATATTGGTCTGTAGTTTTCTTTTTTTTTCATAACAAAACCTTTGTTTGTCACAACCTTTTTTTGTCATAACAAAACCTTTCTTGGTTTTGGTATTAGTTGATACTGGCTTCATAGAATAATTTAGGGAGGATTCCCTCTTTATCTTTTGGAATAGTGTCAATAGGATTGGTACCAATTCTTTGAATGTCTGATATAATTCACCTGTGAATCTGTCTGCTCCTGGACTTTTTTTTTGTTGTTGTTGGTAACTTTTTAATTACCATTTCAATCACACTGTTATTGGTCAGTTTAGGGTTTCTATTGCATCCTGATTTAATCTAGGAGGGTGTAAATTTCCAGGAATTTATCCATTTTCTCTAGATTTTCTAGTTTGTGCATATAAAGGTGTTCATAGCGGCCTTTCATGATCTTTGTATTTCTGTGGTCTCGGTTATAATATATCTGGTTTCATTTGTAATTGAGTTTATTTAGATCTCTCTTCTTTTCTTGGTTAATCTCACTAATGTTTTAACAATTTTGTTTATCTTTTGAAAGAACCAGCTTTCTGTTTCATTTATCTTTTATATTTTTTCTTTCAATTTCATTTAGTTCTGCTCTGATCTTTGTTATTATCTTCTACTGGAATTAGGTTTCATTTCTTATTTCTCTAGTTCCTTGAGGTGTGACATCCTATTGTCTTTCAGACTTTTTGATGTAGACATTTAAGACTATGAACTTTCCTCTTAGTACTGCTTCTGTTGTATCCCAGAGGTTTTGATAAATTATGTCACTATTATCATTCATTTGAAGAATTTTTAAATGTCTATCTTGATTTTATCATTAACCCCAAAATCATTCAAGAGAACATTGTTTAATTTTCATATGTTTGTATAGTTTGAGGTTTCCTTTTGGAGTTGATTTGCAGTTTTATTCCACTGTGATCTGAGAATATAGTTGATATAATTTCGATTTTCTTAAATTTATTGAAACTTGTTTTGTGGCTTATGATATGGCCTATCTCGGAGAATGTTCCATGGACTGATGAGAAGACTGTATATTCTGCAGTTGTGGGGAAAATATTCTGTAAATATTTGTTAATTCAATTTGTTCTAGGGTATAGTTTAAGCCCATTTTTCTTTTTTTGACTGTTGACTTTTTGTCTTGATGATCCATCTAGTGCTGTCAGTGGAATATCGATGTCTCCCACTATCATGGTATTGCTGTCTATCTCATTTCTTAGGTCTAGTAGTAATTATTTCATAAATCTGTGAGCTCCAGTGTTAGGTGCATATAAATTTAGCATTGTAATATCTTCTTTTTGGAATGATGTTTTTATCATTATATAATGCCCTACTTAGTCTTTTTTTACTCTTGTTGCTTTAAGTTCTGTTTTGTCTGATATAACAGTAGGTACTCCTGCTTGCTTTGGTTTCCATTTGCATGAAGTATCTTTTTCTATCCCTTTACCTTAGGTTTATATGAGTCCTTATGTGTTAGGTGAGTCTCTTGAAGCAGCAGATATTTGGTTCATTTTTTTTATCCATTCTGTCATTCCGTATCTTTTAAATGGAGCATTTAGGCCATTTACATTCAATATTATTATTGAGACGTGAAGTACTGTTCTATTCATCATGTTAGTTGTTACCTTGATACTTTGTTTTTTACATTGTGTTATTGTTTTATAGGCCTCGTGAGATTTATGTGTCAAGGAGGTTCTATTTGGATGCATATCCCTATACTTATTTTTAAAATGAAATAGTTTTCATAAGTAATGTTTAATGATCTTAGAATAAACCATAGACATGAAGCCCAGAAAAGTTTCTTTTACTTTTGTAAACCATTTCTCCCACTATTTCTGCTTTATGATTCATCTGAATGTTATACTGATATAAGATTAGAAAACTAGGCCTTTTCATAATAAGGTGTGTTTGAAAGAATATATTCCAAGAAGCACTTTGATTTAATCTTAAATAAACAATTGGAGCAATGAGGTCAGATTTGCTATCTAAACAAATTATCTGCCCATACATGCCTAGATCATTCCCCTCACTCAACTCATCCAAGACAGACTTGTATCAAAATCTCCCTCTATTGTACAGTATCAAGATATCTATCCCAAAACTGGATATCCATATTCAGAAAAATGAAACTAGACCCCTATCTCTCACCATAAACAAAAATCAAATAAAAATGGATTAAAGATTAAATCTTAGACTTCAAAATATGAAACTACTACGAGAAAATATTGGGGAAACTCTCCAGGACATTGGTCTAGGCAAAGATTTCTTGAGCAATAATACTACACAAGCACTGGTAACCAAAGCAAAAATGGACAAATGGGATCACAGCAAGTTAAAAAGCTTCTGCACAAGAAAGGAAACAATCAACAAAGTGAAGAGACAACCCACAGAATAGCAGAAAATATTTGAAAACTAACAATCTGACAAGGCATTAATAACCAGAATATATAAAGAGTTAAAACAACTCTTTGGAAAAAAAATCTAATAATCTGATTTAAAAAATTGGCTAAAGATTTCAATAGACATTTATCAAAAGAAGACATACAAGTGGCAAAAAGACATTTGAAAAGGTGCTCAATATCATGGATCATCAGAGAAATGAAAATCAAAACTACAATGTGATACCATCTTACCCCAGTTAAAAATGGCTTTTATCCAAAAAACAGGCAATAACAAATGCTGGCGAGGATGTGGAGAAAAGGGAATGCTCATACACTGTTGGTGGGAATGTAAATTATTAATAGTACAACCACTATGGAGAATAGTTTGGAGGTTCCTAAAAGAAATGAAAAATAGAGATATTATTTGATCTAGCAATCTCACTCCTAGGTATATATCCAAAAGAAAGGAAATATGTATATCAAAGGGATAACTCTCAGTCCTATGTTTATTGCAGCACTATTCACAATAGCCAAGATTTCGAAGTGAACTAAGTGTCCATCAACAGATGAATGGATACAGAAAATGTGGTACATATACACAATGGAGTGCTATTCAGCCATAAAAAAGAATGAGATCTTGTCATTTGCAACAACAGTGACAGAACTGGAGGTCAGTATGTTAAGTGAAATAAGCTAGGCACAGAAAGACAAACATTGCATGTTCCCACTTATTTGTGGGAGCTAAAAATTAAAACAGTTGAATTCATGGAGACAGAGAGTAGAAAGATGGTTACCAGAGGCTGGGAAGGGTAGTCAGGGGGTAAGTGTGAGTGGAAAGGGGCAATGGTTAATGAGTGCAAAAAATAGGAATAATAAATAAGACCTAGTGTTTGCTAGCACAACAGGGTGACTATAGTAAAAACTAATATTTTTTCATTGAAAAAAATCTCAATGAGTATAATTGTATTATTTGAAACAAAAAGGATAAATGCTTGAGGTGATTGATACCTTGTTTACCCTGATGTGATTATTATCTATTGCATGTCTGTATCAAAATATCTATGTACCCCATAAATATATACACCTACTATGTACTCACAAAATTAAAATATTTATATTTTATAATATATACATATATCTCCATCCCATGCTTGGAGAGTTCTAGACTTCTTTAGATATCACTTTTTCCCCTTAGTTTGTCCTGTTTCCCTCTTATAAGCTCCATTTCTATTCTGAATGTTTGATAGTATCCTTTCTATTACCTTTTATTGTGTATCTCATTATCTAGTTTATGGCTTATCTGTTCTTTGTTAATACATCTCTTCTTGAATGAATAACTTTTAACATTTTACCCTTTTTAAGTTGTTACATTTTATCTTAGCATTTATTTAATTCTCAAAAAGATATGAGATAAAAATAAGTGCAAATCAGTATATTATAAATGTTTACCTACTGACCTCCAAGATAGGACACTCCTAGGTAGGCCATGGTATTTCCTGCTGTTGACAGTGATAAATCATAAATAAGGCTAATGTACTGAGTTTTAAAGATAGCTTTGTCATTATTTAATTAAAACTCATTAAAATGACTTTTTTATTCAATGAATATTTATTGATATCTACTCTGTGCCAGGCATTACTCTTTTTCAATATTTTATTTTATTCTTAAAAATCTTTTTATTGAGGTATGATTAAAATATAAATAGCAGTACATATTTAATGCATACGGCTTGATGAGTTTGGGGTAAGTATATGCCTGTGAAACCGTCACCACCATTGAGACCATAAACACGTCCATCACCTCCCATTGGTTTTATTATTATTTTTGTAGTAAGATTAAGATCTATGCTCTTAGCAAATTTCAAATATACAGCACAGTATTGTTAGCTATAGGCACTACGCTGTATAGTGGATCTCTAGAACTTTTTTATCTTGCATAATTGAAACTTTCTCTCCTTTGATCATCATCTCCCTATTTCTCCCTTTCCCCCGCCTGTGGCAACCACAATTTTACTCTCTGCGACGATGAGTTTGACAATTTTAGATTTAACATATAAGTGAGATCATAGCTATCTTTCTGTGTCTGGAATATTTTACTAAGCATAATGCCCCCCAGCTTCATACATTTTGTCACAAACGGCAGGATTTCAATTTTTTATCTTTATGTTTTGACACAGGGTCTCACTTTGTCACCCAGGCTAGAGTCCAGTGATGTAATCACAGTTCACTGCGACCTCAACCTCCAGGCTTAAGCAACCCTCCCACCTTAGCATCTGGAGTAGTTGGGACCACAAGCAGACGCCACCAGGCCTCGCTAATTTCTGTTTTTCACAGAGATAAAATCTCGCTGTGTTGCCCAGGTTGGTCTCAAACTCCTGGGCTCAAGCAATCCTCCTGCCTTGGCTTCCCAAAGTGCTAGGATTATAGGCATGAGCCACCATACCAGGCCTAGGATTTCATTTTTTAAGGCTAAGTAATATTCCATTTTATCTGTATCTCTATCTATGTCTCTATCTCTCTATCTTACATTTCATTTATTTATTAATGCATCAGTAGACATTTAGGTTGTTTTCATAGGTTTGCTACTGTGAATAATGCTACAATAAACAAGGGAGTGCAGATATCTCAGGATACTGATTTCAATTTCTTTGTGTATATGCCCAGCTGAGGGATTTCTGGGTCACATGATAGTTCTATTTTTAATTTTTTGAGGAACCTCCATACTATTCTCCATAATGGTTGTACCAGTTTACATTCTTACTAACAGTGTACAGGGGTTCCCTTTTCTCAACATCCTCATGAACACTTATTATCTATTTTTTTTTTAAACAATAGCCATCCTAACAGATGTAAGGTGATATTTCATTGTGGTTTTGATTTGCATTTCCCTGATGACTAATGAGGTCATGCACCTTTTTTTATACCTCTTGGCTATTTGTACGTTTTCTTCGTGGAAATGTCTATACAAGTCTTTTGTCTACATTTTAATTGGCTTGGATTTTTTTTTTTTGCTATGGAGTTGTGTAAGTTCCTTATATATTTTTGATATTGAGCCCTTATCAGAGAAATGATTTGTAAAGACTTTCTCCAATTACATAGGCTGCCCTTTTTGTTGTTGATTGTTGTTCAGAAGCTTTATAGTTTGATGTAGTCTCACTTCTTATTTTTGCTTTTAATGCCATGCTTTTGGTGTCTTAGCCAAGAAATCATTGCTAAGACCAATAACAAGAAGTTTTTTTCCCTATGTTTACTTTTATGAATTTTATGATTTTAGGTCTAACGTTTAGGCCTATAATCCATTTTAAGTTGAATTTTGTGTATGGTGTAAAATAAGGGTCCAATTTCATTCTTATGCATGTGGATATCCAGTTTTCTCAACACTATTTATTGAAGTAACTATCCTCTTCCCATTGTGTATTTTTAGTACCCTTGTCAAAGATTAGTGGATAGCTTTTTCCTTAGTTTTATTTCTGGGCTTTCTATTCTGTTCCATTGGTCATGTGTCTGTTTTTATGGTAGTACCATCCTGTTTTAATTACTATAGCTTTGTAATTGAATTTAAAATCAGGAAGATTGATAACTTGAGCTGTGTTCTTCTTTCTCAAAATTACACTGGCTATTAAGGTCTTATGTGGCTCCATATAAATTTTAATATTATTTTTTCTATTTCTGTAAAAAAATGCCATTGGAACTTTGATAGAGATGTGTTGAATCTGTAGATCACTAAGGGTGTTATGGACACTTTAGCAACATTCTTTCAATCCATGAACACAGGATATCATTCCATTTATTTGTGTTTTCTTCAATTTCTTTTAACAATGTTCTATAGTTTAAAATGTATAGATGTTTTGCCTCCTTAGCTAAATTTATTTTTATGCAGTTTATTTTTTATGCTATTGTAAATGGGATTTATTTATTAATTTATTTCTTGGCTAGAAACACAACTGATATTTGTATGTTGCCTTTGTATCCTGCATACAACTTTACTGATTTCGCTTATTAGTTCTAACAGGTTTTTGGTGGAGTCTTCAGGGTTTTGTGTAAACAAGACTATGTCATCCACAAATAGAGACTGTTACTTCTTCCTTTCCAATTTACATGCTTTTCATTTCTTTTTCTTGCCTAATTGCTTTGGCTAGGACTTCCAGTAGTATGTTGAATAGAAGTGGCAAGAGTAGGCATAATTGTCTTCTTTGATCTTAGAGGAAAAGCTTTCAGCTTTTGACCATTGAGTGTAATGTGAGCAGTGGACTTCTCATATATGGTGTTTACTGTCTTGAGGTATATTCCTTTCCTACCTAATTTGTTGAAGATTTTTTTATTATGAAAGGATATTTAATTATGTCAAATGCCTTTTCTGCATCTATTGAGACAATCATATGATTTTTATCCTTCAGTCTGTTAATGTGGTATATAACATTTATTGATTTTTGTGTGTTGAACCATCCTTGCACTGCAGAAATAAATTCCATTTTGTGACAGTGAATGATCCTTTTAATATGCTGTTGAATTCAGCTTGCTAGTATTTTGTTGAGGAACAGAACTAAACAACAAAATATACCTAAATATACCAAAACTTAAAGAGTGCAGTAACAGCAGTGACCAGTGGGAAATTTAAAGTTGTCTACATTAAAAAAGAAAAAAATCTCAAGTCGATAATTTAACTTTACACTTTAATGAACTAGAAAAGGAAGAGCAATGCAAACCCAAATCTAGCTGAAGGAAGAAAACAATAAAAATTAGAGCTGAGATAAATGAAATGGAGAGTAAAAAAAAGTAGAGAAATTCAGTGAGACCAAAAGTTGGTTCTTTGAAAAGACCAAAAAAATGTCATGCCATTAGCTAGACTTACAAGGGAAAAAAGAAAAGATGCAAATAACTAAAATTAGAAATGAAATGGAAATATTGTCACTGACCTAAAGAATTACAAATGATTATTAGAGAGTACTAGAACAATTGTACCTGAAAAAATTATAAAGCCTAGATGAAGCAGAAAATTTTTTAGAAACATATAATTTATCAAAATTGAACCAAGATGAAATAGAAAACTTAACATACCTAACTATATAAAATAAAAAGATTGAATCAACAACCAAAAACCTTTCATCAGAGAGAAACCTGGGACCAGATGACTTCACTGGTGAATTTAATTTATTTATACCAAAAATTAAATTATTACTAATACCAATCATTTCAATCACTTCCAAAAAATAAAAGGGTAAGAAACATTTTCTAACTTATTTTTTGAAGCCAAAATTACCCTTATACCAAGGTCAGACAGACACCATAAGAAAACCATAAGCAAACGTGCCTTATGAATATAGGTGCCAAATTCTTAACAAACTACTTTCAAACAGAATCCCCCAGCATAGTGAAAGGCTTATACACCATGACCAAGTGAGACTTATCTCAGTAATGTAAGGGTAGTTCAACATGAGAAAAGCAATCAATGCAATATACCACATTAATAGAAGGAAGAAAAAATGTCTTAATTAATTGATGCAATAAAAGCATCTTACAAAATTCAATACCCTTTCATGGTAGGGACACTCAACACACTAAGAATAGAAGGGGACTTCTTCAACATGATAAACAGCAATTATGAAAAACCCATAGCTAAAATAATATTTAATGGTGAAAGCCTGAAAGTTTTCCTTTGAAAATTAAGAATAAGATGTGGATACCCACTTTTATCACTGCTATTCAACACTGTAGTGGAGGTTTTAGCTAGAGCAATTAGGCAATAAAAGAAATAAAAGGCACCCAAATTGGAAGAAAAAAAGTTAAACTATATACATTTGCAGATAACATAATCCTATATATATATATAAGGTCCCAAGGAATATATACACACCCATACACACACAGCTCCATATATGTTATGGATTGAATTATGTCCCCCATCAGTACTTCAGAACATAACATTTTTTTTTTTGAAACAGGACCATTGCAAATGTAATTGGTTAATATGAGGTCATACTGGAGTAGGGTTGGCCTTTAATACAATATGCCTTATGTCCTTTAAAAGGAGGTAAAGTGATACAGATATGCAATGGAATGTCATATGACAACAGACACACAGATTGAAGGTGTATATATAAGGAAAAGAATGCCAAATTTTGCCAGGAACTACCAGAAGCTGGAGGGGAAAAGGAAGAACTGTTCCCTAGGGCCTGTGGAGAAAGCATAGCGCTGCCAACACCTTAGTTTCGGACTTCTAGACTCCAGAACTGTGACAGAATAAATCTCTATTGTTCTAAGCCACACAGTTAGTGGTAATTTGTTAAGACAGACATAGGCATCTAATGCAAATTTTGGTATTAGAGAGTAGGATGTTGCTGTAACATACACTAAAAATGTGGAGTTGACTTTTTAATTGGGTATGGGTAGAGCCTGGAAGAAGTTTGAAGTGTTTAACAGAAAATTCATCAAATGCTTTGAAGAACTGGTAGAAATATAAGCATTAAATGTACTTCTGGTGAGGACTTCAAATAATGACCATGTTATTGGACACTGGAGGAAAGGTGATTCTTATTATAAGGTGACAGAGTCTTAACTGACTTATATTCTATCACTGGGAGGAAAGTGAAATTTGTAAGCAATGAGCTTGGATGTTTAGCCAACAAGATTTCTAAACAAAATGTGGAAGGTGCCACTCAGTTTCTTTTCACTGCTTATAGTAAAATGCAAGAGGAAAGATATAAATTGGTGGATGAACTGTTAAGCACGATGGAACCAGTAATACAGGAGGCAGAAAGAAATTATTTAGGCAGTTAGTGAGGGCAAAAGAGCCCTCAGCAGAGCTTCCCTTCTAACAAAAAACCAGCACAATAAATTATTCTTTTCCTAACAAAGAGCAGCTTGAAATTGAGCTGCAAGCATATATAAGCAAGCTGGAAGCTTGCACAGGGGAATGCTGGCAGCTGTGCCAATAGAAAAGGGGTACCTGGGGGCCAGGCATGTTCAACATGGAGGTTCCATCTACCCTTTTTGTCAGCATGTGTACAGTAAGAAAGAAATGGGCAACACAGCGCAGCTCAGGTGGGAAACTGCCTGCATAATAGAAGATTAGGGTGGGGGATGCCAGAGATTCCCACCCTATGCAAATGGCACACATGGTCCTAACCAGTTTTTTGCACCCTATGAGGATCAGACACTCTCTTCCCACCAGTTCATCTATAAAACACCCTGCATTTCACTGGGGATCTGGCAACCCATTTTTCCTGGACCCCTCTCTATAGCAAAGAGCTATTCTGTTTCTTTCACCTATTAAACTTCCACTCTTAACCTCACTCTTTGTGTGTCCACATCCTTGATCTCCATGGCTGTGAGACAACAAACCTCGGGTATTACCCCAGGCAATGAGACTACTTCACTAGCACCTGATCATTTGGAAAATTCTCAGCCCATCCAGATAGTGGCTCTAGAAATGGTGTGTGGTTGGACAACCACTTACTAAGAGATTAGGTGTCTTATGGATTTAATCAACAATTTCAGTAGAAATCATGAACAGAGACGTATTTATTCAGGAAGTATCTGTGGGGAACCCTCTTTTCTAATGGCTTGAATCACCATAAGTTGGACAGGAGACCAATACATTTTAAAATAATTTTATACTAACAAAAAATGTTGCCAGCCTGGACTGATTGAGAAAGAAATAGGACAAAGTGAAGAAAAAAATTACTCTAAAGGCAGAGCCATAGATGCAGAGAATAGAGCATCAAGCCACAGAGGAATATTCTCAGGCCTTCAAATCTAATGAAATTATTCCTGTTGGGTTGTGGGCTTGCTTTGGACCTGTGGATATTTCTTTTCTTGCTCTTTCTCCCTGTTCTTTTGGAACAGGAATATCTATCTCATGGCTATCCAACCATTGTATTTTGAAACAAGATAACTTGTTTTCTGGCTTCACAGTTTCACAGATGAAGAGAGGAATTTTGCCCCAGGATGGACCATACCATGAGTCTCACCTATTATTGATTTAAATATTTAGATGAGAATTTGGACTTCATCAGAATTAAAAACTTTTCATTATCAGGAAAGTGAAAAGACAACCTATAAAATTAGAGAAATATTTATAAATCACAAAGCTGATAAGGATCTAGTATCCAGACAATACAGTGAACTCTTAAAACCCATCAACAAAAAGAAAACCCAATTTTAAAAATGGGAAAAAAGTTAAATAGACTTAAAACCACTGAATTGTACATTTTAAATTGTGAAATATGTGGTATGTGAATTATATCAATAAAGCTGTTATGTTTTTTAAAAAAGCAAAGTTTAAGAGACATGAGTGGGAGCTGTGATATTGGGTTAGGCAACGGTTTCTTTTCTTTTTTTTTTAAACTGCAATGAACACTTTATTTTTTATAAATTGTCAAACAAACAGCAGATGGTAACATTCAATAATCCTAAACTTTGCAGTGTATGAACCAGTGACTATGAGATTCTCCATCAAAAATCTTTTTTTTTTTCCTTCTTCAACTTTTATTTTAAGTTCAGGTGTACATGTGCAGGATGAGCAGGTTTGTTACAATAGGTAGGGAATGGTTTCTTAAATATGACATTTAAGCACAGCAACAGAACAAAAAATAGATAATTTAGACTTCATCAAAATTAAAAACTTTTGTGCAATGGAAATGATCAAAAAATGAAAAGAAAATCCACAGAATGGGAGAAAGTATTTACAAGTTATGCATCTTAAAATCGTCTAGTATCCAGAATATATAAGGAAATCTTACAATGAAGTGATAACAAGACAAATAACCCAATTGTAAAAATGGGCAAAGCATCTGAATAGACATTTTTTTCTAAAGAAGATAAACAGATGGCCAATAAACACAAGATGCTGAACACTATAAGCCATCAGGGAAATGCTATCAATTGCAAATCCAGTTTCCAATTGCAAATCCCAATGAGATGCCACTTCACACCCACTAGGATGGCTGTAATCAGAAAGAAAGACAACAGCAAATGTTGCTGAGGATGTAAAAGAATTGGAACCCTCACACATTGCTGCTGGGAATGTAAAATGGTGCAGCCACTGTGGAAATCAGTTTGCTGGTTCCTCAAAAAGTTAACATAAAATTATCATATGACTCAGCAATTCGTTTTCAATTAGGTTGGTGCAAAAGTAATTGCAGTTTTTGCCATTACTTTTAACAGATATATACCCAAGAGAAATGAAAACACATGACTACACAAAAACATGCACACGAGTATTCATGGCAGCATAATTTATGATGGCCCCAACATAGGAAAAAATCCAAATGTCCGTAAACTGATAAGTAGATAAATGTATAAGCAAAGTGAGGTATATCCCTATAATGGAATCTTATTGGGCAATGAAATGAAGTAAGGATATATGAAACAACATGGAAAATGTGTGAAAATTGTATGCTAAGTGAAAGAGGACAGTGACAAAAGAATATATATTATGTGGTTCCATTTACGCTAAATGTTCAGATTAGGCAAAGCTATAGAGACAGATATTTGTGTATTGGTTGCCTAGGACTGAGTGCTGGGATGCCGTAAGGGAATGTAGAGTGTCTACTAATGGGCACAGAGTTTTTTTGTGGGTGATGAAAATGTTCTACTTCCGGACACAGTGGCTCACGCCTGTAATCCCAGCACTTTGGGAGGCCGAGGTGGGTGGATCACCTGAGATCAGGAGTTTAAGAACAGCCTGGCCAACATGATGAGACCCTGTCCTTTCCAAAAACATAAAAATTAGCTAGGCATGGTGGTGTGTCTGTAGTCCCAGCTACTTGGGAGGCTGCGGTGGAGGATCACTTGAGCCTGGAAGGTTGAGGCTACGGTAAGCCATGATCATGCCACTGCACTGTGGCCTGAGTGACAGGGTGATATTCCGTCTCAAAAAAAAAAAAAAGAAAAGAAAATCTTCTAAAATTAGATTGTGGTGATGATTGCACAACTGTGAATATATTATAAACCACTGAAATGTACAGTTTAAAAGTATGTGAATTATATGTCAACAAAGCTTTTTAAAAATGGAACGCAATAATTTCAGGGGATCACTATCAGGAAAGAAGTCAAATTCGTGAATTTGAGGTCTCAATTGAAAGTTAATAATTAACAAAAAAATACAATTGTTCACTAAAATGTAAAGAGTAGAACTAATACAATCTGAAAAATATACTTAACTAAGAATAGAAAATAGTTCTATGCCATCTCTATCACATATTTCTAGGATATTAAACAGCCACTTCAGGCATCACCGAAATACTATGGCAGCACCAAAATTCCAGTCCTAATACATCGACATACATACGCCCACACAGACCTATGCATTTTTCATGCATGCAGGTGGTATCTGAAACTCATGTGAATAACTTCTCTGCAAGATATATTTAGTTGAGGTTATTTTCAATACAAATAGGATAGAGAGCTAAAAAGCCACTTTTTTAAATTCCCATAAACATGTTCTTCTACAATCTGCATTGTAGGACAGGATTTATTAGGCCTGATGCAATGCCTGGTGGCCCCATGTGTAGTATAATGTGAGAGGTGTCTCACACCTGTTTGTCCCACTGGCTACAATTCAGACCTTTGAATTCTCATCCCTAATTGGAGTTAGTCTTCCTGACTTGCAGAGGAACAATAGTGCCCTACATCTATACTAATGGTAGTACATTACCATTTTCAAAGTACAATACTTTTATATACTTCCTCTCATGGAATTCTAACAACCTTAGGCTGGAGGTACTGTTACACAGCTTTCATAGCTAGAGAAAATGAATGCTCAGTGAGGTTTATTTACTCATCTAAGGGCCTATTAGTCATGAACAAGCTGGGGCTTTGACAGGCTAATATTAAGTGCACTTTCCATGGTTTCTAAGCTTTGTCAAATGTTGAGTGCACCTAGAAACTTCTATTCAAATTGGACTCCTATGTGGAGAATAGAGAGGAGGGGAAGAGTAACAAAGTATCCCATTAGTAGCAGAAAACTATAGGATGAATTACTACAGGACAGAGCAAGGGCCTGAGTTATGAAAATTTTTATGTGTGAGGAAACAGGGCTTGAGGAACAGTTTCAAATAATAGAAAAAATGTTAACTCAGAGTATGAAATAGACATTAAGGAATAAATGTTGATTAAATATAGTTAGTATCCTAGGATATTTTTCTAGCATAGAAAATAACTTTTAATTAGAAATAGACATTTATTTTAGTCTGTTTCAGTCATTTAAATAAACTTCAGTTATGTATAGACATGACAGAAATATGTATTCTGTAAATGTGCATGTGTATCTTGGATAGTGTGTTTGTTTTTGGAATTATCTTTCAAACAGAGAGGATAGACTATTTATTTACATGTGCTGTCTTACTGGGTAGAACTCTAAATTTGTCTGTCCTGTCCTTACCACAAGAACAATGCCCAATGGAAACAAAGAGTTTAGGACTTTAAATTCTTTACTTCTGATTTTCTTTTGATAAAACATTGCTTTTCATTATGTTTGCTTTTTTCCTTTTTCTTTTTCTTTCTTTTTTTTTTTTTTTTTTTTTTTTTTGAGGCGGAGTCTCGCTCTATCACCCAGGCTGGAGTGCAGTGGCGCGTTCTCTGCTCACTGCAAGCTCCGCCTCCCGGGTTCACGCCATTCTCCTGCCTCAGCCTCCCGAGTAGCTGGGACTACAGGCAAGTGCCACCACACCGGGCTAACTTCTTTTTGTATTTTTAGTAGAGACGGCGTTTCACCGTGTTAGCCAGGATGGTCTCGATCTCCTGACTTCGTGATCCGCCCGCCTCGGCCTCCAAAGTGCTGGGATTACAGGCATCACCTACCGCGTCTGGCCGCTTTTTTCCTTCTTTATCAAAATAGCCCTGCAGCGTGGCTCTGTATCATCTTCTTCATCCGTTTCTGCAAATAAAATTAGTTTGCCGTATGTCCCACATAAATAAGTCAATGCAATTATTTAATTATGAATTGTAATTCTTCCTTGTCTCAGCTGCTTACTTAGCCCATTGATTAGAATACCTTACTTTCTTCTTTTTTAATGTATTGTTCAGGGAATACGTCAATGTTCAAAGGCTGATATTCAACCAGTTTATTTCCTGCAACTGAAGAAGTACAATGCCCTCCTGCTTATCTGGCCTCATTTTCTTTGCTTTGGAGATGTATGTTGGAAAACAAACTGATGTATTTTTCACAGTTGCAAATAAACTAACCCTGCTTTTCAAAGTATTGCATGTTGTCATTTCTTTCTTTTCTGGAAAGTATGAAGTTTGGTATTCTTGTTAAAAGGCTGAAGATCAATCCATGACTGAATTCTGATTCTAATTCTGTTCCCAATTCCATCTGGTCATTTCTGTTAAATAATCTAGGGTGAGTCACTTAATTGTTCTTTTTTTGTGACCTTCTCTGTTTACTCTCCCTGCAAAGCAGATAGAATAATGTTACTGTATACGTACCTCAGGGAGTATTTGAAACATAGTAAGGATTATCATTATTTAGCACAGCTAAATTTTACAAGTGCTAGAGGAGGTCCATGTTGTTTGTATTACTTATAATTAAAGCTGAAACTTTATATCTCTGTCTACATATGCAAAATCAAGTGACCGAATAAGTTCATTTAAATACTTTAGGAAGTTAAATGTAGCACTTATAATTGAGAAATCCATTTCACATAAAAATAATTTCATTAATGTATGCATTTCACATGTACGCTTATTTTTGCTCTCAAAATGTACTTATATGCAACTCACAGTTTTTTCAAGAAAGGCCCAAGTAATTCAAGAAAAGGAAAATTGTTTTTATAATTATCTCAATTTTCCATCTCAGCCTGGGTGCACAAATACTTAACACAAAGTATTGTTTTTCTTTTCATTTAAGCTGTGTTTTTGTCAAGTGGAGCCTATTTAGGTTTAGTCTACTCTAGATCTTTATAGTAGTTAATCTTCCATTCTTAACTTGATGTCAATAAGTTTTTTTTGAAATGTTGTTTGCTGTATGGATAGTTCCGGCCGCCAAGCTACCTGGTTATTCCTTAGTGCGTTCCTTCCTACAACCGTAGTAGCAGTGTCATTATTAGTTGCAATGTCTTCATCTTCTTCAATCCCCAAAAAACCTAGACAAAAGTGGTATAAACAGTGAAGAAATTTATTTCCCCCATTATAAGAAATTGAGAATAGGCATATCCTGTGTAGGTCATTTAATTGACTCAATAATATCATGAAGGATCCAGATTCTTTGCCATTTTTCTGCTCTGATACCTTCAGTGTGACAGTATTGGCCTTGGGCTATTTTCCCTCTTGGCCACAAGATGGCTGCCCAGAAAGGACAATGCCCAATGGAAAAAGAGGGATATTTTTTTCTTCTTTATGTCTGTATAAGAAGAAAAATTTCTTTACCATAAACCTCCAATAGACCTCTGTTTATGCCTCATTGGCCAGAAATGAATCACATGCCCACTTATAAACCAAGCATTGGCCATATTTAAGAGATCACCGTGATTACATTAAAATACTCAGGAATTACCCGTGAGTCCATGGTAGAGAGATCAGACTCATGAATAAATTGTGGTTTAAGCACCAAGTAATAAGGGATTAATAACTACTAGACAGTCAACAGTGTCTCCTTTATTTAGGAACCAGCTTCCTCTAGACTTCTTCCTGAGAAACTTCTATGAAGATATTCCTGGCAGCTTCTTCACTTAATTTTTGCTAATGGAGTTTCCTTTGAGAATTTCCTATATTACTTTTGAAGGTGATAGAGACAGGGGGCCAAGAAAGTTTAGGCAGAAAAGGGTGGGTCCCCGACAAAACCCCACCTTCAAGCCAAAAAGCCTGAAGCCCATGGCCCAAAGTGAGAACTTCTATCCTTGTTTTCCTACTCGAATGTTGCCTTTTCCTATACTACCCATGGCCTGTCCCACCCCTAGTCCTGTGCCTATAAAAGCTCCAGACTCAGCCAGAAGAGAGGAAAAGCAGCTGAACGTCAGGGACTGTGGCTGGATGTTGGAGAGAAGCGGCTTAACTTCAGAGGGACAGCTTGATGGCTGGAGATGGTTGGACTTTAGGGGCAGATTACCTACCTCCCTATCCCCTTTTCTGCTCCCCTTCCCACTGAGAGCCACTTTCATTGGCAATAAAATCCCCTGCATTTACCATCCTTCAGTTTGTTCATGTGACCTCATTTTTCCTGGATGCTGGACAAGAGCTTGTGAGCCACAAGTGTGGATACAAAAGGCTGTCAAACTGGCTCTTTGCCCTTGCTGGCGGACAGCCACCTCACGTGAAAAGGCAAAGGGCCCACTGAGCTGTGAACACTTATGCTGTCCCTGGATGGCAGAGCTAAAAAAGCACTGTAACACGCCCTCTGGGGATGTGGGGGTCGCAGGCACTACCATCTGGATGCTGCCGCGGGGCCCACACAGAGTTCGCGCCTGCCAGTGCAGAAGCGGCTTGCCAGTTCCAGAGCTTGTGCACTCCAGTTCCCACCTCCTTTACTCATGTGCTCCCTCCTATGAGGAGTTTAGAGTGGCAGGCTGAGTAAATGAGGTACCCTTGTTGTGAGTCCTGCGAAGGTTTCAGGGAAATATCTCGCTTCGAAAGTAGGCCTAAAACAAGGCCCTGAAATTTTGTCTTTATTTCACCTATATTACTTTACTTGCTTTTCTCATATGCATTTAAGTTAAAAGAATTCTTGAGTTACAATTTATATACAATAAGGTATATCCATTTTAAATGACAGTTCAACGAGTTTTGACATGTATGTATGCATGTGTAACCATCACAATAATAAAAATGTACAATATTTCCATAACCCAAAATATTCCCTTAAGCTCCCTTTCTAGTCTGTTCTCTCTAAACCTGGCCACAGGCAACCAAAATTTTTCCAAAATTATATACCATTTTACATCTCCAACAGCAGGGTACAAGGGTTTTGATTGTACCACATCATCTCCATGACTTGGTATTTTAAATCTTTAAAAAATCTTAGCCATGATAAATTTCACCATTGTACATTTAATTTTCATTTCCTGAGTGACTAATGATGGTTTACATCTTTTCATGGGCTTATTGTCCACACTCATATCTTCTACCATGAAGTGTCTTCTCAAAACTCTTCCCAATGTGTTTGTTGTGCTTTGTAAATTATTGAATTGTAAGAAGTATTTATATACTCTGAATACAAGTCCCACAACAGGTATGTGAATTGTGAATCTTTTCTTCCAATCAATTACTTGCTTTTTCATATTAATAACAGTATTTCAAAGAGCTGAAGTTAGTTTTTAATTTGTATGATGTACACTTTATTGATGTTTTCATTTACGATTTGTGCCTTTTGTGTATTATGTATGAACCCTTTGACCATCTATAGGTTGGAAAGAAGTTCTCCTTTGTTGCCTTCTGTAATTTGGTCAGAAAAATTTTTCTGTGAAGGACCAGATAACAAATATTTTAGGCTTTGAGGTTTACATATGGTCTCTGTTGCATATTTTCCTCTCCTCTTCTCTTTTAAAAATATTTAAAAATTCCTTAGCTTAAGTGCCTGCCAACACCAACAGTAGGCCACATGTGGTCTAGGGGCCATGTTTGTTTTATCTACCCCTGTTCCCAAAGATTTATAGCTTTAGCTTTTATCTTTAGCCCTATGAGCCATTTCATGTTAATTTTTGTGTATGGTGTGAGGTAAGATTTAGCATTCATTTTTTTATTCTATATGTACAGATGTGTCCTTTAATGATGGGACTATGCTCTGAGAAATGTGTCTTTAGGTGATTTGCCTGTTGTATGAACATCATAGAGTGTGCTCTCACAAACCTAGATGGCATAGCCTACTACAATTGTATTGCTACAATTGCCTACAGTATTCAGTATGGCAAACATAGTAAAGGTATAATAAAAATACAATATAAAAGATTAAAAATAGTATATGTGTATAAGGAAAATTTACCAGAAATGGCAGTTGCAGGACAAGAAGTTGTTCTGGGTGAGTCAGAGTGAATGGTGAGTAAACGTAAAGGCCTAGGACATTACTGTATAGTACTGTAGACTTCATAAACACTGTACTCTTAAGCTACGCTAAATTTATAAAAATCCTTTCTTCAATAATAAATTAACATTAGCTTACTATAACCCTTTTGCTTTATGAATGTATACATTTTTAACTGTTTGACTTTTTTGTAATAATACTTTTGCTTAAAACATAAAAACGTACTATACAAAATACTTTTAATATCTTTATTATATAAGCTTTTTTTGTTTTAATTTTATTTTTAGTTTTAAAACTTTCTTGTTAAAAACTAAGACACAGACACACATATTAGCTGAGGTCTATATCAGGTCAGGATCACCAATATCTCTGACTTACACCTCCACATCTTGTCCCACTGGAGGACCTTCAGAGGCAAAATAACACACGTGGAGCTGTCTGTCATCTCCTATGATAACAATGTTTCCTTTTGGAATCCTCCTAAAGGACCTGCCTGAGGCCATTTTACAGTTAACTTTTTGTTTAATAATGGAGCAGAGATATCAGCCACTGTATACTGTGGGTGAGAAAAAGTTGGCAATTTGAGAACAGGCAAAACAAAAACAAAGCAAAACAAATACAATAAAACAACAACAACTCAATATCCGCTCGTGATGAAAAAATAGAAAAAGAAGGGAACTTCCTCAAGCTGTAAAGGACAACTATGGACAAATCTACAGCTAATATTCGGATTATTTCCCTCTAAGATGAGAAAGAAGGTAAGAATATCCACTCTCAAAACAAAATATGTACAAAACACTGTTGCTGTATTCTTAAAGCCTTCCATGAGTACTTCTTTTCAGCTTGGCCCCTCCAACTTGTCTTTTGTACATGGATAATTTTGCAGTCATTTCTTGATTTGGGCAGAGTTTTAGCTCTTTCTCTCTGCAATTTCCTTGTTTTTAAGATTAACTCCTAATTTCCAGCCACTCTGCTTGTCTCCAGCTCTGTCCTCTGACACGTGAAGCCCATAAAAATTTAGCTGTCTCCTGTTGGGTTGACTGGGAATATATTTCTGCTGTTGATCTATAATTTAATTCTAGTATGGTCAGAAAAGATTGTCTCTATGATTTCACTACTTTGTAATGAATTGAAGTTTTCTGGCTCAATTTATGGCTTTTTCATGTGAACTTGAAACAAACGTGTGTTCTCTTGTTGGGTAGGTATTCTATACATTTTCACTTCAGTCAAGTTGATTTGTTGTATTGTTTAAGTCTTCTATAGTCGTCCTTATTTTCTTTTTACTTGTTCTATTGATTACAAAGAAATGAATTTTGAAATTTCCAATGACAATTTGGGATTTGTCTATTTATCCATGCAGTTATATCAGTTTTTCTATATGTATTTAAAGCTCTATAACTAGGTACTTATACATTTAGGATTATTATATACTCTAAATGAATTAACTTATAATTATTAGGAAATATTATTCTTTTACCTGGCAATTTTTTTTTCCTGAAATCTACTTTGCCTGATATTAATATAGCTACTGTATTCATTTTATGAATAATGTTTGGATGATGTTATCTTTTTCATTTTTTTTTACATTGGAACTATATTTTTATCTTTAAAGTACGTGTTTCAGGTCATATCATTAGGTCTTTTTAAAAATCAATTCTGACTACCTTTTAATTAGAGTGTTTAGACTACCTTTAACACAATTATTGATATAGTTGGGTTTAAAACTACCACCGTGTTTTTTTCAATATATCCCATATATTTTACTCTAGAGTATATGATATGTACATTTACATTTTCATAGTCTACCTTCAAATACTATTATATAACAATGCATAAGATTATTATAAGATTATGCTTCCCGCTTCAACATACATTATAAATGGTACAATAGTTTGATATTATTTTTACTTTGAATAATTAATTATCTTATAAAGAAATTTTAAATGAGAAAATAGTCTTTTACATTTACCCACGCATTTATTATTGCTGTAGCTCTTCATTTCTTGCTATAGAAAACAAATTTCCTCCAGGTATCATTTCCTTCTGCTTGAAGAACTTCTTTTAACATTTTGGTAGTAAAGATTTGATAGCTGCAAATTCTTTTAGCGTATTTTTCTTTGACAGAGTATTTCATCATCATGTTTTTCACTGACTATAGACTCTTGTTGGAGAGTGTTCTATCTTTCAGCACTGTGATGATGTTATTCATTGTCTTCTGGATTGCAGATATTCTGAACAACAATCTGGCATTATTTTTACCTTTGTCCCTCTGGACAGGTCTTTTCTAAAAAAATATCAAAGCAAGTTCCAATTACATGTATATTTGGTTGCCGAATATTTTTCCATGTGTCCCTAAGGCTCAGTTCAGATTTTTCGGTTTTTTTTTTCCTCTCCGTGCTTCAATTTGAAAAGTTTCTATTGCTTTGTCTTCAAATTCATTGAGCTTTTCTCCTATATTGTCTTTATTTAAGCCTATTCAATATACCTTTATTTTAGATATTGTGTTTTTCATCTACAAAGTCCCATTTGGTTCTTTTTCTATCTTCCATTTATCTTTTAATGGTGTTTATTATTCTCTTTTATCATTTAGCATATTTATAATAGCCATTTTAAAATTTCTATTGTGTATCCCATCATGTCTGTGTTTTCAGGTTCTGTCGTTATTGACTGGTCTTTCTCCTGCTTATGGGTCATATTTTTCTTCTTCTTCATGTCTATTCTTTTTCAAGGACATGGGAATTTTACTTTGTTGAGTGCTAGCTTTTGTTATGTTGTCTTAAAACACTTTTATATTTTATGGCAGGCAATTATGTTACTAGTGCAACAGCCTGATCCTTTTGAGTTTTCCTTTTAAGCTTACTAGAGTGGTTCTAGCATACCCTTTTATTCTACTGCTAATTTAGCCTCCCTACTAGAGCAAGACATTCCCTTGGTCTCTACTGAATGACATGACTCTTAATTGCAACTCTCCAATGTATAATCTCCACCTTATGGCTCCTCAGTCATTATTTGCCTCGCCTCATATTGTTTCATTCTATGCATAATGTTCAGCAACAAACACACATAGATCCCTATGCAGATATTTATAGTTCTTTTCTGTGAATACCCTTCCTTTCCAGTATGGAGCTCTGTAATTTTTAGCTCCAGCAATCTCCCACGCCCTGATTTCTGTCTCCTCAAATCAGTGAATCTCAGCTATGCTCTGCCTGGGTTTTCCCTCTCTATATCCTGATCTGGAAAGTACCTCACTGGTGTAGAACCAAAGTGATTATAGGTATCATCTCTTTTTTTCCCTTGTCTCTTGAATCCTAGTCCTATGCTGCTGTTTGATCAGTTTCTAAAAATGGTTTCATACGTTTTGGTCAGTTTTCTATTTGTTTATGTTAGGGGGGCAAGTGTGGTTTCAGTTATTCCATTATGACTTGAAGCAGATTTTTCTTATATGCTTTTGGTTTGTGTTGGAGCTACATGATATGGAGAAAAACATTATCTTTCAAAGCTGAAACTTAAGCCTGTGTATTAAAATTTCTTTTCACAACTATTGATAAGACTACCTGGAAAGGAAAGTTGCCTCTATAAGAAATACTAACTGTATCATTGTAGTCAACAGTGAAAGTGAAAAAGAAAGACTTTTTGGAGAAAGCATTAAAAAGTGAAGAGAACAAAGTGTGCAGACATTTCAACCCAAAATAACATAATTTCCAACGGAGGGTGAAACTGATTCTGTTATATAAGAGGTAGAATTATACTTGAATTGAGTTTTTATATTTATGGATATTTTAAAATATAGCTAGTTTTGTTTCTTATCTTCCATAATGTTATCATTAGAATTCTTGAATTATATGATTACCTCTGACATTTTCTATTTATAATATTTTATGATTATACAAAATAATCAAAGTGTTCATTATGTCCAGGACACTGGACTAGATGATTTGTAAGATAAATAAAAATACTCAGTCTGGGCCTTCCATCAGATTATAGCCTAAATTGGGAAATAAGAGAAACACACAAATACAGAAAAAATGAAACAGGTAGATTTTATGAGTGATTAATATATGAATAATGAAAGAGCCATGAAAATTTATAAAAGTGACTTTTTTTTTGTGATGGAATCTGGGAAGGCTTCAGTGAGGATTTGGTTTTTGATGTAGGCTTTAAAGAATGGATGAACCTGGGTTTTTTTTTTTTTAGACGAGTGTGAATAAAAGCGTGTTTCTGGTGGAAAATCTCTGTCAGAGCCTTTGATGCTATGGTATTTTGTACATATATTTAAAAGTTTATGGTTACATCTAGATATATGCATTTGTACATTTTTAATAAAATGATATTAGAAATTATTTGAGCTTATAGGTGAAATTGGACTATTAAAATATATCCCAAGGAATCTAATAATAAAGATGTTAGAACCTGGCAAATGTCACTGCTCTTTGATCTTGTTCTTTGCTTATTCTCTTTCCACTCATTAAACTTTAGCTGGAAGACTTTCCGTAGAAAATGATCTCTATAAGGTACACACATTTTCAGTTTTCTTAAAAATGTTGTTAACAGTTTGATTTGTCACAGTGAGAATTTTTCCATGTTATTGGGCTAGGTGGAGTCTGAAAGATACTAAGAATTAAACACACACACGCACACACACACACGAACAGATTACTGAGTGTTAATTATGTCTCAGCCACTATGTTAAACAGTTTACATGAATTATCTCATTCAAATCCTCACAACAACCCTATGAGATAATTGGTACTATTATTTGCATTTTATGTGTGAAAAAACGAAGGCACATAAAATTTCAATAAGTTGCTCAAGATCACAGAAATAGTAACTGACAGAACAATCTTTCTTATACAGTAATTCTCATTTTTCATTGCCACACTGCATACTAATATGCTTTTGTTAGGTAGCAAATATCAATAATATCTATTAAGAATATACTATGTAGCAGGCATTGTTCTAAGCACATCGAATGCATTATTTTATGTAATTCTCACATCCAGTGACACAGAAATTCTAATACCCATTTTAGAGATGAGGCAAATGAAAAATAAGAGAGATTAACTCACCCAAATAAGACTTGGGTTAACTTACTCAAGTTCACAGGCATGGGGAGTTCTCGAATAGGATTAAAAAACCAGATCAGTCTCATTCTAAGGCTAGTGTTCTAAAGCACTTTTATTTATTGCCTCATATTCTATTATTTTTATGAACTTAAATACAACTTCTGATGGAGCATACTGTATAATATAAAACTTTCTTATGACAATTAACATATAAATAGACCAGTATCTGGGGAACACTGTGGAAGAAAGTACAGCTATCGATATTTCAGTTGCTACATCCTCCTTGTAGGAAGATTAAGCATGTTAGACTCCTGCTGATTTGGTTAAGATATAATTATTGCAGGAACAGCCCTGTGAAAACCCTCAAGTCTCATCTTGGTGAACAAATAAGAGTCACTGATAGAAATCCTTTTAGTATTTTGCATTCTTGCACCAGGAGTACTACTAAAATTAATCACATTTTCCAAGGATAATAAATTGAGTACTCTTTTATTTACATCAGTAATTTGAAAAACAGGCTTCTGTTTATAAATAAACATTTCTTGCAAAATTTCCACAACAAAGAATGAACTCAGACAATTGGATCGGTAGTTCTCTGAAATCACAGCCCCTAATTTTTAGGATATGCTAGAATACAATTTTCTTCAACTGTCATGTCAATTACATACACCTTTGGTACTTACATTTCATTCAGATGTAAATTGATTTAGTATTTGCAGAACGTTATGAGAATTTTGAATAAAAAGAAGGTTCCCAGATGCAAATTTACCGAGCAGAATGTCTCAGAAATTTCAAAAGGTTTTGAATAAACATAGTTTTGAGTGTAAGTTTTATGTTATATAAAAAAATTTTATTTTTCTTTATTTTAGTTTTTACTTTAGTCTTTATTTTAGGCTGTTATTACAAAATTAAAAGGGCTTTTTTTTTACAGGTTTGTTTAAATGAAACCACAGCAAGGAGAAATTTCACCATTAGGCATAGCAATTTCTTGAACATGCACATCTTTTCTATTTTAAAAATGTGAATTTTATGTGTATCAGACAAAATATAAATATGAGTTAACATTTTAGTGTGCCTTGAATGGACAATATTTAGTATATATATAAGAGAAATATATATTGCAATTTTAATACATTCTTCTGGCACACCAGCTGGAAAAAATAAAAGATCTAAAACAAGTAACTGGCTTACATTTTAAAAATTAATATACTAGAATCAAATTTTAATGCAACCATTTTGAGGCACTTTAATAATAATGTGAAATTTGAAAGACAACAGATAAATATATATCAAAACTCCAGTGTAGTTCAATAATTTGCTATGGATTAAATTTGAAAAGGAAAAGCTGAATTTTACAGTCATCTTCCTACCTCTCCCTGCTTCTCACATGGTGAAAAATATGAGTATTTTAAAATGATGATCACAAAGCTATGTAAAAGCTTTATATTCTCAGAGATTTTCCTTTCAAGTAGGTATCAATATGAAGAAACAAACTGACCCTTTTGTCACAGTCATGATTTATGTAAAAGGTCATGAAGGAAAATATACGCAAAAAAATGATCAAAATCAGTTCTTCATAGATTTAGAATATGTAAGATTCCTTGTGTGCGCCTATAAATGTCACGGTTTCAGAGTTAGTGCTAATGAGTAGGGTGGGGTGGGAGGAGCAGGAAGGAAAGGGAGGAATGAATTTGCGCTCAATTTGCATTTAAGCTGAGAACATTTTAAAGCCAGACAGTTAGTGTTATAGAATTGTAATTTATGATCAGTTTGTTATCTTTACACATTCTAGCAAGACACCTTAAGTCTGATCGATGAGAACATGCTTAAAAAAACCTTTGAAAAATTAAGAGATAAAAGCAAAAGTAATAATGAAATATTTGACTGCTTTGGAATAAACTTTGTTCTGACCTCAAATATGCCATTTGGTACACAAAATATTATTACTGTGGCTGGCAGATAGCCAATTTCACCTAGTGAGTTCACAGTGCATCATTTTAAAGCTCATTAGTGTCTCCATATTAATATATTTTTGTAGATTCTTCCCTTCCCACCATCATTTAATCTGGCACATTTCTGGTAAGTGAATATTGTTTTATTCACCAGTTTACATATTTATTTTCATGAGAGATGTATAGATTGAATATTAGCTTCAGGATAAAGAAATAGATGTAATCTTAGCATCTTTTCGGATGGCATATGTTGAGTTGTGACATAGTATATAAAGCCTGGTACATGAAGCCTGGCCAGTGACTTCCAGGGAGTTGAAAACGTCAGTAATGTTTCTCAGTTCCTCAGTTTCTACTACTATGGGTGGTAGGAAATTGAATCATTTTTGCTTTTATAACAGTCTATATTTTCAATCTCAGAAACCTATTTGCTGTCTTCATATGTAACTTGTTTTGTTCATATATACTCATACAATTTATCATTATTTAGTTGTTTGTTGGCTTACATGTTTATGGTGTATCTTTATCACAGTTTGTAAACTTCATAAAAATCAGAGATCTCTCTTGTTCACTGCTGTATTCTTGTTGAATGAGTGAATCATGGCTATAAGTTACATGAACAAAAGAGAAAGATTGTCAATGACAGAAAAATAGCTAGTGTATAAATATGTATAAACAGTTACATTTAGTTTATTTTTATGTATTTATTAATTACATATATATATTAATAGCTTTTGGGATGCAAGTGGTTTTTGGTTATGTAGATAAATTGTATTGTAAAATCTGAGATTTTAGTGCACCCATCACCCAAGTAGTGTACATTGTATCTAATATGTAAGTTTTTTCCCTCAGACATTTCCTACCCTCCTCCCTTCTGAGTCTCCAAAGTCCCTTATACCATTCTGTATATCTTTGCATACCCATAGCTTAGCTCCCACTTATAAGTGAGAGCATATGGTATTTGGTTTTCCATTCCTGAGTTACTTCACTTAGAATAATGGCCTCCAGTTCCATCCAAGTTGCTGCAAAAGACATTATCTCATTCTTTTTTATGGCTGTGTAGTATTCCATGGTGTATGTATGTGACATTTCATTTATCCACTCATTGGTTGATGGGCACTTAGGTTGGTTCCATATCTTTGCAATTGTGAATTTTACTGCGATAAACATATGCATGCAGGTGTCTTTTTCATATAAAGATTTCTTTTCCTTTGGGTAGATACCCAATAATGGGATTGCTGGTTTGAATGGTAGATCTACCTTTACTTCTTTAAGAAATCCCCATACTGTTTTTCAGAGGTTGTAGTAATTTGCATTCCCACCAGCGGTGTAGAAGTGTTCTCTTTTCACCACATCTACACCAACATCTATTGTTTTTTTTTAACTTTTTATTAGTGGCTACGATCACTGGAGTAGAGTGGTATCTCACTGTGGTTTTAATTTGCATGATTAATGATGTTGAGCATTTTTCATATATTTGTTGGCCATTTGTATATCTTCTTTTGATAAATGTCTATTCATGTTATTCGCCCATTTTTTGATGGAATTACTTGCTTATTTCTTGCTGATTTAGTTGAGTTCCTTGTAGATTCTGGATACTTGTCCTTTGTCAGATGCATAGCTTGCAAATATTTTCTCCCATTCTGTGGGTTGTCTGTTTACTCTGATGATTAGTTATTTTGCTGAGCAGAAGCTTTTTAGTTTAATGAAGACCTATTTATTTATTTTTGTTATGTTTGGTTTTGGGGTCTTAGTAATAAATTCTTTGTATAGGCCAATGTCCAGAAAAGCTTTTCCTAGTTTTTTTCTAGGATGTTTGTGGTTTCGGGTCTGAGATTTAAGTCTTTGATCCATCTTGAGTTTATTTTTGTATTAGGTGAGAGACAGGGATCTAGTTTCATTCTCTTACATATAGCTTGAATTTTTCCAGAACCATTTATTGAATAGGGTGTCCTTTTCTCAATTTGTGTTTTTGTTTGCTTTGTCAAAGATTAGTTGGCTGTAAGTATTTTGCTTTATTTCTGGGTTCTCTATTTTGTTCCATTGGTCTATGTATGTACTTTCATACCAGTACCATGCTGTTTTGGCAACTATAGGCTTGTAGTATAATTTGAAGTCAGGTAATGTGATGCCTCCAGATTTGTTCTTTTTGCTTTGTATTGCTTTGAATATGTGGACTCTTTTTTGGTTCCATATGAATTTTAGGATTGTGTTTTCTAGTTCCGTGAAGAATGATAATGGTATTTTCATGGGCATTGCATTGAATTTGTAGATTTCTTTGGACAGTATGGTCATTTTCATGATATTAATTCTTCCAATCCATGGGCTTGGGTTGTATTTCCATTTGTGTCATCTCTATTTTCTTTCAGCAGTGTTTTGTAGTTCGCCTTGTAGAGACCTTTCACCTCTTTGGTTATGTATATTCCTATGTATTTTTTTTAAAGCTATCTAAAAAGGATTGATTTCTTGATTTGATTCTCAGCTTGGTTGTTGTTGCTGTATAGCAGTGCTACTGATTTTTTACATTGATTTTGTAACCTGAGACTATACTGTACTCATTTATCAAATCTAGAAGTCTTTTGAAGGAGCCTTTAGGATTTTCTAGGTATACAATCATATCACTGGACAGGAGAGATAATTTGACTTCCTCTTTTCCAATTTGGATGCACTTTATTTCTTTCTCTTGCCTGATTGTTCTGGCTAGAACTTCCAGTATTATGTTGAATAGAAGTGGTAAAAGTGGGCACCCTTGTCTTGTTCCAATTCTTAGGGGGAATAGTTTCAACTTTTCTCCATTCAGTATGTGGTTGGCTGTGGGTTTGTCATATATAGCTTTTATTATTTTGAGGTATGTTCCTTCGATGCCTAGTTCGTTGAGGGTTTTCTCATAAAGAAATTCTGGATTTTATTGAATGCTTTTCCTGCATCTATTGAGATGAATATGTTTTTTGTTTTCATTCTCTTTGTGTGATGTATCACATTTATTGACTTGCTTATGTTAAAATATCCCTACATCCCTAGGATGAAACCCACTTTATCATGGTGTATTATATTTTTGATGTGCTTTTGGATTTTGTTTGCTAGTATTTTGTTGAGGATTTTTGCATTTATGTTCCTCAGAGATATTGGTTGGTAGTCTTCATTTTTTATTATGTCCTTTCCTGGTTGTGGTATCAGAGTGATACTGGCTTCATAGAATGATTTAGGGAGGATTCCCTTTCTTAATTTTTTGGAATAGATTGAGTAGGATTGATACCAATTCTTTGAATGTCTAGTAGAATTCAGCTGTGAATCCATCTGGCTCTGGGCATTTTGTTGTTGTTGCTGGCAATTTTTAAAATTACTGAATCAATCTCGCTGTTTTGTTATTGGTCTTTTCAGGATTTGTATTTCTTCCTGATTCAAGCCAGGAGGTTTGTATATTTCCAAAAATTGATCTATTTTCTCTAAATTTTCTAGTTTGTATGCATGGAGGTGTTTATAGTAGTCTCAAATGATCTTTTGTATTTCTTTGGTCTTGGTTGTAAAGTCTCCATTTTCATTTCTAATTGAGCTTATTTGAATCTTCTCTCTTCTCATGCTAGTTAGTCTAGCCATGGTCTATCAATTTGGTTTATCTTTTCAAATAACAAAACTTTTTGTTTCATCTATCTTTTGAATTTTTTTGGTTCCAATTTTATTTAGATATTCTGTGATTTTTGTTATTTATTTTCTTCTGCTAGCTTGGGATTTGATCTGTTCTTGTTTCTCTAGTTCCTTGAGGTGTGACATTAGGTTGTTATTAATAATTTGTGATTTTTCAGACTTTTTAATGTCAGCATTTAGTGCTATAAGCTTTCCTGTTGGCACTGCCTTTGCTGTACCCCCGAGTTTTTGATAAGTTGTGTCACTATTATCATTCATTTCAAAGGATTTTTTAATTTCTATCTTGATTTCATTTTTAACCCAAAGTCATTCAGGAGCAGATTGTGCAATTTCCATGTATTTGTATAGTTTTGAGAGTTCCTTTTGGAGTTGATTTTCAGTTTTATTCCACTGTGGTCTGAGAAGATACTTGATATGATTTTGATTTTCTTAAATTTATTGTGACTAGTTTTGTGGCCTATCATGTGGCCTATCTTGGAGAATGTTCCATGTGCTGATGAAAAGGATGTATATTCTGCACTTTTGGGGTAGAATGTTCTGTAAATATCTGTTATGTGCATTTGTTCTAGAGTGTAGATTAACTCCAGTGTTTCTTTCTGGACTTTCTGCGTTGATGACCTTTCTAGTGCTGTCAGTGGGGTGTTGAAGTGCCCCACTATTATTATGTTGATGTCTATCTCCTTTCTTAGGTCTACTAGTAATTTATTCATGAACCTGGGAGCTCTAGGGTTAGGTATATATGTATTAATGATTGTAATATCTTCTTGTTGGATTGAGCCTTTCATCATACAATGATTTTCTTTTTCCTTTTTTACTGTTGTTACTTTAAAGTTTGTTTTATCCAAGAACAGCTACTCCTACCCACTTTTCATTTCCATTTGCATATAATTTATTTTTTCCATCCCTGTACCTTGAGCCTATAAGAAGATTTACATGTTAGGTGAGTATCTTGAAGACAGCAAATATTTGGTTTGTGACTTTTTATCCATTCTCCCAATGTGTATTTTTAAGTGGAACATTTAGACCATTTGCATTCAATGTTAACATTGAGATGTGAGGTACTGGTCCATTAATCATGTTGATTGTTACTAGATACTTTGTTTTCTTCATTGTGTTTTGTTCTTTAGGTCATGTGAGTTTTATGCTTTCAAGAGGTTCTGTTCTGTTGCATGACAACCTTTTGTTTCAAGACTGAGAACTCTTTTTAGTGTTTCTTGTAAGGCTCATAGGATAGTGGAAAATTCCCTCAGCATCTGCTTGTCTGAAAAAGACAATTTCTTCTTCGTTTATGAAACTTAGTTTTGCTGGATACAAAATTCTGGCTGACAGTTCTTCTGTTTAAGGAGGCTAAAGAAAGGACCCAAATCCCTTCTGGCTTGTGAGGTTTCTGCTGAGAAGTCTGCTGTTAGTCTGATAGTTTTTCCTTTATAGGTTACCTGATGCTTTTGTCTTCCTGCTCTTAGAATTCTTTTTTTTGTCTTCCTGCTCTTAGAATTCTTTCCTTCACATTGACTTTAGATAGCCTGATGACTGTATGCCTTGGTGATGTCATTTTTGCAATGAATCTGCAAGGAGTTCTTTTAGCTTCTTGTATTTGGGATGTTTAAATGTCTAGCAAAGCCAGGGAATTTTTTCTCATTTATTCCCTCAAATAAGTTTTCCAAAATGTTGCTTTCTTTTCTCTCTCAGGAACACCAGTGATTCTTAGGTTTGGCCATTATACATAATCCCATATGTCTTGGAGACTTTGTTTATTTCTTTTCATTCTTTTTTCTTCATTTTTGTCTGACTGTGTTAATTCAAAAGCCTTGTCCTCAGGCTCTGAAATTTTTTCTTCTACTTGGTCTAGTCTATTGCTAAAACATTCCACTGAATTTTGTAATTCCCCAAAAGTGCTTTTCATTTCCAGAAGTTCTGACGGTTTTTTCTTTATAATATCCAGATCTCTAATTTTTTAATTCATATTTTGAATTGTTTTTTAAGTTTCTTTATGTTGGCTTTCAACTTTCTCTTGTATTTCATCAGGTAGCTTAATAATCAACCTTTTGAATTCCTTATCTGGCATTTCAAAGGTTTAATCTTGGTTTTGATCCACTGCTGGGTAGCTAGTGTGATATTTTAGGGGTGTTACAGAACCCTGTTTTGTCACATTGCTAGAATTGTTTTTCTGGTTCCTTCTCATTTGGGTAGACTGTATATTCTAATTACTCTTAACTTTGTTTTTGGTTTGACTGTGTTTTTTAATTTCTTTTTCCTCCCTTAAGGATGTGACTTTAATATTTATAGTTTATTGTAACGTAATTCAGCATTTGTTGCTTTCATGGGTGAAGACTCTATATGAATGACTTGTTTATAGAGAGTCTTTGTATAATGGCTTTCTCAGATGCTGGTTGTAGTAGCAATGTGCTCCTTGGATGAGCAGATTCACTCTCTCCCGTGAGGTTGGAATGACAGAGGTTTCTTGAAGCTTATCTCATTCCCCAGTGATGTGCACCTATTTATTCATTCATTTGCTTGTTTATTTATTTATTACCCAGTATTTTAT
The DNA here is from genome assembly GCF_000001405.40 of Homo sapiens. NCBI lineage: Eukaryota > Metazoa > Chordata > Mammalia > Primates > Hominidae > Homo > Homo sapiens. The sequence continues at coordinate 96,088,346 of NC_000023.11, read as the reverse complement.
TTATTGGTTTGACCACTTCATGCTTCAGTCCAGTAGTGGAGGTTTCCACAGGTAAAAACTGATTGTTGATAAAGCAAATGGGTAAATGCAAATACCCAACAGTTGGCAGTGGTTCCAGCCTTGACAGAGGTGTTTTGGGAGCTCTTAGTGAAGTGTACTGAGGTCTTTTCAGGGGTAAGGGAGGGAGCCACCTCAGTTTCCCTTCCAGACTAGCAGAAAAGCATCCTCCTTCCAGTCACCCTCCTGACTCAGTGTTTCAGCTGCTCAGATCATACAGGCACCTATTTTCTTCTGCAGAAATGCTGATGTATCATGGAGGGTGGGTGGGATTGTGATTCTACCCCTCATACAAACCTGAATCAGGAGGGCACTCCTCCTGTGGGGATCTGGTCACCATGAAGTGTTCCAGAAAGGCTATCTACAGGTGCACCCATGCTGAGCTCCAATGGGGGAAGCCCCAGATGTGTATGCAGTGGTAGATGATGGGGAAAAGAATTCCCCTTTTTTAAGATCATTTATGAGCACCAGGGCTGCCCGACTGTTGAAGAGCTACAGACTCCTCGCTGAGCCCAATACTGCACCTGTGGCTCTGCTGAAGGAAACTTTCTGCAAGTGGAAGGTTCTGGGACTGCAGGCCTATTTGAACTCTTTTGTCGCACAGAGTGTTCCCTTTATGTGGTGCACTCTCCCTTTCCATAGGAGTAGCAGGCCCTGAGAACCAAACTACTATGAATGCTGCTGCTTTTCTGGGTCTAGCTACCCAGTGGGGCTGCCACACACCAGGCTGATGTTTGGGGATGTCTGGTCCCATCCAGTGATGTGAGCTGTCCTCAAGTCTCATAGCAGTGTTTACCAGCACGAGCTCTTATGGGGATGGCAGGGCAGTGATGGAGACTGTGAAATTTCTTGGTTATAAATAGCATTAGAGTTTTGAATTTCTCAAATACTGGTTGTAGTATTAATGATCTAGTCAAATGTGCAGACTCAGGACCTCTGTATTAGCCAGGGTGATGCAGGCAATGATGATAGCTGAGGTCACACACAAGTTTTCTCCTTTCTGGGCACTGCATTATTCTACTTGCAGATGCTGTCATGGACTGTGTTGGTTGGCCTCCAGCCAGGAGTTGGTGCTTACAAAGGAGCCCAGCTGTGGTGGTAGTGGTGGGATCTGTGCTTGCCTTATGTTACCCGGGGAGGTTTTCTGGTGTTTCAGGCAATGGGTGGGGCCAGAGAGGTCCCAAAAGTTTCTGTCTTTTGTGTTAAGCTGCCAGGGCCTGTTGAGGGGCAAAGCCAGGTAGGGGCTGGATCAGGAAAGTCTATGTGTCAGGGCTCTCCATGTGCAGGGCAAGCAGCAGCCCCAGTGAGCATTGGAGGGCAGTTCTCTGGCTGCTGGGGTAATGTTATAGGGAAGAGTGCAGCTTCCTCTGCTGTACGGAAGAGTCCACATTGGGAGTGGGAAGTAGCAGGCAACAGTAAGCCCCATCCAGCTCCCGCACACATTGCAAGGCAGGTCTCACACCAGCTGTGTTCTGCTAGCAGCAGTTAGCTAGGCTCCAGGCAGTCTATGCTCAGAACTCAAAACACCCCAGGCCATAAGCCTTCCCCATGGAAACAGAAACTGAGCCATGCCCCACTTGGTCTGCCCATGAGGCAGGGGCACCCAGCTCCTGTGCCCATGGCTGTGGCACATTTTCTACCCACCCCTCAGTTTTGCACAAGGGAGTTCATCCCCACTCAAGATTATTGCAAATCTCAGTTGAGAGGTTTTCTCATCCAGTGATTACTGCCCGAATTAGTTGGAAGACTTCTAGGTGGTCCCCTGTGAGGTAGAATCAGGAGTGGCTTCCTTCCATCCTGCTGGAGACTGGGAGTGCATGCAAAGCGTATCCAGATGCCACTTCTTCTCATATACTCCCCACTGCTCACTAAATTAGCTCCAGTGCTAGTAGGGTTAAGATCTTCCCTTATGGCCTACATTGCCAAGTTCCCCAGTGAGAGTGTATATGCCAGAGGCTGTTTATCCCCATCTTACACTCTGGGGACTTACAGTTTTTCTCCTGGTTCATGGTGTAGGCTGCAGTCTGATGCTTCTTTCAAAGGGACTGTGGTTTCTTTCAGTCTTTCTGTTAAGTTCCTGTGTTGTTTCTTGGAAAAAAGTTTGCAGTGTGAATCTCTACACACTACTTTATCTTTCCCAGTGGGAGAGGCATGCTAACACTGCTTCCAATCCACTATCTTGGAAAATAATACATCTTATTTATACTTAATAAAATTTATAGTCCAAATATGGAGATATTTATCTTTACTTCTTCATAGGAATATGAAATTACACATACATGCATAAGGTAACATAAAATATCTTTCAATTTGGTTGCCTTTGTCTTTATCCTTGAGATATCAGCCAGGTTTCAATGCACTCACTAGCATATATTATAAGTACTTGGCAGGATCTACAATAATATAGATCTTTTAAGAAAATGGGTAGATAACCAGAAATTGAATATGGCAATTCCTCAAAGACCTAAAGACAGAAATACCATTCGATCCAGCAATCTCATTACTGGGTATAGACTCACCCCCCCCATATAAATAATTCTATTATAAGACACATGAATGCATATGTTCATTGCAGCACTATTTACAATAGCAAAGACATGGAATTAACCTAAATGTCCATGAATAATAGACTGGATAAAGAAAATGTGGTACATATAAACCATGGAATACTATTCAGCCGTAAAAAAGAACAAGGTCATGTCTTTTGCAGGGACATGGATGGAGCTGGAGGCCATTATCCTTAGCAAACAAATGCAGGAACAGAACATCAAATTCATGTTCTCAATTACAAGTGGGAGCTAAATGATGAGAACACATGAACATGTAGAGGACAACAACACACACTGGGGCCTTTTGGAGGGTGGAGGATGGAACAAGGGAGAAGATCAGGAAAAATAACTAATGGGTACTAGGCTTAATACCTGGGTGATGAAATCATCTGTACAACAAACCCCCATGACACAAGTTTACCTATGTAACAAACCTGCATATCCTGCACATGTACCCCTGAACTTAAGATAAAAGTTAAAAAAAGAAAGAAAAAGGAAAAAAAATAAAAACTAAAAATAATGTATATTGGCTTTTGCTGAACATATGTGTTTTTCTCCCCTCCTTCCAAATGCCCTATTTAAAATGTCAATAAAGGAATACGAATTGTAATAAATTTGTTACAGCACCAAAGATGAGAGGAATAGGCCTTACCACATTTAAATATGTGTGCATTTCTGGATTTGGAAAGGCACATACATTTTATTGGTGGATAAACTACATCAAAAGTTACTTCCAAGTACAGACACAGGAGAAAGCTACAGAATAGATGGAATTTCATAAAACGGCTGCAAATTCAGGGTAAGCAGGTATAAGGAGTAACAAGTGGAATGATTATTAAAATGACTGTTTTGGGGCGCTTTAACCAGTCAGGCCCTCTTTATATGCAGTTATGAAATTTAACCTTCAATTATAATGAGATCTAAATTACAAAAAAAATAAGACAGGAATCCTAAAAATATCCACTTATTTTAACAGGAATGGAACTTCACAGTAAAACACTCCTCATTTTGGAATGAGGGGTGGGAGTGCCTGCTCACTTTTCAGCTACAAACTATAAAGCAAAGGCAGTCTGTCAATGATATACTCTCTCTGCATACACAGAGCTGATGGTGATCTCTTTCATTCAGAGAAGGAAACCATTGAGGAAACATATATATGTAAACACACAGGAAACCTATGCTACTTAGTCATTAATTCATATATATGAATGAGCAACTAAGAATCTGTAGGTATTTGAGAAAAAAACATTTTTTTTTCTTTTTGGTAGGACCAACATGAACTAATGGAATAATTATTCTTAGAAGAATCACATAAAATCTAAAGAACAAAAGATAAAAATTCTATCCTCGGAAACATTTAAGAAATAATACAACTGATAAAATGAGAGCAGGCTGCTATGAAAAAGAAGCAAATATAGAATAAAGGTATCTTGGAAATTAAAAATTATAAATACCAAACTAAGAAATGTCAATCAAGGAGTTGGAAGAAAAAAATGAGGCACAGGCAAAAATAATGGAATAAAATATCTGAGATAGAAAATATAAATTTATAAAATCAATGCAAGTGTTCCAATATTTGTTTGTAAATTTGAATGAATTAAAAAAAGCTATTAATAAAACAAACAGAGGGTAACAATCAAACTAATAATAGAAGAAAGTTTTCTCTAAAAAGGGACCCTAGAATTAAATAAAGACGTATGTTTGCAGATTGAAAGGGACCACAAAGCAGGGATAAAACTCAAACACCAAGAAGAGAATATCTTAAAAGTATGTAATCACCTGACAGGTTTATCTTGCCCACTGCCCAGAAAAACCAACATACTGAGAACATCAGGTTTTTGTAATAGAGAAAGAGTTTAATAAATGCAGAGCCAGCTAAGTGGAAGGACAGGAGTTTACTATTATTCAAATCAGCCTTCCTGAAAATTCAGAGGCAAGGATCTTTTAAGGATAGTTTGGTGGGCAGGGGGATAGAGTATGGGAAATGCTGATTTTTGGGGTCAGGGATGAAATCATAGGGAGTTGGAGCTTGTCTTCTTGTACTGAGTCAGTTCCTGGAAGGGAGCCACAGGACCAGATGAGCCAATTTATTGGTCTGGGTGGCACCGGCTGGTCTATCAAAATGCAGGGTCTGAAAAACACCTCAAACACCAATTTTAGATTTCCTACTAGTGATCTTATCTATAGCAGCAATTGGGAAGGGAAGGTTAGGAATCCTGTGTCTCCTGGCTGCATGACTCCAAAGTTATAATTTCTAATCTTCTGGCCAATTTGTTAGTTTTGCAAAGGAGGTTTGATCCCCAAGCAAGGAGGAGGTTTGTTTTGGGAAAGGGCTGTTATCATTTTTGTTTTAAAGGTAAACTATAAATTCCTCCCATAGTCAGCTTGACGTATGTCCAGGAATGAACAAGGGCAGATTGGAGGTTAGAAGCAAACTCTCTCATACTTTCTTCTCTCCTATCCTTCCTGGCCTCTGGTAGCAATCAATCTATTCTCTATCTTCATGAGATTCACTTTTGTAGCTCCCACGTATGAGTGAGAATATGTGATATTTGTCTTTCTGTGCTTGGCTTATTTCACTTAACATAATGGCTTCCAGTTCAATCTATGTTGCTGCAAATGGCAGGACTTTATCTTTTTATGGCTGAGCAAAAATTTGTTGTGTATATATTCCATGATTTCCTTATCCACTCATCCATTGATGGACCCCAAGGTTAATTCAATATTTTGGCTACTGTGAATAGTGCTGCAATAAACATGGCAGTGCAGATGTCTCTTCAGTATACCGAATTTCCTTCTTTTGGTTATATATCCAGTAGCAGAATTACTGGATCATATGATAGTTCTATTTTTAGTTTTTTGAGGAACCTCCATATAGCTTTCCATATTGACTGTGGTAATTTACATTTCCACAAACAGCATATGAACATTTCCCTATTTAAAAATTTTGTTTTTGAAACAGGGTCTTGCTATATTGGCTAGGCTGGTCTTGAAGTCCTGGGTTCAAGTAATTCTTTCACCTTAGCCTCTCCAGTAGCTGGGACTACAGGTGCACACCACTGTGTTCAGCCGTGCATTCCCCTTTCTCCACACACTTGCCAGCATCCATTATTCCTTGTCTTTTTACTTTTAAAATATATATATATATATGATATATATATATCATATATATATATCATATATATATATGATATATATATATATATATACACACATTGAGATAGGGTTTCAGTCTGTTGCCTGTGCTGGAGTTCAATAGTGTGATCATAGCTCACTTCAGCCTTGACCTCCTGGGCTCAAGCAATCCTCCCACCTCAGCCTCCCAAGGAGCTAAGACTACAGGCACATGCTGTCATGCCTGGCTAATTTTTAAATTTTTTTGGATATAAATTCTCACTATGTTGCCCAAGGTGGTCTCAAACTCCTGGGCTCAAGTGATTCTCCCACGTCAGCCTCCCAAAATGTTGGATTATAGGCATTAACTACCATGTCCAGCTCCCTGTCATTTTATAAAACCCAACTTTACTTGGGTGACATGATATCTCATTGTGGTTTTAATTTGCATATCTCTGATAATTAGTGATATTGAGCATTTTTTCATATACCTGTTGGCCATTTGTATAACTTCTTTTGATAAATGTCTATTCAGCTCTTTTGCCCATTTTTAAAATTAGATTAGATTATTTGTGTTTTGTTGTTGTTGTTGTTGTTGTTTTGCAGTTGAGTTGTTTGAAGTCCTTGTATATTTTGTATATTAATCACTTTTCAGATGAATAGTTTGTTACTATTTTCTCCCATTCTGAGAGTTGCCTTTTCACTTTGTTGATTGCTTCCTTTGCTGTGCAGAAGCTCTTTAGCTTGATGTAATCTCACTGTTCTATTTTTGCTTTTGTTGCCTGTGCATTTGACATCTTAGCCCTAAATCTTTGCATAGATCTATGTCCTGAAGCATTTCCCCAATCTTTTTGTCGAATAGTTTCATAGTTTTAGGTCTTACGTTTAAGTCTGTAATCCATTTTGATTTGACGTTTGTATATGGTGAGAGTTAAGAGCCTAGTATCATTCTTCTGTATATGGTTACTCAGTTTTCCCAGCACCATTTGTTGAAGAGACTGTGCTTTACTTATTGTATGTTCTTGGCAACTTTGTTAAAAATGAGTTAGCTGTAAAAGCATGAATTTATATCTGGGTTCTCTATTCTGTTCCAGTGGCCCATGTGTCTGTTTTTATGCCAGTACCATGCTGATTTGTTTTAAATAATTTTGCAGTATATCTTGAAGCCGTGTGATGCCTCCAGATCTGTTCCTTTTGCTCAGGATGACTTTGTCTATTTGGAGATCTTTTGTGGCCCCACATAAATTTTGGAATTGGTTTTAAAAGAAATTCTGTGAAAAGTGTCATTAATATTGATAAGGATTTCATTTAATCTGTAAACTGCTTTGGGTAGTATTGTCATTTTAACTATATTTTTGCTTTCAATTAATGATCATGGAATATCTTTCCATTGTTTTTGTGTCCTCTTCAATTTCTTGCACCACTGTTTTACAATTTTCCTTGTGTAGAACTTTCACATGTTTGGTTAAGTTGATTCCTATATATTTATTTTATATTCTTTGTAGCTATTGTGGATGGGATTGCTTTTTTGATTTCCTATTCAGATTGCTTGTGTTGACGTATACAAATACTACTGATTTTTGTTGGTTGATTTTGTATCCTAAAACTTTATTGAATTTGTTTATCAGTTATAAACGTTTTTTGGTGGAATCTTTAGGTTTTACTAAATATAAGATAATGCCATCTACAGACAAGGCTATTTTGACTTCTTCCCTTTTAATTTGGATGCCCTCTTATTTGTTGTCCTTGCCTAATTTCTCTCGGTAAGACTCCAAGGATTCTGTTGAATAAAAGTGGTTAAAGTGGGAACATTTATCTTTTTCTAGATCTTAGAGGGAAGGCTTTCAATTTTTCCCCATTCAGTATGATGTTAGCTAGGAGTTTGTCATATATATATATATATATATATATATATATATACACACACACATGCCTTTATTGTTTTGAGGTATCTTCCTTCTATACCCGGTTTGTTGAAGGCTTTTATCATAAAGAGATGTTGAATTTTGTCAAATGCTTTTTCAGCATGTATTGGAATAATCATATGGCTTTTGTTCTTGAGTCTGTTAATGTGATGTATCACGTTTACTGTGTTGCATATGTTGGACTATTCTTATATTCCTGGGATGAATCCCAACTGATTATGAATTTGGTTGGCTAGTATTTTGTTGAGGATTTTTGCATCAATGTTCATCAGGGGTATTGGCCAATAGGTTTAGAGAGAGAATGTGTGTGTGTGTGTGTGTGTGTGTGTGTGTCCTCATCCTGTGTATCCGTGTAATGCTGGTGAGTTTGGAAGTATTCCCAACTCTTCAATTTCTTTTGAAGAGTTTCAGTAGAATTGGCATTAGTGGTTCTTTAATTATTTGGTGAATTCAGCAGTGAAACCATCAGGTCCTGAGCTTTTCTTTTTTTTTTTTTTATTATACTTTAAGTTTTAGGGTACATGTGCACATTGTGCAGGTTAGTTACATATGTATACATGTGCCATGCTGGTGTGCTGCACCCACTAACTCGTCATCTAGCATTAGGTATATCTCCCAATGCTATCCCTCTCCCCTCCCCCCACCCCGCAACAGTCCCCAGAGTGTGATATTCCCCTTCCTGTGTCCATGTGATCTCATTGTTCAATTCCCACCTATGAGTGAGAATATGTGGTGTTTGGTTTTTTGTTCTTGCGATAGTTTACTGAGAATGATGATTTCCAATTTCATCCATGTCCCTACAAAGGACATGAACTCATCATTTTTTATGGCTACATAGTATTCCATGGTGTATATGTGCCACATTTTCTTAATCCAGTCTATCATTGTTGGACATTTGGGTTGGTTCCAAGTCTTTGCTATTGTGAATAGTGCCGCAATAAGCATACGTGTGCATGTGTCTTTATAGCAGCATGATTTATAGTCATTTGGGTATATACCCAGTAATGGGATGGCTGGGTCAAATGGTATTTCTAGTTCTAGATCCCTGAGGAATCGCCACACTGACTTCCACAATGGTTGAACCAGTTTACAGTCCCACCAACAGTGTAAAAGTGTTCCTATTTCTCCACATCCTCTCCAGCACCTGTTGTTTCCTGACTTTTTAATGATTGCAATTATAACTGGTGTGAGATGGTATCTCATTGTGGTTTTGATTGGCATTTCTCTGATGGCCAGTGATGATGAGCATTTTTTCGTGTGATTTTTGGCTGCATAAATGTCTTCTTTTGAGAAGTGTCTGTTCATGTCCTTTGCCCACTTTTTGATGGGGTTGTTTGTTTTTTTCTTGTAAATTTGTTTGAGTTCATTGTAGATTCTGGATATTAGCCCTTTGTCAGATGAGTAGGTTGCGAAAATTTTCTCCCATGTTGTAGGTTGCCTGTTCACTCTGATGGTAGTTTCTTTTGCTGTGCAGAAGCTCTTTAGTTTAATTAGATCCCATTTGTCAACTTTGGCTTTTGTTGCCATTGCTTTTGGTGTTTTAGACATGAAGTCCTTGCCCATGCCTATGTCCTGAATGATATTGCCTAGGTTTTCTTCTAGGGTTTTTATGGTTTTAGGTCGAACGTTTAAGTCTTTAATCCATCTTGAATTGATTTTTGTATAAGGTGTAAGGAAGGGATCCAGTTTGAGCTTTCTACATATGGCTAGCCAGTTTTCCCAGCACCATTTATTAAATAGGGAATCCTTTCCCCATTGCTTGTTTTTCTCAGGTTTGTCAAAGATCAGATGGTTGTAGATATGCGGCATTATTTCTGAGGGCTCTGTTCTGTTCCATTGATCTATATCTCTGTTTTGGTACCAGTACCATGCTGTTTTGGTTACTGTAGCCTTGTAGTATAGTTTGAAGTCAGGTAGTGTGATGCCTCCAGCTTTGTTCTTTTGGCTTAGGATTGACTTGGTGATGCAGGCTCTTTTTTGGTTCCATATGAACTTTAAAGTAGTTTTTTCCAATTCTGTGAAGAAAAGCATTGGTAGCTTGATGGGGATGGCATTGAATCTATAAATTACCTTGGGCAGTATGGCCATTTTCACGATATTGATTCTTCCTACCCATGAGCATGGAATGTTCTTCCATTTGTTTGTATCCTCTTTTATTTCCTTGAGCAGTGGTTTGTAGTTCTCCTTGAAGAGGTCCTTCACATCCCTTGTAAGTTGGATTCCTAGGTATTTTATTCTCTTTGAAGCAATTGTGAATGGGAGTTCACTCATGATTTGGCTCTCTCTCTGTTGGTGGTGTATAGGAATGCTTGTGATTTTTGCACATTGATTTTGTATCCTGAGACTTTGCTGAAGTTGCTTATCAGCTTAAGGAGATTTTGGGCTGAGACAATGGGGTTTTCTAGATATACAATCATGTCGTCTGCAAACAGGGACAATTTGACTTCCCCTCACCACTCCTATTCAACATAGTGTTGGAAGTTCTGGCCAGGGCCATTAGGCAGGAGAAGGAAATAAAGGGTATTCAATTAGGAAAAGAGGAAGTCAAACGGTCCTGAGCTTTTCTTTGATGGAGACTTTTTGTTATGGCTTTGATAACATTACTCATCTTTGGTTTGTTCAGGTTCTCTATTTCTTAATGATTCAATATTGGTAGGCTGCGTGTGTCCAGGAATTTATACATTTCTTCTAGGTTTTTGAGTTTGTTGGGATATAGTTGTTCATAATAGTCTCTAATGATTCTTTGTACTTGCTAACATGGTCTCAGTTGTTATGTCTCCCTTTTTGTTTCTGATTTTATTTATTTGGGTCTTCTCTATTTTTTCTTAGTTAATCTAGCTAAAAGTTTGTGAATTTTCTTTATCTTTTCAAGAAACCAACTTTTTATTTCATTAATCTTTTGTAATTTTTTAGTCTCCAATTGTATTTATTTCTGCTCTGATCTTTAATGTTTCTTTTCTTCTGCTAATTTTGGGTCTGTTTTTTTCTTGGTTTGCTAGTTCCTTGAGATACATTGTTAGGTTGGTTATTTGAAGTCATTCTACTTTTTTAATATAGGCATTTATTGCTATATACATCCCTCTTAGTCCTGCTTTTGCTGTATCTCACAGATTTTGGTATGTTTTATTTCCATCTTTATTTGTTTCAAGACATTTTAAAATTTTCTTCTTGATTTGTTCATTGACCTGTTGGTCATTTCAGAGCATGTTGTTCAATTTTTATGTGTTAGCATTGTTTCAAAGTTCCTCTTATTATTGATTTCTAGTTTTATTCCATTGTGGTCAGAAAATATATTTGATATGATTCCAACTTTTTTGAATTTGTTGAGACTTGTTTTGTGGCCTAAGGTATGGTCTATTCTAGAGAATGTCCCATATGCTGATAAAAAGAATGTGTATTCTGCAGCAATTGGGAGAAATGTTCCTTAAATGTCAGTTTGTACTATTTGGTGTAGTGCGTAGTTTAATTTTAATGTTTCTTTGTTGATTTTCTGTCTGAATGATCAGTCTATTACTCAGAGTGGAGTATTGAAGGCCACACTATTATTGCATTGAAGCCTGTCTCTCTGATTCAGACCTATTAATGTTTGCTTTATATACTTAGAATCTCCAGTTTTGAGTATACAGACATTTATAGTTGTTATATCCTCTTGCTGAATTGAACCCTTTGTCTTTATATAATGACAGTCTTTATCTCTTTACAATTTTTGATTTTTAGTCTTTTTTTTTCTGATATAATATAGCTACTCCTGCTCTTTTTTGGTTTCCAGTTGCAAGGAATACCTTTTTCTACCTGTTTATTTTCAGCCTATGTGTTTCTTTATAGATCAAGTGAGTTTCTAGTAGGAAGCATACCATTGTGTCTTTTTCCTTTACCCATTCTTCCACTCTATGCCTTTTAATTGGGGAATTAAATAAATTTACATTCAACGTTATTATTGATAAATAAGGACTTACTACTGCCACTTTGTTGCTTGTTTTCTGGTTGTTTTATGGTTCTTCTTTTTCTTCTTTCCTTTTATATTGTCTTCCTTTGGGGTTAGGTGATTTTTTTTTTTGGTAGTAGGTTTTAATTTTTATTAAATCTGTCATAGATTTTGCATTTTGTTTGCATGAAGCTTACTGAGAACATCTTATTAATGTAACAAGTTATTTTGCTGGGTGTGGTGGCTCACTCCCATAATCCCAGCACTTCGCGAGACTGAGGTGAGAGGACTGCTTGAGTCCTGGAGTTTGAGACCAGGTTGGGCAACACAACGAGATCCCATCTCTACAAAAAAAAAAAAAAAATTTGCCAAGTGTCAGGGCACATGCTTGTACTCCCAGCTACTGGGAAGACTGATGGGGAAGGATCACTTGAATCCAGGAAGTTGAGGCTGCAGTGAGCCATGTTCATGCCACTGCACTCCAGGCTGGGTGACAGAGTGAGATCCTGTCTCAAAAACAAACAAACACACAAAGTTATTTTAAAGAGCTAACGATTCTTCATACTTCTTCATTCTTTTTTTCTTTTTCTTCTCTGACTCTGTACTTTCAAATATTCTATCTTCAAATTCACTGATTTTTTTTTCTGCCTGATTCATTCTGCTGTTGAAAGCCTCTAATTTTCAGTTCAGCAAATGCATATCTAATTTCCTAGATTTCTGTTTGATCTTTTAAAAATTATTTCTATCTCTGTTAAATTTATTTGATAAATTTCTGAATTACTTTTTGTGTTATCTTGGAAATCAGTGAGTTTCCTTAAAACCGCTATTTTTTTGGGTGTATACCCAATAATGGGATTGCTCGGTCAAATGGTATTTCTAGTTCTAGATCCTTGAGGAATCGCCACAGTGTCATCCACAATGGTTGAACTAGTTTACACTCCCACCAACAGTGTAAAAGCATTCCTTACCCAAAAGATTATAAATCATTCTACTATAAAGACACATGCACACGTATGTTTATTGTGGCACTGTTTACAATAGCAAAGACTTGGAACCATCCCAAATGCCCATCAATGATAGACTGGATAAAGAAAATGTGGCACATATACACCATCGAATACTATGCAGCCATAAAAAAGAATGAGTTCATGTCCTTTGCTGGGACATGGAGAAGTTGGAAACCATCATTCTCAGCAAACTAACACAAGAACAGAAAACCAAACGCTGCATGTTCTCACTCATAAGTGGGAGTTGAACAATGAGAATACATGGACACGGGGGGTGGGGTGCATCACATACCTGGGCCTGTTGAGGGGTGGAGGCCTGGGGGAGGGATAGCATTAGGAGAAATACCTAAGGTAGATGCTGGGTTGATGGGTGTAGCAAACCACCATGGCATGTGTATACCTATGTAACAGACCTGCAAGTTCTGCACATGTACCCCAGAACTTAAAGTATAATTTTAAAACAACCCCGCTATTTTTAATTCTTGTTTAGATAATTTACGTATTGCCATCTCATTAGGGTCCGTCACTGATTCCTTGCTCTTTCCATCTGTTGAGGTCATAGTTCCCTGTTTGCCGTTGTTTCTTGTGGTTGTATATCTATGTCTTTGAATTGAAGGACTAGTTATTTATTCCAGTCTGTCTTGTTTTGGTATTTATTAGATATTTTTTCTTAGATATTGTTTGTAATTTATCTACTGATTTTTTTTTTTAATTTTTCTACTATTTTTTTTTTCTTTTTGGCATTAGATGGCTCTTGAATCCCAGGTTTTCCTTGGTTCTAGTAAACAGAGTGCAGCAGCCTGTCCTGAATGGAATGAGTGTCATACCAAACAAAATATAGTGGTGTTGTGGGAAGGCTGGCTTGGGGGTTCCTGCCCAGGGGACCTGTGGAACAAACCTCCTACAACATGATGCTGCTGAATAGCTGCTGTAATTTACTATCTCCTCTGGCCAAGTTATAGAGCAGAAATTCCAAGGTTGGGGATGGCAGTCCTGCCTTCCCTCTTTGTCTCTGGCTATCCTCGAGGATATTTCTCAATTCTGGTACTCCCAAATGCTTCCTGTGGTTTGAGGTAGGGATAGATCTCCTTCCAGCATATTCAAGATGGTGAGGAAGCTGGTTGTCCACCTTGATCTCACTTTTTCCAGTGGAGAAACTGTGAGGCAGAGGAAATTTTCCATGCACTTGGTGTTGGGAAAATTGGGAGGAGGGTCACTGAAGATGTGAAAATGTGCTTATTTTGCTGTCTGCTTGGATTTTTTTTTTTTTTTTTTTTTTTTTTTTTTTTTTACTTCTCTGTGACTTCGGGAACTGACCATACCTATATTTGAGTTTTGGGATATTGCTGGTGATAATCTCAGCACTGTATATTCATTTTTGCTTTTCTGTTGGGGGAAAGTGAAGCCAGCTAACATCTATGCCATCATTTTTTCATGATCTTTGAGTTTTTATGTAATTCACCTATAAAAATGCCTGCCTAAAGAAGTGTAGTGGGTTGTTAGTTTGTTTTTGGGTAGATTTCAAAGTACAAATACATGATTTTTAAGTAGCTTTATGTCTAGTCATAGCTTCTTTTCTGTTGGTTTTGGAAAATTACATACTTTAGAAAATTGGTTTTATATTTTATTTATGTTTTTAAAAAAATTTCGGGATGGGGTCTCACTCTGTCACCCAGGCTGGAGTGCAGTGGCACAGTCTTGGCTCATTCAACCTTTGCCGCCCAGACTCAAGTGATCCTCCCACCTCAGCCTCCCGAGTAGCTGGGACCACAGAGGGGCACCACCACGCCCAGCTAATTTTTTTTATTTTGGTAGAGACAGGGTTTCACCATGTTGCCCAGGCTGGTCTCGAACTCCTGAGCTCAAGCAATCTACCTGCCTTGGCAAAGTGCTGGGATTACAAGTGTGAGCCTGTATGTTTTAAAAGATTTTTGTATAAAGTTGTTCATGCTCTCCTATAATTATGTTCTAGTTTTCTTTTAGAGTAGATTTTTATTTTGCCTTTTAATCCTCAAAATTATTAGAGTTGTAGAAGGATTAATAATTAGCCCAACATTTAGTATGAAAGTATTTAAATATAAACCTAATAAAAATAACAAATAGTGCTATAGTACATTTATGAATTTCCAATCTTGATCTTTCTGGGTTGTCATACTATAAAACACTGCATAAGGTTTTTTCCCCTTTTTTGAAAACTATGTAGCACTTATACCAAAATGATTACAACATATCAAAAAATTTCATATTTTAAAAATATATATATTCTCTTGTGTGTTAGATGTTAAAAATGAATAACCAAAGAATATATTCTTTATTCTAGAGAAGGGGTTAAGGAAATATGAATTAATTCAAGTTGATTTTATCTACTTTCTATAAATCTTGATTAGTAATTTATAAATTACATATGGACTATGATATTTCTCATTCTATTATGGAGTAAAATAAAGTAAATTTAGCATCTTCTTGGGAAGAAAGAGAAGTTAAAGGTTTGTCTTCTTTTTTTTTCAAGTATTTACAATGAGTATTGGAGAAGATTTTAACAAACATACAAAGAATGTAAGGTGGTATTTTGTAGTGTCTAAGAACATAATGTCAGGCTGGGCGTGGTGGCTCATGCCTGTAATCCTGGCACTTTGGGAGGCTGAGGCGGGTGAATCACGAGGTCAGGAGTTCGAGACCAGCCTGGCCAACATGGTCAAACCCCGTCTCTACTAAAAATACAAAAATTAGCTGGGCATGGTGGCAGGTGCCTGTAATCCTAGCTACTCAGGAGGCTGAGGCAAGAGAATTGTTTGAACCCGGGAGGTGGAGTTTGCAGTGAGCCGAGATCATGTTATTGCACTCCAGCATGGGCGACAGGGTGAGGCTCCGTCTCAAAAAAAAAAAAAAAAAAAGGACATAATGTCGAACCGGACTACCTCTATTGTATTCCTGACCAGGTTACTTCAAGACTAATTTTCCTTGTGTAAATTACTTAATTGGACCTAATGTAATAAGATAATGGGAATCTACACTACTTATTAATTTGCAAATTTTATTTATTTTTAAAATATCAGCTAGGACCCTTGGATTACCAAATCGAATCTCTGAAAATCTCCCCCAAAGGCAGTTAATATTCCAGGCAAAACTATAATATTAAATATTATGTGAACTTAAAGAATTGCATCCAATTTCCTTTCATTAGAAAAAAATACATAAAATTAATCAAAAAGATTATATTAAAGTTTTACCGACTAATTCCCTGAAAATGCTGCAGTTAATAAGAGGACTTAAAAAGGTTGACTCTCATTATTTAAAAACATCAATTTAATGACTTAGTGTATAAACATTATCAAATATTTCCACCATATATATTTCCATTCTGCATATGGAATATATAAACTAACAGAGAGGGTTACCACCTTATGCTCCACCTTTCAAGGGGAAGAGCACCGACTATGGATGGTAGGAAGACAGTGAAATAGTGTAATCAAGCAGCAATATTGTACCCAAATATCAAGTGAATTTATTATATCCCAATGGCAACTAATTTTTTCATGGAGAAAATTGTGTCAGAAGTATATTTCAAAGTGCATACGGTCAATTTAGTGCCAAAACTTTAGATATGATCTAGTTTTTGTTAAAGATACCATTGATTCAATCAGAAGAGGTCTATCACAAGCTATGATTATATTGTTAGCAAAAATCCAAAATAGGATCTAAGCAGAGCAAAGAGATAGGACAGTATATTGTTTCATTCAAAATCAGAATTTGAAAGCCTGTAATAGAAAACCACAAAAGTACAAGTCATTACCTGGAGATCATAAGGAAAATAAAAACATGAATAATCAAAATTATCTCCAGAAAGGGGAAGCTATGGTATAATTGTATGAGGGTGAGCACTGAAAATAGAAAAATACAACTTGACCAAATTTTATGAATATCATTTCATGAAAACAAAAACATAATTTGTAAAAGCAACTATTAATAATATTAATAATAGTAATACTTAAAAAGAAAACGACAGGCCAAGATGATGAAAGCTGGGGGCACATTTTAAAATAGCAAAAATATTTACAGAAAATAGCTGATGCCTATTTAATGCTAATGACTGGCAAGGTATAACTTGCAGTAATGTGAATTGGACCAGAAGATCAGAGTGTAACATGTAATACTCCAAAGTATGATAAATTAGAAGAAAGAACAGATATGTTGGTGGCTTTAATAAAAGATAATGTTGGCTGGGTGCGGTGGCTCACGCCTGTAACCCCAGCACTTTGGGAGGCCGAGGCAGGCAGATCACGAGGTCAAGAGGTCGAGACCATCCTGGCCAACATGTTGAAACCCCGTCTCTACTAAAAATACAAAAATTAATCGAGCGTGGTGGCGTACACCTGTAGTCCCAGCTACTCAGGAGGCTGAGGCAGGAGAATCGCTTGAACCCAGGAAACGAAGGTTGCAGTGAGCCAAGATTGCGCCACTGCACTCCAGCCTGGGTGACGAGAGCAAAACTCTGTCTCAAAAAAAAAAAAAAAAAAAGATAATGTTGAATATATAGAATGAGAAGAATCCGAAGGTAAATATGATGAGTTTGGATATAAAAAGAAAAAATGCAGAGGGAAGCCTGTTGGTCCTGCATCTATATGAAAGGAGGTTGAAGTAAAGAATCAGAGGGAGAAGAAGAGGATGAGGATGAAGATCTTTCTAAATATAAATTAGATGAAGATGAGGATGAAGATGATGCTGATCTCTCAAAATATAATATTGACGTCAGTGAAGAAGGCGATAGTAATAAAAAGAAATCTAATAGAAAAAGTCACTCAATATCTCAATCTTCACATTCACTATCTTCATCATGTTCATTCTCCCTTTCAAATTCAAGGTCTAGGTCCAGGTTCCCTTCAAGAAGTTCTAGTTCACAGTCAAGATCTTGTTTCAGTTCCAGAGAACATTTAAGATCCTCTGGGTTGAAATCAAGATCCAGTTCCAGGTCCCACAGGGGCTCACTAAACAACCCTGAGCCCAGGGCCAACCCTTACAGAACACATTACTTTACCCAAGCACCACAGGTCATCTTCTGGATCATTCCATTCTGGTTCCCATTCAAGTTCAAAAAAGAAATAAGGCATTAAAATGTATATCTTAATGAAATCTAATACAGTGCATGAAGCACATTTTTAAGGAAGTTGGTGTTTTTGATGGTCAGAAGTGCTAAATCTGCTAGTAGAGGTGCATGCCTTTCATCATGTTTCAGAACAATACAGCTGTGTTTATTTGTGAAGTTGAAAGTAAATAGCATTCTGTTAATAAGCCATAATGTCCCAAAATAGATGCTCTGTCATTCATGGTTTACAACCATTTGCTTCATTTAAAATCATCTCAGCTGTAACAAAGTATTGTTTCCTAATTAAACTCATTTTTCTCATTTCCACATATATCCTGTTTACTGGCTAAGACAAAATTATCTGGGGCTTGCCTGAACTTTTGGGCATGGAGGCAAAACTGGTAAACTAGTTGGAAACAACATGTTTATGTTACTCTGGGAAAAGAAGTCAACCTGTTTATGTTGTTAACCTATGTCAAAGTGATTCTTACCAAAAAAAGTTAAACTAAGTTGTAAAGCAGCCAATTGGAAATGGGTTTATTTTGAAATTTGCTGTACTAAGGGTGCCATGGAAACATTGTCTTTCTTTCATCAAGCTTTACTTTTTTTTGCACCACCACATTTAATGGAAAAGAATCTTGTGACTTGCAGAAGGAGAAAGGTGTGATTCATTTTCCTTTTCTCCTTTTTTTTTTTTTTTTTTTTTTTTGAGACAGAGTCTCACTCTTGTTGCCCAGGCTGGAGTGCAATGGCACAGTCTTGGCTCACCGCAACATCCACTTCCCAGGTTCAAGCGATTCTCTTGCCTCAGCCTCCCGAGTAGCTGGGATTACAGGCGTGCACCACCACACCTGGCTAATTTTGTATTTTCAGTAGAGATGGGGCTTCTCCATGTTGGTCAGGCTGGTCTTGAACTCCCGACCTGAGGTAATCTGCCCGCCTCGGCCTCACAAAGTGCTGGGAGTACATGTGTGAGCCACTGCACCCGGCCTTATTTTCCTTTCTGACACATAATTAGGGGCAAGAAAGAAAGTCTAACAGTTTATCTCTTCTTTTCTGATATGGTCGGTTGATAAGAAAAACATCTTATCTAAACATGTTTATCAATATTTTAAGAAGGTTTGTGTGATATTCTTTTAAATCTAGTTATCAAATGCTATAGGGTAGAAAAGGCGAAATCATAGTTAACGAGCAAATTGAAGTAAACTTTTGAAGTATATTTCTCTTTTGATGAAAGGCCAATGGAGACACTGTGAATTTAAGTGATGATTTGCTTCAAGATGTTTAACTATAAATGCACCACATGAAATTTTCTTCTGGATAATAAATGAATGCCTTTCTCTGCATGATATAAGCAAAAATTGTTATTTTTCCTATTCATTTGAGACTAATTTATGGCTTAAAATGCTTTCAGAGTTTATTTCTCAAAATTAAAATCTGGTCACATGAAGAAAACACGTTTTTCTTTGTTTCCTTTTTAGTGTAATTTTAATGACATTATTACCTGATGGCCTATGGTGGCATTACCACATTTCATTAGCTCTATTCCATGCCACTATGATCTTAAGCAAAATGCTTAAGATTGTCTAACATCTATGAGTAACATAATTTGGAGATAATAAATTTTGTTTATTATTTCAAGTGATAGATTTCATGTCATCACTGTTAATCAACATTTTTACCCTAGAATGGTAGTACACATTTTGAATTCTGAATAAATGAATTAACATATACTTGATGTAGTGCTTTTTAGTATCATATATGCACATATATACACTTTGTTTTACAGATATCCCCAGATACTTGAATTTTGCTTTCTACTCAGCTGTGTTTGAGATTATTTCCTCTCAGCTAGTGGTACTGCTTGTTTACAGTATTTTGGTATACACTTTCTCATTAGTGATTCTAGTTCTAGCTTGTTATATTATTGCATTCACAGCAAAGTATTCTTTACTGGAGCTTTTTAATTCAAAGACTCCTCTATCTCCCCTTTTCATTTAACTTTCCTGGAAAGGAATTGTCTATGATAGAGATATATTTCAGTTCTCTCAGCTAAGAATTTGGCACAACCATTTAGAATTTAATCAGAAATTCTAATTTAACTGCATTGGAGTTATACAGTTAACTATACTACACTCAATATTTTAGGTTCCTTAAATTAAGGATATTATAATGGCATATTGCTTTGTTCTAAAGAGCTGATACCTTTATTCTATGACTTTGAGTGGAAGCTGCCACAGAATTGGGATTATGATTTAAAGTGAGGTTCATGGTACCTGAAAAGTATTATGACATTGTACAGTACACTGTTTTTTTTTAAAGGAATAATGACTTCATTTTTTGAAAATGATATATGGGTAGAATTTAAACATTCAATCAATACAGAAGAGTATGAAGAGGAAAATGTAAACATTTTGCACAGAATATCATCTAGAAATAACTATCATTAATAGTTGGTGAGAAATATTTCAGTCATACATCTCATCTATGTAAATATACAGATAGAAAAGCAAATAAAAGTAAATCTAGATATAAATGGATAAAAGAATGGGTGAATGGATTGATGGATAGATAAATGGAAATATATGTTTTTCCAAAAATGTATTTATATATATATTTATAATATTTATATATACATAAACAAACCATAAGTAGTTTATAAGCTATAGTATGCAAATAAACTCTATATATAATTTTAATTTTAAAAATTTTAAGCTTCTTTTGCTTGATTTTGACAAAGAGGAACATTAATGCAGCTGAAGAAATTGATTTACTTAAGATAAATTTTTCTTTATTGCAAATGAGATTAGTATTTAAAACATACTTTAAATTTAAGAGAAATGATTTTGAAAGCCTTTAAATTGGTGTAACTACCTGACAGATTCATCTTGCCCGCAGCCCAAACAGAGCCAATTTATCAAGACAGGGGAATTGGAATAGAGAAAGAGTTTAATGCATGCAGAGGTGTCTAAATAAGAGGAGTTCTACTGCTCAAATCAGTCTGTCCGAAAATTCAGAGACTGAGTTTTTTAAAGACTGAGAAGGGGTTAGGCAGTGAGGACCTCAGTGACCTGATTGGTCAGGTCAGAGGTGACATCATAGGAGGTCAGAGCTGGTTCATCTTGCTGGCTTCTGTTCCTTGGTAGAATCGCATAACTAGCTTAACCACATTACCGGTCTGGGTGGCACCAGGTGATGCATCAGAATGCAGGGTCTGGAAAATATCTCGAACACCAATCTTAGGTTTTACCATAGTGATGTTATCACTAGGAGCAACTGGGGTGGTTCAGAATCTCATGGCCTCTGGTTGTATAACTCCTAAACCATAATTTCTAATCTTGTGGCTAATTTGTAAGTCTTACAAAGGTCGTTTTGTCCCCAGGCAAGAAGGCAGTTTATTTCAGAAAAGGGCTGTTGTCATCTTTGTTTCAAAGTTAAAGTGAAAACTAAATTCTTTCTATAGTTACCTCAGTCCAAGAACAGCAATGAACAAGGGCAGTTTAGGGTTAAAGGCAAGATGGAGTTGGTTAGGTCAGTTCTCTTTCACTGTCATAATTTTCTCACTATTTGAATTTTTGCAAAGACGATTTCATTGGGTTTTGTCTTTGACAAACAAAATGAGTGACTGAAGCTTAATTCTTAATCATCAAGGTTTATTAAGCGACTTTTAGGGCACAACTGGGAAAAACATGAGCCACAGATGTATCTGTGGCTGTTTTCCCGAAGAGGTTTTTCAGGAGGTTTAGTATTTATACATTTCATTAAGGGGACGAGGGGCGGCATGTAGAAAGAGGGACAGGTAGCCAGTTAGGTAAATACTTACATTCTTGTGAGACTTTAGTTAGTGCCCACTAAATCTACATTTTCCGTAAGTTAAAGTGAATGTCTGATAAGAAAAGGGGAGTAAAGAAAGTCAATTATGCAGACGTCTCTGGTAGGCAGAGGAATGAGTCCTGACTTTGTTCTATTACCTGGGAAGACAAAACCGTAATGACATTGTCAGTGTGGAATGGAACAGACTTTAGTTTTAAGAGCTACACTTAGATCTAAACTTAAAATTAGCATGTCTTTGTTTCTGAGAGGCCAGCCAATAACTTACTTATGAATGATCAAGGAAGCCTGATCCCAGATGCCTGAGGTCTTTTACCTTTCCATGGCAATCTGACTGATGCATAATGTTAGTAACAGCCATACATTTGGAAGAGAGTGTTGCAATCATCCTCCCTTTTGCATAAGAAGTTTGGGGGAACCTGAGATTTTGAAGTTTTTCTTTATTTCGTTTTAAAAAACTCAATGAGGTTTAATCTTAGGCCACTTCTCTTGTCTACCTGTAAGCTTGCCTCCTCTTACCTAATTTGTTATTTAAATGATTATTTTTACATTGTTAAGGGTTATACCATTTACATTGTCTTCTGTGTTTTTAATTTTAACAAGTCTTAGTAGCAATACCTAGGCAAAATAGATTTCAAGACAAAAACTATAAGAAGAGACAAACAAGGTCACTATATAATGATAAAGGAGTCAATTCTGCAAGAGGATGCAACAATTTAAATATATATGCGCCCAACATGGGAGAACCCAGATATATAAAGCAAATATTATTAGAGTTAGAGAGATAGGCACCAATACAATCAGACCTGGAGGCTTCAACACTCCACTTTCAGCATGGGAAAGACCTTCCACACAGAAAATCAACAAAGAAACATTGGACTTAATCTGCACTGTAGACCAAATGGATCTAATAGATATTTACAGAGCATTTCATCAAAGAGCTGCAGAATACACATTCTTTTCCTCAGCACATGGATCATTCTCAAGGTCAAACCATATGTTAGGTCACAAAGCTAGTTTTAAAATGTTCAAAAAATTGAAAGAATATCAAGTATCTTTTCTGAGCACAATGGAATAAAACTAGAAATTAATAACAGGAAGAATTTTGAAATCTACACAAACACATGGAAATTAAACAATATGTCTGAATGACGTGAATGAACTGATTAGCCAGTGGGTTAGGGAAGAAATTAAGAAAGAAATTGAAAAACATTTTTGAAACAAATAATAATGGAAACACAACATACGAAAACCTATGGGATACTGCAAAAGCAGTACTGATATGGAAGTTTACAGCTGTAAGTGCCTATATTAAAAAAGAGGAAAAACTTCAAATATACACTCTAATGATGCATCTTAAAGAACTAGAAAAGCAAGAGCAAACCAAATCCAGAATTAGTAGAAGAAAATAAATGATAAAGATCAGAGAAGAAATAAATAAAATGGAAATATTACAAAGATCAATGAAACAAAAAGTTGTTTTGTTGAAATGTTAAACAAAATTGAAAAACCTTTAGCTACACTAACTAAGAAAGAAAGTGAGAAGATAAAAATAAATAAACTCAGAAATGAAAAAGAAGACATTACAACTGATACTGTAGAAATTCAAAAGATCTTTACTGGCTACTATGAGCAACTATAGGCCAATAAATTAGATAATTTGGAAGAAATGGACAAATTCCCAGACACATACAACCTACACAGATTGAACCAGGAAGAAGTCCAAAACCTGAACAAACCAATACCAACAAATGAGATCAAAGCCGTAGCAAAATGTCTCCCAGTAAAGAAAAGCCTGGGACCCACTGGCTTCACTGCTGAATTCTACCCAACATATGAAGAAGAACTAATATCAATGCTACTCAAACTATTTCAAAAAATACAGGGGGAAGGAATAATTTCAAACTCATTCTACAAGGCCAATATTACCCTGATACCAAAAACACAGAAAGACACATAAGAAAAAGAAAAAGGCCAATAATTCTGATGAATATTGAGGCAAATATCTTCAACCAAATACTAACAAACCAAATTCAACAATACATTAGAAAGGTCATTCATTATGAACAAGTGAGATTTATCACTGTAATGCAAGCGTGGTTCAAAATACTCATATCAATCAATGTGGTGTATCATATCAATTGAATGAAGAATAAAAAACGTGATTATTTTAATTGATGCTGGAAATCATTTAATAAAATTCTTGCAATCCTAGTCTCTGATAAAACAGACTTTAAACCAACAAAGATCAAAAGAGACAAAGGAGGCCATTACATAATGGTAAAGGGATCAATTCAACAAAAAGAGCTAACTATCCTAAATATATATGCACCCAATACAGGAGCACCCAGATTCATAAAGCAAGTCCTGAGTGACCTACAAAGAGACTTAGACTCCCACACAATAATAATGGGAAACTTTAACACCCCACTGTCAACATTAGACAGACCAATGAGACAGAAAGTTAACAAGGATACCCAGGAATTGAACTCAGCTCTGCACCAAGCAGACCTAATAGACATCTACAGAACTCTCCACCCCAAATCAATAGAATATACATTTTTTTCAGCACCACACCACACCTATTCCAAAATTGACCACATACTTGGAAGTAAAGCTCTCCTCAGCAAATGTAAAAGACCACAAATTATAACAAACTGTCTCTCAGACCACAGTGCAATCAAACTAGAACTCAGGATTAAGACTCACTAAAAACCGCTAAACTACATGGAAACTGAACAACCTGCTCCTGAATGACTACTGGGTACATAAGGAAATGAAGGCAGAAATAAAGATGTTCTTTGAAACCAACGAGAACAAAGACACAACATACCAGAATCTCTGGGACACATTCAAAGCAGTGTGTAGAGGGAAATTTATAGCACTAAATGACCACAACAGAAAGCAGGAAAGATCCAAAATTGACACCCTAACATCACAATTAAAAGAACTAGAAAAGCAAGAGCAAACATTCAAAAGCTAGCAGAAGGCAAGAAATAACTAAAATCAGGGAGAGGAGGAGCCAAGATGGCCGAATAGGAACAGCTCCGGTCTACAGCTCCCAGCGTGAGCGACGCAGAAGACAGGTGATTTCTGCATTTCCATCTGAGGTACCGGGTTCATCTCAATAGGGAGTGCCAGACAGTGGGCGCAGGCCAGTGTGTGTGCGCACCGTGCGCAAGCCGAAGCAGGGCGAGGCATTGCCTCACCTGGGAAGCGCAAGGGGTCAGGGAGTTCCCTTTCCGAGTCAAAGAAAGGGGTGACGGACGTACCTGGAAAATCGGGTCACTCCCACCCGAATATTGCGCTTTTCAGACCGGCTTAAGAAACGGCGCACCACGAGACTATATCCCACACCTGGCTCGGAGGGTCCTACGCCCACGGAATCTCGCTGATTGCTAGCACAGCAGTCTGAGATCAAACTGCAAGGCGGCAACGAGGCTGGGGGAGGGGCGCCCGCCATTGCCCAGGCTTGCTTAGGTAAACAAAGCAGCCGGGAAGCTCGAACTGGGTGGAGCCCACCACAGCTCAAGGAGGCCTGCCTGCCTCTGTAGGCTCCACCTCTGGGGGCAGGGCACAGACAAACAAAAAGACAGCAGTAACCTCTGCAGACTTAAGTGTCCCTGTCTGACAGCTTTGAAGAGAGCAGTGGTTCTCCCAGCACGCAGCTGGAGATCTGAGAACGGGCAGACTGCCTCCTCAAGTGGGTCCCTGACCCCTGACCCCCGAGCAGCCTAACTGGGAGGCACCCCCCAGCAGGGGCACACTGACACCTCACACGGCAGGGTATTCCAACAGACCTGCAGCTGAGGGTCCTGTCTGTTAGAAGGAAAACTAACAACCAGAAAGGACATCTACACCGAAAACCCATCTGTACATCACCATCATCAAAGACCAAAAGTAGATAAAACCACAAAGATGGGGAAAAAACAGAACAGAAAAACTGGAAACTCTAAAATGCAGAGCGCCTCTCCTCCTCCAAAGGAACGCAGTTCCTCACTAGCAACAGAACAAAGCTGGATGGAGAATGATTTTGACGAGCTGAGAGAAGAAGGCTTCAGACGATCAAATTACTCTGAGCTACGGGAGGACATTCAAACCAAAGGCAAAGAAGTTGAAAACTTTGAAAAAAATTTAGAAGAATGTATAACTAGAATAACCAATACAGAGAAGTGCTTAAAGGAGCTGATGGAGCTGAAAACCAAGGCTCGAGAACTACGTGAAGAATGCAGAAGCCTCAGGAGCCGATGCGATCAACTGGAAGAAAGGGTATCAGCAATGGAAGATGAAATGAATGAAATGAAGCGAGAAGGGAAGTTTAGAGAAAAAAGAATAAAAAGAAATGAGCAAAGCCTCCAAGAAATATGGGACTATGTGAAAAGACCAAATCTACGTCTGATTGGTGTACCTGAAAGTGATGTGGAGAATGGAACCAAGTTGGAAAACACTCTGCAGGATATTATCCAGGAGAACTTCCCCAATCTAGCAAGGCAGGCCAACGTTCAGATTCAGGAAATACAGAGAACGCCACAAAGATACTCCTCGAGAAGAGCAACTCCAAGACACATAATTGTCAGATTCACCAAAGTTGAAATGAAGGAAAAAATGTTAAGGGCAGCCAGAGAGAAAGGTCGGGTTACCCTCAAAGGAAAGCCCATCAGACTAACAGCGGATCTCTCGGCAGAAACCCTACAAGCCAGAAGAGAGTGGGGGCCAATATTCAACATTCTTAAAGAAAAGAATTTTCAACCCAGAATTTCATATCCAGCCAAACTAAGCTTCATAAGTGAAGGAGAAAAAAAATACTTTATAGACAAGCAAATGCTGAGAGATTTTGTCACCACCAGGCCTGCCCTAAAAGAGCTCCTGAAGGAATCACTAAACATGGAAAGGAACAACCGGTACCAGCCGCTGCAAAATCATGCCAAAATGTAAAGACCATCGAGACTAGGAAGAAACTGCATCAACTAATGAGCAAAATCACCAGCTAACATCATAATGACAGGATCAAATTCACACATAACAATATTAACTTTAAATATAAATGGACTAAATTCTGCAATTAAAAGACACAGACTGGCAAGTTGGATAAAGAGTCAAGACCCATCAGTGTGCTGTATTCAGGAAACCCATCTCACGTGCAGAGACACACATAGGCTCAAAATAAAAGGATGGAGGAAGATCTACCAAGCAAATGGAAAACAACAAAAGGCAGGGGTTGCAATCCTAGTCTCTGATAAAACAGACTTCAAACCAACGAAGATCAAAAGAGACAAAGAAGGCCATTACATAATGGTAAAGGGATCAATTCAACAAGAGGAGCTAACTATCCTAAATATTTATGCACCCAATACAGGAGCACCCAGATTCATAAAGCAAGTCCTCAGTGACCTACAAAGAGACTTAGACTCCCACACATTAATAATGAGAGACTTTAACACCCCACTGTCAACATTAGACAGATCAACGAGACAGAAAGTCAACAAGGATACCCAGGAATTGAACTCAGCTCTGCACCAAGCAGACCTAATAGACATCTACAGAACTCTCCACCCCAAATCAACAGAATATACATTTTTTTCAGCACCACACCACACCTATTCCAAAATTGACCACATAGTTGGAAGTAAAGCTCTCCTCAGCAAATGTAAAAGAACAGAAATTATAACAAACTATCTCTCAGACCACAGTGCAATCAAACTAGAACTCAGGATTAAGAATCTCACTCAAAGCCGCTCAACTACATGGAAACTGAACAACCTGCTCCTGAATGACTACTGGGTACATAACGAAATGAAGGCAGAAATAAAGATGTTCTTTGAAACCAACGAGAACAAAGACACAACATACCAGAATCTCTGGGACACATTCAAAGCAGTGTGTAGAGGGAAATTTATAGCACTAAATGACCACAACAGAAAGCAGGAAAGATCCAAAATTGACACCCTAACATCACAATTAAAAGAACTAGAAAAGCAAGAGCAAACACATTCAAAAGCTAGCAGAAGGCAAGAAATAACTAAAATCAGAGCAGAACTGAAGGAAATAGAGACACAAAAAACCCTTCAAAAAATCAATGAATCCAGGAGCTGGTTTTTTGAAAGGATCAACAAAATTGATAGACCGCTAGCAAGACTAATAAAGAAAAAAAGAGAGAAGAATCAAATAGACACAATAAAAAATGATAAAGGGGATATCACCACCGATCCCACAGAAATACAAACTACCATCAGAGAATACTACAAACACCTCTACGCAAATAAACTAGAAAATCTAGAAGAAATGGGTACATTCCTCGACACATACACTCTCCCAAGACTAAACCAGGAAGAAGTTGAATCTCTGAATAGTCCAATAACAGGCTCTGAAATTGTGGCAATAATCAATAGTTTACCAACCAAAAAGAGTCCAGGACCAGATGGATTCACAGCCGAATTCTACCAGAGGTACAAGGAGGAACTGGTACCATTCCTTCTGAAACTATTCCAATCAATAGAAAAAGAGGGAATCCTCCCTAACTCATTTTATGAGGCCAGCATCATTCTGATACCAAAGCCGGGCAGAGACACAACCAAAAAAGAGAATTTTAGACCAATATCCTTGATGAACATTGATGCAAAAATCCTCAATAAAATACTGGCAAACCGAATCCAGCAGCACATCAAAAAGCTTATCCACCATGATCAAGTGGGCTTCATCCCTGGGATGCAAGGCTGGTTCAATATACGCAAATCAATAAATGTAATCCAGCATATAAACAGAGCCAAAGACAAAAACCACATGATTATCTCAATAGATGCAGAAAAAGCCTTTGACAAAATTCAACAACCCTTCATGCTAAAAACTCTCAATAAATTAGGTATTGATGGGACGTATCTCAAAATAATAAGAGCTATCTATGACAAACCCACAGCCAATATCATACTGAATGGGCAAAAACTGGAAGCATTCCCTTTGAAAACTGGCACAAGACAGGGATGCCCTCTCTCACCGCTCCTATTCAACATAGTGTTGGAAGTTCTGGCCAGGGCAATCAGGCAGGAGAAGGAAATAAAGGGTATTCAATTAGGAAAAGAGGAAGTCAAATTGTCCCTGTTTGCAGACGACATGATTGTTTATCTAGAAAACCCCATCATCTCAGCCCAAAATCTCCTTAAGCTGATAAGCAACTTCAGCAAAGTCTCAGGATACAAAATCAATGTACAAAAATCACAAGCATTCTTATACACCAACAACAGACAAACAGAGAGCCAAATCATGGGTGAACTCCCATTCACAATTGCTTCAAAGAGAATAAAATACTTAGGAATCCAACTTACAAGGGATGTGAAGGACCTCTTCAAGGAGAACTACAAACCACTGCTCAAGGAAATAAAAGAGGACACAAACAAATGGAAGAACATTCCATGCTCATGGGTAGGAAGAATCAATATCGTGAAAATGGCCATACTGCCCAAGGTAATTTACAGATTCAATGCCATCCCCATCAAGCTACCAATGACTTTCTTCACAGAATTGGAAAAAACTACTTTAAAGTTCATATGGAACCAAAAAAGAGCCCGCATTGCCAAGTCAATCCTAAGCCAAAAGAACAAAGCTGGAGGCATCACACTACCTGACTTCAAACTATACTACAAGGCTACAGTAACCAAAACAGCATGGTACTGGTACCAAAACAGAGATATAGATCAATGGAACAGAACAGAGCCCTCAGAAATAATGCCGCATATCTACAACTATCTGATCTTTGACAAACCTGAGAAAAACAAGCAATGGGGAAAGGATTCCCTATTTAATAAATGGTGCTGGGAAAACTGGCTAGCCATATGTAGAAAGCTGAAACTGGATCCCTTCCTTACACCTTATACAAAAATCAATTCAAGATGGATTAAAGACTTAAATGTTAGACCTAAAACCATAAAAACCCTAGAAGAAAACCTAGGCATTACCATTCAGGACATAGGCGTGGGCAAGGACTTCATGTCCAAAACACCAAAAGCAATGGCAACAAAAACCAAAATTGACAAATGGGATCTAATTAAACTAAAGAGCTTCTGCACAGCAAAAGAAACTACCATCAGAGTGAACAGGCAACCTACAACATGGGAGAAAATTTTTGCAACCTACTCATCTGACAAAGGGCTAATATCCAGAATCTACAATGAACTCAAACAAATTTACAAGAAAAAAACAAACAACCCCATCAAAAAGTGGGCGAAGGACATGAACAGACACTTCTCAAAAGAAGACATTTATGCAGCCAAAAAACACATGAAAAAATGCTCATCATCACTGGCCATCAGAGAAATGCAAATCAAAACCACTATGAGATATCATCTCACACCAGTTAGAATGGCAATCATTAAAAAGTCAGGAAACAACAGGTGCTGGAGAGGATGTGGAGAAATAGGAACACTTTTACACTGTTGGTGGGACTGTAAACTAGTTCAACCATTGTGGAAGTCAGTGTGGCGATTCCTCAGGGATCTAGAACTAGAAATACCATTTGACCCAGCCATCCCATTACTGGGTATATACCCAAAGGACTATAAATCATGCTGCTATAAAGACACATGCACACGTATGCTTATTGCGGCACTATTCACAATAGCAAAGACTTGGAACCAACCCAAATGTCCAACAATGATAGTCTGGATTAAGAAAATGTGGCACATATACACCATGGAATACTATGCAGCCATAAAAAATGATGAGTTCATATCCTTTGTAGGGACATGGATGAAATTGGAAACCATCATTCTCAGTAAACTATCGCAAGAACAAAAAACCAAACACCGCATATTCTCACTCATAGGTGGGAATTGAACAATGAGATCACATGGACACAGGAAGGGGAATATCACACTCTGGGGACTGTGGTGGGGTCGGGGGAGGGGGGAGGGATAGCATTGGGAGATATACCTAATGCTAGATGACACATTAGTGGGTGCAGCGCACCAGCATGGCACATGTATACATATGTAACTAACCTGCACAATGTGCACATGTACCCTAAAACTGAGAGTATAATAAAAAAAAAAAAAAGAAAAAAAAAATAAAGAAAAAAAAAAAAAAAAGAAATAACTAAAATCAGAGCAGAACTGAAGGAAATAGAGACAAAAAAACCCTTCAAAAAATTAATGAATCCAGGAGCTGGTTTTTTGAAAGGATCAACAAAATTGATAGACCACTAGTAAGACTAATAAAGAAAAAAAGAGAGAAGAATCAAATAGATGCAATAAAAAATGATAAAGGGGATATCACCACCGATTCCACAGAAATACAAACTACCATCAGAGAATACTACAAACACCTCTATGCAAATAAACTAGAAAATCTAGAAGAAATGGATAAATTCCTCAACACATACACTCTCCCAAGACTAAACCAGGAAGAAGTTGAATCTCTGAATAGACCAATAACAGGCTCTGAAATTGTGGCAATAATCAATAGCTTACCAACCAAAAAGAGTCCAGGACCAGATGGATTCACAGCAGAATTCTACCAGAGGTACAAGGAGAAGCTGGTACCATTCCTTCTGAAACTATTCCAATCAATAGAAAAAGAGGGAATCCTCCCTAACTCATTTTATGAGGCCAGCATCATCGTGATACCAAAGCCTGGCAGAGACACAACCAAAAAAGAGAATTTTAGACCAATATCCTTGATGAACATTGATGCAAAAATCCTCAATAAAATACTGGCAAACCGAATCCAGCAGCACATCAAAAAGCTTATCCACCATGATCAAGTGGGCTTCATCCTTGGGATGCAAGGCTGGTTCAATATATGCAAATCAATAAATGTAATCCAGCATATAAACAGAACCAAAGACAAAAAACCACATGATTATCTCAATAGATGCAGAAAAGGCCTTTGACAAAATTCAACAACCCTTCATGCTGAAAACTCTCAATAAATTAGGTATTGATGGGCTGTATCTCAAAATAATAAGAGCTATCTATGACAAACCCACAGCCAATATCATACTGAATGGGCAAAAACTGGAAGCATTCCCTTTGAAAACTGGCACAAGACAGGGATGCCCTCTCTCACCACTCCTATTCAACATAGTCTTGGAAGTTCTGCCCAGGGCAATTAGGCAGAAGGAAATAAAGGGTATTCAATTAGGAAAAGAGGAAGTCAAATTGTCCCTGTTTGTAGACGACATGATTGTATATCTAGAAAACCCCATTGTCTCAGCACAAAATCTCCTTAAGCTGACAGGCAACTTCAGCAAAGTCTCAGGATACAAAATCAATGTATAAAAATCAGAAGCATTCTTATACACCAATAACAGACAAACAGAGAGCCAAATCATGAGTGAACTCCCATTCACAATTGCTTCAAAGAGAGTAAAATACCTAGGAATCCAACTTACAAGGGACGTGAAGGACCTCTTCAAGGAGAACTACAAACCACTGCTCAATGAAATAAAAGAGAATACAAACAAATGGAAGAACCTTCCATGCTCATGGGTAGGAAGAATCAATATCGTGAAAATGGCCATACTGCCCAAGGTAATTTATAGATTCAATGCCATCCCCATCAAGCTACCAATGGCTTTCTTCACAGAATTGGAAAAAACTACTTTAAAGTTCATATGGAACCAAAAAAGAGCCTGCATCACCAAGTCAATACTAAGCCAAAAGAACAAAGCCGGAGGCATCACGCTACCTGACTTCAAACTATACTACAAGGCTACAGTAACCAAAACAGCATGGTACTGGTACCAAAACAGAGATATAGATCAATGGAACAGAACAGAGCCCTCAGAAATAACACCGAATATCTACAACCATCTGATCTTTGACAAACCTGAGAAAAACAAGAAATGGGGAAAGGATTCCCTATTTAATAAATGGTGCTGGGAAAACTGGCTAGCCATAGGTAGAAAGCTGAAACTGGATCCCTTCCTTACACCTTATACAAAAATTAATTCAAGATGGATTAAAGACTTAAACGTTCGACCTAAAACCATAAAAACCCTAGAAGAAAACCTAGGCAATATCATTCAGGACATAGGCATGGGCAAGGACTTCATGTCTAAAACACCAAAAGCAAGGGCAACAAAAGCCAAAATTGACAAATGGGATCTAATTAAACTAAAGAGCTTCTGCACAGCAAAAGAAACTACCATCAGAATGAACAGGCAACCTACAAAATGGGAGAAAATTTTTGCAACCTACTCATCTGACAAAGGGCTAATATCCAGAATCTACAATGAACTCAAACAAATTTACAAAAAAAAACAAACAACCCGATCAAAAAGTGGGCAAATGACATGAACAGACACTTCTGAAAAGAAGACATTTATGCAGGCAAAAGACACATGAAAAAATGCTCATCATCACTGGCCATCAGAGAAATGCAAATCAAAACCACAATGAGATACCATCTCACACCAGTTAGAATTGCAATCATTAAAAAGTCAGGAAACAACAGGTGCTGGAGAGGATGTGGAGAAATAGGAACACTTTTACACTGTTGGTGGGACGGTAAACTAGTTCAACCCTTGTGGAAGTCAGTGTGGCGATTCCTCAGGGATCTAGAACTAGAAATACCATTTGACCCAGCCATCCCATTACTGGGTATATACCCAAAGGACTATAAATCATGCTGCTATAAAGACACATGCACACGTATGTTTATTGTGGCACTATTCACAATAGCAAAGACTTGGAACCAACCCAAATGTCCAACAATGACAGACTGGATTAAGAAAATGTGGCACATATACACCATGGAATACTATGCAGCCATAAAAAATGATGAGTTCATGTCCTTTGTAGGGACATGGATGAAATTGGAAATCATCATTCTCAGTAAACTATCTCAAGGACAAAATACCAAACACCACACATTCTCACTCATAGATGGGAATTGAACAATGAGAACACATGGACACAGGAAGAGGAACATCACACTCTGGGGACTGTTGTGGGGTGGGGGCGGGGGGAGGGGGGGAGGGATAGCATTAGGAGATATACCTAATGCTAAATGACGAGTTAATGGGTGCAGCACACCAGCATGGCACATGTATACATATGTAACTAACCTGCACATTGTGCACATGTACCCTAAAATTTAAAGTATAATAATAATAATAAAAAGAAAAATAAATAAATAAAATTCAGTATCCCATTCTGATAAAAACCCTTAAAAAACTGGGTATAGAACGACCA
The DNA here is from genome assembly GCF_000001405.40 of Homo sapiens. Classification (NCBI taxonomy): domain Eukaryota; kingdom Metazoa; phylum Chordata; class Mammalia; order Primates; family Hominidae; genus Homo; species Homo sapiens. Next base: position 96,054,670 of record NC_000023.11, on the reverse strand, counting down.
TACTTGAAAATAATAAAAGCTGTAGATGAGAGACCTACAGCTAATATTATACTAAATGGAAGAAATATCCCTGGAAATCCTTCCCTCTAAGATCTGGAACATGACAAGGATGCCCGCTGTCATCACTGTTATTCAACATAGTACTGCAAGTCCCAGCTAAAACAATCAGACAAGAGAAAGAAATAAACTGTGTTCAGATTGGAATGGAAGAAGTCAAATTATCTTTGTTTTCAGATGATATATATAATCTTATGTTTGAAAAAAAACCTAAAGACTCTACAAAAAAACTGTTAGAACTAAAAAATTCATTAAAGTTGTAGGATACAAAACAAACACGCAAAATCAGTAGCATTTGTATATGCCAATGGTGTGCAATGTGAAAAAGAAATAAAAATTATGATTTACAATAGCCACACATAAAATTAAATACCTAGAAATTAACTTAACCAAAGAAGTGAAAAATCTCTATAATGAAAACTATAAAACACTGTTGAAAGAAATTGAAGAGGACACCAAATAATGGAAAAACATTTCATGTTCATGGATTGGAAGAATAAATATTGTCAAAATGTCCATACTATCCAAAGCAATCTGCAGATTCAATACAATCCCTATCAAGATACCAATGCCGTTCTTCACAGAAATAGAAAAAACAGTCCTAAAATTTATACGGAGCCACAGAATGCCTAGAAGAGACAAAGCTATCCTAAGCCAAAAGGGCAAAACTGGAGGAATCACATCACCTGACTTCAAATTATAGTGCAGAGCCATAGTAAGCAAAATAGCATGGTACTGGTGTAAAAGCAGACACATACACCAATGGAACAGAATAGAGAACCCAAAAACAAATTCACACACTCATAGTAAACTCACTTTTGACAAAAGTGCCGAGAACATACACTGGGGAAAAGACAATCTCTTCAATAAATGGTGCAGGGAAAACTGGATATCCATATGCAGAAGAATGAAACTAGACCCCTATCTCTTGGCATATACAAAAATTAAATCAAACTGGTTAAAGACTTAAATCTCAGACCTCAAACTATGAAACTGCTACAATAAAACTTTGGGGAAATTTTCCAGGACATTGGTCTGGGTAAAGATTTCTTGAGCAGTACCCTACCGACACAGGAAACCAAAGCAAAAATGCACTAATGGGATGACAGCAAGTTAAAATGCTTCTGCACAGCAAAGGAAACATCAACCAAGTGAAAAGGCAACCCCTCAGAATGGGAGAAAATGTTTGCACCCTACCCATCTGACAAGGGATTTATTACCAGAATATATAAGGAGCTCAAACAATTCTATTGCAAAAAATCTAATCTTATCGAAAAATGGGCAAAAGATTTGAATAGATATTTCTCAAAAGAAGACATACAAGTGACAAGCATATGAAAATGTGCTCAACATCATTTATCATCAGAGAAATGCAAATCAAAACGACAATGAGATATCATCTCACCCCAATTAAAATTACTTATATCCAAAAGACAGGCAATAACAAATGCTGGTGAGGATGTGGAGAAAGAGGAATGCTCATACACTGTAGGTGGGAGTGTAAATTAGTACAATCACTATGGAGAACAGTTTGGGGGTTCTCAAAAAAGCAAAAAATTGAGCTACCATATGATCCAGTAATCCTACCACTAGGTATATACCCCAAAGAAAGGAAATCAGTATATCAAAGAGATATCTGTATTTCTGTTTTTTATGGATAAGGAAAATGTGGTACATATACACAATGGAGAATGAGACCCATTCCCTTGCAATAACATGGATGGAAATGGAGGTCATTATGTTAAGTGAAATAAGCCAGCCACAGCAAGACAAACATTCCTTGTTCTCACTTATCTGTGGGATCTAAAAATCAAAACAATTGAACTCATGGAGATAGAGTAGAAAGATGATTACCAGAGGCTGGGAAGCTTATTAGAGGACTGGGGGACAGGTGGAGATGGTTAATGGGTACAAATAAAAGCCAGAAGAATTGAGTAACACCTACTATTTGATAGCACAACAGGGTGACTATAGTCAAAAACAACTTAATTATACATTTAAAAATAACTAAAAGAATTTAATTGGATTGTTTGTAACTCAATGTGTGATAAGTGCTTGAGGAGACAGATACCCCATTCTCCATGACATGATTGTTTCAAATTGCAGGCCCATATCAAAATTTCTCATGCACTCCGTAAATACATACACCTACTATGTACCCAAAAAATTAAAAATTGACAACAAATTCCCACAAGTCTTAATTGTATTTTGAAATAGCTTATGTGATCACTGGATACAGATAATCTCCTAAGCAATTATATACCTTCTCCACAGCCATTGCTTGCAAGGTGGACAAAGAATAGGGGAGGAATGAGGAGGAAGAGAGAGATGAGGAAAAACAGGTTACATGCTTTCAACATCCCTGATCGGATGACTAATGCAGTTGTAGAGAGACCTGAGGAAGGAAGAGGAAGTTGAAGTAATGATGATAGATGATAATACCTAAAGTTATTAAACATTAACCTGAAATTAGAGTCGTTTAATAATAAAAATGTCTGAGAAGTTATGAAATTAGAATAAATTATCCCCCAGTACCCAAAAGGCAGTAGATGCTGCAGAGAAAAGTAGGTATCCGTTTCTGGAAAAAAAAGTTCTACATGTTTTTCCATACTTTAGTTAGTTGAGACTTCTGAATCCAATTAATTATAGGCTTTTATAATATTTTATTATTGAAAACTTCAAATATACACAAAAGGGAACAATCTAATGATACACATGAAGCTATCAGCTGTCATCAAATATCAACATTTTGCCATTTTTATCTATTACTCCATTTTAAATACAATATATTTTTCTTTTTAACTTTCAACTTTTAAATATTTTATATTCACAGAAAAGTTGTGAGAATAGTACCAAAGATGTCTGAATAGTCATTCACCCAAATTTTTTGAATGTTAACATAATACCAAATTTTACTTGATCATTCTCTCTGTAGATACGTACTGTCTTTTTAAAATTTGTTTGATGATAAATGGACAGGATCCCCTCTGACTCCTAAATACTACAGTGTTTATTTCTTAAAAAGAAAGACATTCACTTAAATAACCACAGTAGAATTGCCAAAATCAGGAAATAAATGCTGATACAATGCTGGTGTCTAATCTTTACACCTTATTAAAATTTCGCCAATGATATTTACAGCAGCAGAAAAAAAAAAACACCAATCCAGCATCACACATTGCATTTAATTGTCTCTCTAGTTCTCTTTACTCAAAAAGTGTTCTTCAGTCATGGTGAAGACATTTTGTCCCAGGTTTTCCATCATCTTGATATTTTTGGCCACCCCGTCTGAGAAGTGAGGAGACCCTCTGCCTGGCAACCTCCCCATCTGAGAAGTGAGGAGCCCCTCTGCCTGGCAGCCACCCCGTCTGAGAAGTGAGGAGCCCCTCCGCCCAGCAACCACCCCGTCTGGGAAGTGAGGAGCGTCTCCGCCCGGCAGCCACCCAGTCCGGGAGGGAGGTGGGGGGGTCAGCCCCCCGCCCGGCCAGCCACCCCGTCCGGGAGGGAGGTGGGGGGGTCAGCCCCCTGCCCAGCCAGCCGTCCCGTCCGGGAGGTGAGGGGCATCTCTGCCCAGCCGCCCCTACTGGGAAGTGAGGAGCCCCTCTGCCCGGCCAGCCGCCCCATCCGGGAGAGAGGTTGGGGGGTCAGCCCCACGCCCGGCCAGCCACCCCGTCTGGGAGGGAGGTGGGGGGGTCAGCCCCCCGCCCGGCCAGCCGCCCCGTCCGGGAGGTGAGGGGCGCCTCTGCCCGGCCGCCCCTACTAGGAAGTGAGGAGCCCCTCTGCCCGGCCGCCACCCCGTCTGGGAGGTGTACCCAACAGCTCATTGAGAACGGGCCATGATGACAATGGCGGTTTTGTGGAATAGAAAGGGGGGAATGTGGGGAAAAGATTGAGAAATCGGATGGTTGCCGTGTCTGTCTAGAAAGAAGTAGACATGGGAAACTTTTCATTTTGTTCTGTACTAAGAAAAATTCTTCGGCCTTGGGATCCTGTTGATCTGTGACCTTACCCCCAACCCTGTGCTCTCTGAAACATGTGCTGTGTCCACTCAGGGTTAAATGGATTAAGGGCGGTGTAAGAGGTGCTTTGTTAAACAGAAGCTTGAAGGCAGCATGCTCGTTAAGAATCATCACCACTCCCTAATCTCAAGTACCCAGGGACACAAACACTGCGGAAGGCCGCAGGGTCCTCCGCCTAGGAAAACCAGAGACCTTTGTTCACTTGTTTATCTGCTGACCTTCCCTCTACTATTGTCCTATGACCCTGCCAAATCCCCCTCTGTGAGAAACACCCAAGAATGATCAATAAAATAAATAAATAAATAAGTAAATAAATAAATAAATAAACCCACAATGCAAAAAAAAATAAAATAAAATAAAACATACCTCAAAAAAAAAAAAAAAAAAAGAATGTTAGCCAGTCATTTTGTCTCTCAGTTTGGGTGTGTTTGTTGTTTCCTCATGATTATATTCGGTTTATGCATCTTTGGCGGGGATACCAGAGAAGTGTTATTATGTGTTTCAATGCATCCTATCAGATGGCACCATTAGAAATGATGTTAACCTTGGTAACTTGGATATGACGGTATCAGGCAAGTTTCCCAATTCTGAAGTTGCTATAGTTTTTGTAATCAATATTTTGGAGAGATACTTTAAGATGATTTAATATGCTGGTTTTCATTAAACATGCACCCACTAGATTTATAATCCATTGATGATTCTTGTCTGAATTATTACTTCCAAAGGTGGAGACAAATGCTATTAGTAATTTTATAAATCTATAATTCCTTTTGCACTTACTAATTGTCATTTACTATTTCAATAACAGCTTTCCCTACTCATCCATTTATTCATTTTTGTATATAAGTATTCTTATTTTAATCTATGGGTTATTAATCCTTGTTGTCATTATTTATTTAATGCTCAAATCGTCCTGCATTAAGAAGTCTTGGAAACTAATATTTAGAGACCAACATTTGGACACTAGGTACTCATTGCTTCTGGGGTGCCATTGCTTTAGGTCCTCCTGATAGACCTAGAAAGTGTGTGTGTGTGTGTGTGTGTGTGCGCGCACACACATATATGCATATGTGCCTACCTATCTATCTGAAAAACCATGAGTTCATACTGTTGTCTCCAATTCTGATATAAAACCACAAAACTCATTCTAACCTCCACTCTTTCCAGATTTGTAACTCACTTCTCCAAAAGTAACAAATCTATCTCCATTTCTCTGCAATACATTCCACTTGTTGCTCAATCCTACAAGATACACACACAAGATACACACACACACACACACACACACACACACAGTTTGAGAATTGTTAACCCATAGCACTGGGAAAAACAACAACCCTTTTAACTTAGTGTCCAGTGTGTGTGTGTGTGTGTGTGTGTGTGTGTGTGTGTGTGTGTGTGTGTGTCTACAGCCCAGAGGTGTATAGCCAAAATACTATGTTAATAGGTTAATTGGGTTATTTTTTTTTTTGCTCCCCTTCAGTCTGAGGATGTTATTTATTTGAAATACCAGTAAGTTCTCTTTTATTCTGTTTGTTTATATTTCCTTTTGTTTTTATTTTCCCCATCCTGATTGGTTTTACTTTCTAAATATGTGAAATGTTGATATGATTTCAGAGCTGTAAGCAAAACTACATGGGAGAGAAGTGTTATCTTCTATCCCATTCTCACTCTCCCACCCTTTCCACTTCATTCTCATGCACTATCTAGAGGTAACAAATCTCATTTGTTTCCGATTTGTCCTTCTTATGTTTCCTTTGGTGTAACTGAGTAGATATACATTGTTTTATTTCCCCCTTTTCCTTAAGCAAAAACTAGCATACCTTTGCACTTTACATAATATTCTATTATGTGGCTCTGCCATAGTTTTCTAGGTATAGCCATTTAGATTGTTTCCAATATTTTACAGTTGCATACAACACTGCAAGGAAGAACCTTATGCATATGCATTTTCCTGTTTCCGGAATTATATCTTCAGGGTAAAGTTCTAGATGTTGGGTTGCTGGATCAGAAGATAAATGCATATGTAGCGCTCATTAGACATTACTGAGTTCCCTTCCATAGATGTTGGATGAGTTTGCATTCCCACCCACAATATATGAGAATGATGGTTTTCCTACAGTTCACCGGTAAAATGTATTGTTGTAATTTATAATTTTTGCCAGTCACGTAGGTGAAGTATAATATAACAATGTACTTATAATTTGCATTTCTGTAATGATGAATAAGGTTGAACTTCTGTTCATATGTTTAAGGGATGTATGTATATATGTATATATATATATAGAGAGAGAGAGAGAGAGATAGTTATAGATATAGATATAGTGACTTGTCTATTCATGACTTTTGCCCATTTTCAATTGGATTTTTGGATTTTTTCTTCAACTTTTAGGAGTTGTTATAAAGGTAGAGCTATTAGCCCTTTAATTGTGATATATGTTGAAAATTTTCTCCTAGTTTGTGAGTTATCCTTTGATTCTGGGCCTGGAGCTTTTTGATGGCTTTAAAATTTTTGTATTAACAAATTTATTGATCTTTTCTTTTATTCAGTCTGGATTTGAGTCATAGGTGGACATTTTTTCCCTATATTCAGATTTTATTCTAGTACCTGTATAGTTTTATTTTTTATATTTAAACCCCTGATCCATTCGGAATTTGTTATTCGGAAATAGACTTTTTGTCTTCTTCTAAAATGGCTGACTGGTTGTTCCCACACCATTAAAAAAAAGTCTATCTTTATCCCAGTGATTTGAGATGCCTACATTATTATATACTAAATTTCCATGTGTACTTTGGTCTATTTCTGGACACCCTATTCTATTGCACTGGATTGTTGGTCTATTCATGCATGAATACTGTACGGGTTTAATAATAGAAATCTATGATATGACTTAATGTATGGTAGGCTGATCTTACCTTGTAAGTTTCTATTTTCAGTGTTTACTGTTGATATTTTGATTTTGTTTTTCCATATAAACTTTAGTATCAACATGTTTGGATCCACGAAAAAAATTGCTGATATTTGTATTGGGATTGTTCTAAATATATAAAGGAACTTATAGAGAGAACTGACGTTTTATCATATAGAGTCAACCTATCCAAGAAAAAGGAATCTTTATCTCTTTGTTTGAGGTATTTCATTATATCTTTCAAGAGTATTTTAAAAATTTCCTCATATAGGCTTTCCACATTTTCTATTAATCCTATTCTTAGGTGTTTCATATTTTTGTTTTTCCTGTAAATGGGGATTTTTATACCATTACATTTTCTAGCTATTATTGTTTTTATTTGTAAAGCCTATTGACTTCTGTATAATGATTTTACATCTTGCTACCTTACTGAATTATTTTGTTACTTTTAGTTTTGAATCTCTAATTTTTTTTCAGATATACTATCATATCATAGTTTTTATTCTTGTAGTTCTCACTACCTTTAATTAATTTATCTTTTCTAATTGCATTGAGTGATATCTCTGTCCAATACTGAAGAATAGAGGAGATAGTGAGCATTTGTATTAGTCTCTTCTCACCCTACTAATAAATACATACCCGAGACTGGGTAATTTATATAGAAAAGAGTTTTAATTGGCTCACAGTTCTGCATGGCTGGGGAGGCCTCAGGAAACTTACAATCTTGGCAGAAGGGGAAGAAAACATGTCCTTCATATGGCAGCAGGAGAGAGAAGTACAGAGCAAAAAGGGGGAAAAGTCCCTCATAAAACCATCAGATCTTCTGAGAGCTCACTCACTATCATGAGAAGTGCAGCATGCGGGTTGGCATCTCCATGATTCAATTACTTGCTACCAGGGCCCTCCCATGACACATGGGGATCATGGGAACTACAATTCAAGATGAGATTTGGATGGGGACACAGCCAAACCATATCAACATCTTTGCATTATTTTGTATTTTAGTTGGAATGACTCTAGTGTTTTCTCATTAAATAAGATGCTGACTTTTGGGCTAAAAAGACACAGGTAGAAACAAGGACACTAGTTATAAGTCTATGTCAGTAGATCAGATAGAGATCGTTTGGTCAGGATGATGGTGGTGGAGACACAGAGAAGTAGACAGCTTTGAGATATATATTCTAGGTATCAGCAACTGCTTGAGTAGGAGTATTATAGGATAGAAAAAAAAAACCTTAAATTCAAGCAAGCGGGTGTGTGTATGTACTGTCTCCCATATAGATTGTAGGATTCTTGGTAATAAGCAACTGTAGTTTAGTAGTTCAAATATCATGCTTTGGAATAACATTTCCTGGATTTAAATAAAGGCTTCAGCAATTACTATATAGCTGTGAACAAGTTATTTCTGAATTTTCTATAATAATAGTAAAACCTATTAATAATCTAAGTATTATCTTTTATACAGATAGGGGAGAAAATAAAAGATTAAATGAAATAAGAAAAAACCAGACATAATAACAACAACAAAACCTACAGCAGAGTACTTGTATATATAAAGACACGATAAATGTTAGCTATGATGATGATCATGATGACGATGATGATAGTTCTGTATCATTAATACAGCTTGGCATCTATCAAGTACTCCAGAAATACCGTTGAACTAATGATTAAGTTTAAAAGTTCCTCTTTATTTAAGACATCTATTTTCCGTCATTGTCTCATATCACAAGTTCTTGTAAGTATTCTGACGTGTCAGGTTAATGTTTAGGTTTTAGTACAAATATTTTGAAAGATGCAGTAAACTAAAAGTATCCTTAAAAACCTCAGACTATTTCTCTTGAGAGGTTACATATTTACCAAGTAAAACTGTAGTGTTAAAACATAGTCAGTTTCATCAATTAAAATGTTTTATTTGTGTCAATGTACAGCATTCTGCCCAAAGCAGAATTTTTTTCAGGAAAAAATTTTCTCTGACACCAGATTAACAAGGTGACCACCTTTAAATGGACTCTCATTTGTTTGGATGACTAGGAGATAAGAGTGGAAATGATCATTATGTACTTCTTGTGAACTTAAATAATAATTCCATTTCTGAATGAGTTATATTTTGTCATCATTTACTTGGTTAAATTCCCATTAAATAAAATTATTCAGGATGCCTTTGGTGGGAAAAATTTTAATTAATAAATACTATGAAAAACTCTTTACTGTCTAGAAATAGCTCATTACTTTTTAAAAAACAAAGTAATGTAAAGTTATTATGATTGTTATATTTTTAAATCTGGATATAGTTCTTTTAGCATGTTATTCTCTTAAAGGATAGTGCTACTAAGATCATTGTTGTTCTCAAAAATAAATCCATTCATGGTTATATTTAGTGTTGCATTTTAAACATATTTGCACATTTTATATAGACATAATAAATATGCAAAATAATTTCAAAATTAGTATATCTTTACATATTGTCTATATTTTGTAGCTACATACAGTATGATTATTTATTGCCTTTGAGTTGATAGTCATTAAATTTAATGTCAAGAAAAAAAAGAATGAGAGTCATCCTACTACAGTTTTGACTATGATGATTCTGATTGAAGTCATTGGGTATTTGGTGCATGAAATGGTGACAGTCTGTAAACGTTGAGATTTTTCAATGAAAAAACACATTTTATAAAATATACTTTTGAAATGTGTATCCTTAGAATATATCTTTAAAGATTATTATTCAATCATCTTTTTTGATTAATCAGAAGTCCATTAGTAAAAGACATTGTTATTATTTGCTTCTCATATCATATTGTACATAGATATTGCATTTCACTCTGCTTGTAATATAAATATTCTTGTATTAGTCATTGAAAGTATTATGTATCCTAGTTCAGAGTGGTTATCTCTAGCAAACAGAAAGCTATTTCCTTAGCTATGATTATGCTTAATGGTTCATAAATGTCTGCATAATAATGCTCTTATTTACTTATCCTTCTTGTTTATTTTCATCATGACTAGTTATTCTTTAAGGCCCCTTATATGACACAAATTAGTCATTCTATATCCCTAAACTGGAGTGTTGAATTTATATTAGATGATCTTCTGCCTATACTACAATCACTTTTTAAATACTGTAAAATGAAGTAGCCCAATTTTTAAATGGATTACAACATTGCAGTTAAAAAGAAGGGTAGAGATACATATTACCTTATTTACACCATTCTGATCATGCTAAAATTCAATTATAAACAACCAGTATTATTTTAAAATAAATAGAAAAGGCAATATCTTTATGAAGGACTCTCACAAAAGCTATCTTTCATGTCCTTTTTAAAGCAACCATAACATATGTGATTACCTTGCAATCAAAACCTTTTTTCTTCATTGTTATTGCAGAAAGGATCCAGAAAACAATTATTCCTAAAAACAAAAAAAAATGACTGATTTTTCTGTTGGGTGTTGGAGGATGTTTGGTTTTTGAGAAAGGTCATTACAACAGAAGTTAGATGCCAAGCAAGAATGAAAGTAAAAAAAGAAAGAGTGTCATCTTGTTGTAGTTTTGACTATGATGATTTTGATTGAAGTCATTGGATGTTTGGTGCCTCAAATGATGGCATTCTATAGTTTGAGGGAAATTTTCAATGAAAAATCAACCTGGATAGGAATGTAATCAAGAAGGTAAACATATATAAAACTAGAATCCTATATGAGGTTGACTTTCATACCAGACAGCTCGAGTATGGTTGAATGCATTACTAGGAAATACAAAGACACCCAGTTTGAATCAGTAAAACAGGACTCAGAATACAGATTTCTGGACCCAAACTCATTCCTCATGAAGTTTTTCTGCTTTCAGCAAAGCAGATCCCATCTTCAGTTTAAGTCAATCACAATTTTTCTACCCTCTGTCTAGAATGCTTTGTTCAGGGCATGTAACCTAAGGTGGCTCAATCAGGGTAAAATGCTGTGACAGAAGAGTATTTTTGTTGTTGTTGTTCTGGAAAGCATGCTATGCATTGTGAAGCCTGAAATTGCAGTAGTTATCTCACCACCAAAGTAAGCCAGCCTGAGGACAAAGGCAGCGCACCAAAAGGGCCAGAGCTGAGAGCATCACTGACCAAATCACAGCTGAGGCTCATCCTACCTTTAGACTTTCCTTTACATGAACCAATAATTTATTTTTTGTTTGTTTAAAGAATTTGAATTGTTTTCTGTTGCTTACAACAGTAAAAGTCCTGACTGATTCAGAAGGTGTGTACCTCATGAAGTTGGTAAATGATGATTATTCTGATTATTGGATATGGGAAAACCTGAAGCCAAAGGAAGTCTAGATTTAAGAAAAACTTCATTGTCATTTCATAAGGAAGCTCTCTGGGGCCATTTACACATCATTAAAGCAACATCACTATTACCACAAGTGACTGGAGGGATAAATTAGAGGAAAAAGAGGAACAAAAAACTAGAAATGCTTCTGAATCATGCAACCATGTTTTATTTATTTTTATTATTTATTTATTTTTCTTTTTTCCTCAGTGATCCTCACTCTGAGCAACCATGTCTTAAAGTGAGAATCTCTCCTCCCCAATAGAAAATATTTGCTCTTTCTGGAGCCCTCTACCTGCTATGTTAGCACATCTACAGCTGTATCCATTTCCTGGATTTTGCTTTCCATCCTTTGAGTTCTGTATTTTGTGAGATTGAACAGTAACAAATAGTTATAAGTTTTATAACAGATAAGGAACGTAGAAGTGGCACATAAGCAGCTGAATATATGCGTCTTGAGCAAATATTTTCAAATGTTAGTAAGAATGTTTTCAAACGTTATTAAGAATCACTTCATATCTGATGCAAGTGGTCATTTCACGTGTGAAAAGCGGACATAAGTAAGCGACTCTCACTATATATTTTCATGGATTTAGATACTGAAAACTAGACAATATTGACTCTAATAATGTAGTATTTAAAATCATGTAAAGTTATACAATTGTTATTTATAGTCTCATTTAAATCAGTTGTGAAACTGATTATATTAGGTCTTCATTTCATCAGCATGGCTTATAATACTATAAATTGACTTTTTAAAGCAGTATAGTATCATATTTTGTAAAGGGCAGTGATTTGACTTAAGATGGATCTGGATTCTAATCCCAATTACTTAAACAGTAATTTAACATAATTTTACCTGAATTTATTAGTATATAAATTATAAATAATTATGTCTTCTTCAAAGGCCTTTTGTGAAAAACATAAAGGTATACAAAACACTTAACACAGAATTTTATTTGAAATAGAAGCTAGTAAATAATAGCTGCTATTATTTGAATTCCTTATTTAACTTTGTACATTTAATTAAAAATAAGGCCTATTATTTGTTTGATTAGGATGGTTGTGGAAAATGACCAACTGGGGGACAGTCGGTATAACAATCATAAACCGTCACTTTAGTTCTTTGAGACCCAGATAGGTTGTATAATGGAAAAAAGCCAAAGATTCAGTGCCTTAATCCTCCTGAGAGTAGGATAGTCATCTTTAAAAACTTATTGCCTGATATGATTAATATTTATCCTGAAATAGAAATTATGTGAAAAAGAAAATAAGGGAAAAGGTCATAGCTGTGCATTATGTATATGCTGTTGACAAGGCACAATAGTACTCACACCTGAAGTAAGAGGACTCTGGATAGGGCAACGATCAATTAAATAAAAGTGTAAGCATCAGTATAATAAAGGTCTAAAGATTCCACGTAAAGTTATACAGTTAGGTTTACTCGAATATTTTAAATACTGTAACTATCATTAATTGCATAACTATATCACAGAGAACCTTAATTACAAAATTAGATGATTAAATAGAAATGTGATGTTAGACAAAATAAATAATATGCCACAATAACTTTTCACCTCCTACCTGATAACTTGAAAACATTTAAAATTAGAACTAAATAGTATTATGCTCAGTGCAGTGTTTCTGAATTATTTTTAACTTTTTAAAAATGCCAATACTACCTGTTTACTATCCCTGAATTAACCCGAAAGGTTGATGAGTTTTCTTAACAGAGGAAGATAAAGAACTTGGGACCCAAGAAGACAATGTACAAAATCATAGTATTGATTCAAGTCTAGTGGAAGGAAAGGAGACACTCAGAGACTATGTCTTGTCATTATATAACTATTGGAAAACTGTAGTGGATACAAAAGATTTTCCTGGGACCAAGTTTTTTATCAGGCCATTATGTAGTCAAAAAATTTTGACATAATTAATATATACAAAATTGTTGGAAAGGTGGAGGACTGAGTGTCTCAGGTCACGTTACCAGCTTTCAAGCTCACTGTCACAAAGAATTAGAGTTGCTACCACACGGAATTAGGAAATAAAAAGAATCTTCTGAAAGACTTCATAGCTCTTCTTTAATCCCAAGAAGAGTAAACAGCAGGAGAATACAGAAATGACTTTAAAAAACTCTCATATCTGGGATGCCCAGACCTCTGTCTACCACTACTATCAGAGGAAGAAGATGGATTTTGCCACTCTTTGTCCAAATTATATGTGAAAACATCTCATTTTTAAAATATAAAATGCATATGTAAAAAGATAGAGGCTTGGTAATCTGGAAAATGTAGTTCCAATGTTTCCAGCTCTTACAGTGGAGGGGAGAACATAGAAGGTAATATAACAGTTGCCAAAAGTCATCATAAAACATTCATTAAGTCCTCTTCGTCAGCAAATAGAATCCATATACACACTTCCGCAACAATAGCAAACATGTATTATACCTAACCTTTTGCAACTGTCTTTAATGCAAATAAAGGGAGACCCAAAGTCCTATCTGTCACTGTGTCTATCTCTGGAGGATATTAATTTTTCTTCTAGTGTAGCCATATGCTACTTTAGGTATCCTGTAGCCTAAAGACTATAAGATTAGTGACCACTAATATGTCTTCATATAATAAGGGAAGGAGGGAGGCAACATTTTAAAAAAGATATTTGTTCATTATACAAATATATACAAAGAAAGCAAGGATGAGAATATGTCTACTGCAGTCCTCATTTCTGCAACTCATAGTTGGAATTTAGAACTTTCTTTACTCTTCATTTCATATTCATTTGCCTTGAAGGATATCTTCTGCTGACCATGGTTATTTGCTGGTATGGTAAGACATGGCTTCGTTTCTGAAGAATCTCAGCTCTTAGTGGTGGTGCTGGCATTGGCTTTTAGTTATTTTCAACTAATTTTAGCCACTGAATATAGAAGTACTAATGGGCACTCTATAAAATCCTCTGGTTTCCAGACATTTTCTCTATTTTGAGGAGAAGCAACTGAATTTCTCACTGACAATCAGGATCAATTGCACAGACAGCACAAAAAGGAGGCAGTGATCAAGAATTAAGGGACCTCAATAGGCAACTGCAAAGAACATCTCAAACAAACACAGCCTAGGAAGATCAAAACAAGCCAGAAAATGAAGACTCGCATAAATAACTAATCCTTTAATGCAAAATAATAGACACATCAAAAGGAAATGACAGCAAACAGGAAACCATGACCTAATGAGATGGTGATATATGAACTCTTAGATCAAGAATTTGAAATAGCAGTCCTAAGGAAACTCTGAACTCCAAGGCAACATAGAAGAATAATTCACAAATTTATCAGAAGAATTTAACAAAGAGATTGAAATAATAATTTAAAATATCAAATGGAAATCCTGGAGCTGCGAAATACATATACTGAACTGAAGAATACATTGGTGGTTTTCAACAGTAGAGTGAATTAAGCAGAAGAAAGAATCAGTAAGCCTGAAGACAGACTTTGTATTTGAAAATACACAGTCAGAGGAGAAAAAAGAAAAAGAATGAAAAAGTACAAATAATGCCAACACAATATAGGGAATAACTACAAAAGAGCAAATTAAAAAGTGTTCAAGAGGGAGTTGAGGAAGAGTAGAAAGCTTGTTCAAAGATGTAATAACAGAAAACTTTCCAACCTAGGTCGTTGTATTATGTGAAATAAGCCAGGCTCTGAAAGACAAATACCTCATGTTCTCAAAGCATACGTGGGAGCTAAAAAAGTGGATCTCATGGAGGTAGACATTTGATTGGTGATCACCAGAGGCTGGGAAGGATTGAGTGGATGAAAGGAATTAAAGAGATTGGTTAAAGTGTACAGAGATACTGATATACGGAAGGAATAAGATCTAGTGTTTGATAATATAATAGAATGACTGTAGTTAACAATAATTTGTTGTACAGTTCAAAATTGCTAGAGGAGAGGAATTAAAATATTCCCAACATAAAGAAGTGAATGTTTAGTGTGATGGATGTCCTCATTACCCTGGTTTGATCATTACACACTCTATGCATGTATCAAAATACCACATGTATCCTCAAAGTAGGTACAACATTATGTATCAATAAACAAAAAGAAAAATGGACAGACATAACAGGTTATTTATAAGGTAAAATAGATAATACCTAGTGGATAATTAGATGGTTGAATGGCTGGAATGCCCATGACATTCACTTGGACAACGGTATATGGAATATTGTAAACCCATAAGAATACTAATCTTCAATTTTGTTCTTTGGCCCATAAGCCCAATTACAACAAAGATACTTTTGAGTTTATACATGAAAACCACATATCTACCATATATTCTTTTGCTCCCACTTTTTGAGATGAATACATAAACATGTCCAGCCCTTAATCCCCTACCTAAAACACATAAATATTTCCCAGGAAATTCTAGGAGTAATTTTGAAATGCTAGTCTATCTATAGATGGGCTAAATCAGAATAATTTTGGAGGACGGCAAGTACTGAACATACCAATCTCTAGATACTATATACTACATCAGTATAACTTGTGTGAGGCCCAGGAGTCTATATTTTAAATAAGTACCTAAGATATTTATGCACAGACATGTTTGTGAACCATGGTGGTAAACTCTAGACTGACCCAGGACCCTTTATATCCATTTAATATGAGTCTGCAAAAGGAAGGCAGAAAAATGTCCTAGCTCGTGAACTTGCAAAGGATATTGGTTATGTTTCAATGATTTTCTTCTTCAATCAAGAATGAAGAGAAGGATAAAGTGGTTTCTCTCAATTATGGCTCTGCTCTATGTAACTGTGAGGATAGAATCAAATAGAACTAAAAATGACAGTGCATCTAAAATGTGGCCTTATTTATAATTTTTTATTTCCTTTTACAGCAAACTCAACACTTTTCTCCATTCTTTCACTTACTTTTGACACTACTAGATGGCTTACCATGAAATACTTTATATGTGCTAATAATCATATACTTAAATAATGTACAATTGCTTATAGTAAGTAAAGCAAAAGGAGGAACTTTTTGGGGAAGTTTGGAACCCAACTATTTTGTTCATAGGACTTATAATGTTTATTGGTTACTTTAGTTGTTAGTGTTATTTATTATGATTATGTTCATAACTGATTATTAATGCATTTCATCATTTAGGTATTAAAGTCACTTAATGTGATAATAAAATGAATTTAATGAATAATACTTTTAATGTATAAAATATACTAATTATTGAAATAATTTTTACAATATTATAACTCTACACTAAAAATTATCATCTTATTAGTTACAGAAACTGATTTTTTTTTTCTTATTCTACACCCTTCTGCCATTGATTGAAATTTAAGAGAGACATTTACTGACTGCAGGATGGGCATGAATTCCAGTTCTTGTGAATGTAGTGAGAAATGAGCTTGAATAAAATGCAGCAAGAATAAGGCTTTTACAGTGAGGTGTTTCTCACTGTAAACTTTTTGACTTTTGAAGATCATCTTCTAAACAACAGCATACCTATCTGTTATACGTGTGAAGCTAAAGCTGTGCATTCAAACAAATCTGTCTTCATTCATTCGTATTATATAAATACTATGTTTCCCTTGGTGATCTAAAATAATATAGAACACTTCAAGTCGGAAAACATAAGTACATTTTTATTATTATCAATGTGTCCTAATAGTGTGAAAGAAGTTTGTACTTATTTTTGTCTTACTATGAATTTCTTCCTTATCCACTTATGATATAGACTTATCTGTTTATTTCTATAAGTTTTAAAATTTTCTTTTCATGTTTAAATATACACTCTATCTGCAGCTTATGTTTGTGTATTGTGGAGGGCAGTAGTGTTGTACTAGAATCAGCTTGCTAGAGATAATTAAATGCATCTGTTCCCAACTCTGCATTCCATGACATCACATAGGTAGCTTGATTACCCATGGTGAAAGTCTTTACACCACAGAAATTGGCAAGTGCTACAAATAAGGTTTCCAATCCTGTCCCAGGAAGCTGGTTGTTAAACGTTTCCCAGCCCATCACTTGAAGTAGGGATCTAACTTTGTCTCATTTCTCCTATGGAGAACCAATTGTCACAGCATAGTTTAATGACTAATTCATCCTTTCCTCACTGAGTTATAATGTAACTTTAGTTATATACCAAGATAGGTGTTATACACTTATCTAGGTCTTGTCAGGACCTCAGCTGAGTTGGAGAAAGCTGAGTTGTTAAGTCTTGGAGTAGCTGATTAAAACCTTAAGCCAAAACAAAAGTTAACAGTCAAGACTAGATAAGCAAGAGGTTAAACCCGAGAAAGCACCCTGTTCTATTTTTCCCCTTGTGATAGTGTGCTAGTGCTAGTCGAGGTTCAGATGGATCGGCACAGACATGGGGCTCCTCTCACTGTTAAGTGAGCCATAAACAAAAGGCTCCTGCTTTCTGAAACCAAGAACTGAGGGGAGGGCAAGAGAAAAGGGCTAGGAGTGGCAAAGTATTGAAAATTAAGTGAGAGTGGAAAAAAATCCTCCCTTCCCCCCAATAAAGAGGTTTTGGCAGAGGCTCCTGAAAAGGGGGTATAGGGGAGGCTGAGTTGGGTCCTTTACTGCAGCTTCCTTCAGAGACTGCAATGCATTGGCTGTGCTCTAAGTCTGGTGTAGGGAGGGCAGTTTTTCCTCATAAGGCCTGTCAGGTAAAGCCTCTAATTGCCGATAGTTGGGCCAAAAAAAAAAAAAAAAAATCACACATCGGATTTTTGGTCAAGAGCCAGACTTCTCAGGTCGCTTTATATGATACCATTTTGTTCTATAGTATTTTTCTGTCCCTTGTATAGCTTTATAAGACTGGATAGCTGGTCAAGCAATTTCCTTCTTCTCCTTCTCTTATTCTTTATCATATGAACACATTGTTATTTGGACTCATTTTCTTCTGTAGGAATACCTTGAGAAAAATTCCCCAGAGAGCTTTATGCATTTGCATCTGCCATGTATCATTACCTGCCGTGTATTACCCCAGACAAAGGTTATGTTGATTTCTCAGATGATAAGTCCCTGGGCCATGCAGGTAACATGAATTTGGATTCTAAATTCATGTGTGGTAGAATCCTAGGGGTTTGGATTTGCTAGTAGAAATTCTTTTTTGTTACCCAAAGGGCAGGCTTCCCATTGTCTCCTTCTGTTGGTGGGTAGGGTTTGTCTAGTCTACCTATTCTCTGAGGAAGCGGCCTTTAAAGGGTCCCAGCTTTGTGCTAGTATCTCATGTTTAACTGTCTGTCTTGCATGGGCCCCAAGCCCGGTCTCCATAAGGATGACAGAACATGAATCATTTTTTTTGTAGGCAGAAACTTTATTGGAAATTGCTGTCAGTAATAACACTTGTGAGGATTGAAAAAAAAACATGATTACACAGAGGAAGAAATAGAATGGTGAAGGAGTTGCAATGGATGCTTCAGTCCATAGCTCAGGGAAACCTGCAATTGAGATAACCCTCCATGGTTGCCTTTCTTTGAGGCAAGCATTAGGGGGCAGGTGCTGGCTTTTATACCCTCAATTCGACCACCTGTTGGCTGCTGGTTTCCATCAGGCAGAGGCTACAAGCTTGTGTGAGTCAACATTCTTCAGCTGAGGGCCATCAGCTACCAGCACTTCCAGCAGGTGGGGAAATTAGTGCTTCAGTTCTTAAAGGGGATCAGGCTGGTGCTCCAGAGCATCCACTTTCATTCGCCCTTTGTACCACTTGGATGTCCTTGCATTTTACAGTAAGTTCTGGCAATAGCTCCTCAACAAGGCTGGTTGGTCTCCTTTCCTGCAAAAACTTTTTCATTATTATTATACTTTAAGTTCTGGGGTACATGTACAGAACGTGCAGGTTTGTTACATAGGTATATACGTTCCATGGTGGTTTGCTTCACCCATCAACCCGTTGTCTACATTAGGTATTTCTCCTAATGCTATTCCTCCCTTAGCCCCCCACCCCCTGACAGGCGCCGGTGTGTGATGTTCCCCTCCCCGTGTCCATGTCTCACTCATAAGTGGGAGTTGATCAGAACATGAATCTTTCTCTACAGACTGTCATATTCTACATTCTATTTTAGTTTCTTGATTTCATGTGTGTTGTAAATCAGCTTTCCTAAAAGCAGAGTCTCAAACAGGAATTTGGCATGAAAATAATTTATTGAGCAAAAGCTCTTAATGAAACACCTGAAGAAAGAAAGGGAAGCAGGATAGGGAAGGGGAAAAAAACGAGCAAGGATGTGGTCTCAGGTAAAGTCTAGCTTTCACTTGATCCTCAGGAGAGGGTCTTGAGGGGTGGAGTAGGGTGGGATTCAAAAGTTCTGGAGCATAAATCTCGGCATAGAATTGTCTCTCTCTGAGACAAGGGTCCCAGACCTTTTGTACCCCTGGGAGGTTATGCACCCTATGCCAATAACCTAGTGAGACAGACTGCATAACATCCCAGGTGGCACAGTTTCTGTCAGCCAAGGGCAATTATCTCAAGAACAGAGGTAGCTATGAGCTATTAGCAGCCAACACTCACAGAATGGTGGGGAATAGGTATAATGGCCAAGTCTCTTAATGAATCAACAACAACATTTGCAACAACATATAACTTGCTTTGCCAGCTTGGTGCACCAATACAGTATGCTTCATACACTTCTTTATTTCTATTTTTTTTTTTTTTTGAGACAGAGTGTCGTACTGTTGCCCGGGCTGGAGTGCAGTGGCGTGATCTTGGCTCACTGCAACCTCCGCCTCCTAGGTTCAAGCGATTCTCCCTGCCTCAGCCTCCCAAGTAGCTGGGATTACAGGCGCCCACCACCACGCACGGCTAATTTGTTTGTATTTTTAGTAGAGATAGGGTTTCACTATGTTGGCCAGGGTGGCCTCAAACTCCTGACCTCATGATCCGCCTGCCTCGGCTTCCCAAAGTGCTGGGATTACAGGCGTGAGCCACCGTGCCTGGCCCATACATTTCTTTCTTATACTTAATTGCTCACCTGTCTTTATACAAAGTTTATTATCTCCTTCAAGAAGCCTCTTTCTCCAGTGATTCATCCATGAAGACTATCGACTAATCAAAGCACTCCTGCTTCCGAAAGCCAAATACAGTCTTGCACTGCATAATGACGTTTTGGTCAATAACAGACCACATATACAACAGTGGTCCCATAAGATTTTAATACTGCATTTTTACTTTTTCTTTTCTATGTTTAGATATGTTTAGACATATAAATACTTACCATTATGTTACAGTTGGCTACAGTATTCAGTAGGTGACATTCTGTACAGGTTTATAGCCCAGGGGCAACAGGCTATACAATATAACCTAGATGTGTAGTAGTCTATACTATCTAGATTTGTAAAAGTACTTTCTATGACGTTTGCACAATGACAAAATTTCCCAGCAATGCATTTTTATGATGTCCCTGCATCACCTAGGGATGCATCTCTCAGAATGTATCCCTGTCATTAAGCGATACTTAACTGTAGATATAAAGAACTAGAAAATTTACTAGTCTTGCTGTTTTAGTACTGTCTACATATTGTCAGTCTGCATAACCCGTTGGTCCTGCCAACCAATTGAATATACACTACTGCAGTGATGCGCTTGCTCAGTCACATGTTTGCTAGTGCTAACATCTCTTTTAGCCTCCCCTATGTGTTTCCTCATTGTTCTCAAAGCATGTCATTCTATGGTGGTGACTAGGTCCAAAGGCAATTCCAGATGTAGCAACATGACATACTCAGCCTACTGATGTACCTACTGGCCTTATATTTATATGACTAAAGGAGGTAGCTCAACTGAGTTTTCCCTTAATAACAAGAATTTGATCCCAAAGTAATTTTCTGTCTCCGCCTCTAGATCTGGGTTTTTCAACTTTAACGCTATTGACATTTTGTGCTTGTTAACTGTTTGTTGGTGGTGAGGCTGCTCTGTGCATTATAGAATGTTTAACAACATTCTATTGTATAGCCATTGTATAGCAATGCCCACCCATTCTCCAGTTGTGACATCTAAAAGTGTCTGTAAATATTGCCAAAGGTCCCCGGAGTATTAAAACTGGCCCTGGTTGAGAACCAGTGCTCTAGATATAAAGGAGGCTGCATAATAATAAAAATCTCTTAGCAGCATCCATCCCATTATACATTTTTTCCCGTAATTATTTAGCCACTTGGAGGCAAGTGGCTATGTATCCCTCATAGTACTTAGCATAATACCTTGTATATACTGGTTGATTACTTCTTTGCATATATTAATCAACTACCTATTATTGCTTATTCTTAACATAAAATCAATTTGCTTGATTTTACAATTCGTAAAACATGTGCTGCTTAATGAATTGAGAGCCTAGTTAAGTCTGGAGGAAATCTTTTATTTAAATATTCCAGTCCTGACTTCTTAAATATAATATGATGTGTGTTTTAAAATTTCCTAGCACATGGGTTTCTAACAAATTAAATGTTTTTAAATCAAAATCTTATTTAATTTCTGTATGCAATGAAAATATGGTTGAGTGTGTTTGTCTATATAAGTTAAGCATTTATTTTTAATTGGTTTTACTCGGCCAATTAATTTGTTAGTAATCACAGAATATTTGAAATTATGGCCTATGCTCATAATATTCTAGCATCACTCTCTTGGCATTATAAAGACGAGATCACCTTGTTGGTCATCATAAAGTAGGTGAGGGGTGTGTTTATTAAAGGTGATGATATTGAGAGGAATGAATTAGAAGTGAGGAATAAGCAAATTAAAGGAGAGTAGGTAAAGAAGGACAGGTGAATATTCCATTTATAAAATGATAATTTACTTTAGATCATAATCTAAATTGTTGTGGCATCATCTTCAGTTGAAGAATGGTTATATCAGAAGTGCTAGTTAATACTAATGAATATTTTGGATAGGAAATAGAACATGATTGCAAAAATATCAGAGCAATTAGAAATAATGAATAGAGACATAAAAATTCCCTATTCAAAAAGTAATCAGCAAGAAGGAAAGGCTTATAGTATAAAATACCGTTTTTTAAAAAATATTTTAAAAATTTTATCAAATCTGTATTAAATATTGGAACATTTGGTATCATTGCAAAATATATTATGTATCTAATTCTTTATAACAAGTTTAGGAGGATTCTATCATCAGTTTTAATCATTAAATTTTCCAAGGCTTCTCCACTCCCACTGCTTCACTTGACTAGAAAAAAAAAAGTATTTTTTTCCAAGGGCAAATCTCACTAGATCATAGCAAAAATGTTTAATAGATGGCAGAGGTATGGTAATTTACAGACCATTCTAACCAAATGCAGCAACATTTGATGTGCCTGATAAGTGATGGAACTTTTAGAGTATATTTTTGAATTAATTATTTTGTGTAGTACTGTATTTCATTGGAATTCCACCATTGGCATTGAAAAATCTAGTGTGGTAGAAAGAGCCTTTGAGCAGGATTAAGAAAATCTTTTATAGCTCTATAATTGACACTAGTTCACTATTTTTATGACATTGGACAAAATACTTAACCTTTCCATGAGTTAGTTTGCTCATCTTTAAGATGAAACATAAATTCATTCTATGAAACTATATTTGGTAAGGAATAAAACTTCTACAGATTATACTCTGTGTTTCATCACTCGAGTAATAAACATTTATTTAGCTTCCTGTATAATGATTCAGTCTACTCACATGCTAGGAACCATGGTGCCATTCTCAATCTTGACTGCATATCAGAATCAATGGTGAGCTGTTTCAAAAATGAAGATTCTTGAGCTCCAGTACAGACCTTCTGAATAAGAAAATCTGGGTGTCATTCTGTGGGATCTATATTTTAAACAAACATAAAACTCCCCAGGTACTTCTTTCAGAACTGTTACTGGGTTGAGAAGAACTTCTGTATGGTATGAGTAAATTATATAAAATAAATCTAACAACCTACTTGGTGATGTGAGATCAGCACTAAATATAAAGTAAAGGCTAAAATATGTGTAAATATAAATATGAAGCAAAGGCTAAAATAAGTAAGTAGAGTAAGTGGAGGATGCAGTGTCTCAGTTGAAGTTGAAAAAGGTGGAGAAGGAGGAGTTGGGGGTCAGGGAGGGAAAGGGTGATTTCCAGGCAAGGAAAAATAAGAGCAATGATGGCCTAAAAATGAAACAAGAGCAGCAGGCTTTTACTTCAGTGAAGTTTGAACAGATTAGACTAGAGAGATGGGTGAAAAATAGAATTCCACTTGCTGGCTTCTTAATCTTTGATCAGGTTTTTTAAACATACATTTAATTTATTAATTTGGTTAGGCATGACTGTTAAAATCACATTTCATATAAAAGATATTAAAATGCATTTTACTTCATGAAATAACGTTATTGTAATTCTGCATATATATCTTTGATATCAGTCTATCATCGTTACAGCCACTTTTTGGTCATTTATCATGGTTTTCTAAAGCATTTCTTCTTCTGTTCTGCTAAATAGTTTGAGATCCCGCTTTCTGAATCTATGTATGCCACTATCAATTTTTCCAAAACAAGTACCATTTGCGTAACATTAACACAATTGAAAATAATCTTGTAGAAGTATATTTATAAACTTCACAGTTTTCCAACTTTTACTGAATTGCCTTTTACCTTTTAAACACATTTTATTGTGAAATATGATATACATATTAAAATTCCATAAAACATAAATGAAGTTAGATGAGTGAATCATAAAGTGAATTTCAATGCAACTACCACCAAAGTCAGGAAATAGAACATTGCCAGCCACACAGAAAATCCCTATGTGCCCCAATCTGATTATAACCCCTTCCCTCCCCGCAAGAAGTAATTGTTATTGTGGTTTTTCTGATAGTTATTTCTTTGCTTTTCTTTATAGACTTGCCACTAATATATGTCTCCCTAGAATTTTATAGTTTAGATTTGCCCATATTAAACTTTATATGGGCAGGGCACAGAAACTCATACCTGTAATCTCAGCATTTTGGGAGCCTCAGGTGGGAAGATCATTTGAGCCCAAGAGTTCAAAACCAGCCTGGGTTACATAGTAAGACCCCTGTCTCTACAAAAATATATAAAATAAATTAGGTGGGCATGATGGCACGCACCTTGGGATGGCATGCATCCCAAGTAGTCCCAGCTACTTGGGATGCAGAGGTGAGAAGATTGCTTGAGCCTGGGAGGTCGAGGTTGCAGTGAGCTGTGACCACGCCATGGTACTCCAGCCTGGGCAACAAGGTGAGACCCTGTCTTAAAAAAATTTATATGAAAGTTATCATATTGTATATGCTCTTTTTTGTCTTGCTCCTTTTTTTGTTCTACATTATGTTTATAAGACTCATCTATGTTGTTGCAAATAGCTGTAGTTTATTTTCATTGCTCAATAGTATTCAATTGCATGAATACTCCACAAGTTATTTATCCATTTTACTATTAGTGAACATTTGGATTGTTTTCCATCTTTAGCTATTTCAAACAATGCTACTCTTTATTTTATTAGGTTGGTACAAAAGTAACTGTGGCTTTCACCATTAAAAGTGGCATTAACCACTTACAAAAAAATACAAGAAAATCAAGAATAGTCTAATTGCAATAACTGCAATTACGTTTGCACCAACCTAATACATGTATTTGGTGCATGAGTGGAATTGATGGGCCACAGAATACACAGTATCTTCAACTGTAGTAGATAATGCCAATCTAGATTTTAAAATGTTTTTTATACTCTCGCTAGCAGTGTATGAAAATTCTGCAGCAATGCTTGGAATCTTTTTGGAGTCATTATAAGTTTTGCTGAGCAAGTGGGTTTGTTATGACTTGAATTTGTGGTATAAATTTGCATTTCCCTGATGACCAATAAGGTTGAACACCTTTTCCAATGTTTATTGGTCATTTCAATATCATATCTTGAAAAGTGCCTGTTCATGATTCTTACCCGTTTTTCTGTTGGGTTGTCTTTTTTTATTTGTAAGTGTTTTGATATATCTTGAAAATGAGCCTCTTGTTATATTGCAAATATCTCTTCCACTCTCGGTTTGCCTTTTACTCTCTTAATGGTGTCTTTTGTTGAATAGAATTTCTTAATTATACTGTAATCCAATTATCATTCTTACTACTTATAGTTAATGATTTATGATTCCCACTTAAGAAATTCTCTCCTATCCCAAAGTCATGCCGATAACCTCATATGTTTGTTATCTAGAAACTTCATTGTTTTATTCCTCACACCTAGATATACAATTACTTCCTCATCTCTGGTTGTTGCTGTTATTCAACTGTAGCTATGGAGTTCCTTCTATAATTGTACTAAACAATTACTTTTCTGGGAACTATCTCTAATTTTATTGTTTTTTTTTGTATTCTCACTTTTCATAATTTTTTATCACTATAAGGAATTTGATACAAAAATAGTATTTGGGATAGTTAGTAAGTCCGAACTATCATAAACCTACATATCTGAATTTTAAGCAAAATTATTCTCTCAGCATTAGTACTGAGCTATCATCCTAATGGCTTACAGATTTTGTAAATGCTTTTAATGGATAAATGACAATGTATAATCATTCTTTGTGTTCCTACTCACCTACCCATTTAACAAATGGTTATTATATTACCAGTGACTTTAACTTTGGCATGTCCTTTAACAGAGTTTATGAATATGTGGGAATACTTAAATCATTAAGAATTGGGACAAATATGTATTTTCAGTTGTATACTTGAAGAGTGTTGGCTTGATTAACTTTTTTGCTCTGACTTTCAGTTTTGTTTCTTTTGAAACTACCATCATCCAAACATCTATCCCATTTCGTGAAGGGGCAGATATTCCCTATAGCATCCTTTATGCCATTTGTGCATCCAATTGATTGCAGCCGTATCCAGAAGAAAGGGAACAAATGTTTTGCTGATTCTACTGCCAAGAAGTAGATTAAATTTGGAAACATATCATTGATGAACAATTAAAACTCAAAAACATGGGATTTGCTATAAAGCCAGGAAGCAAAGATAAGAGACTTCTCTGTTTTCAGTCATGGTTCTTGTTTAGTGACTGGAGTCTGAATAGTTAGATTGATCAGTTAATGAAAAAAGGCTTATTTCTATGTCATTTTTGTTAATTTTCTAAAGATTTGATTCCTTCCTATAGTAGTGTTTTTAAATGCTCTGCTTTGTCAAATTCATAATTTATACACTTTAACAGCAAGAACCATCTGTTTGAAAAAGGCTTACATCTGAAACTTACATGGATATACACACAGAATTGTATACAGAAGTGCATTTATAAACCGACAGTAATAAAGGGGGTTTTCTGAATCAGGTTTTGTGAAATAAGAATGGAAATCTATTTTATTTTAAATGCATATATCAAAGTAAGTTCTGAAAACAAAAACATTATGTGGTTTACTTGTTTTCTGTTTAAGAATTTTGAGTGTCATTTATTTTAGAATAACTAGGTCTCAGATATGGAAAGAATCACTAAAGCTTCTTTTCAAATTATGCTCTTGCCTTGATTCTCTTCCTATGTTGTTGAGTTAGTCTAATTTAACAAAATGCCGTGATTATCTCTATTTGAGGGGTTTCTTCTCTAGTCAGAAGAAATCTGCTATGGATCATTGTCCTGTCAGAAATCCATGCCACTTGATGAAGGCACTGGCAACAAGACAGCCTTGGATGTCAGTTGAGGCTAGATGGATATCCTGGAGGTTTCTCAGAGAAATCTGTCAAATACTTGGCAGAGTAGTCACAATTTTTAACAGATTGCATCAGCACCACTCTGTCAGATGGAGGAACATTTAAACACCATCCGGGTATGTTGAACACTAGAGCTGCAGAACTGGCAGTATCACATACATTTGTGAGAGAACATTGAGATACACTTGTAACAATCATCAAACAGCTGCAATCAACACCAGTGTCATGGGAACACATTTTTCTCCAGGCTGAATCACGTCAAAACAAAATTGCATTGCTAGAGGCCAATGGGAAAACTCTATGAATGCCAAGATTTAGATAATTGGGTAAATTTTTCAGAGTCCATTTGATTAAAAAAAAAAAAAAGGTATTGAATGTTGCACACATGCATGCCTGCAGTGGTTCCCGCTCCTAATTTAGAGTTAGTGAATAGCTTTTTAGTAAATGCCTAATTTTGTTCTCTTAACAGCTCACTTTTGACCTCTGCCTTCCTTCCCAATACTTTAGTTATTTTTCACGGCCAGGTTGGCATAACAGAACATAATTATAACTTTTCCCTGAAATCTGTGGTGTAATTTGACTTTTGTGGATTGACTCTGGTGTCGGGGTCAAAGAATAGTATTATGGGGCTCTGAAGACACTGGGGCCTACTGCAGATAATAGCTTGTTTCTGGAATGGGCGCCTTATATCTGTTGTATCATCCTTTAAAAACCTTATATCAAAGTGAGGAGATGAACTTAAATGAATATTAAGATAATTAGGTAGTACAACTCTAAACAACCTACTTCTTCCTTAACTTCTAGAATAAGTCAAGGCAAACGATTTTTTTTTAACGTGCATTTTCCATCTAAGTGCTTTAATTCGACACCTAATTTATTTTTACTTCTAACAAAGTTCTCTGCCCTTTCTTTTTCTCCTTTTTACTCCCATTGATCTCCTTGTTGCTATGCACTTCTACTTCCCTAGTGACTCATATAAAAATACATATTGAAGATATTTAATTGTAAAAATGATTAGTTCTTGGTTGCTTGCATTGGAGTATTAAACAGCTTTTCAAAGTTAACTTTTCCTTTAACTCAATTTTTGTTTCTGAAGAAGGATGTCCAATTTTGCAAAAATATTACATTTCATGTATGATATAACTTTTACATATAAAGAATGTTTATTTGAAATGTAATGTAATATGTGTCAATAACAGTCCCATCTAAACACAGAAATAGCAGTAACTAAACATAAGAATGTAAATACACTAAAATTTTCTACTTGTTGAATAATAATGAAGCTCTTTCACTAAGCTAAGGTATATCATATCAGTGACCAAGTTTTCCAAATTAATGCATGATAGTAACATAAGAGGCATTTGGATAAATACACTAGAAAATTGAAAACATTTTAAGATTGAGAAAACATACACTTGTGTAGTACATCTAAATCTCAAAGAAAGGGATTATATTCATACTAAACAATCCAGGAAACCTTAATCATAAAAAATGAGAGATTATCTTCTAAAATAAGTAGAAAATAGATAGAATAAATAATTAGAATAAATTAGAACATTGATACATAAATAATTTTTATTTGTAGTGACGAGAAAAATATAAAATATAAAATATTATTGTAGTGATGAGAAAAATATAAAATATTAAATGATATAAGGGAATAAAATTCACTGTTTTATCTGGACTTCATTCTATATATATGCATACACACACACACACACACATATATATATACGCACATGTACATATACACACACACACAAACATACATATATATTTAATAAGGAAAGTGTAGGACCTAGGTGAAATTCTAATAAAAATCATTTAGGGAATATTGACACAATTAAACTTAGGCAATACAAATAAATTAATGATAATGACAGATACAGAATTAGTTTCACAGAAATCCCAATGTTCCTTATCAGTAAAAATTATTTCTGGATATGGACCATGGAAAATGAGATCACTGTTAGTATTAGATAAAGACTTACATTAGATTTCTTTAAGTCAATGGAGCCAAATAGAATTCTCTTATTTGGTACATAATAAACATAGATTACTTTGAAGAATTGAATTTTTGTCTCTAAAAAAGGAATTTATTAAATATTTAGTAAAATAAGCCAAAACTAAACTGTGTAGTCAATAACTTTATAACTTTAGTGTGGTTGATAAATGATCTGACATAATAGTATGGCCAATGCCAAGTGATAAGCAATAAAATCTAGAAATAATGATGATTCCTCAAAATCAGCACTTACAAGTAGATCACTATTCAGTGGAATCAAAGCATATAGTGCACAGAAGATGAAGAGTGGTTTTCACTCTCAACTCCTGGGCATGTTCCTATGTCAACATGATTGCCTAACTTGACTATTCTATGTACATATTCAATTAAGCTTGAGATTTGCAGGGATCTATATTTGAGGAATGAAAAATATAGGGGAAACTTCTAGGCATTTAGTATATCATAAATAGATAGCTAAATAGTAAGTATAGAGCAAAGATAAAAATGATATATCGTGTGCAAGTAGGAATTGGCAAGAAATTAGTTTGGAAACTGAGGATTTCCAACAAACATAATTCATTTAGCTGGTAATCAACTCTCTAGGTTGGAGGCATGGTGGAAAATGCTGCTGTTACTAGATAAATAGAGAAGAAAAATCAGACTACCTTTTTAGGTGCTCTCAGTAATTTAGTCAATCATTAGTTCAGAATAGGAGTTTCTTTTAAGGAATTTAAAATTAGGCAGACAAATTCAAATCTTTCTTTTACTATTTGTGAAAACTTGGACAATACATTTTCATAAATTTCAAGATTGAAAAGAATGTTTGCATAGTTATATTTCAAGCAAAAAACTGTAGGATATAATATAGTAAATGCTTACGTACTCTTCATCCATGTTTGAAAATATTAACGTTTTTATTATTTGATTCAGATTTATTTATAATAAATAAAGTTGCCCTGCCCTAATTTCATTCACCTCCTATCCTCCACTGAAAAAGCTACCCTGGAGTTGTAATATATCCATCCCATGCAGGACTTTATACTTTTTTTTATTATGGTAAAAAACAAAATTAGCAAAATTAACCATGTTTAACTGTATACTTCAGTAGTATTAAGTATATTCACATTGATATAAAACAGATCTCCATGACTTTTTCATCTAGCAAGTCTGAAATTCTACACCCATTAAACAACTCCCCTTTTTGCCTTTTCCCCAGCCCCAGTAACCACCATTCTACTTTTTGTTTATATAAATTTGATTACTTTAAATACCTCATGTACGTGGAATTATACAGTATTTGTCTTTTTGTGAATGGCTTATTTCGCCTAGCATAATATACTAATGGTTCATCCATGATATATCATGTGACAGAATTTCCTTCCTTTCTTAGGCTGAGTAATATTCTATTCTAGATATATATCATGTTTTGTTTATCTATTCATCCCTTGATGGACATTTGGACTGCTTCTAACTCAGCTACTATGAATAGTGCTGCTATAAACATGGGTATGCAAATATCTTTTTGAGATTCTTCTTTGAATTTTTTTGAGTGTATACCTAGAAGTTGGATTGCTGGATCATATGGTACTTGTATTTATGATTTTATGGGGAAACTCCATACTGTTTACCATAGCAATTGCATCATTTTACAATCCCACTAACAGTGAACAAGGATACCAATTTTTCCACATCCTTGTCAACACTTGGTATCTTTTGTCTTTTTGATAATAGCTATTCTAAGCAGTGTGAGGTAATATCTCATTGTGGTTTTGATTTGCATTTTTCTGATGATTACTGATGTTGAGCATCTTCTCATATGCTTGTTGGCCATTTGTATGTCATCTTTGGAGATACATTTATTCAAGTTTTTTTGCCTGTTTTAAATCAGGTTATTTGACTTTTTTATTAAGTTGTAGGAGTGAGTTTTTTTATATATTCTGGATATTAACCCCTAATCGGATATATGGTTCACGAATAATTTATCCTATTCTCCCATTCTGTAGGTTGCCTTTCCACCTGTTGATTGTGTCTTTTTTGTTTATTTTGCAATGGACCAGGTCTTGCTGTGTTGCCTAGGTTGGAGTGCAGTGGCTATATGCAGGCACAATCCCACTACTGATCAGGATGGGAGTTTTGACATGCTTCATTTCCAAGTTGGGCAAGTTCCCTCTTTTTTAGGTAACCTGGTGATACCCTGCTCCCAGGAGTTCACCAGATTAATGCTGAACTTAGTGTGGACACTTGATTGGCATAATTCACTACAGGCTGATCTTCCTGCCTCAGCCTTTTGCCTCAGCCTCCCGAGTAGTTGGGACTATAGACAAGTGCTACCACACCTGGCTGATTGTGTCCATTGCTGCACAAAATATTTTAAGTTTTATATAGTCCTATTAGTTTAATTTTGCTTTTGCCGTGTATGCTTTTGGTGTCATATCAATGATATCATCACCAAGTCCAATGCCATACAGCTTTTCCCTTGTTTTCTTCTAGGAATTTTATAGTTTTAGGTCTTATGCTTATGTCTTTAATCCATTTTAAAGTTAATTTTTGTACATTCTGTAAGATAAGTGTTCAACTTCATTCTTTTGCATGTAGATATACAGTTTTCCTAACTGGATGGGACTGAAAGTGTTTCCTCTAACCATTTGTGGAAGAGACTGTTCTTTTCCCATTGAGTGGTATTGGCACCCTTGTTGAAGACCATTTGACCATCTAAGCTGCTGCAGTGTTGTGTTCCTGTAAGCCTAGCTATTCAGAAGGCTGAAGTAGGAGTATCAATTGAGCCTAGAAGTTTGAGACCAGCCTGGGCAACACAGTAAGGCCTTACCTCAAAAAAAAAAAAAAAAAAAAAAAAAAAAAAAAAGGACTATGGACTATGGCCATACCACTCAGAATGCACCAGATCCCATCTCATTGTATATGCAAGGGTTTTTTTTATGGGGTCTCTGTTCTATTTTATTCATCTATTTGTCCGTCTTTATACCAGTACCACACTGTTTTGATTATTGTGGCTTTATAATAAGTTTTGAAATCAGGAAGTGTGAGCCCTTCAATTTTGTTCTTTTTAAAAATTGTTTTGGTTATTTTAAGTCTATTGAGATTCCATATGAATTTTAGGAAGAATTTTTCTTTTTCTGGAAAAATGACAGTTGGATTTTGACAGGAATTGTGTTAAATCTATAGATCATTTTGGGTATTATGCACATTTGAAAAATAATAAGATCCAATTCATGAGAATGGATTTGTCTTTCCATTTCTTTGATTTCTTTAATTTCATCAATGTCTTATTGTTTTCAGTGTACATGTCTTTCACCACCTTGGTTAAGTTTATTCCTAAGTATTTTATTCTTGATGGTATTACAAATGGAATTGTTTTATTAATTTTCTTTTCAGATTATTCATTGTTAGTGTATAGAAACAAAATTGATTTTTGTATGTTGATTTTGTACCCTGTAACTTTGCTGAATTCAGGCTTTCTGTGGAATCTTTAAGATTTTCTACATATGAGATCGTGTCATCTGTGCACAAAGATAATTTTACTTTCTCTTCTCCAGTTTGGGTGACTTTTGTTTATTTTCATTGCCTAATTTTTCATGCTAGGACTTCCAAGACTATGTGGCATAGAAGTTTTGATAGCAGTCATCTTTGCCTTGTTCCTCATCTTGGAAGAAAAGCTTTCGGTCTTCATCATCGAGTATTATCCAAAAAAAGTAAAAATCTTTGGGCTTTTCATAAAGAGTATTATATTTAAGTCATTTTTTTTCTATTTCTTTTTTATGAAGTTTTTTAATTAAGGGTGTAGAATCTTGTCGAATACTTTTGTTCTGCATCAATTGAGATGACCATGTGGTTTTGGTTTTTGTCCTTCATTCTGCAAACGTGGTGTATTACATTTATTAATTTTTGCATATTGCAACATCTTTGCATTCCAGGAATTAATCTTACTTGGTCATGGTATATAATGCTTTTGAAGTATTGTAGAATTCAATTTTCTAATACTTTGTTGAATATTTTTCATCAATCTTCATCAGGGATATTGGTCTGAAAAGTTTTCTTTTCTTGTAGTATCTTTTTCTGGCTTTTGTATCATGGCTAACACTGGATTAGTAGAATGAGTTTGAAAGTATTCCCTTCTTATCAACTTTTTGGAAGAGTTTTGGGAGGATTGGTGTTAACTTTTCTTTTTTTTTATTTTATTATTATTATACTTTAAGTTTTAGGGTACATGTGCACAATGTGCAGGTTAGTTACATATGTATACATGTGCCATGCTGGTGTGCTGCACCCATTAACACGTCATTTAGCATTAGGTATATCTCCTAAAGCTATCCCTCCCCCCTCCCCCACCCCACAACAGTCCTCAGAGTGTGATGTTCCTCTTCCTGTGTCCATGTGTTCTCATTGTTCAATTCCCACCTATGAGTGAGAATATACAGTGTTTGGTTTTTTGTTCTTGCGATAGTTTACTGAGAATGATGATTTCCAATTTCATCCATGTCCCTACAAAGGACATGAACTCATCATTTTTTTATGGCTGCATAGTATTCCATGTGTATATGTGCCACAATTTCTTAATCCAGTCTATCATTGTTGGACATTTGGGTTGGTTCCAAATGTTTGCTATTGTGAATAGTGCCGCAATAAGCATACGTGTGCATGTGTCTTTATAGCAGCATGATTTATAGTCCTTTGGGTATATACCCAGTAATGGGATGGCTGGGTCAAATGGTATTTCTAGTTCTAGATCCCTGAGGAATCGCCACACTGACTTCCACAAGGGTTGAACTAGTTTACAGGAGAACTTCCCCAATCTAGCAAGGCAGGCCAACATTCAGATTCAGGAAATACAGAGAACGCCAAAAAGATACTCCTCGAGAAGAGCAACTCCAAGACACATAATTGTCAGATTCACCAAAGTTGAAATGAAGGAAAAAATGTTAAGGGCAGCCAGAGAGAAAGGTCGGGTTACCCACAAAGGGAAGCCCATCAGAGTAACAGCGGATCTCTCGGCAGAAACTCTACAAGCCAGAAGAGAGTGGGGGCCAATATTCAACATTCTTAAAGAGAAGAATTTTCAACCCAGAATTTCATATCCAGCCAAACTAAGCTTCATAAGTGAAGGAGAAATAAAATACTTTACAGACAAGCAAATGCTGAGAAATTTTGTCACCACCAGGCCTGCCCTAAAAGAGCTCCTGAAGGAAGGACTTTTCTTTTAAATGTTTGACAAAATTCTCCAGTGAAGTCATTTAGTCCTGGACTTTGTTGAGGTGTGTGTGTGTGTGTGTGTGTGTGTGTGTGTGTGTGTGTGTGTTTAATGTCATAAAAATGTATATTGCATGTTAAGTTCTCTTATCAGAATTTTTAAGTGCATAATGTAATATTGTTAACTATAAGCACAGTGTAGTACAGCAGGATCCTAAAACTTATTTGTCTTGTATAATTGAAGCTTTATACTAATTGAACAGAAATTCCCCAATTGCTCCTCTCCTCAGCGCGTGGCAACCACCAAACTACTCTTTGTTTCTATGAGGTTGACTTTTTGAGGTACCTCATAGAAGTGGAAGTATACAGTGTTAATTCTTCTGTGATTGGCTTTTTTCACTTAGCATAATGTTTTCCAGGTTCATATAGTATGATTTCCTTCTTTTTATAGCTGAATAGTATTCCATTGTATGTATATACAATATTTTTTATTCATTCATGCATCTATGAATGTTTAAGTAATTTCCATATCTTGGCTATTGTAAATAATACAGCAGTCAACATGGGATTGCATGTATCTCTTTGAGATCCTGATTTCAACACTTTTGGATATATACCCAGAAGTGGGATTACTGAATTTTTTGAGGAAACTCCATACTGTTTTCCATAGTGACTGAATCATTTTATGTTTTCACCAATTACATCCTTGCCAATAGTTGTAATTTTTTAAATAATGGCCATCCATATTAGTCCATTCTCACACTGCTATGAAGAAATACCTGAGACTGGGTAACTTATGAAGGAAAGAGGTTTAATTGACTCTCAATTTCACATTGCTGGGGATACCTGAGGAAACTTACAATCATGGTGGAAGGCAAAGGAGAAGCAAGCACCTTGTTCAGAGGGTGGCAGGACAGAGTGAGTGCAAGCAGGGGAAATGCCAGATGCTTATAAAACCATCAGATCTCATAAGACTCACTCATTATCATGAGAACATCATGGGAGAAACCACCCCCATGATCCAATTACCTTCACCTGGTCCCGCCCTTAACACGTGTGGATTATTACAATTCAAAGTGAGATTCGGGTGGGGACACAGAGCCAAATCATGTTACCATCCTAACAGGTGTGAGGTGACAACTCATTGTGGTTTTGATTTGCATTTCCCTGATTATTAGTAATGTTGATTATCTTTTAATTTACCTGTCAACCAATAGGCGCTTTTTGGAGAAATGGTTATTCAAGTCCATTGCCCATATTTTAAAAATAAGGTCACTTGGTTTTTTGCTATTTATTTATATGTGTTCTTTATATACTTTGGATATTAACTTCTTTTCAGATACATGGTTTTCAAACATTTTTTTCCATTCTGTAGGTTGTCTTTTCACTCTGTTGATTGTTTTCTTTGGTGTTCAGAGGCTTTTTTTCATGATGAAATGGCACTGATCTATTTTTGTTTTAGTTGCCTGTGCTTTATTTCATATCGAAGAAGTCATTGCCAAGACCAGTGTCATGAAGACTTCCCCTTATGTTTTGTTGTGGGAGTTTTATACTTTCAGGCTTTACATTTAAATCTTTAATCAATTTTGAGTTGATTTTTGTGTATGGGGTATGTTAAGGGTCCAGTTTTATTCCTTTGCAAGTATATATTCAGTTCTTCCAAAACTATTTGTTGAAGAGACTATCCTTTACCAAATTTGTAGTTGTGACACCCTCATTTATCTGTTTCTCTTACTTTCAGTGTATGTGTGTCTTTAAATCTAAAGCGAGTCTAAGGACTTATTATTGCCAATATCATAATGTTTTCTCACTATCATGGAGTTTTTGTCCCTCTTTTCCTCGCTTGCTGTCTTCGTCTTTTTTTTTTTTTTTGGTATTGATATACTTTAACTCCTTTCTTTTTCTTTTATGTATCTTCTGTAGGTTTTTTCTCCATGGTTATCATGGGGTATACATAAAACCTTTCATATTTGTAATTGTCTGTTTTAAACTGATAACAACTTAACTTCAATTGCATACAAAACCTCCATGCTTGGGGCTCCCTTGTATGTTACAAATCACTTTTCTCTTGTTGCTTTCAAGATTCTCCCTCTTTGACTTAAGACAGTTTGATTATAAAGTATCTGGATGTGATTCTCTTTGGTTTTATCACAGTTTTGAACCTGTTGAATCTTTTTCTTTTTTCAGATTTGGGAGTTTTATCCCAATATGTCTCCTAATACGCTCTATGCTTCTTTTTTTCCCCCTCTCTTCTCCCTCTGTTGCCCCTATAATGCATATATTGCCCAGCTTGATAGTGTCCCATAAGTCTCTTAGGCTATTTTGCTTTTCTTCATTCTCTTTTCTCATTTGCCCTTTGGCTCAATGATGTCAAATAAATTGTCTTTAAGTTACTGGACTTGATTCTGCTTGATTATGTCTGCTGTTGAACCCTTTTAATTTTTTAGTTTAGTTATTATATTTTTAAACCAGAATTTTTATTTGGTCCTTTCTTAGAGTTTCTCTTTATTGATATTCTCAGTTTACTAATCATTTTTCTAATTTCATTTAGTTGTCTATCTGTTCTCTTTTGGATCATTGAGCATCTTTATGACAGTTATTTTAAATTCTTTTTTTGAGTAGCCCCTTGGTACACATTTCTTTAGTGTTGGTTTCTGGAGTTTTATTTTGTTCCTTTGATTGGGCCACTTTTACCTGTTTCTTTATATGCTTTGTTATTTTTTGTTGGGATTTGGGCATTTTGAAGAAAAAAAAAAAGCCACCTCTCCTAATCTTTGTGGTATTGGCTTTGTGCAGGGAAAGATCTTCACCAGTCAGCCTGGTTGGAGGTTCCAGGACCTCTCAGAACTTTCCAATCTCTTGGATCTCCTGGCATTTAACTGTAGAACTGCAGCTCTAATGCACTGCTTACCCCTTTCTTCAGTGGCTTCCAAACTCTGCTGCTGTCCCATCAGCACTCCAAATCAGGCAAGACAGAAAAACCTTTCCTTAGGAAGCCCCAAGGGAAGTTAGAACATTTTATGCACTCTTTTGTTTTTCTCCTGAGGGAGGAGCCCAGACATGAGGGATTTTCTCCTTATTGCTCTGTGCTATGTAACATAGGGTGAGGGACAGAAACAGGTGCACAAAATGCAATGATTTTTTCTACCCCTTTCACTGGAATCCCTTCTGGGTTTTACAATAACCTGGGTTCCATAGCTTCCTAACTAGTCTCTAGAGTTCTCAGTTATTCTGGTCCCTATATTGTTGTTAACTCAGGGTCTCTCTAGGGGAAAGAGGGTCTATAGCATCCTATTTTGCTGTCTTGCTGATGTCCCCTCACATTTATGTATTTTAAAATTGACAAATAAAAATTGTATATATCTATGATGTACAGCATGTTTTGATATATATGTGTATATGTGTATATATACATATATATGCATTGTGGAATGGCTAAATCAAGCTATTTAACATAGGCATTACCTAATATACCATTTTGGTGGTGGGTAAACTTAAAATCTACTTTCAAAACAATTTTTAAGTATGCTATATATTGTTATAAACTGTAGTTACCATGATGGATAATAGGTCTCTTGAACTTATTTCTTTTGTCAAACTAAAATTTTGTTTCTTTTGACCAACATTTTCTCAATTTTCCCACCCCCCAGCCTGTGGTGACCACTATTTTACTTTCTATTTCTGAGTTCAACTTCATTAGATTGTACATATATGTGAGATCATGTGGTATTTGTTTTTCTGCACCTGGCTTATTTTACCCCAATTCACTCCAATTTATGCCTATTTCACTCCAATTTATGGCTTATTTCACTTCAATTTATGCTCCAAGGAACAAGGTTTTTCTATGTTGCTACAAATGGCAGGATTTCCTTCTTTTGTTTAAGGCTGAATAGTACTCCATTGTGTATATATACCAATGGAATATTGGTATATTTTCTTTATTCATTCATTTGTTGATGAAGTACACATTTAAAATAAATATGTACACATAAAATATTTAATTAGTAGTCTTGCATTTTTGCATTTTACATAAATGTTCTGTTGTACACACACAGATATCCTTCTGAAACTTTTCAACATGCTATGGTTTTGAGATTTTGCCATGTAACAAATGTAGTTCTAGTTCATTCTTTTCTTATTGTTTTATGATATTTCATTGTATGACTGTAACTGTTTATTGGATCATTCTTCTACTGATGGACATTAGAATATTTTTTCAGTCTTTAAGTATTACAAAAAAAAGCTACAGTAAGAATGCTTCACGTGTATGACTGTTCTCTGGGTTGTACACTTTAAAAGTAGACTTGCAGAGTCTCAGATTATACATATCCTCAAATACATTAGATATCTTCAAACTTATCTCCTAAAGGCTATACCAATTTATGGTCCAAGAAACAAGGTCCTCTTCTTCCACCTCCTCACTTATATCTGGTATTTTGCATTTAATTTAGTGAACGTGAGAAATATAACATGGTATCTCAACTTGTATTCACATTGTTAATAGTGAGAATGAGCATATGTCTTTTGGCTATTTGCATTTCCTATTCGATAACCATTTCTGTTAGCCTAAACTTCTAATATATGAAATTTAAGATAATAATGTTGAGGCT
The DNA here is from genome assembly GCF_000001405.40 of Homo sapiens. Taxonomy (NCBI): domain Eukaryota; kingdom Metazoa; phylum Chordata; class Mammalia; order Primates; family Hominidae; genus Homo; species Homo sapiens. The sequence goes on along the minus strand of NC_000023.11, from coordinate 96,015,885 downwards.
GTATGAGATGATATATGCATAACCCCAAAATCTACACATTCTCCACTTTTCTGGATTCACACTTTCCTTTAATATTGAAGCAATTTGACTTTATCCTTCTATTTTTCTATATTGTTGGACTATCACCAGGCTCTGCAATATTTCGAGAATTTATGAGAAGAGTAGCTCTCTGTGTGTATATGTGTGTGTGGAGGGGGGTGGGGATGTATGTGAAAGAATTTCTGTTCTCCTGATACCTACCACCTCCAAATTATTATTACAATATGTTTTTTGATACCTGATGTCATCTTACTTCCTGCAACTGTTATGTTGTCTACATCATTCTAAGCATGGAAAATAATATCTTCATTATTCTTCAATACAAATCCATCAAAACACTGTCGTGTATAACCAAAATGCATGGGAAAATTTGGGGGAATGATGGGTAATTTTTGCCCAAAAGAGAAAAGGTCTAGTGCAAGTTAGATATCACTATTTCCTGAATATTTTTATTGTTATTTTTGAGTCTCACTGCTATGGTTTGACTATATCCCATAAAGTTTATGTTTTGCAAATTTAATCCCAATGCAACAGTGTTGGGAGGTGAGGCCAAATAAGTGATTAGGTAATGAGAGATTTGCCCCCCTGAATGGATTAATGCTATTTTAGGATTGGGTTATTACAGGAATGGGTTATTGCAGGAGTGGATTAATTTTCAAGAAAGTGGCCTTGTTATAAAAGCAAGTTCAGCCCCCTCTTGTTCTTTTGCTCTCTTACAAGTGCTGTATTGTTATTCTACAGATGGCATAGTAAGAAGACCTTCACCAGTTATAAGCCCCTTGAGATTGGACTTCCCAGCTTCAGAATTGTAAGATATATATATTTCATATATATATATAGATTTTTATATATATATTTTATAAATTACTCAGTTTGTGGTATTCTGTTATAGCAATACAAAATGAACTAATACATTCACTATCAAGATCCTGGTAACAAATCCCAGATTTCTGTTGCTCTGCAATGTACAGAAATAAATTTCTCTGTTTCTCAAAACTCTTAGATTATTCTGTGAGAAAAGGATCTGGGGGCAAGGCAGGGATAGCTTGGGTTTTTGACTAAAAGGACAAGTTAAGAAGATTTTTAAAAAACAAATCGTGCAGTTCCATCTCACTTAAACATATGCAGCACCAATCCCAAACACATTCAAAAAGTACTGGAAAAAATATAAAGACAGAATATTTTATTGTACAAGAGTTCAAAACAATGTAATAAAGCAAAAAAGTATTACAAAGCATAAAAAGTAAAAGGTAAAGCAGTTTTGATTAAAGGACGTGATGAGTTTTTGATGTAAAAATTCCTACTAAAATATAATGTTTAAAAAGTTAAAAGTATGACTCTCATACAAATCATAAATAAATGACAGTTAAACATTTTATTCATCTCATTAATTAAAGACTGATTATGATGTTGACAGGCACATGAAGAGAAAATTGAGGAACAAAGATTTATATAGTAAAAGTGCTTCTGAAACAATTTTGACAATAAAAGCTTAACTGAGACACACATAGATTGAAAATAAAGGGCTAGAAAAGATACTTGAGGCCAATGGAAACAAAAACGTGCAGGAGTCACTATACTTATATAAGAAAAAATAGATTTCATGACAAATCTATAAGAAGATACAAAAATGGTCACTATGTAATGATAAAGGGGTCAATTTTTTTATTATATTTAAGTTGTGGGATACATGTGGAGAATGTGCAGGTTTGTTACATAGGTATACATGTGCCATGGTGGTTTGCTGCACCTATCAACCCGTTATCTACATTAGGTATTTCTCCTAATGCTATCGCTCCCTTAGCCACTCACCCCCACAAAAGGCCCCAGTGTGTGATGTTCCCCTCCCTGTGTCCATATGTTCTCATTGTTCAACTCCCACTTATGAGGGAGAACATGCGGTGTTTGGTTTTCTGTTCCTGTGTTAGTTTGCTGAGAATGGTGGTTTCCAGCTTCATCCACATCCCTGCGAAGAACATGAACTCATCCTCTTTTATGGCTGCATAGTATTCCATGGTGTATATGTGCCACATTTTCTTTATCCAGTCTATCATTGATGGGCATTTGGGTTGGTTCCAAGACTTTGCTACTGTGAATAGTGCTGCAATAAACATACATATGCATGTGTCTTCATAGTAGAATGATTTACAATTCTTTGGGTATATACTCCGTAATGGGATTGCTGGGTCAAATGGTATTTCTGGTTCTAGAAACTTGAGGAATCACCACACTGTCTTCCACGATGATTGAACTAATTTACCCTCCCACCAACAGTGTAAAAGCATTCCTATTTCTCCACATCCTCTCCAGCATCTGTTGTTTCCTGACTTTTTAATGATCTCCATTATAACTGGTGTGAGATGGTATCTCATTGTGGTTTTGATATGCATTTCTCTAATGACCAGTGATGATGAGCTTTTTTCATATGTTTGTTGGCCACATAAATGTCTTCTTTTGAGAAGTGTATGTTCATATCATTTGCCCACTTTTTGATGGGGTTGTTTGTTTTTTTCTTGTAAACTTGTTTAAGTTCCTTGTAGATTCTGGATATTAGCTCTTTGTCAGATGGATAGATTGCAAAATTTTTCTCCCATTCTATAGGTTGCCTGTTCACTTTGATGATAGTTTCTTTTGCTGTGCAGAAACTCTTTAGTTTATTTAGATCACTTTTGTCAATTTTGGCTTTTATTGCCATTGCTTTTGGTGTTTTAATCATGAAGTCTTGGCCATGCCTATGTCCTGAATGGTATTGCCTAGGTTTTCTTCTAGGGTTGTTACGGTTTTAGGTCTTACATTTAAGTCTTTAATCCATCTTGAGTTAATTTTCTTATAAGGTGTAAGGAAGGGGTTCAGTTTCAATTTTCTTCATATGGCTAGCCAGTTTTCCCAACACCATTTATTAAATAGGGAATCCTTTCCCCATTTCTTGTTTTTGTCAGGTTTGTCAAAGATCAGATGGTTTTAGATGTGTGGCGTTATTTCTGAGTTCTCTGTTCTGTTCCATCGGTCTATATATCTGTTTTGGTACCAGTACCATGCTGTTTTGGTTACTGTAGCCTTGTAGTATAGTTTGAAGTTAGGTAGCATGATGCCTCTAGCTTTGTTCTTTTTGCTTAGGATTGTCTTGGCCATATGGGCTCTTTCTGGTTCTACATGAAATTTAAAGTAGTTTTTCCTAATTCTGTGAAGAAAGTCAATGGTAGCTTGATGGGAATAGCATTGAATCCATAAATTACTTTCAGCAGTATGGCCATTTTCATGATACTGATTTTTTCCATCCATGAGCATGGAATGTTTTTCCATTTGTTTGTGTCCTCTCTTATTTCCTTGAGAAGTGGTTTGTAGTTCTCCTTGAAAAGTTTCTTCACATCCCTTGTTAATTGTATTCCTAGGTATTTTATTCTCCTTGTAGCAATTGTGAATGGGAGTTTACTCATGATTTGGCTCTCTGTTTTTCTATTATTGGTGAATAGGAATGCTTGTGATTTTTACACATTGATTTTGTGTTCTGAGATTTTGCTGAAGTTGCTTATCTGCTTAAGGAGATTTTGGGCTGAGACAATGGGGTTTTCTCAATATACAATCATGTCATCTGCAAACAGAGACAATTTGACTTCCTCTCTTCCTATTTGAATACCCTTTATTTTTTTTCTTGCCTGATTGCTGTGGCCAGAACTTCCAATACTATGTTGAATAGGAGTGGTGACAGAGGGTATCCTTGTCTTGTGCTGGTTTTCAAAGGGAATGCTTCCAGCTTTTGCCCATTCAGTATGATATTGGCTGTGGGTTTGTCATAAATAGCTCTTGTTATTTTGAGATGCATTCCATCAATACCTAGTTCATTGAGTGTTTTTAGCGTGAAGAGGTGTTGAATTTTATCGAAGTCCTTTTCTGTATTTATTGAGAAAATCATGTGGTTTTTGTCATTGGTTCTGTTTATGTGATGGATGACATTTATTGATTGCATATATTGAACCAGCCTTGCATCCCAGGGATGAAGCTGACTTGATCATTGTGGATAAGCTTTTTGATGTGCTGCTGGATTTGGTTTGCCAGTATTTTGAGGATTTTCACATCAATGTTTATCAGGGATATTTGCCTGAAATTTTCTTTGTGTGTGTGTGTGTGTGTGTGTGTGTGTGTGTGTGTGTGTGTGTCTTTGCCAGGTTTTGGTATCAGCATGATGTTGGCCTCATAAAATGAGTTAGGGAGGAGTCCCTCTTTTTCTATTGTTTGGAAAAGTTTCAGAAGGAATGCTACCAGCTACTCTTTGTACCTCTGGTAGAATTCAGCTGTGAATCCATATGGTCCTGGGCTTTTTTTGATTGGTAGGCTATTAATTACTGTCTCAATTTCAGAACTTGTTATTGGTCTATTCAGGGATTTGACTTCTTCCTGGTTTAGTCTTGGGAGGGTGTATGTGTCCAGGAATGTATCTATTTCTTCTAGATTTTCTAGTTTATTTGCATAGAGGTGTTTATAGTATTCTCTGATGGTAGTTTGTATTTCTGTGGGATCAGTGGTGATCTCCCCTTTATCATTTTTTATTGTGTCTATTTGATTCTTCTCTCTTTTCTTCTTTATTAGTCTGGGTAGCGGTCTATCTATTTTGTTGATCTTTTCAAAAACCCAGCTCCTGGATTCATTGATTTTTGAAGGGTTTTTCTTGTCTCTATCTCCTTCAGTTTTGCTCTGATCCTAGTTATTTCTTGTCTTCTGCTAGCTTTTGAATTGGTTTGCTCTTGCTTTGCTAGTTCTTTTAATTGTGATGTTAGGGTGTTGATTTTAGATCTTTCCTGCTTTCTCCTGTGGGCATTTAGTACTATAAATTTCCCTCTAAACATCTCTTTAGATGTGTCCCAGAGATTCTGGTATGTTGCATCTTTGTTCTCATTGTTCTCCTATCATATTGGTTTCAAAGAACTTATTTATTTCTGCCTTAATTTCATTATTTACCCAGTAGTCATTCAGGAGCAGGTTGTCCACTTTCCATGTAGTTGTACGGTTTTCAGTGAGTTTCTTAATCCTGAATTCTAATTTGCTTGTACTGGGGTCTGAGAGACTGTTATGATTTCAGTTTTTTGCATTTGCTGAGGAGTGATTTACTTCCAATTATGTGGTTTATGTTAGAATAAGTGCTGTGTGGTGCTGAGAAGAATGTATATTCTCTTTATTTGAGGTCAAGAATTCTATAGATATCTATTAGGTCTCCTTGGTCCAGAGCTGAGTTCAAGTCCTGGATATGCTTATTAATTTTCTGTCTTGTTTATCTGTCTAATATTGACAGTGGGGTGTTAAAGTCTCCCACTATTATTGTGTGGGAGTCTAAGTCTCTTTGTAGGTCTCTAAGGACTTGCTTTATGAATCTGTGTGCTCCTGTATTGGGTGCATATATATTTAGGATAGTTAGCTCTTCTTGTTGCATTGATCCCTTTACCATTATGTAAGTTCCTTGTAGATGCTGGATATTAGACCTTTGTCAGATGGGTAGATTGAAAAAATTTTCTCTCATTCTTTAGGTTGTCTGTTTACTCTGATGATAGTTTCTTTCACTGTGCAGAAGCTCTTTAGTTTAATTATATCCCATTTGTCAATTTTTGCTTCTGTTGCAATTGCTTTTGGTGTCTTCATCATGAAATGTTTGCCCGTTCCTATGTCCTGAATGGTATTGCCTAGGTTTTATTTTATGGTTTTTATAGTTTTGTGTTTTACATTTAAGACTTTAATCAATATTGAGTTGATCTTTGTTTGTGGTGTAAGGAAGGGGTTCTGTTTCAGTTTTCTGCATATGGCTAACCAGTTATCTCAGCACCATTTATTTAATAGGAAATTGCATTAGTTTATTTTCACACTGCTATGAACAAATACCTGAGACTGGATAATTTATGAAGGAAAGAGGTTTAATAGACTCACAGTTCCACATGGCTGGGGAGGCCTCACAATCATGGCGGAAGGCAAAGGAAAAGCAAAGTCTTGTCTTACATAGCAGCAGGCAAGAGAGAATTTGTGCAGGGAAACTTCCTCTTATAAAAACCATTAGCTCTCATGAGACTTATTCACTATCATGAGAACAGCACAGGAAAGACCTGCCTGCAGGATTCAATTACCCTCGACTAGGTTCCTTCCACAACACATGGGAATTGTGGGAGCTACAATTCAAGATGAGATTTGGGTTGGGGATACAGTCAAACCATATCAGGAATACTTTCCTCATTGCTCATTTTTACCAGGTTTCTTGAAGATCAGATGGTTGTTGATGTTTGATGTTATTTCTGAGGTCTCTGTTCTGTTCTATTGGTCTATATGTCTGTTTTGGTACCAGTGCCATGCAGTGTTAGTTACTGTAGCCTTGTAATATAGTTTGAAATTGAGTAGCATGATGCCTCCAGCTTTGTACTTATTGCTAAGGATTGTCTTGGCTATTCGGGCTCTGTTTTGGTTCCATATGACTTTTAAAATAGTTTTTTTTTTCTAATTCGATGAAGAAGGTCAATGGTAGTTTAATGGTAATAGCATTTAATTTATAAATTGGTTTGAGCAGTATGGAAATTTTCATGATACTGATTCTTCCTATCCAAGAGCATGGAATGTTTTTCCATTTGTTTGTGTCATCTCTGATTTATTTGAGCAGTGGTTTCTTTGAGCCAGAATTTCCAATACTATGTAGAATAGGAGTGGTGAGAGATGGCATCCTTGTCTTGTGCTAGTTTTCGTGGAGAATGCTTCCAGCTTTTCCCCATTCAGTATTATATTGGCTGTGGGTTTGTCATATATGGTTCTTATATTTTGAGGTATGTTCTTTCAATATCTAGTTCATTGAGAGTTTTTTTTATCATGAAGGAATGTTGAATTTTATCAAATGCCTTTTCTGCATCTATTGAGATAATCACATGGTTTTGTCTTTAGTTCTGTTTATGTGCTTGATTACATTTATTGACCTGCATGTGTTGAACCAATCTTGCATCCTGGGGATGAAGTCTACTTGATCATGATGGATTAGGTTTTTGATTTGCTGTTGGAGTCAGTTTGCAAGTATTTTGTTGAGGGTTTTTGCATAGATGTTTATCATAAATATTAGCCTGAAGTTTTCTTTTTTGTGTGTGTCTCTGCCAGATTTTGGTATCAGGATGATGCTGGTCTCATAGAATGACTTAGGTAGGAGTACCTCCTTTTCAATTTTTTGGAATAGATTCAGTGGAAATGGTACCAGCTCTTCTTTGTACCTCTAGTAGAATTCAGCTGTGAATCTGTCTGGTCCTGGGCTTTTTTGTTGGCAGGTTATTTTTTACTGCCTCAATTTCAGTTCTCATTATTGGTGTATTTAGGGATTCAATTTCTTCCTGGTTCAGTCTTGGGGGGGTATATGTGTGGAAGAATTTATTCATTTCTTCTAGGTTTTCTAGTTAATGTACGTAGAAGTGTTTATAGTATTCTCTGATGCTTGTTTGTATTTCTGTGGGTCCAGTGGTGATATTCCTCTCATAATTTCTGTCTTTATTTGAATCTTCTCTCTTTTCTTCTTTATTAGTCTAGCTAGCAGTCTATCTCTTTTATTTTTTTTTCAGAAAAACATCTCCTGGATTCATTAATTTTTTGAAGGGGATTTTGTGTCTCTATCTCCTTCATTTCTGCTCTCATCTTGGTTATTTCCTGTCTTCTGCTGGCTATGTGTTTTGTTTGCTCTTGATTCTCTAGTTCTTGTAGTTGTTATGTTAGGTTTTTAACTTGAGATCTTCCTACCTTTTTGATATAGGCATTTAGTGCTATAAACTTCCTTCTTAACACTGCTTTAGGTCCATCCCAGAGATTCTGTTACATTGTATCTTCATTCTCATTAGTTTAAAAGATCTTCTTGATTTCTGCCTTAATATAATTATTCACTCAAGAGTCATTCAAGAATGGATTGTTCAGTTTCCACGTAGTTTGTGGTTTTGAGTGAATTTCTTAATCTTGTGTCCTAATTTGATTGCACTGTGGTCTGAGATTGTTTGTTATAGTTTCGGTTCTTTTGCATTTGCTAAGGAGTAATTTACTTTAAATTACGTGACCAATTTAAAGTAACTGCCATGTGGCAATGAGAAGAGTGTATATTTTGTTGTTTTGGGGTGGAGAGGTTGGTATATGTCTATCAGGCCCACTTGATACAGAGCTGAGTTAATTTTCTGTCTTGATGATCTGTCTAATATTGTCAGTGATGTGTTAAAGTATTCCACTATTATTGCATGGGAGTCTATGTCTCTTTGAAGGTCTCTAAGAACTTGCTTTATGAATCTAAGTGCTCCTGTATTGGGTGCATATACATTTAAGATATTTAGCTCTTTTTGTTGAATTGAACTCTTTACCATTATGTAATGTCCTTCTTTGTCTTTTTTGATGTTTGTTGGTTTAAAGTCTGTTTTGTCAGAAACTAGGATTGCAATGCCTACTTTTTTCTGTTTTTCCATTTTCTTGGTAAATTTTCTTCATCCCTTAATTTCTAGCCTATGTGTGTCTTCACATGTGAGATGGGACTCTGGAAGACAGCATACAAATGGGTCTTTCTTCTTTGTCCAGTTGCCATTCTGTGTCTTTTTAATTGGGCAATTTAGCCCATTTCAATTTAAGGTTAGTATTCTTATGTGTAGATTTGATCTTGTCATCATGATTCTAGGTGTTTCTTTGCAGACTTGTTTATGTGGTTGCTTCATAGTGTCACTGGTCTGTGTATGTCAGTGTGTTTTTGTAGTGGCTGGTAATGGTTTTTTCTTCCTGAAGGAAGCACTAAAGATGGAAAGAAAAAACCATTTTTCTTTTAAAACTTGTGACTGCATTGTGAAGTTTTTGTAGTGTTTTTTTTTTTTTCAGCTCTAGCAGTTTGGTTATGTTCCTCTCTAAACTGGCTATTTTGGCTTTCAGCTCCTGTATTGTTTTATCATGATTTTTAACTTCTTGGCATTGGGTTACAACATGCTTATTTAGCTAACAGAAGTCCATTATTACCCACTTTCTGAAGCCTACTTCTGTCATTTTAGCCATTGGAGTCTCAGCCCAGTTTTGAGCCCTTGCTGGAGAGGTGTTGCAATCACTTGAAGGAAAAAGAGCACTCTGGCTTTTTGAATTTTCAGCATTTTTGTGTCGATTCTTGCTCATCTTTATGGGTTTATCTACCTTCAATCTTCGAGGTTGCCGACCTGTGGATGGGGTTTTTGTGGTTTTTGTTGTTGTTGTTGTTTTCTGTTTGCTTTTCTTTTAACAGTTTGGCCAGTCTTCTGTATGGCTGCTGTGGTTTGCTGGAGGTCCATTCCAGACCCTAGTTGCTTCGACTTTTCCTGTACCTGGAGATATCACCAGTGAAGGCTGCAAAACAGCAAGTTTGGCAGCCTGCCCGTTCTTCTGGAAGCTCCATCCCAGGGAAGGCATTGACCTATTGCTGGCCTGCATGTGCCTGTAGGAGGTAGATTTAGACTCCAGTTGGGAGGTCTCACCCAGTCAGGAGGAATAGGATTAGGGACCCTCTTAAAGAAGCAGTCTGGCCATGCCTTGACAAAACATCTGTATTGTAGTAGGGAACCACTTCTGCCCCGGTCAGCTTAGACTCTTCAAAGCCCACAGGCTGCAGTGGCTGAGTCGTCCAACCAACCCAGGTGGTGGCCCTCCCTGCTCCTGGGCACTCCTTCCTAGAGAGAAATCAGAGCCCTGTCCATTAAGCATGCAGGCTGGCATTGCTGGAAAGCCTGGCTGGGAGGTCCCACTCAGTGAGGAAGAATGGATCAGGGTCCCATTTAAAGAAGCAGTCTGGCCATGATCTGGCAAAGCCACTGTGCTGCGCTGCTGGGGGGACCCTTCCTCATCCCAAGTTTGGACTCTCCCAAGACCACAGGCTGGAATGGCTGAGTCAACCACACAGCAGAGATGGTGCACAATCCTCTGCCTGGGGGCTCCATCCAGTCTCTGGAAGGCTCCAATGTGTTACTGGTGCCGGCTGGAATTTCAGGCCAGTGGGTCTTATCTTGTGAGGTGCCATGGGGCCCACAGAATGATGCTGCTTGGTTCCCTGGATTCTGGCACTACCCTAGGGGTATGTGAAGACCTCCTGCCCTGCCTGAGTTGCAGGCATGATTGTTGGGGTTCCCAGGGCTAGAGTATGTAAAGCTCCTGGGTCTCTGTGAATGCCTGAGAAGCTGCTCTGCCAAGGCTCCACAAAGCTCTATGTGTCAGACCCAAGCCTCTGGTGGCATGAGCTCACGAGGGGATCTTCTGATTCACAGGTTGGAAAGATCCATGGGGGAAGCATGGTGTTACAGGATCAAACAATCACTCACTGCTTTCCTTGGGTGGGGGTCGGGGGTCCCTTGGCTCTGTGTGGGCTGTCACCCCACCCTGTTTTTCTTTGTTCTTCATGGGTCAAATTGTTTCCCTAATCAGTCCCACTGCAAGAATCTGGATATTTCAGTTCAAGGTGCTGTATTCGCTCGCCCCTTTTTTTCCTCTCCGTGAGTGCCATGGACTGTAGCTGCTTCTAATAGGGCATCTTGGCCCCTCTCCTTGTTTTTATTTTCAGAAAAAAATACTAAAGTATTTGGAATAAAGGGGTACAATATATCCAAATGACTTCAACCTTCTCTTAAACAGTTTAAGAAGATATATATATATATGTAAAATGTAATTTATTTATAAATAATTTTATGTGTAACTTATACATAAATAAATAATTTATATATACAATTTACATATAATTTATATATAAAAATATGTATTTAAAGATAGAAAGTATAAGCAATCAGTGAATCTGGATAAATAGTACATATATGTTTCTAATATTATGTTAGAAACTTTTGATGTGAAATTATATAAAAATTGTAATTTTAAAAATTATTGCTTACCTTTTCATAGATCTATTTTTTTTTTAGAAAGCCAATTTTCATGGCAATAGTTAGTAAATGGAAAAGTACTGGGGAGAGAGTAGAAACTTATTTCCCTCTGCCGGAATACTCTAAGAGGCATTTTGACTTTTTCCCCTGATACATACATAAAGGATCTGGCATGTAAAAAACACTCAAATACATGTCAGCTATTTATATCATGCAGATCTATAGCTATAACGTTTCTTTTCATCAGCTTTACAGTGGGCCTAAAATAAGTGGTTTATACGTCTAAGTTTCTCATGTGTTTCCTAAGGAGAATTTTATGGTTTTATTAAGTTGTATTGTCTTAGGGCTCATGTTGTTATTGCTGAGTAACAAACCACCTCAAGCTGAGTGATGCAGACAATAGGAATTTTGTTATGTTAATGGAATCTGTGAGTCAGGAAGTAGGAAAGGGCAGAGGGTGTATAGCTTCTCTCTGCTATACAATATTCAGGGCCTCAATAAAGAAGACTCAAAGGCTGTGTGTGAGTTGATAGTCAAAGACTGGGATTATTTCAAGGCTTATTCACTCACATGTCCTGCCCTAAAGTGGAGGGCCCTGAAGCATAGAACTACCAACAGGAGCAACATAGTATTAGGAATTCCTATATATCTTTTATCTAGATTCACTGATTGGCCTCTCCACGTGGTTTGGTGTCCTCAAAGCGTGGCAGACTCTGGGTAGTCAAATTCTTCTATGGTGGCTTGGGACTCCAGATAGGAGTCTTCCAAGAACAAGATGGAGACTGCATCACTTTTTCTGACATTGCCTTGGAAGTCAAGAAGTCATGCATCTTTTCTTCTCTGACATCCTGTCAATTACATGGGGGGGTCAAAAGCCCACTTAGATTCAAGAGGAGAGTACATAGAACTTACCACTCAATAGGAAGAATATCAAGTCTATGTTGTAGAAAAGCATGTGGGATAAGGATTATTGTTGCAGACATTTGGAAAATGCAATCTATCACATCAAGTCTTTTTCATTTCAAAAAAATCCCCACTCATCTGCCTCAGATGCTTTGCCTTTTCAACAGAAACATACAATATTACTGGTACTATATCGAATCTCCAAAAATCAATCTCAAAATATTTGGTTACAGGGAGTGACCAAAAGAATTTAAATATACTGAGTGTATTCTGGGTGCATTTTTAAAAATTGGAAATATATTCTCATTCTACTGAATAAAAATGTCTGGGATGGGACTTGTCAGTCTATAGTTTATTAACAGGCTTTCTAGTATCACCTGGGACTTTGTTGAAAATTCAGAATCTTAGGTCCCACCCTAGGCCTACTGAAACAGTCTAAGCAGATTTCCAGGTGATTAGTATGTGCCTTAAAGTTTGAGAAGCTCTAGTTTAAGTGATTTTGATGTTCTTTCAGTTGTGAAAATCAATCTCTTTACAATAATTAAAAGTAATGGCAAAAACCACAATTACATTTGCACCAACCTAATAATATCATCAGAATGTGGTTGACTATGTAGGCCCATCTGTGGCAGAATCGTTTATTAAAGTGCTAGAAGTTGAGACACTAGAATCTACATTTTATTAAGCTTTTCATCTCAAGTTATTCTTTTGCCAACTTTGGTTTGAGAACCGCTTCTCTAAAGCAGTGTGAATTATTGCACGACTCTAAGCATTCTTATTATTCCAGCACCATTACTATCACCTAGGATCTTAGAAATGCCACATTCTCAGATGCCACTCCAGAGCTACTGAACCAAAAACTCTAGGGGTGGGGCCCGCCAATCTTCGTTTTAGCAAGGTCTTTTGGTGATTCTGACACACACTAAAGTTTGAGAACTGCTGTGCTAACATAGAGACGATATACCCAGAAATAGCTAACATAAAATTATTAGCTTACCAGACAGGAGTTTGTTCTATTTCTGACACCAAATAATTTTACTCAATCTTTCAAACTGTGTTAACTACCCTAGCTAAAATTATTTTTTAAAAAACGATTTTGTATCATGCCTGGCTTTCATAAGAAAACACATTTATTGTCATGCTTACATTTTGGCAGAGTACTTTTATTTAAATTTTAAAGTATGCATCCTCATTTTTCCAGTTTGTCACATGCATCTCTAAATAGCACAGAATATTGCACGTAATCCATTTCTATTATACCATTTTGCCACTAAGGATGAGTGACAAGAGTAGCCCTTTCGATTCATGTATAAGTGACTGGTAGCCCACCTGTACCTGTTTTCTACCAACTGTTTAGTTGTCATGGGTATAACAGCCTGTCTGACAGCCTGAATTGATGCAGTGTTAATGAAAAGGAACACCTGGGCAGAGCAGAGCATCAGACTCTTGCCCCATCAGTTGAAGCAGCTGTGGTCTACAGCGTGCCAAGAAAAGGTCAAGAAAGGCGAGCAAGCCGTGCAGAGAGAAAAAAATAAAAACGGAACAAAACTTATGTTTCTCTAAGGAAGCTGGTCCCCAGTGAATGTGAGAGAATGACTAAAATAACCCCAAATATGCCTCTGGAGATCAGGTTTAGAAAGAAATGCAACACTCTGAAGAAATGAAGTGTATTTTTGAGCAGAGGAGGCCCTGCCTGTGTATACCCAGTGCATATGAAGCTGTGACAGCATTATGCTATTAATATTTATGCTGCACCGTTTTCAAGGTTTTATAGAATTCTTGCTGTTCTGCATTAACACCTGGATAAAAAGCTGTTGAGTTTGCTTTGTTGAATTATGTGGTTGATAGTATTGTACTCACATTTCTAAGTGATACATATGGCTGTGAAGAGAGGTTTGGAGGTTTGATATAAAACTGTGCAAAAATTTGGGGTGGTCTAGATATGGTTGTTAAATCAAAGGATAATGAATGGCAAGATATCCATTTTGTAAAACTAGATGTATGTACATTGAAGAAAGACTGGAAGAATATACAGCCAGATGTTAATAATAGTTATATCTGGTTGGCAAGATTATGTTTAGTTTTCCTACTTTTATGATTTTACATGTTGTATATAATAATGCATGACTAAGTATTACTTTTATTATTTTAAAAGGTGACTCAGTTTTGCTTTGTGAAAAAGCGGACTGAAAATTAGACATTTCACTGTTGCTAAATTAAGTATAGTGCCTTTGCTAGTGTAGTGGGTTCTTGGACCAGCAGCATTGACATTACCTGGGATGTTAGAAATGCACCCAAGACCTACTGAATCCGAATGTTCATTTTTACAAGGTTCTCAGGTGATAACTATGAAGAAAAATTTTGGAGAAGCAGTGAGATAGGGCATTAGTCTTAGAAAAGAGAACCATCCATGCTAAATTTGTTTAATTCCTATATTAGGTATTATATTCAACAGATTTCAGCATGCTCAAGATTGAAATAAAAATAGAATTTTCAAATAGGGCCAATCTACTTAATTTAAAAATTACCTACTCATTGAGATGCATAGATAAAGAAAAGTGAGAGTTTATGTTAGAAAATGTATTAAGGAGGAAAAATTAGACCAAATGCAGATTGTTTCTCATTCAGTTTTCTTTTCAATAACAATAATTTGGATTGCAAAGGTCCAGCACCTGGAAATAAAGTTTGCTGGCAACCAAAATTGATGGTGAATTTATGAAAACAGGAAGAATTCTCATGGTACCATTCTCTCTGCAATTTCAGGGAAAATAGCTCCATGAAAGCTTGGATTGCAATTATTACAGACAGTGGGTTTTCTATAGCCACAGCCGTTTATAAATCATTTGTAATTGCTGGTGTACTTATTATCAAAGTGTGAACCACAGCAAACCCAGACTCCTGTTTTTCTGTATGACTCATGCCTTTATTCTCTCCCTTTTTATGCTCCTCTATAAACTGTTGTAAAATATGGTGTTTCATTTTTATCTAAAGTTATTTTATTCAGTAAACACTCTGAATGCTAATAACAGCTGATAAAATATATATGTTATTTTAATGAGCCTGATTAACAGATGTATTCAAAATTTGCAGAGGTTGTTAGAGAAAGTGTATCGATATTTCTAACTTTTAAAGTAGATAATGACTTGTACTACTTTCTCTCCCCACCCCCCATTCTCTTTGTGTAAGTGTGAGTGTGTGAGTGTGTGTGTTTGTGTTTGTGTATGACTGATGAGAGAAACAGCAGGAAAGCAGAATGATATCCAGTTTCTCCAATTTAATGTGCATGTAAACCACCTGGGAACCGTGTTAAAATGCAGATTCTGAATATTTACTTCGCAAGATTGGAGTGGAAAGAACCACTCCAGGCTTCAGAGGCAAAAGGAACCTGGCCCAGCCAATTGTTCTTTAGTATGTTACTTCATTTGTATGATTAGTTTAATTATTGGATTTCATCATCTGTAAAATGAGGTTAAAAATTGTGAGGATTCAAAAAAAAACCAAATTATATTTATAAAGCATCTGATAGATTGAAAAACTCAATAGATGGTACTCATTTTATTATTGCTATTAGGTTGATGGTCTGGTATACACAATAACTTTAAGGAAAAGAAGTGTCAAATGAAACAGCTAACATATGTCACAATGTGAAATCTCAAGCTTGCTTATATCTGGCCCTTTTGAGCTTCTTTGTCTACAGGGATATCCCCCTGGACCATGAACTGACACAGAAGAAAAATGGGACACTAATATTTCAGCATTCTCAACTTCAGGCTAGTATCACTTGGCTGGATTATGTCGTTGCCAGTTTTTGGTATCATTTTGTTCTCCTCATTGCAATGGTTAGAAGTACCCACCCTTTTGGACTTCACTGCTTTCTTACTTTCCTGGTTATAACCTCACATCTTTTAAAACAATTATTTTGATAAAAATTGAAATTCTCCCTCCAGCTGTCACTTGAAGCTGCCTTGAAGTTCCAACAACACTCCAGTTCTAACTTAGGTTAATCTTGTGAAAGTCCTTGGATTTATCATGGTTCTTGGGAAGAAAACCAGATTGTTTTAGGCTTACCAATAAAACTATTGGAATAAATTTTAACAGGTTTATTAGTCAAATATTTCAGTTCTTGGTTACACATATACAGCTCCACACAAAATCCCCTGTATATGCACACAAAAAATTCCCTCATGCACCCTCTGTTTATATTATTATTCTAGAATGACACATTCAGTAGACAGGAAAAGGAGGCTTTGTGAGTTGGTGGTTTATTTCCCAGGAGTTCCATTTCCTGGGATATATTTTATACAATACAGGGTGAGTTCACAAGCACCCTTCATACGTCAAGGTGTTCTTAGTTAAAACTGTACTTTTTTCTTAGTTGAGGTTGAATGTCTGATTTCTACATTGATGTTTTGACATCTCGCCCTCAATGGTTGGTTTTGAAATCTCATCAACTGCGTATTCATTAGGTCCAGACTGACTAGTTGACCTTATTTTTCTTAGCTCTTTTGAACTTATTTCTAAGTTCTGTTAAACTTTTCTTATACTGGTTCTATTTTCTGGCAAACTCTAAGTCACAATTTTCAATTTTTATTTTCCATAATCACTTACACCTAATAACTCATTCAGTTTCATTTTATTTCTGATTGATTTACTGGTATGAAGTTATTATTCAATGTATGATTATAGTGTATCCATCTAAAATTTGTCAGGGCCTAATAATCATTGTAAATATCACTAATATTATCAGTACTAATGTAATTGCTATTGCCTTATTGCTGATCATGAATACTATTGTTAATATACTGTTAGGGTTAGTAATAATTGCATGATACTTCATGGTGTGGAATATTCAGAGCGCATTTTTAATTATATTGTTAATGTAGTTAACTGCTTTCCAAAAATTGTCTCAAACATTTAAAGTTTTATTTCAGTATTGATATCAGGGTCTGTCTTGATCAAGAAATGTTTAATGAGCATCTACTATGTTTGAGATAAAGAAATACGTACCAAGGATGGAAAGTGATGTGATAGTCTGGGTCTTTAAGAAATTTATAGAGTAGTTGAGAAGGCAAAGCATATTAAAAATCAGATAATCCCTGAGTGGAAAAGGTTTCTAAATCTCATTTTGCTTATTTGATCCTTAAGTTTTCTCTTGAACTCTTCTCTAATTGAATATTTTTAATAGCAGAGACTTCATTATCTCCTGAGGCGGTAGCCCATTCTCTGTCAAATCAGATCTGACTACTGGAAAGTCATTTTTGAACTGGGTTGAAAATAATATCCCAATAGTTTTTAACCATAGGCCCTGGTTTTATCTTTTGGAGCCCTATAGAACCATCCTATTTGCTACCCATATAGGAACACAGATTAGTCAAAGATAATTAGCATATCACCTCTTGCCCATCCTCAAAACTTCTCTAAGGTAAATATCTCTAGTCTTCTCAGGAATTCATCCTGTGCAAAATCATGGTTTTGGTCTTTTTAATCCCTTGGATGATGGCCTTTCAACATGCATAAATGTTAGATAATAATACAGTACTGTACACATTAAGTGTCTAATAAGTAATACAGGCAATGCGAGTTACAGGAATTCAGAGAAGGGAATATTACTTGAGGTCTAAGTAATTGGGCAGGGTTTAATGGATGAAGTCATATATGCACTGGGTCTTAGACACATGAAGAAGATGAAAAAGTTGTGTTGTATGTGGCTATTTCGGGAACAATGTTCAGATTTTTTTAGCTCAATTACATGTCAAGTACAGGCATTGAGATACTCCATCAACATCCATTTGAATATATCTATACCACATTTTGATTAATCTTTGTCCCATATTCTTCTTAACAAATAATGGCCAATTTTTATGCATTTCCATGCAAAGCAAGGGGTATATTGAGTTTCAGTGACTATTTCAGTTTCACAAACACCCCATGAAAGTTTTAGGCATATTATTTTGAGATGGTTGCTTCCATTATGATGTGATTTTCTAGGGTCAGATGTCTCCTGCTATGAATTTGGATGCTTCTAGAGCAGAAGTTTCTCTTTATGAAAACATCAAAATTATCTAAGTTTTCATTTCAATAAAGTCCGCTCAATCCAAGACTCCAGCAAATATAACATTTTCTATGAAACCTTCACTTATTTTCACAGGCGGGGAGTGACAAGGGCTAAGGAGAGAAAGGAGGACATGGGGACAGTGTGAGTAAGGACACGTTCATGTACTTATGAGATAAGCGGTGGGTAAAGTACATGTGTTGTGCTAAGACATACAGTGCCCAAAAGATAAGCTGTGTTGCATGTCATGACTTGGTGTGATTTTTGTTGTATAACCTATGTGTAATGACCATACGTTGTGTAACGACCATATGTTGTGTAACCTGTGTGGTGTAGGTGTGCATGTGGTAGTGCTCATGTTAGTTTTGTCTGCTTACGTCAGAGGATAACTACCTGTTTGGGGATGGGTGAACTATTTGAATGAAAATCCAAGAATAAGCTTCTTAAAAGGGCAAAGTGGTAGCCAATAATATTGTAGTGAAGTTTCCCATAATAAATATCTTCCCATAGCTTGAAAACACATATTCCTTCATTCAATAGTCACCAAACAATAACTGACTATCTATTATGTGCCAGCATCATAATAGGCCCCGGGGATGGTAAGCAAAAACAGACCAGTCCCTACCTTCCAGGTTTTCATAGTCTAGTCATAAAGACAGACATTAATGAATTAATCACACACATAATTATCAGTTGATATAACTGTTCCAAAGGAAAAGAATAGGATGCTATAAGAGAATAAGATGGTATGTGTCATTTTGTGTATTATGTGTATTCTCTACTATACCTAGAGATACAAGCCAGTCACTACTAGAGACCTCAGTGGTGTCACCCTCAAGAAGTTGCTTCTTCCTTTGGGACCTCACAACACTCAAGTCATACATAATTTATGACCCTTGTCAGTGTGATCAGCCATTTACACATCTGTCTCCCCAAGTAGAATGTGAGCTCCTGGAGAACAGAAACCAATTTAACCCCTCCCTGTACCTCTGAGGAGCCCAATGCTTAGCACACAGTGAGGTTTTAATAAATGTTAACTGAATGACTAAATAAATCCTACTACAGTGCAATACAGGTTAAAATTATATCCAAAGCCAACATTTTTCAGCAAGGATGCAGGACCACAAGACCTCTTTACCTCAATTATTATATGTTCTAAACTCCTGCATGTCAGATAGTACTATTTTATTATACAATGAAATCTTGTACATTCCATTCTTTTTAACTATATGCTCAATTTCAAAGTATGCATTTCAAGTTCACCTAGAGATTTGTAAATCAAGGTGTTTTTTTTTTAAAAAAATTTAGAAAATAAGCAAACTTAGCATTAGAGACTCAAGTCCAATTAATTAGTAATTTGGGAGGAAAGCTTTAAACTGTCAAATAAATCCCAAAGTGCTTCAGTGAATGTATTAGGCAGATTGTGATGCTGGTAAATCTAAACTTGATTGAGACTGTGGTGAAGAGTTTGGAAATTATACACCATTTAATCTCTTATTTGAGGGGGAGGGTTCATTGCTTTTAATATGTACCCATTTTATTGCTTCATCAGCACTTTTGCTTCTTAGATTTCCCACTAACATTTCAGTTAAAACCTTTTCCAGAGGCTAAAATATGTCTGCATACATTCAGTATATTTAACTTACACCTCAGAATCAAATAGGGATATTACAGAAGCGGGACTGTGAAAAGAATTTAGGAAGGTAAGTTTTTTTTTCTGGTTGGACTGTCATAATAAAAGTGTATAATTCAATAGATGATTATAGAGTAATAAGTATGCTTAAAGTTAATCCTGAGTCAAACAGGGACACAGAATTTGAGATACTCCTGACCCTCATTGTGGATGCCTCTATTTATTAGCCAGCTTAAACTTGGTCAAGGGAAGGATAGGCTCCCACAAAAGTAAAATTCTCCTTAATGAGCTGTTAATTGTTTACATGCAGCCTGAAGTTGCCTGATGATATTTCTTCTAATTTTACTAATGTATTCCCGGTCCTGCTGCTATGATGGCCTCAGGCAAACTCTATCATAAAAATGCAGGTGTGCTTAGCAGGTATAATAAAAGTATAATAAAAGTGCAGATGCGCATAGCAGGTTTGTCAGTTGATCTGCCCATATCAGCTTAAAAGAACTTCACATTTCTATAAATTAACAAATGAATCACTAGTGCACTGATTTTCTGATTGCTCTCTCTTCATCATTTTCTCCCTAGGCCCAGACTGACTAGGCTATTTTACAGGAGTTGGAGATGACTCATAACCCTATGTTACTTTGTCTCACAGATGGCATCATTTTATCTTATGCACAAAGAGACTGACAAGTGACATTGTTGCATTGATTTTATTGTATTAGGCTATGAAGAGCACTGGCTGTGATGAATATATAATCTGGAACGGGAGTTTGCATTTGGGACTCGGAACTTTGGTAGGGTGGACAGAAAGATGAAAAGAAAGATTTTTAAAAAGGCATATAGAGGGTGGAGAGAGAGAAGTGTTAAGAGAGACCACATTCTCTGTATAACCAAGTTATTATTTTTTATACATCAGAGAATACTGAAGACCCATAGATGGTTCTCAGGCTAATCTAGTCGTTTGGCACTAGAAAGTAGTTTCTAGACTGTGCTAAAACTGTTGACCCAAGACTTTTCAATTCATGCCCATAGTTACAGACTTGCTGGTAATTTTCATTAACCAAGGAACATAGGGATGCTGTAGGACTGAGGTGAATAATTGGCTTATTGCCAATACTGAAATGCTAGGGCGGCAATTTTCCCCATTAAGTAAAGTATGAAAGAGAAGAATTCTCTAAAATGTGTGTGTGTGTGTGTGTGCACGTGTGTGTGTGTGTGCTTTCCTTTAGTAGTGGTCACTGAATGCAGGAGTGGCAGGGGTGGGAATATGTAGAAATTCAATGGAAATAAAAGTTTTATCTTATCATGCAGGATGAGTCAAGGATAGCTTCCTTTTGATATATTCAGAAAAAAACCCAAACCTGTCAACTGGGTAGAATCCTGTGTCTATTCTGTCAGAAAGCTAGATGTTTTGTTACAGGTACCTGCCATTGTGAGAACAGAATTATCAAAGCTCGTTGTTTTATAAAAAGGGATCATTGCACTCAGCAAAGCATGCAAATACCAGTGTAGTTTCCTATCATAGCTAAATAACAGTAGTGCTGCGGCTTCTTAAAGAGCTTGATGATTTCTGTTAAAACTCAGATTTTCTAGATCAAAGCCAGAAACTTCTGCTAGTGTATCAGGTATTAATTTTACCTTATCATAAACTCTGGAAACAACTCTCATTTTCTAAACCAAACTAAATCTGACCTGAAGTCCCCTTTATGGATTCCATGGGGAAGATTTAATATTACTTATTATTGTGTCTCCTGTCCTACCTCCCCAGGTTGTAAAAAGGCCTTAGTTTATGCAATCCAGAATTTCAAATGTCCCTGCCGATGTGCTTATTAGCCCAGCTTTCATATTCCATTGTGAGCTGTAGCACTGCTTCTTGTTTGACAGGCTCAGGCACAAGGTTTGTGGCTGGGACTAGGTCTAGCTCATGTGTTCTCTAGATGGAACTCACCTGAAGTTTCGTCTCTTCCCCATCAACTCTTGAGACTCAAAACCATGTATCTCAGCTATTTGGAGACCACGGAAAACACAGTCACCTACCCAGGCTCAGCTACTTTCCCCACCTACCTCTCCAAGTGCGTCTCTCCATTTGGGATGACTTTGCATTGTCCCTTCCCAGTGGGCCTTTAGAGATAGACATTTGCCACTGTCTCTTCTGGGAGAGTGGGGCAGGAAATACCAAAATCAGTCTGTTTTATTCAAAACATCTCATTCCGTTAGTAGTAGTTTTCATTAACTAAAGAACAACTGTTCCTATCACTCCAAAGTGAATCTATGGTCCATGTAGTTGTAGTCTATTATTGATTAACAAATCACGAGTTCAGAGAGACAGGCTGCGTCTTAAATAGAAACTATTTTAGATTAATCTTCCCTAAGTATTGGCTCCATTGCATCACTTCCTTCATTAAAAAATAGTGTTATCAGATAAATCTCTTCTGACTTCTATAATATTGTTTTGACTTACCTTTTCAGTTTTCTGTCTTGTAAATACCCAAGGCTCAAGCAAACCTGGACTGAGTTATTTGAACATTCTGTTATCTGAATACTATCATCTTCATACTTTCAATCTTGCTGTTGTGACTGGAATGCCCTCCCTACATATCTGCCTGTTGAGATCCTACTTAGTACTCAAAGTTCAACCTGAATGCTAATTCCTTTAGGAATTCTTTTACAATTCCTTTCATTTAATTTTATTTCTTTCTTCTCAGGATATTTCATTTGTACTTCTCTTTTTGAGATTTTCATATTCTACCTTAGAGCATGATTATTTGTATTTTGCTTTAGCTTTTCAACTAGTTTGCACATTTCCTGAGGGCAGGGACAGTGACCAAAGTCTGAGAAATCTAGCAGAATGCCTCAACAGCTAGACATTCAACAATTAGTTTTGCAATTAGTGGGTCATATCCCGAGCTATTTTTAGATGAGACACCATTTTTTCTTCCCACAATGCCTCCAAATGTTTGGGCTATATCTGTTTTTGTACATATGAAGTTTGTTCTCCAACATTTCTTACACCTTGGCTTCCTGTAGAGTAAACACATATCTACCTACTCATTCATGGTAGCTTCAATTTGAACTTTCCTTATAGTGCCTTTTCTGATTCATCACTGGCTAACAATTTCTTTGTTCCCTTTACTATATTTCTGTTGGAATTACAGTAAACTGTATTGGGATAGATGAAGTAACTAGACTCTGCATTTGTCTAACTTAAGAAAGTTGATAAACCTCTAGACATCACAAGAATAATTCTGAAAAACAAATTAAAACTTTGTA
Organism: Homo sapiens; assembly: GCF_000001405.40. NCBI lineage: Eukaryota > Metazoa > Chordata > Mammalia > Primates > Hominidae > Homo > Homo sapiens. The sequence continues at coordinate 95,993,141 of NC_000023.11, read as the reverse complement.
AATTTTTTATTAGGTTGTGGGTATATGAGGGGCTGTTCCAAACTGGAAGGAGCTTATTTTGACCTTTGTAAATGCTGGTCTTTAATGCTCTTTTTCTCCTCTATCCTGCAAATTCCTACATATCCTTTATGGTCCAGCTTACGTAGCTTTTTGTTTTTGTTTTTGTTTTTTTTTCTCTGTTTTGAGACAGGGTCTCACTCTGTCTTCCAGGATGGAGTGCAGTGGTGTGATAATAACTTATTGTAACCTCAAACTACTGGCCTTAAGCGACACCCCTCACCCCCCGCCCACACCTAAGCTTCCCGAGTAGCTGGGACCATGGGTGCACACCACCATGCCCAGCTAATTTTTTAAAAATTTCTTTTAGAGATGATGTTTACCTATGTTTCCCAGGCTGGTCTCAAGCAAACCTCCCATCTCCACCTCTCAAAGTATTGGGATTACAGGGGTAAACCACCATGCCCGGCCCCTCAAGTAGTTTTTTAGGTGAAGTTAGTTCCACTTAACTTGTGCCACTACTCTGCCTTATACTAATATCAAATATAGCACAAACCATATTGCGCTGTTCCTTTAAAACACTCCTCACTATTGTAATTATTTTGTAAATATTATTTAAACGCTGACATTGTCACTAGACTGATTCCATAGGACAGGTAACATTTCTATTTTTTTTCATAGTTCATATCCCCAATACTTACCATTTAGTAACTAGTCATGACAGTTTGTTGTATATTATGTGTATTTATTTTTTTTCTGTTACTATGGTTTTCTTCCGCATTCAGCTATGCAGTGACTGCATTTTAATTTCTTGTTGTATACCTGGAACCTAGTATAGCACCTAAAATATAGAAAACAGTAAATGTTTGATAAAGGCTGTATAATTAGTGAATTATGAGATATGTACACCAGGTGCACATTTCCTTTACTAGATTCTCTGCTTTTTGAGAGTAGTGGATGGATCTTATTCCTTTTGGTTTCTCCCTAGAACTTAACATAGTACCTAATGAATTGAAGGTAATCAATAAGGTGAAAGAAGACCTAATTCTAATTTTATTTTATTTTAATTTATTTTTGAGACGGAGTTTTGCTCTTTCGCCCAGGCTGGAGCGCAGTGTCGTGATCTCGGCTCACTGCAACCTCCACCTTCTTGTTTCAAGCAATTCTCCTGCCTCAGCCTCCTGAGTAGTTGGGATTACAGGCACCCGTCACCACACCCAGATAATGTTTTTTGTATTTTTAGTAGAGAAGAGATTTCACCACGTTGGCCAGGCTGGTCTCGAATTCCTGACCTCACGATCCACTCGCCTTGGCTTCCCAAAGTGCTGGGGTTACAGGCGTGACCTAATTCTAATTTTAACATTGACTTGCTCTATACCTCAATAAGTCTTTTACTTAGTTGACATGTATCAATTGTGTGTTTTCTGGGTGGAAGGTACTTTATTATCTTTTAAAATTTCCCATGTGTCAAAAATAGAGAAATTTTCTAGATTTTGTATAGTTTGGAATATTGGGAAATACCAAAGAGTATATTAGGAATATTTTGAAGATGAAGAAACTGTAGTTGATAATAAATTTGTAGCAGCCTGAGTTTCTTGGTTAATTTTGTTTTCTTGTTAATTAAATGTTGCTGTATATACAACATATAACTTTCATTTCTCACAGCATTGAAATAAAATGTAATGTAACTTAGCCCTAATACTATGGTGAATGCATTTTTTCAAGTTACTGATTTGAAAGGTTTTCTGGATCTTGAAGTAGCTCTGAGTCATGATGAAACTGAATAATGACCCTTCAGCTTGATTCTCAGACCCAGCATGTGTAATCTTGCAAATACTTACAAATGTGTACTATTTTACAGCCAGAACAATAATGTCTTGACTCGATTTACCAGTGTAAGGTCCTCCATGCAGCAACCTTCCCTAGACATGTTATCTAAAAGGAGCCAATCTATACCCTTGGGCAATGCATACTCTTTGATGGCTTGAGTAGATTGCTAAACATCGTTTTAGCCCCTCTATTATGTAGGGGCAGGATGTTTAGTAATGGGAGACCTTCTATGTAAAGAAAACTGTTACTGTTTAAAATTCACACTGCACCAAGCTGAAGAGGAACCAAAAAATGTATAAAGAGAAGGTAGGTTTACGTAACAAAAGAGGAGTTCTGTTTGTACGCTATAAAACATTCAATGTTGTTCCACTAGCCGTCGCAACAGTTTGCTTTATACAAAACTAAAAGTCACGTGTCTCAATGCTAATAGATTGAAGAGGGAGGAACGAAGAGAGAAAAGTCTACAGGTACTCATTATGCAAAAACTCACTTCACAGACCGGGATAATGAACATTTATGATCATCTGGAGATAGAATCCCTGGTGAGAATAAGACAGTGCTAAATGCATACTGAACAAATAATAGGTACTGAATATTGATTTAATATCATTTAAAAATATACCTCTGATGCTAAATGAGAATTTAAATGTGGAATATTGTTAACATGCAATGCAGACAGTGAGAAGCTTTTTATGCACCACATTTATATTGCAAACACAGAGGCCCAGTATTTTAATAATGAAAAACTTGTTTACCTGCCCAGATAATATACCCATCATAATTAATTGTATTTCAGAAAATTTTTAATATCTATGTGGAAAAGAGTTCAAGATTAGGAAATATTTAAAGTCATCAAATGTACCAAAAGAAGCCAGTTAGTTTTTATTGGTCTCTATCTAATCCAAGAGCAGATTTTTCTTTCTGTTCTAATTCCTTAGAAGTTGAAGCAATGAAGTGTATAATATATACTACTTCCATAAGTGATCATGCCTCTATTCACCTTGTAAGAGAACTAGATATTATAATGCAGACATTCTCACTGAGCAGATTAAAAAGTGCTTTTATTGTAAGATTATACTGAAAATAATCAGAGTTTAAATCTCATTCTGACTTTGATATGATGATAGTATCTGAACACAATATAAGCTATCAACATTATTTTAAAAAGTTTTAGTTTCTAATTATTTAAAGAAAAAAATAAAATTTGCAGTTAAAGCAGTGTGTTACTAAAGCTTTTCCTGGTGAGGGGCCCAAGATATATAGCTCTTGGTTCTGCTACTAACTAGTATGTGGTTTTAACTATGTTCCTTCTGGTCTTCGTTTTTTTCATTTATAAGTTTACTTTTGAAACACTAATATTTTATAATTTTAGATAAATGAGGAGATTAGCATTCTGTTTTCCTGGCATTATTTAAATGGGTATAGGCACGACTTATACAGAAAAGTAGGAAGGTATTTTAACTGATTGAATTTTTCTTAATGAAAGCCAAGTAAGAGCTGTGTGGCCTTTATTTAGCCTCTATCCTGCACAAAGATGGTCCCTGTTATAGTATGGACCACCAGATTCTTAACTTAAAACAAATCAAGTCCATTAAAGTTTCTTTTCAATGCTTAACTGTTTCGATAAAGAAGCTTCCTAGAAGTCAAGAGCTCTCCTTGTGGGGTCTGAGAAGGCCTTTGTGTCATTATGTGGCCAACGCTTAATACATAAAGGCAGTTTTATGCTCTTTTGGTGAAAGACACATTTCTTTAAGATAGCACTGGGGTTTCTCTCTGTGCCTGTGATAAAACTTCACACACACACACACACACACACACACACACACACAATTTTTTCAACATAATGCTTTCCTGAAACTATTTGGAAGATCTATAAACTACCTGTCAATATATACAATAGAAATATGAAAATGTCATTGCGAATCTCTTAAAGACATTGTCTTTCCGGATGTGGTATTATTTAAAGCCTGCTTGTCCTCAATTGCTACAATTGTATTGATGCTTCTTTTTAAATAATGTATGTATTACTTAAACAAAATAATTTGTTTCCTGTGATTGCAGTTAGAAACAAATGCATTAATGAAATACTAAATATGACATTTAAAATAGCATTTTTCATAATATATCTTAAGACAGTTTCTTTAAAATATCTAAAGATAGTTTATGAACCAAGGAGTCCATAATGAGAAGAAGATAAAGTGATTTTAACAAATTATTTGTATTGCATATTATACGATAAAAGTATGACAACTATAAGTCCCTTCAGGCTAAAAAGATATTAATTGCATTCAATGTGATTAGCTGATATATTCTTGAAGATTTTGATTCTAGCATTACATTTTGTCAATTAATTAAGATAATTTATTCCAATATAAGAGCAAGTGTAGGAACAAATTATTTCTGAGTGTACTTTTGGAAGAAGCAGCCAAGGTAAGGAGATGTAGTCTCTAGAGTTTCTTCCATCTGACCGTCGTCGGATCTCATGATAGGAATGTCACAAGGATAAATTGTAGAGAGATTGGATGAAAACAGTCTTGGGCAGAAAAAAGTATAATTCTGAAAAATACTAGTTTGCTGCATGAAGGTGACATTTTGAAGCCTTATCCAAATATTTTATCCTTTTTATAAGTTATTAATATTCTAGGGAACATATCATTAACATCTTTAGGTGATATTCCATAATAATCTTAAAACAAATATTTCTAATTCCTTTTTCTTTTTCTCTTGTGTAAGGAAAAAATGAACTTCATCATAGGAAATATATTTGTAAAACTACTTAAAGATATCTTAAAGTTTCTCTGTTAAATATCAATGGTTGGCATTCAGCACAATCCAAATGTAACATTAATCTCTTCAGAGACTAGAAGATAGTTCAATTTACTGAGTATAATTTAACAGTGGCATAACTAAGATGCAGCAAAGCAGGAGTGCCTACTAATTAGGACAGATTCCTGACCATCATTCCACTTGTGCAACTCCCACTGAAGTGAACATGAATCTTGCAGCAACTTTATTTTCTCATGTAGCTCTCAGTTCTTAAAAGCATTGAAGACCTTAAACAGTCTTAAACAGCAAATACTGTGTTTTCATAGAAAGTAGAAGAATGTGTGCATTTCAAAATAATGTTACATGTGCTTTTGCATGAGAAACCACCTATGTTATTTAGCGAGGCTGAAGACTGCAACCTAGACGAAATGAAAGTACAGTCTCATCTCTGCCTTGGCATCAGATCAGGTTGCTATTGGCAAAGCTAAGTAGAGGATTTTTTTTTCATTGACACCTTCAAGTTTGAAGCAGAAGTAAAAGAAATGACCTATGTTATTTAAATAATTACCAAATTATTTAGGATGAAAAGGCATGTAGTCATTGTGAATTAGAACATAACAAAATTGAGCATGCCTTTGTTGAATTATATGTGTGCATGCTCACATGTGTATATACTTTTAAAGTTCATGTTCCAATAATGCTTTCTTTGTAGAGGGCAAGCTTTCTCAAAAAAGTTTATGGGAAATTTCCTTATTGACTTATTTTAACAAGTAGCAGGTTACAATGCCTTTCCAAGGAATCATTAAATTAAATTGTTTCTATATAAAACATTGTCCCTAAGCTCCCAGCTACTTGGCTGATAGGGAAATAATTTTTCTCTTCTTTTAAAATTAGTTGAATATTTACTTCATACTGATTAATTGAGAAACAATGGAATTTCTCAAGATAGAAACACTATAGTTTTTGCTATATTTCTGTCATGGGAAAAGATGGAGTATTAGTTTCTTAAGGCTGCGGTAACAAGGTACCTAAAACTGAGTGGCTTAAAATAACAGAAATTTATTATGTCACACTTTCAGAGGCTAAAACTCCAATATTAAGGTGTCAGTAGAATTGGTTCTTTCTGAGGGCTGTTAGGGATAATCTGTTCCACACCTCTTTCCTAGTTTCTGGAGGTTTGCTGGCATCACTTTACTCTCTGCTTTTATCTTTCCATAGCATTCTCTCTCTGTGTCTCTGCATCTTCACATCCTCTTCCCACTCTAGAAGTCTGCATGCCTCTGTGTTTAAATTTTTCTTTATTATAAGGACATGGTCATATTGGATTAGGACTCATTCTAATGACCTCATCTTAACTTGATTGGTTGCAAAGATCTTACTTCCAAGGAAGGTCACATTGACAGAAATTGCGGGGTTAGGACTTAAAGATCTTTTTTTTTAGAGGAAGAGGAAACACAATTCAACTCATAACAGATGGATTTGAAATTAAGAGCAGAAACAAAAATAAAAAATGAATAACAAACATCTTGGTAACAGATTTACATTGGTGGAACAGAGATAACCAGAATGTGCCATTGAAGTGTTGAACTACCCTGCTACATTTCAAACATGTTTAGATAAAACAGGTAGGAGCATGTAACTGCTGAAGGTTTAGCTAGATGAATGGGTTTGTATTCCAAAAGGTCAAAGAGTCAACACAACATTCATGGACAGAATGATCATAAGGTACAGATTGTTTGTTTTCTGCCCTATTTGGTCTGTTGTCTTAGTCAATTTTGTGTTGTTATAACAGATACAACAGACAGGGTAATTTATAAAGAAAAGAAATTCATTTCTTCCAGTTCTAGAGGCTGAGAAGTCCAAGAAAATTGAGGGGCCACATCTGGTGAGGACTTTCTTACTGCATAAACCCACAGTAGAAGATGGAAGAGCAAGAAAGTGAGAGAGAACAAGAGATGGCCAAACTCACTTTTATAACAAACTCACTCTCATAATAATGAACTCACTCCTGAGATAACAAAATTAATCCACTGACTTAATCACCTCTTAAAAGTCCCCTTCTCAACTCTGTTATATTGAAGATCAATGAACATGAACTTTGAGGGATACATTGATACCATGGCACCTGTTTTGAACATAGATGTTTATGGTGACAAAAAGGAGATCAGATAACTATAGCATCTCCTATTTATTAATTAAGACTAGAATATAAATGATAGAGTAGATGTTAGATTACTTTATGTAGGCTGTTTTTTTTAAAGCATACTGCAATAAATTACCCAGATAAAATAAGTCAGCCAAAAATCTCCCCTCACTTGAATTGGCCTGATATTATGGAGTGATGTACTAGTACTGGATTTAGAGCATGCCAGAAAAAAAAAAATTCTAAGGAAAGTTTGGAGATACATTACTATCTGGAATTAATTTAGATTGATACAAAATTAAAGAGAGGGTACTAGGTAGTTAATTAAAAAATTTCTCAATAATAATTATTTTACTTATTTATAAATATATAATTTATTATTTTAATTGTACTTATTTTACTAGGTGATATTGTGTAGGTTGAATTTTTAAAATAGTAATTTTATTAGTTTTCAAAATGTAATGCATAAAACATTTTTATTTCAAATTTAAATTTCTGTTAAGTGCTGGGGAAATAAATCTAATCAGAAAAGAAAAAAACTCATAAGAATTGAAAGTTTACTGTAAAACTATCAAGTGGAAGCAAGATGGCGGAATAGAAGGTGATCATCCCCCTGCTCACATGAGGACACCAATTTAACAATTACGCTGAAAAAAAAAAAATCCTCATAAGAAGCAAAAATCAAGTGAGTACTCCTAGTACCTGGTTTTAATTTCATATTGCTGAGAGAAGCATTGAATAGTTAGAAAAACAGTCCTGAATCACTGACAACACCCCTCCCACACCCCTGGCAGCAGCCTCATGGTGCAGAGAGCCTCTCTGGACACTGAGTGAGGGAGTACACATCAATTGTGAGGCAGTGAACTCAGTGCTGTCTTGTTAGAGCAGAAAGGAAAACCTGTCCAAACTCAGCTGATGCGCCACAACAGAGGGAACATTTAAACCAGCTCTAGCCAGAGGGGGATCACCAATCCCAGCAGTCCAAACTTGAGTTCCCACAAACCTTACCACTGAGGGCTACAGCGATCTCTGTTTCCAAGTAAACTTGAAAGACAGTCTAGGCCATAAATACTCCAACTCTTAAGTGAGTCCTAATACTATACTAGACCCAGAGACAGTGGAGTGGGATGCAGGCAGCATTCTGAGACAACAGTTTGGGCAAAGGAGCACTGGCATCACCATTCCCCTAACCCCATTGCACAGCTCTTAGCTCCAAAAAAGACACTTTTTTTTCTGTGTGAGTAGAGGAGAGGAAATAGTGTGGATGAATTGTCTTGCATCTTGGATACCAGCTCAGCCACAGCAGGATAGGGCACCAGTCAGAGTAGTGAACCCATGTTCCAGGCCCTAGCTCCCAGACAAAATTTCCAGATGCATCCTGGACCAGAAGGGAACCTGTGCCTTGAAGGAAAGGACCCAGGCCTGAAAATAAGAACTGCTAAAAGGAGCACTAAATCTTGAAACATATCCTTGAAATACACCAAAATGGAACCTCCTTAAAGCATAAATCTCACAGAACATATATAACAATAACACAATAAAGAAAAACAAGGTATTCAGGCAACAAATAGCATGATGAATAGAATAATACCTCACATCTCAATATTAACATTGAATGTAAATTGCCTAAATGCTCCATTTAAAAGATACAGAATGGCAGAACGTATAAGAATTCACCAATGAAGTTTCTGTTGTCTTCAGGAGACTCACTGAACACATAAGGACTCACATAAACTTAAGGTAAAGGGGTGAGAAAACCGAAAGTGAGCAGGAGTAGCTCTTCTTATATCAGACAAAACAAACATTAAAGCCATAGCAGTTAAAAAAGACAAAGAGGGACATTACATAATGATAAAAGGACCAGTCCAAGAGGAAAATATCACAATTCTAAATATATAGGCACCTAACACTGGAACTCCCAAATTTATAAAACAATTACTACAAGACATAAGAAATGAGATAGATGGAAACACAGTAATACTGGGGGAGATTAATATTCCTCTGACAGCACTAGACAGGTCATCAACACAGAGATTCAACAAAGAAACAATGGATTTAAATTATACCCTACAACAAATGGACTTAACAGATATTTACAGAACATTCGACCCAACAACTGCAGAATATACATTCTATTCATCAGCACATGGAACATTCTCCAATATAGACCACATGATAGGACACAAAACAGGTCTCAGTAAATTTAAGAAAATTAAAATTATATCAAGTACTCTCTCAGACCACAGTAAAATAAAACTGGAGGCCAGCTCCAAAAGAAACCCACAGAACTATGCAAATGTATGGAAATTAAATAACCTGCTCCTGAATGATCATTGGGTCAATAATGAAATCAAGATGGAAATTTAAAAAATTCTTTGAACTGACCAATAATAGTGACACAACTTATCAAAATCTCTGGGCTACAGCAAAAATGGTGCTAAGAGAAGAGTTTATAGCATTAAATGACTACATCGAAAAGAATGAAAAAGTACAAATAGACTAAGGTCACACCTCGTGAAACTGGAGAAACATGAACAATCCAAACCCAAACCCAGCAGAAAAAAAGAAATAAGATTAGAGAAGAACTAAATAAAATTGAAACAAAAACCCCCCCAAATCCCAAAAGATAAATGAAACAAAAAGCTGGTTCTTTGAAAAGATAAATAAAAATGATAGACCATTAGTGAGATTAACCAAGAAAAGAAGAGTGAATATCCAAATAAGGTCAATTAGAAATGAAACAGGAGATATTACAACTGATGCCACAGAAATGCAAAAGATTATTCAAGGCTAATATGAACACCTTTATGCATCATAAACTAGAAAACCTAGAGGAGATGGATAAATGCCTGGAAATATATAACCCTCCTAGATTTAACCAGGAAAATATAGAATCTCTTAACAGAACAATAACAAGCAGCAAGATTAAAATGGTAATTTAAAAATTGCCAACAGAAAAAGTCCAGGAACAGACAGATTCACAGCTGAGTTCTATCAGACGTTCAAAGAATTGCTACCAATTATATTTACATTATTACAAAAGATAGAGAAATATGGAATCCTTTCTAAATCATTGTATGAAGCCCATATCACCCTAATATCAAAACCAGGAAAGGACATTAAAAAAAACTACAGACCAATATTCATAATAAATATAGATGCAAAAATCCTCAACAAAACACTAGCCAACTAAATCCAACAGCATATTAAAAAATTAATCCACCACGATCAAGTGGGTTTCATACCAGGGATGCAGAGATGGTTTAACATACATAAGTCAATAAATGTGATATACCACATAAACAGAATTAAAGACAAAAATCACATGATTATCTCAATAGACGCATGAAAAGCATTTGACAAAATTCAGCATCCCTTTATGATTAAAACCCTCAGCAAAATAGGCATAGAAGGGACATAACTTAAGGTAATAAAGGCCATCTATGACAAACCCACAGCCAACACTGTTCTGAATGGAGAAACGTTGAAAACTTTCCCCCTGAGAACTGGAACAAGACAAGGATTCCCACTTTCACCACTTCTATTCAACATAGTACTGGGAGTCCTAGCCAGAGCAGTCAGATAAGAGAAAGAAATCAAGGGCATTCAAATTGGTAAAGAGGAAGTCAAACTGCTGCTGTTTGCTGATTATATAATCATATACCTAAAAAACCCTAAAAACTTATGTAAATACTCCTATAATTGGTAAATGAATTCGGCAATGGTTCAGGATACAAAATTAATGCACATAAATAAGTAGCTCTGCTGTACACCAACAGCAACCAAGTTGAGAATCAAACCAATATCTTAACTCCTTTTACAATAGCTGCATTAAAATAAAATACTTAGGAATATGCCTAACCACGGACATGAAAGACCTCTACAAGGAAAACTACAAAACACTGCTGAAAAAAATAATAGATGACACAAACAAATAAAAACACATCCCAAGCTCATGGATGCATAGAATCAATATTGTAAAAATGACCATACTTCCAAAAGCAATCTACAAATTCAATGCAACTCCCATCAAAATGCCATCATCATTCTTCACAGAATTAGAAAAAACAATCCTAAAATTCATATGGAACCAAAAACGATCCCACATAGCCAAAGCAAGACTAAGCAAGAAGAACAAATATGGAGGCATCACATTAACTGACTTCAAACTATACTATAAGGGCATAGTCACCAAAACAGCATGGCACTGGTATAAAAATAGGCACAGAGACCAGTGGAACAGAATAGAGAACCCAGAAACAAAGCCAAATAGTTACAGCTAACTGATTTTTGACAAAGCAAAGAAAAACATAAGGTAGGAAAAGGATACCCTATTCAACAAATGGCGCTGGAATATTTAATTGGCAAGCCACATGTAGAAGAATGAAATTGGATCCTCATCTCTCACCCTATTCAAAACTCAACTCAAGATGGATCAAAGACTTAAATCTAAGATCTGAAACCATAAAAATTCTAGGAGGTAGTATCAGAAAAACCCTTCTAGACATTGGCTTAGGCAAAGACTTCATGACCAAGAACCCAAAAGCAAATGCAACAAAAACAAAGATAAATAGATTGGAGTTTATTAAAATTAAAAAAAATACTTCTGTGCAGCAAAATAAATAATCAGCAGAGTTAACAGACAACCCACAGGGTTGGAGGAAGTTTTCACAATCTATACATCTGACAAAGGACTAATATCCACAATCTACAAAGAACTCAAACAAATCAGCCAGAACAAAACAAACAATTACATCAAAAAGTGGGCTAAGGACATGAATAGAAAATTCTCAAAAGAAGATGCACAAATAGCCAAAAAGCATATGAAGAAATGCTCAACATCACTAATTATCAGGGAAATGCAATTCAAAACCACAATGCAATAGCACCTCACTCCAGCAAAAATGGCCATAATAAAATAAAAAAATCTATAGATGGTGGCATGGATGTGGTGAAAAGAGAACACTTTTACGTTGTTGGTGGCAATGTAAACTAGTACAACCACTATGGAAAACAGTGTAGAGATTTCTTAATGAACTAAAAACAGATCTACCATTTGCTCCATCAATTCCAATGCTAGATATCTACCCAGAGGAAAAGAGACCATTATATGAAAAAGATACTTGCATATGCATGTTTATAGCAGCACAATTTGCAATTGGAAAAATATGGAACCAGCCCAAATGCCTATCAATCAATGAGTAGATAAATATATATATACCAAATTTTCATATATATATGTATATATATATATACATATATATATACATATATATATATAATGGAATACTACTCAGCCATGAAAATGGCATGAACAGGAACAAAATAATGTTATGTGCAGAAACCTGTATGGAATTGGAGACTATTATTCTAAGTGAAGTAACTCAGGAATGGAAAACCAAACATTTTATGTTCCCACTCATATATGGGAGCTAAGTTATGAGATGCAAAGCCATATGAATGATACATTGAACTTTGGGGACTTGGGGGAAAGGGTGGTGGGTGGCGAGGGATAAAAGACTACACATTGGATACAGTGTACACTGCTTGGATGACGGGTGCACCAAAATTTCACTAATTACCCCTAAAGAACTTATTCATGTAGCCAAACACCACCTGTTCCCCAAAAACCTATTGAAATAAAAAAAAACACAAAAAATAAAAATAAATAAATCTAATCAATCTCTGCTTAAAAAAGATGTAAAGAATATCACCATATAATAAAAAAGTGGTCAATTCAGCAAGAGGATAGAACAATTTTAAATATATATGCTTCAATTACTGGAACACCTAGATATATTAAGCAAACATTATCAGAGCTAGAGAGAAAGATACGCCACAACACAATAATAACTGAAAACTTCAGCACCCCATTTTCAGCATTGGACAGATATTCCAGATATTAAAATCATCAAACTTGATGTGATTCCATTTGTCCATTTTTATTTTGGTTGCCTGTACCTGTGGGGTATTGCTCAATAATATTTTCCCTCTCTTAGAGAGTTTTCCCACTGTTTTCTCATAGTAGTTTCATAGTCTGAGGTCTTAAATTTAAATTTTTAATCCATTTTGATTTGATTTTTGTATATGGCAAGAGATAGGGGTCTGGTTTCATTCTTCTGCATATGGATATCCAGTTTTCCCAGCACCATTTATTGAAGAGACTATCTTTTCCCCATTGTATATTCTTGGCACCTTTGTCAAAAATGAGTTCAGTGTAAGTGTGTAGTTAGTTTTTTTTCTGGGTTCTCTATTCTGTTCCTTTGGTCTATGTGTCTATTTTTAGGCTAGTACCATGCTGTTTTGGTAACTATGGTTCTGTAGTATAATTTGAAGTCAGGTAATGTGATTCCTCCAGTTTTGTTCTTTTTGCTTAGGATAGCTTTGTCTCTTCTGGGACTTTTGTGATTTCATATAAGATTGTTTTAGTCTATTTCTGTGAAGAATGTCATTGGTATTTTGATGGTGATTGCATTGAATCTGTAGATTGCTTTGGGTATTATGGTCATTTTAACCATATTGATTCTTCCAACCCATGAACATGGAATATTTTTCTATTTTTGGTGTCCTCTTCAGTTTCTTTCATCAGTGTTTTATAGTTTTCATTATAGCGATCTTTCACTTCTTTGGTTAATTTCTAGGTATTTAATTTTATATGTGGCCATGGTAAATGGGAATATTCAAATTTCTTTTTCATGTTGCACACCATTGGCACATACAAATGCTACTGAATTATGTATGTTGATTTTGAATTCTGCAACTTTACTGAATTTGTTTATCAGTTCTAATAATTTTTTATGCAGTCTTTAGTTTTTTCCACTTATAAGATCATATCATCTGCAAACAAGGATAATTTGACTTCTTCCTTTCCAATTTGGATGTCCTTTATTTATTTTTCTTGTCTGAGGCTTTCAATTTTTCCCAATTTAGTATGAAAGCTGCTGAAGATCTGTGATATGTAACTTTTATTATGTTGAGGTATGTTTCTTCTATACCCAGTCTTTGGTGTTTTTGTTTTTTTTTTTAAATTTTATCATTAAGGAATGTTGAATTTCATCAAATGCTTTTTCAGCATCAGTTGAAATTACCATTTCATTTTTATCCTTCATTCTGTTGATATGCTGTATCATATTGATTTATTTGCATATGTTGAAAAATCTTTGCATCCTAGGGATAAATTCCACTTTGTCATGATGAACGATATTTTTAATATATTGTTGAAATCAGTTTGGCAGTATTGTGTTGAGGATTTTTGCATCAACATTCATCAGATATATTGGCCTGTAGTTTTATTTTTTGTTGTGTCTTTGTCTTGTTTTGACATTAGGGAAGGTAATACTGGCCTCATAGAATGAGTTTGGAAATATTTCCTCCTCTATTTTTCCAAATAGTTTGAGTAAAATTGGTGTTAGTTCTTCTTCAAATGTTTCGTAGAATTCAGCAGTGAAGCCATCAAGTCCTGGGTTTTCTTTACTGGGATACTTTTTATTATGGCTTTGATCTCATTCAGGTTTGTTATTTCTTCCTGGTTCAATCTTGGTAGAGTATATGTGTCTAGGAATTTGCTCATTTCTTCTCAGTTTTCCAGTATATTGGCATATAGTTGCTCATAGTAGCCACTAAAGATTCTTTGAATTTCTGAAGTATCAAATATAATGTGTTCTTTTTTATTTATGACTTTCCTTATTTAGATCTTCTCTATTTTTTTTCTCAGTCTGGCAAAAGGATGGTCAATTTTGTTAAACTTTACAAAAAAACCACCTTTTAATTTCATTGATCTTTTGTATTTTTTCATTTCAAATTCATTTATTTTTACTCTTATTTTTATTATTTCTTTTCTTCTACTAATTTTGGGCTTGGTTTGCTCTTGGTTTTCTAGTTCTTTAAGATGCATCATTAGGTTGTTTATTTCAGGTTTTTCATCACTTATAGCTATAAACTTCCCTCTCAGTACTGCTTTCACTGTACCCCATAGATTTTGGTGTGTTTTATTTTCATTATCATTTGTTTCAAGAAAATTCTCAATTTTCTTCTTAATTTCTTCATTGACCTACTGGTCATTCAGGAGCATATTGTTTAATTTTCATATATTTACATAGTTGTAAAAATTCCTCATTATTAATTTCTAGCTTTATTTTATTGTGGTGAGAGAAGACGGTTGATATTATTTCAATTTTTTGAATGTTTTAAGACTTGTGTTGTGACCTAGCATATGGTTTGTCCTTAAGAATGATCCATATGCTGAGAAAAATAATGCGCATTCTGCAACTTTTGAATGAAATGTTCTGTAAATATCTATTAGACTCACTTGGTCTATAGTGCAGATTCAGTCCAATATTTCTTTGTTGGCTTTCTGTCTGGAACATCTGTCCAGTGCTGATAGTGGGGTGTAGAATTCTCCAGCTATTATTGTATTGAAGCCTATCTCTCATTAGCTCTAATAATATTTACTTTATATATTTGGTTGCTCCTGTGTTGGATGCATACATATTTAAAATTGTTATATCCTCTCACTGAATTGACCCTTTTTTCATTATACACTGGTTTTCCTTGTCTCTTCTTACAGTTTTTATCTTGAAATCTATTGTATCTGAAAGAAGTATAGTGACTCCTGCTCTTTTTTGCTTTTCATTGGGCATGGACTATTTTTTTCCATTTCTTTATTTTCAATCTATGTGTGTCTTTATAGGTGAGGTGTGTTTCTTATAGGCAACAAATCAATAGGTCTTGTTTTTTAATTCATTAAGGCAATGTGTGTCTTTTGATTGGAGAGTTTAATCCATTTACCTTGAATATTATTGATAAGTAAGGACTTACACCTGCCATTTTGTTATTTGTTTTCTGGTTGTTTTGTGGTCTTCTCTCCCTTCTTTCTTTCCTTCCTGTCTTCCTCTAGTGAAGGTGATCTCTGGTGATATGCTTTTATTTCTTGCTTTTTATTTTTTGTTCATCTATTGCATGTTTTTTGGTTTGAGGTTACTATGAGGCTTGCAAATACTGTCTTATAACTCATTAGTTTAACCTTATAACAACATAGCAGTGTGTGCATAAACAAAGAAACAGCAAAAATAAAGTAATAAAAACTCTATGCCCTGACTTTGTTCCCCTCCTTTTAACTTTTTGTTTTTTCTATTTACATCTTATTGTAGTGTGTATGTTTTGAAAAGTTGTTATAGTAATTATTTTTGATTTGTTTATTATTTATTCTTTCTGCTTAGGATAAGAGCAGTTTACACACTGCAGTTACAGTGTTATAGTATCTTAGCTTATTGTGAAAGCTGCCTGGCCTGAGACTTACCCTTCAGGGCAGTTGCCTCCTTTCTGGCCATCCAAGAGTCAAGAGAAGCCATCCAAGAGTCAAGTCCTGAAATTGGGGACCTTAATAGCCCTATTGGTGCTCTACCCACCTGTTGCTATGCTGGTACTTAAGGTACAAAACAAAGTTTCCTTTACTTTTTCCTCTGCTTTTCTTAAGCAGAAGGCGTTTCACACTATAGCCACCATAGCTGGTAATATGCTGGGTCTCACCTGAAGCCAGCAAGTCTCAGAGGCTCATCCATGGTCCTTGACTTAGTGCCTGGGTATCTCTGTCAGTTTTTCAGGGCCCAAGGGCTCTTCAGTTAGCAGGGGATGAATGGTTTCAGGACTGTGTCTTCCTCCCCTTCAAGGCAGCAGATGCCCTGTTTTCTCAGCTTGTGTCTAGAAATGTCATCTGGGAGCTAGGGCTTATAACGGGAGCCTCACAACTCTGACCAGTGCACTATCCTACTGTGACTGAGCTGGTATCCAAGATGCAAAAAAAATCCTGCCCATTCTTTCCTCTCCTCTCCTCAAGTGGAAAGAAGTGGGCATTTTTGGAGTTGTGAGCTTTGCAGCTTGGGGTTAGGTGAGGAATGATGTCATCACTCCCTTAGCTGCCTTAGCTTCTGTCTCAGTAGGCCATGTGTTTCCTCCCTACTCTCTGCCAAGCCACTGTTTCTGGGACCAGTTTAGCACTAGGATTTGCCTAAGAGTTGCAGTCCTTATGCCCTAGACTGCCTTTAAAGTTTATTTAGAGCACAGAGCACTTTAGCCCATGGTGGTGAGGTTTGTGGGAACTCAAGTTCTGACTGCTGGGATGGGCAATTCCCCTCTTGCTAAGGCTGGTTTAAATGCTCCCTGCTTGGGTAGATGTCAGCTGAGTCTGGTCGGGTTTTCCTTTCTGCTCTAACAGGATAGTACTGAGTTCAGTGCCTCACAATTGCTGTGTTCTTCCTCCCCCATCACCCACAGATGCTCTCTAGAGCAGGCTGTTGTTGCCAGTAGGGTGGGGGGTGAGGGGAGGGGTGCCACTGGTGATTCAAGACTGTTTTTTGAGTTTCTTCAGTGTCTTTTTCAGTGATATAAAGATAAAATCAGGTACTATAAGGGCTCACTGGATTTTTGGTTCTCATAAAGGTTTGTTTTGTTTTGTTTTGTTTTTCTGTGTAGATAGTTGTTAAATTGATGTTCTTGTTTGGGTGAGGTGGAGAGAATCGATGAAGCCTTCTATTCTGCCATCTTGCTCCACCTCTCACAGTATTTCTTAAGTGCAAGCAAATGCTATGAGAAAGGTAGAAACAAAAGTTCCACGTTAGGTAGGACATAAAATACAGGAAAGATTTGAGGTAAGGCTGGAAAACTATTTGAGGCTATACTGTGAAGGGATTTGACTACCACGGTAAGATATTTCCTTTATTTCTAAGTACTAGGACATCTTTCCAGATTTTTGGACAGTAGAGTGATGTGATTACAATTTTACTCTAGGAAGATTCATCCGTTGACAGTGCATGGGATATATCAGCATGGTATATGAGACAGTAAGGAGACAATTATAGTGGTATAGTCATCAAGTGACAAGGAACTGAACCAAGTGGTTGTAGTAGGAGGGGACATTGTGAAGGCAGACTCTACAGACCATTGTTCCTACCCTAAATGAGTCTTCTCCATTGGATGGTGAATTCGTTTTAACTGGAAGAATAGTGGATAAAGCTATTAAAATTTTGCTAATTCAGTAGTTTTTCAGCTATAGTGTAATATAGTGTATATCTACTTTTCAAGTAAAATATTACCATCATCCTAGCTATATATGCTACAGAGGTATAGCATTACACTCTTGTAGAATCCTCAGGGATTAGGTAACACAGTGATAAATCCTGAAAATTCTTCATATGTTTGCCAAAATTTTAAGGTGTGGCATTGTCAGGGAAGTGGGGGAAAGCCAGCAGTCAAAGGCCTCACCCAGCTCCCATGCCAACCGAAGGGCAGGTCTCACTCCCACCGTGCCCCCTCCAACAGCCCCAAGTCTGTTTGCAGGCAGAGGGTGAGTCAGGCTTGAAAACTTGCCCCAGGGTACCCGCCTCCCAACTCCAGAAGAAAAGGGCTTGGTTCCTCCCCCGCCTGTGGAGTCTGCACACCAGATTTGCGCCCTACCTTGAGTTCTGGCCAGGAGGCTCCTTGCCCTGTTCAAATTGTTGCAAAGTTCAGCTGGAGATTTCCTTCTCCCTGTGAAGTTGTATCCCCTGCTCCTCTAGCCACCCTTCCGATAGATCCCTGTGGTGCTAGGCAAGAATGGCCTGCTAGGGGACCCAGCAAGGTCCCAGGGCCTTTCTGCTGCTCCCTCTACCCCTGTTTTTCACTTGGCACTCTAAACTGACTCAGCTCCAGATAAAGTCGGAAACTTCTCCTGCAAACAGACCTTCACCTTCTCCAGTGTGTGTGTGTGTGTGTGTGTGTGTGTGTGTTCAGGAGAGGAGGTTCTCCCTTTCCCACTTTTGCAATTGGGGCACTCACAGTATTTGGGGTGTCTCTCGGGTCCTGCAGGAGCAGTCCACTTCCTTCAGAGGGTCTGTGGGTCCTCTCAGGATTTCTGGTTTCTGGACAGCTAATTTTGATATGGGTACTGAGATAACCCATGGAGAAAAAATAGTCTCTTCAATAAATTGTGCAAGGAAAGCTGGATTTGCACATGAAAAAGAATAATAAAATTGGACCCTTATACTGTAGATCAACTCAAAATGGCTAAAAGACCTGAAATCATTCTTTCCTGGAAAGGATTCTTGTAGTGTCTGCCATGGAACACAGACAGACCTATGGGAACACAGGGGAACCTCTTTTAGAAAACTTGACAAGCGAGTAAGACTTGGATCTTTTCCGAAGAGCACAAGCCCGGGCTTCAGAGGATTTGGAGAAGTTAAGGCTGCAAGGCCAAATCACAGAGGGAAGCAACATGATTAAAACAATTGCTTTTGGTCGCTATGACCTTGATACCTGGTACCATTCTCCATATCCTGAAGAATATGCACGGCTGGGACGTCTCTATATGTGTGAATTCTGTTTAAAATATATGAAGAGCCAAATGATACTCCGCCAGCACATGGCCAAATGTGTGTGGAAACACCCACTTGGTGATGAGATATATCGCAAAGGTTCAGTCTCTGTGTTTGAAGTGGATGGCAAGAAAAACAAGATCTACTGCCAAAACCTGTGCCTGCTGGCCAAACTTTTTCTGGACCACAAGACATTATATTATGATGTGGAGCCCTTCCTGTTCTATGTTATGACAGAGGCGGACAACACTGGCTGTCACCTGATTGGATATTTTTCCAAGGAAAAGAATTCATTCCTCAACTACAACGTATCCTGTATCCTTACTATGCCTCAGTACATGAGACAGGGCTATGGCAAGATGCTTATTGATTTCAGTTATTTGCTTTCCAAAGTTGAAGAAAAAGTTGGCTCCCCAGAATGTCCACTCTCAGATCTGGGGCTTATAAGCTGTTGCAGTTACTGGAAAGAAGTACTTCTCCGCTAACTGCGTAATTTCCAAGGCAAAGAGATTTCTATCAAAGAAATCAGTCAGGAGACGGCTGTGAATCCTGTGGACATTGTCAGCACTCTGCAAGCCCTTCAGGTGCTCAAGTACTGGAAGGGAAAACACCTAGTTTTAAAGAGACAGGACCTGATTGATGAGTAGATAGCCAAAGAGGCCAAAAGGTCCAACTCCAATAAAACCATGGATCCCAGCTGCTTAAAATGGACCCCTCCCAAGGGCCCTTAAAGCGACCTGTCATTCCGAGCCAGCGAACCCCAGCAGTAGGAATCCGTACCTTAGGGATCTGTCGGTCATTTCTGTTGCTCTTGTGATTGGCAAGTACAGTATCCTTTGGGAAGGCCATCCCCCTCAGGACTGTCCTGGCTCCGATCTTTGTGTACACTGCAGACACTGGTTCTGAGGAACTGTTGTTTCGGCCTCAGTGAGGTTGCCTGGATGGGATCTGTATTAGACTTGAGTGCAGGTCTCTCAGCACTGACCCAAGGAGTTCTGTTATGGTACTGTACCTGTCCAGTCACTGGTTCTCTCCTCATGTCCTCTCACCCCATGAGGTTGTATTGTGTCTTCTAAGCGTGGTACTAGTGCTTGCCACCTGGTCACCAGACCTCCAAATATGGCTGCCACCACCAGGACCTTTCCAGTTACTCCTTATATGTGTGTTCTATGGAGGGGCAGGGAAGAGGTGGCACTTGTGATTGTGTGTAGATTGGCAGGGGGTCCATTCACTTTGGGTTCCATCTTGCTTTAAATTTCTTTCCTTCATTTTGATTAAGAGACCTCTTTTTGATCTGTATTGGGCTAACCAGAGCCAAATACTTTTGAAGAGTTTCCCAGGGACTAGTCATGGTAATAGCATATAATTGATCTGAATGAGATGGAGAGAAGAATGAAGAGGTGGTGGTTCTGGGTTTGATTTGAGTTCACCTGTGGGCAGTGGGCAGTGTCTTGGTGAAAGGGAGCGGATACTACTTTTTGCCTCACTGTAAAGTACCCACTAGTAAATATTTCATTCTCTCTTTACTCCCACTTTTTACGTTTGCAGATGCCAAAATAATGTCCACTTCTCCCTTTCATGCTGCATGTTAACTGGTTAATTATACTGCAGAAAACTTTTCACCTCCACTAGTCTGATACAGTACATCTGTACTTCCATATACCTTGCACTGATTTTGTCTGAATGCCCTGGGAGAAGTTGAAAATGACTGAAAGTGACTTCCGTATCTCAGCCCATGACTCAGCAAGGCAGAATGGCCACCCCTGCCAAGGTTTGCTTCTCTTTTCGACAGTGCCTCACCCTCCCTCTAGGATTAAAGTGCTTCTGCTTTTCCATGAACTCCTCCTCCATTTCCTTTTTGGGATTTGTCACCATCCTTCTATTCTCTGGTCTTCTATTTTTGGTGTTGTTCAAGTGAAGGAAGAGATGTTCCCTCTAATTTCTCTCTAGCCCATTATAACCTGCTATCTTCGGGCAACTTTTGATGTATGACATGTCACCCTTCCCAACTTGGTCTCCTCCAACATGCTGTCTTCATGTGGAGCCCTCACCACAATCCCTGACTCCGGTCATTTGTGCCTTTCTCTTGTCATCTCTGTACACTACTTATATTCACTGTGGGTTGAGGGAGCTAATTTTAAGCATGTTCAGTGGCAGCTCCCCTCCAGTTTCAGTGTCACTGTTAAAATTTATCCAAAAGCAACTTCACTAGGGGTTTTCTTAAGGGGTAAAGGCCTTTTACAGAAGCTAAACCCTTCCCCACATGTGGTAGAATGTGCTCTTCTGTATCTACTCCTCAATAAAGCATGTTCTCTGCTAAAAAAAAAAAAAAAAAAAAAAAAAAAAACCTGAAATCATAAAAATCTTGGAATAAAACATAAGGGAAAACCTCCTGGATACTGGCCTTCACAATGATTTTTGGGTATGATACCAAAAACTCAGGCTACAAAAGCAAAAATAAATAAATAGAACTGCATCAAACTAAAAAGCTTCTGCACAACAAAGGAAATAATCAACATGAAAAGGCAGCCTACAGCTTGGGAGAAAATGTTTGCAACCATATATCCAATAAAGGATTAGTATCCAAAATATATTGAAAACCCCCACAACTAAATAGCAGAAAAACAAATTAACCCAATTTAAAAATGGCAAAGGACCTGAATAGGCATTGTTTTCAAAGAAGAAATAAAAATGATTAACAGATGTATGAAAAGTACTCAACCTCACTAATCATCAGGGAAATGTAAATCAAAACCATGATGAGATAGCATCTCATACCTGTTAGAATCACTATTATCAAAAACATAAGAGACAAGTACACTACTGATAGAGATTTAGAATGCTTCAGCTATTGTGGAAAACAAAATGGAGGTTCTTAGAGACATTAAAATAGAACTATCATATGACCCAGAAACCCCTTTTCTGGATATATATCTAAAGGAAATTAAATCACTACATTATAAAGATACCTGCATGCCTATGTTTATTGCATCCTTATTCACGATAGTGAAGATATGGAAACAACTGAAGTGTCCGTTAATGAATGAATGAATAAATTGTAGTATACATATACAATGGAATATTCATCATCTTTTTTAAAAAGTTCAGTCTTGCCATTTGTCACACATGGATTAATCTGGAGGACATTACACTAAGTGAAATAAGCCAGACATAGAAAGAAAAGTACTGCACAATCTCACTTATATGTGGATTCTTAAAAAGAGTCAAGTATACAGAGATAGAGGATAAAGCAATAGTTACGGGGTATGGGGAGATGTAGGTAAAATGATACAAAGTAGCAAATATGTAGGATGAGCAAATCAAGAGAGCAATGTGCAACATGAGGACTATGCTTAATAATATTATATTGTACTTGATATTTTTGCTAAAAGGGTATATTGTAGGTGCTCTTGCCACACATACAAAGTGGGTAATTATATAAGATGAGGGCGGCTATGTTAATTTTTTGACTCTTGTAACCATTTTACTATCTACATGTATATCAAAACATCATATTGTATGCCTTATTATACAGTAAGAATGTTTAAAAATAAAAGTAGAATATAAACCATGATATTTTATAAAGCCTGATGTAATTAATTGTGAAAAGATACTTAACTAGCATCAACTTTTCTAGGTATTTACTAAATGATAGCCATAGTTGTAGAATTGCCTTCAAATGAAAGTACCTTGAATACTCTTTTTTAAAAAAAATTCTTACTATTTTTGAGTTTATACTATATTAAATGAATACATCTCATTGCATATTTTTAAATAAAGTAGAGTACTATTTTTAGAACAGTAATTAAATGAAAAATAAATCTAGGGCAAAGATAAGTGTTCTCAAAACTGAACAGTGATGTGAATAATGTCTCACAATTATATATAAAATATTAAGTATAGCTTAATTAGTATACTAATTAATTAGTATAGCTTATACTAATTAGTATAGCTTATACTAATTAATTAGTATAGCTTATACTAATTAGTATAGCTTATACTAATTAATTAGTATAGCTTATACTAATTAATTAGTATAGCTTATACTAATTAATTAGTATAGCTTATACTAATTAATTAGTATAGCTTATACTAATTAAGTATAGCTTAATTAGTATACTTAATTAGTATACTAATTAGTATAGCTACTGTCCTAAAATTTGGGTTTCTTTTATTACCACAATTTAAAAATATATTGTCAACATCTGATGCTACATGTCTAAATTATATTCTTATGATCTGAACTTGTTCTGCATTTGCTCATTGAGATGCTATTCTAGCATATTATTAATAAATTATTTTAACTAAAAAAATTAAGAAATAAAGTATATTTATTTTCTGAATATCATTATGGAGATTATCAGTTGTAGATAATTTAGAACAAGAAAGAGTGGACTAATTATAGAAACTTACACCCCTGAACTTAAAATGAAAGAAATAAAAAATAAAAAAATAAAAATGCAACAAAAAAGGACAAGAAAGAAACTTACATGATTAGTTTCAATCTCACATAAATTAATATAAAATGCAACTTGTGTTTATTATAATTTCTTATAATATATCACTGGCAAAGTGAGTGATAATTATTCCCTTAAGAAAAAATAGAAAGTTAAAAAAATTGAAATATGCATATTTAATATTCAAAATTAATATTAATTCCAGGCTCTTCTTTGAGGCTATATAAAAATGACAAAATGCCACAGTAAAAATTTAGAGAACTAAATCAGAGTATATAAAGGGCAAGTGAACGCTTATTAAAAGAATCTAATAAAATCTCCTAGTAGCAAGAAACGTTTCTTCTTCCTCACTGATGTCAATTGTCAGATTAGTTCTAGATTTTAAACCCAAATTTGTTCTTGCTGGGTTTGAAATTTTGTTTAAAGTTTTGAGTCTTTATATTTTCTTGACCTATGCTGTCATGGATGTGGTGCTTTTGATTTCTCTTCCAGCTTATATAACAGAACATTTCTTTCTGGAATCTGGTAATTTTAAGATTAGAATTCTTTGTTTGAAAGGAACAAACCATTGACTGACCTCAACTCTTTTCATTTTCTATCTCAGTTTTATCTAAACCCCATGATAGCACCAAGGTTTAAAGTCTTTAAAGATACAGATTTTTCCCCTATTTCTTTTTAGAAAAAAAATATCAACTAGAAACTCCTTCTGCCTGAAATACTTTATCTTTGTGTTGGAGGAAAGTTAAAATGGCTCTTGAATCTCCTTATTCAAAGGTGTTATTTCAATGTATTGACCCCTTAGTCTTCAGCTTTACTTACATCTAGTGCATTATTGTTAAAAGATGATTCATTCTTTAATATTAATTAATATGGGAGTTTGGGTTAAGCAAATATCGATACATATTTTTATGTGGAATATTTTGTAATCAGAGGTAGAACTTCTAAAACAAAGTTTCTGTGATGGTCCATAATTTTTGAAATAGGATAAGAACAAATAACCTCATGAATTCAAGGTTTAAGCTCTTAAAAATATAATTATCAATTTTTAAAATAATCAATGAATTTGCTCAATAGGAGAGCAAGAGCAAATCAGTGCATTGGTAAACCAGAAGCTTAAAGCAGGAAATTCTCTTGGAATGCATTCCATTGAAAGAAAATAAAATACATAAGTTGATAGACAAAGAACACAGACCTGCATGTTCTAAGATCAGTATAAAGGTCAGTCTATGAAAATAAACAAAAAGAATGGGGAAAGGAAATAAAGAGTAATAAATAATATCTACATTAATGTTTTTATTCAATAAATGAGAACCCATTATTTCCCAACGCTGTTCTAGGCTCAGAGAAACAATAGTTATATGTATATATATATATATATATATATATATACACACACACATCACTTACATTCTGCTTGAAAAGACACAAAGCAGTATAAATAAATAAAACAATGTGTTAAAGAATGATAAAAGATAAGGAAAAAATAAAGCTGGGAACAATAATTAGAAATAGTGTGGTAGATTGTACGTTTCAGATGGAGTTACTGATTCAGAGATATATGTGCTTAGAGGTAAAGTAAGGGAGTAAACCATGCTGCTCTCTGGAGGAAGAACATTCCAGATATAATTAGTTATATATATGAATGAAAGCCCTTGAGCCAGGAGCATGCCAGATATGTGAAAGTAACAGTGAGGAGGTTCTCTTTGGAGAAACCTAAGGAAGAGTAGTAGGAGATAATGTCAGAGAGGAAAGGAAAGACAGTTGTGTAGTTTTGATTGCCATAGTAGGAACTTTAACTTACTGTGGAAAGCCATGGGAGGATTTTGAGAAGAGGAGCGACATTATCTGACCAGTTTTCACAGGATCACTCTGTGCTGTGTGGAGAAAATAGCTATAAGAGAGCAAGAACAGAAGCAGAATGATCAATTGTATTAATTCAAGAAAGACATGATGATGACTTAGACCAAGGTGGTGGCAGTGAAGTAGTGGAAATGTCAAATTTTGGATATATTTTGATATTAGTGCCAACAGAATATACTGATGGAAAAGAGGTGAAGTGTGGGAGAATGTGAAAAATCATAGGTAAAAACAACATTTTTGACAAAAATAACTAAAATTAACTCAGATGGGGGAAGACTTCCGGAAGAAAAAGCTTTGGGGGAAGAATGTTGTGAACACAGATCAGATGTGTTCTAATGGTCACAGTGACCGTTAGGCAACCAAGTGAAGATATCCAATAAACATTTGGATGTACAAGTCTGGAGTTCATGTAAGAGTCTGACTTGGGCATAAGGATTTTGGAGTTATCGCGTGTAGATGATAATTAAAGCCTTGAGACTTGAGATCACCAAGGAAGCAAGTATAAATGGAAAGGACGACTGAACTTTAGGGCAACACATGTTTTTAGGCTGCAGATAGGAGAAACTAACAAAAGATATTAAGAAGGAATAGTCAGAAAGATAGGAGGAAAACCAAGTGACTGTACTAACCTGAAAGTGGAGTGACAAAATATTTTAAGGTGGAGAGAAAGATAAATTCTGACAAATGCTGCTGAGAGACCAAATGAGAGGACAGATAAATTCCGTATGAGATAATTAGCAACTATGAGGGGATCAGTTTCTGTGGATAGCTTTGTGAAAACCCAGTGAGTTCAAGAGGGAATGGGAGAAGATAAATCAAGGAAGTACAGATAATTCTTTAGGTTTTTTTCTTTTTCCTGTAAAGTAAAAGAGAGATGCAATGTGGTAGCTGAAAGGGAAATAGGTTTGAGATATTTTTGTGTGTCATGGGAGAAGTAATGACTTGTTTCCTGCTGGGAATTATTCAGCAAAGAAGCAAAATTTAATGGTGAAAATAGGGAGGGTGTCTGGAAAAATGCCTTTGAGTTGTGGAATGCTGATAGGATTTTATTCACAGGGAGAGAGGCATAGGCCTTGGCTAGGAGCATGGGAAGCCATTCATAGAAATGGAAGGGAAATAGAATATAAAAATACAGGTACAGGCAGGTAGGTAAAAGTAGTGGTGAGAAAGTATGGGAGTTCTCATTTGGTAATTCAGTTTTCTCAATGGAAAAGAAAACAGGAAACACGCTTATTGTCTGAGAACAAGGATGAAAAAAGTGGTGCTAGAGATTTAAAGAAATAGGAGCAAGGATATAATAGTCAGCTAGAAGTGGGGGAGAGTGGGTGAGCTAGGGAAATACAGCATGAAAGCTAGTCAGGATTAAGGTTCTGTTTGAAGTTAGTGGTCATGAATTAAATGTGAAGATTCAGTGTGGTTTTGTGTTTTCTACAGAAATGTTCAGATGCAGGGGTGCAAAGATAAGCAGCTGGAGGATTTTATTTAACTAAGGTTCTAGTCTCACTAGGTGGGTAAAGTGAATTGAGAGAAGCATGGGGAGCTAGAGGAGATACAGTAGGATATGTGCACAAAATTCATTACATTAACTGACTTTTAAATTGAAGCTGCATCAAGATGGAAAGGAGGATATAGAGGGAGTAAGAACAAGTGAAAAGCTTTAGGATCAATGATTACAGGTCTTAGTTTAGTGGAAAAATTATCTCTGTCAAGGTAGCAAAAGAGGTTGGCTGGAAACATAAGAGTGGTAGTTTAGCAGTTGAATGTTTACAATTGAAATTAAGGAGTGATTGCAGATATTGTAAAACTAAGGTCAATAGTATGACCATGTGTGATGGTTAATACTGAGTGTCAACTTGATTGGATTGAAGGATGTAAAATATTGATCCTGGGTCTGTCTGTGAGGGTGTTTCCAAAGGAGGTTAATATTTGAGTCTGTGGGCTGGAAAAGGCAGACCTACCCTTAATCTGGCTGGGCACAATCTAATCAGCTGCCAGTGAGACTAGAATATAAGCAGGCAGAAAAATGTGCAAACAAAGAATGGTGTAGCCTCCCACCCTACATCTTTTTCCCATGCTGGATGCTTCCTGCCCTCGAATATTGGACTCCAAGTTCTTCAGTTTTGGAACCCAGACTGGATCTCCTTGCTCCCCAGCCTGCAGACAGCCTATTGTGGGACCTTGTGATCATGTGAGTTAATACTCAATAAATTCATATATATACATATATATGATATATATTCCATTATACATATGGAATACGTGTATATATATATATTCCATTATACATATGGAATATATATATATATATATATACACACACATACGCACACACATACACATATATTCCATTAGTTCTGTTCCTCTAGCGAGCCCTGACTAACACAAGTTTGGTACCAGAAGTGAGGTGGTTCTAAAGGAGCAGATTATTAAGTATGGGGTTCTTTCATTAACTTTGGGGTTTCTGGAGTTGGCTGCTTAATAATATGAATAGACCCAGAAATGTTAAGGACTCTACTTCTCATAGTATGGAGAACACTGATAGTCTTTGGCATGAACTGTTTACAGAAATGCTAAGGACCCAACTTCTAATAATATAGAGAGCACTGATAGTCTTTAGCATGAACGGTTTAGAGAGTTATGCAAAATAAATGCATTTGATAGTCCTGATTCATCACTTGTGAGAGGCAAGGAGTTTAGTGACCCTGTACTTAATACCTTTGACCATATGTGGAGAACCAAGGAACATATAGAAGCTGGTTGGTTACTCCTCAGTGGACAAAGGGATGAATGAAAATGATGAACTTAGGGATTCTATCTCTCAGCTTCAGAAGCAGATTCTGAGCCTCAAATCTGCCAAGACTGCCCTGAGTGAGAGTCTTATCTCCCATAGAGAAAGAGCTAAAATTGTGTAAAAGCAGACACAAGCTCTTATCATGCAAGTGGCTGACCTGCAATGAAAGGTGCATGCACAGCCTTGTCAGGTGTCTACTGTTAAAGTGAGGGCATCGTTTGGAAAATAATGGGACCTTGCAGCTTGGAACGGGGACATGCAGGAGGACCCTGATGAAGCTTAGGACACTGAGCTTAAACTCTGATTAAGCTTTCTTTGCCAGAAGAAACAGCTTTCCCATCTACGGTAGTGGCAACATACCCTCCCATACCCATGCTGCCATCAGCCCTTCCACCTTTGTCTGAGGACATAAACCTGTGCTCCCTGAGGCAACAGTGATGGCCTCCCCTGAGGCAGTTGCCAGTCAAGATAATGTTGATTCTCCTCAGAAGCCACCCCCAACACCCCTGTTTGCTTCTAGACCTATAACTAGATTAATATCCCAGCAGGCCCCTAGAGGTGAGGTTGAAAGTGTGACCCATAAGGAGGTGCATTACACTTGAAAAGAACTGCTTGAGTTTCCTAATTTGTATAAACAGAAATCTGGAGAACAGGCATGGTAATGGATATTAAGGGTGTGGGATAATGGTGGAAGGAAAATAGAGTTGGATCAGGCTGAATTTATTGATTTGGGCCCACTAAGTAGGAACTCTGTATTTAATGTTGCAGCTTGAGGAGCTTAAAAAAAAGGTTCTAATAGCTTATTTGCTTGGTTAGCTGAAATATCGATTAAAAGATAGCCCACTGTGAGCCAGCTAGAAATGCCTGATATCCCTTGGTTTAATATAGAGGAAGGGATCCAAAGCCTTAGGGAGATTGGGATGGTGGAGTGGATTAGTCACTTTAGACCTAGTCATCCCAGCCGGGAGGACCCAGAAAATATACCCATGACCAAGGCCTTGTGAAATAGATTTTGCGAGGGCAGCACCTGCATCTTTGAAGAGCCTTGTAATTGCTCTTCTCCATATGTCAGATCTAACAGTGGGAACTGCAGTCACTCAACTACAAAATTTAAATACCATGGGAATAATTGGATCCTGAGGTGGCAGGAGCCGAGTGGTGGCACTTAACCATCAAAGGTGAGGTGGGCATAGCTACCATAATTGACAGCAGAGGCAAAGCAACAATCAGAATAGTCTGACTTGTGTAGAGCTCTAGCATTGTCTAATTAATTACGGTGTTCCTAGAAGTGAAATTTATAGGAAGCCTACTGCATTTCTACTTAATATATACAAGCAGACAACTTCTAGGTCGAATGGACAAAAGACTAATTTGAATTATAAAAAGAGAGAATCATGGCCCCTCAATCAATTTCCAGGCTTGAGCCAGTTTACAGTCCAGAACCTCTTGAGTGAAGGAGAGGCTGGGTCCCCTTGAGGAAGGATGCCACAACATTACTGCCAATTTATGCAGTGAATCTTTCTCCCATCCTTCCCCAGGAGACCTCCGGCCTTTTACCAGAGTAACTGTGCGTTGGAGAAAGGGAAATAATCAGATATTTCAGGGACTACTGGACACTGGCACTGAGGTGATGTTGATCCCAGGGGACCCAAAACATCATTGTGGTCTTCCAGTTAAAGTAGGGGCTTATGGAGGTCAGGTAATTACAGAGTTTTAGCTTAAGTCCGACTGACAGTGGGTCCAGTGGGTCTCGGGACTCATCCTGTGGTCATTTCCCCAGTGCCAGAATGCATAATTGGCATAGACATACTTAGCAACTTGCAGAACCCCCACATTAGCTCCCTGACTGGTTAGGTGAGTGCTATTATGGTGGGAAAGGCCAAATTGAAGCCATTAGAGCTGGCTCTACCTAGAAAAATATTAAATAAAAAACAATATTGCATCCCTGGAGGGATTGCGGAGGTTAGTGCCACCATCAACAACTTGAAAAATGCAGTGTTGGTGACTCCCACCACATCCCCATTCAACCTTCCCATTTGGCCTGTGAAGAAGACAGATAGATCTTGGAGAATGACAGTGGATTATCATAAGTTTAACCAAGTGGTGACTCCAATTGCAGCTGTTGTACCAGAGGTGGTTTCATTGCTTGAGCAAATTAACACATCTCTGGGTACCTGGTATACAGCCATTGACTTGGCAAATGCCTTTCGCTCTGTTCCTGTCCATAAGGCCCACCAGAGCTAATTTGTCTTCAGCTGGCAAGGCCAGCAGTATACTTTTACTGTCCTACCTCAGGGGTATATCAGCTCTCCGGCTTTGTGCCATAATCTTATTCAAAGAGAACTTGATTGCTTTTCACTTCTGAGATGCCACACTGGTCCATTACATTTATGACATTATGCTGATTGGATCCAGTGAGCAAGAAGTAGCAAACACACTGGACTTATTGGTGAGACATTTGTGTGTCAGAGGATGGGAAATAAATCTGACTAAAATTCAGGGACCTTTTACCTCAGTAAAATTTCTAGGGGTCTACTGTTGTGGAGCCTGTTGAGGTATTCATTCTAAGGTGAAGGATAAGTTGCTGCATTTGGCCCCTCCTACAACCAAGAAAGAGACACAATGCCTAGTGGGCCTATTTGGATTTTGGAGGCAACACATTCCTCATTTTGGTGTGTTACTCTGGCCCATTTATCGAGTGACCTAAAAGGCTTCCAGTTTTGAGTGGGCCCCAGAACAGGAGAAGGCTCTGCAACAGGTTCAGGCTGCTGTACAAGCTGCTCTGCCACTTGGGACACATGACCCAGCAGATCCAATGGTGCTTTAGGTGTTAGTGGCAGATAGGGATGCTGTCTGGAGCCTTTGGAGGCCTCCATTGGTGAATCACAGTGGAGGCCTCTAGGATTTTGGAGCAAGGCCCTGGCATCATCTGATAACTGCTATTGCAGATAACTACTCTTTTGAGAGACAGCTTTTGGCCTGTTACTGGGCTTTGGTGGAAACTGAATGTTTGACTATGGATCATCAAGTCACCATGCAACTTGAACTGCTTATCATGAACTGGGCACTTTCTGACCCATCTAGCCATAAAGTAGGTTATGCATAAAGTAGATTGGCAGAAGCACTGCATGC
This sequence comes from Homo sapiens, assembly GCF_000001405.40. NCBI lineage: Eukaryota > Metazoa > Chordata > Mammalia > Primates > Hominidae > Homo > Homo sapiens. Next base: position 95,961,818 of record NC_000023.11, on the reverse strand, counting down.
AGGATAGGCAAACCCATATCCGGAGTAAGTGTCTATTCCAGTGAGGACAAACCTCTGCCTTTTTCATGATGAAAGAGGTCCAATATAATGCAGCATTCCATCATCAAATGGAAGTGGCATATATGTGATAGGGCTCAAGCAGGTCCTGAAGGCACAAGTAAGTTACATGAGGAAGTGGCTCAAATGCCCATGGTCTCCACTCCTGGTACCCTGCCTTCTCTCCCACAGCCTGCAACAATGGCCTCTTGGGGAGTTCCCTAGGATTAATTGACAGAGGAAGAGAATACTAGGGCCTGGTTCACAGATGGTTCTGCATGATATGCAGGCACCACCCAAAAGTGAACAGCTGCAACACTACGGTCTCTTTCTAGGACATCCCTGAAGAATGGTGGTTAAGGGAAATCTTCCCAGTGGGCATAACTTCAAGCAGTTCACCTGGTTGTGCACTTTGCATGGAAGGAGAAGTGGCTAGATGTGCAAATATATACTGATTCATGGGCTGTAGCCAATGCTTTGGCTGGTTGGCCAGGGACTTTGAAGAAGCATGATTGAAAAATTGGTGACAAAGAAATTTTGGGAAGAGCTATATGGATAGACCTCTCTGAGCTGTCAAAAACTGAAGATGTTTGTATCCCATGTGAGTGCTCACCAAAGGGTGATCTCAGCAGAGGAGGATCTTAATAATCAAGTGGATAGGATGACCCATTCTGTGGACACCACTCAGCCTCTTTCCCCAGCCACCCCTGTCATTGCCCAGTGGGCTCATCAACAAAGTGGCCATGGTGGCAGGGATGGAGGTTACACATGGGCTCAGCAAAATGGAAGTCCACTTTTGTAGGTTGACTTGGCTGCAGCCACTGCTGGGTACTCAATTAGCCAGCAGCAGAGACCAACACTGAGCCCTCAATATGGCAACGTTCCTCGGGGTGATCAGCCAGCTACCTGGTGGTAGGTTGATTATATTGGACCTCTTTCATCATGAAATGGCAGAGGTTTGTCCTCACTGGAATAGACACTTACTCCAGATATGGGTTTGCCTATCCTGCACGCAGTGCTTCTGCCAAGACTACCATCTGTGGACTCATGGAATGCCTTCTCTGTGGTCATGGTATTCCACACAGCATTGCCTCTGACCAAGGCATTCACTTTACAGCTAAAGCAGTGCGGCGGTGGGCTCATAGAATTCATTGGTGTCACCATGTTCTCCATCATCCTGAAGCAGCAGGATTGATAGAACAGTGGAATGGCCTTTTGAAGTCACAATTACAACACCAACTAGGTCACAATACTTTGCAGGGCTGGGGCAAAGTTCTCCAGAGGGCTGTGCATGCTCTGAATAAGTGTCCAATATATGGTACTGTTTCTCCCATAGCCAGATTCATGGGTCCAGGAATCAAGGGGTGGAAGTGGAAGTGGTACCACTCACCATCACCCCTAGTGATCCATTAGCAAAATTTTTGCTTTCTGTTCCTGTGACATTACATTCTGCTGGCCTAGAGGTCTTAGATCCAGAGGGATGAATGCTGCCACCAGGAGACACAACAACAATTCCATTAAACTAGAAGTTAAAATTGTCAGCTGTAAACTTTGGGCTCCTCCTATCTTTAAGTCAACAGGCTAAGATGGGAGCTACAGTGTTGGCTGGGGTGATTGACCCAGGCTATCAAGATGAAATCAGTCTACTACTCCATAAGGCAGGTAAAGAAGAGTACGCATGGAATACAGGAGATCCATTAGGGCATCTCTTAGTATTACCATGCCCTGTGATTAAGGTCAATGGGAAAATACAACAGCCCAATCCAGGCAGGACTACAAATGGCCAGACCCATCATGAATGAAAGTTTGGGTTACTCCACCAGAAAAAAAAGAAACAAAACAAAATAACAACAACAATGACAACAACAAACACCCACGACCTTCTGAGGTGCTGGCTGAAGGCAAAGGGAATACAGAATGGGTATTAGAAGAAGGTGGTCTTCAATACCACCTACAATGATGTGACCAGCTACAGAAACGAGGACTGTAACTGTCATGAATATTTCCCCCTTCTTTTGTGAAAAACATGTTTGTGCATGTATACACTTGTACCAATAAAATATCTTCATTTTATTTCCTTTCTCCTTTTTCATGTGACTTGAGATTTATTAACTTTACATTAGCATTTAAGTATTGTTAACTTTATATGATATTATTTGGGTTGGGAATTGGTGCATTTCTGGTTGTATGAAGGATAGTTGTATTATGTTAGGTGTAATTATGACATTATTGTCTTTATTTGAAGATTATGTATGATCTCAGGAGATGTGTATGGGTTCAAGTAGATAAGGGGTGGACTTGTGATGGTTAATACTGAGTGTCAACTTGATTGGATTGAAGGATGCAAAGTATTTATCCTGGGTGTGTCTGTGAGGGTGTTGCCAAAGGAGATTAACATTTGAGTCAGTTGGGTGAAAAAGGCAGACCCATCCTTAATCTGGCTGGGCACAAACTAATCAGCTGCCAGCATGACTAGAATATAAGCAGGCAGCAAAATGTGAGAAGAGAGACTGGCCTAGCCTCCCAGCCTGCATCTTTCTCCCATGCTGGATGCTTCCTGCCCTCAAACATCAGACTCCAAGTTCTTCAGTTTTGGATCTCAGACTGGCTCTCCTTGCTCCTCAGCCTGCAGACAGCCTATTGTGGGATCATGTGATCATGTGAGTTAATACTTAATAAACTCCTATCTATCTATCTAACTATCTATCTATCTATTCCATTAGTTCTGTTCCTCTAGAGAACCCTAATACACCATGTGATTAAGTGACTGAGCTAAAATGGAAGATCAGATTATAAGAGGAGAGGAGCTCCAGAACTATGAGGCTAGTTTATTGATCTTCTAGGTGGATACTTAAATCTCCACAAATTATGACAGTCAGTGTTTGAGAAAATGGCATTGATACAGGAGCTAAAGAAATGAGAGGGAGTGGATTCTGGGTGTTTTTATGGAGAGAAAGTGAGTGTGATCTCACAGTCTAGAAACGGTGACGAGGAAGAAAGTGCAGCTGCCCCAAATTCAAGACCCACAGAATGAATAGTATGGGAACCAAACCACCATCTACATACTGGTATTAGTCCCTTCTCACACTGCTATAAAGAACTACCTGAGACTAGGTAATTTATGAAGAAAAAAATTTGAATCGACCCACAGTTCTTCAGGCTGTACTGGAAGCATGGCTGTGAGCCCTCAGGAAACTTATAATCATGGTAGAAGGCAAAGAGGAAGAAAACACATCTTACCATGGTGGAGCAGGAAAGAGAGAGAGTGAAGGGGAAAGTGCCATACAGTTTTAAACCATCAGATTTCATGAGAACTCCCTCACTATTATGAGAACAGCAAGAGGGAAATCTGCCCCCATGATCAAATCACCTCCCACCAGGTCCCTTCTCCAACATTGGGAATTACAATTCAACATGAGATTTGGGTGAGGACATAGAGCCAAACTGATACTGTTAGGTTTTGTGTCCCTACCCAAATCTCCTCTTGAATTGTAATCCTCGGGTGTTGAAGGAGAGATGTGATGGGGTGATCAGATCATGGGAGTGGTTTCTGCCATGCTGTTCTCATGATAGTGAGTGAGTTCTCATGAGAGCTGATGGTTTTATAAGGGGCTCTTTTCCCTTTGCTTCCTACACACATGTATCTCTCTCACCTGCTGCCATGTGAGATGTGCCTCTTCCCTTTCCACCATGATTGTAAGTTTCCTGAGGCCTCCTAAGCCATGTGAAACTGTGAGTCAATTAAACCTCTTTTCTTTATAAATTACTCAGTTTCACGCAGTTCTTTATAGCAGTATGAGAACAGACTAATACACAAACCATATATTTCGTTCCCCGGCCCCTCCCAAATCTCATGTCCTTCTCACATTTCAAAACACAACCATGCCTTCCCAACAGCCCCCAAAAGTCTTAATTCATTCCAGCATTAACTCAAAAGTCAAAGTCCAAAGTTTCATCTGAGACAAGGCTTGTCCCTTTTGCTTATGAGCCTGTAAAATCAAAACCAAGTTAGTTGGCATTGGGTAAATGCTCCCATTCCAAATGGGAGAAATTGGCCAAAAAAAGATGATCACAGGCCCCATGCAAGTACAAAAGCCAGCAGGACAGTCATTAAATCTTAAAGCTCTGAAATATTCTCCTTTGACTCCATGTATCACATCCGGGCAACACTGAGGCAAGGGGTGGCCTCCCAAGGCTTGGGAAGCTCCACCTTTTTGGCTGTATAGGCTACAGCACACGCATCTGCTTGCATGGGCTGGCGTTGAGTGTCTGCAGCTTTTCCAAGCGCACAGTGCAAGCTGTCAGTGGATCTACTATTCTAAGGTCTGGAAGATGGTGATGGTGGCTCTCTTCTCACAGCTCCACTAGGTAGTCCCCCAGTGGGGACTCTGTGTGGAAGTTCTAACCCCAGATTTTCCTTCCCCACTGCCCTAGTAGAAGTTCTCCATGAGGGCTCATCCCCTGCAGCAGACTTCTGCCTGGACCTCCAGGCATTTCCATACATCCTCCAAAATCAAGGTGGAAGCTCCCAAACCTCAATTCTTGACTTCTGTGCACACACAAGCCCAACACCACGTGGAAGCCACCAAGGCTTAGGGCTTGCACCTTCTGAAGCAATGGCCCAAGCTATACCCTGGACCCTTTTAGCCACAGCTAGAGCTGGAGTGGCTGGGACACAGAGTGCCATTTCCCAAGGCTGCACAGAGCAGTGGGGCCCTTGTCCTGGCTCACAATGCCATTTTTCCCTCCTAGGCTTCCAGGCCTGTGATGGGAGGAGCTGCCACAAAGTCTCTGAAATGCTTTGGAAGTGTTTTCACATTGCCTTGGCTATTAACATTTGACTCCTCTTTACATATGCAAATTTATGCAGCCAGCTTGAGTTCCTCCCCAGAAAACAGGTTTTTCTGTACTACCACATGGCCAGGTTGCAAATTTTTCAAGCTTTTATGCTCTGCTTTCCTTTTAAATACAAGTTCCAGTTTCAGATCATTTCTGTTTATGAAGACGAGCATAGGCTTTTATTTTTATTTTTATTTATTTATTTTTTTGAGCATAGGCTTTTAGAAGGAGCCAGGCCACATCTAGAATGCTTTGCTGTTTAGAAATTTCTTCCACCAGATACCCTAAATCATCTCTCTCAAATTCAGAGGTGCACAGATCCCTAGAGCAGGGGCACAATGCCACCAGTCTCTTTGCTAAAACATAGCAAGAGTAATCTTTACTCCAGTTCCCAATAAGTTCTTAATCTCCATCTGGGACCACCTCAGCCTGGATTTCACTGTCCATATTACTATCAGCATTTTCCATGTCCTTCCCCCAACTTTGGGAATTACAATTCAACATGAGATCTGGGTAGGGACACAGAGCCAAAGCATATTGGTACTCAGTCTTTTTTTTTTTTTTTCATTTCAAAACATTTATTTTTAATTGACTTGCTGAAATAGGGCATTTTTTAACCTGCAGGCAAAATACACTAAAAATACTCAGATTACAAATTGACAATATCTCCAGAAATTAGACATGATGTTTGCCTCATATAAAGCAGATTTATATATGTAGAAATATGTCTGATTTATTGGGAAGCTTTTAGGGTTATTGATGAGGAAACTAAATGCTTGTAGGGGAAAGAGAAGGCTCTGCTTTTTTTAAACTACAGCTACTTCTAACAATTTGATTAGTTAGTTTTGCCGTCCTGTGACAAGAATCTTCTGGGGTTATGAGCAAAAGAATTTGTTGTCTTATAAATGAATTCAACAGTATCCACTTTACTAGGAAATTTAACTTCCAAGGTATCTTACCTGAAATCCTTTCTTAAGAAGCTATTCTTATGTAAACTTCAGACTGGCCACTCAAACCTCAGTCTTGCCTTACCGCTGAAGCTCTACTGTGTCTAGATTTTTTAAACACTGTTCCATTATTTATACATAGGATTTCTTTTTTTGCCCTTTGTGGTAGCTCTCTATGGTTGTGGAAATTTTGTTGCTATTGTTACTCTTAAAATGTTTTCTGTCTTCATTCACTGACTGGTATTTTATTTTAATTTATTTTCCCCTTACGCTTTACATAGAAAATGTGGTGTAGAGGATAAAATAAAGACAATTCATGATACAATTAGTGGAAACCATGTGCCATTTAGTTTTCCCTCTTGTTATTTCTTCAAAGATCCTCCCTGAATCTCCTTAGAGTCTTCCCTAAGTGAAGCCCTTCTCTGTGAAGTTTACTTTGGTGCTTAGAAATTGCCTTATCTCGGTGAGTGAGGAGAATTAAAGGCCATAATTGTTGAAACAACTAGTTGTCTTTTTCAAGAGATACTTGGAACTTATGTGAAAAAATAAAAGAGCTAAAAAACATCGTGTTCGATATACACATCTAGCTGATTCGAGGTGTTTTTCTAAGCAGCCCACAACACAGATGGAGAAAAAAGTTAACAGCCAAAATTTATCCTAGAAGGATCACCTAATGATAGCATGACAGGTTTTTTTTTTTTTTTTAAGAGAAGAGGCATGTAGTTTTAAAACATCCTTTTAGACAAAACAATAGCAGATAAAATTCCATGACTATAACTAAGTTTTTAAACTTTCTTTTGTGTTGGCCTGTCTTAAGGTTTCACTGGCCTGAAAAACGAATTCGAAAGAATTGTACTTTTGCGCAGAACTTTTCAACTCAAATCATCCCAAATAAGAAGAACCTTAGTATGGCTGGGATGATCTTCAGTGGATATTTTTAGGAGAATGGTGGTTGTTTCTCATGTCTCTCTGCCTTGTGATATCTTTCTACAATTAAAACCCGAATTAAATCCTAAACTGCAAACTTGGGGACCCATTTATTCCCTGGACCAAGATTGATAGTGCAGAAACTCTAACCATGAGACCCTTTTTGCTGGGAAGTTGGCTCACCTGAAGCCCATGCTTCTGGAGAGACTCATCTAAAGTGAAGAGGGTAAATTTACGGAATCCAGTCTGTGTGAAATGGTAATGAGTGAATAAAGTAGCGTTGCCAGGTAAAATGAAGACACATAGTTATATTTGAATTTCAGATAAAATGAGTAACATTTTTGTATAAGAATGGCCTATGAAATATTTAGGGCATACTTATACTAAAAATGAACACTTGTTTTTAAGAAATTAAAATGTAACTGGACATTGGTATTTTTGTTTGCTAAATTTGGCAATCCCACTAATAAGGCAGTCATAGTTAGAGCTTATGATTTTAGAGTACCATTTAGTCATGTTTTTCTTGAGCCATTTAGAAAAGCAGCCTAGATACAGTACATAATGGTTGGATAATGGCATCCATGCTGTCTCTTGAAGTAAGGAAGTAATTTTGTTTGGGGAAGAGGGCAGTACATTTAACAATATCTTAAACTTTTCTGTCATTCAGAGTTCTTTGAAATTTTGCTACACAGTTTCTGAAGTTGATTTCTTGAGTATTAAGGCACATACAAGGTAGAACTCATTGCACCTGAACTCTTAGAGTAAAATTCACTGATGGAACTAAACTATTGGAAAAAGAAATAACCATTTATGGGGCATATTTTTTTCACTCCATGATTACACACTGTAGTAGAGAAAGTTGTAACCCTGATTTAGATAATTTGAGTCCTGCTTCTAACTCTGTTACTTTTTAGACAATTGACCAAGGAGAAGTTAACTATCTTCTCTGAACTTCACTTTCTTTACATCTACAATAGGGGTAATTATGCTTGTTCAGTCTACTTCACATAACTGTTAATAAATCTGAATGAGATAATAAATAAGGTTCTGTAAGTTATAAAGCACTGTTCAAGATGCAAATAGTTATATTCATTTTTTTAACCACAAGAGCATTAAATAATAAATAATTGTGACATTGAAAATACTAATAATGATTAAGTTGTTTGCCTTTCAGAGAAACTTGGCTGTTTTCTGATTGTTTTTGGCAGCAAGAAGATATTTTGTTGTTCTGTGATTTACTACTCTGGTATTTTGTGCCTATGAAAGCAATTAAAATTGACTCGTTCCAAATTGAGTAAAGCAAACAGAAAGTTAAACTGTATATCCTGAGAGATTATGTGAGATCATGTGAATGTGGATTATATGATCACATATGACATATATGTACTCACGGAAGTGTGCTAAACACAGTCACATGGTATAGGCTGATGGTATACCAAGTCTTGAAAATAATGTTGAAGCTATTTTATTCAGTGGCTGCAGGAAGTTTCATTAAAATCTAATCAACCAAAATTTATGAGAAAGAAGGTTCCCAAGTTTATTTAATGGTTACGAAAGCTGATCCCTTATCATAATTAAACCTTTTCACAATTAAACATGAAAGAATTTTAATAATAGCAAAAGTTTCAGTTCTCAGAGTTAAGAATTTATATCTCCCTTATTGAATATAGACAATATGTAGATAGGTACCAATAAAATCATCCTATGTCATGACATCTATTTCTGTGAGGTAAGACTGCTTACTGGAATATTGCCTTAAATATATATTGATGTAAAGCAAACAATGCTACTGGAAGCAAGCAGAGATGGTTCACAGTGCTCCATATTAAGAAAGAATTAGCCTATTTTTAACTAAACCATTTTTTATAAAGCCACTGAGTTTCTCTCTCTCTCTGTCTCTCTCACTTGCTCACTCGCTAGCTCCTCCCTCTCCTTCTCTAATTAAAAAAAATTGAAAGAACATATTTATTGCACATTAAAATGAAAACCCATGAGTTTTTTTCTTTTCACCACGATTAATTCTGCCTTCTTAGAGTGGCTTCTAGAAATATTTCCTTATTGAACAGTCTTAGGATGTTTATTCAGTCTTTATGTCATGGCATGACTTGTGGATTTGTATCAAAGAACTTCTGAAAACCAAATTTGCTGTCAGAGAAAACCAAGCAAGAAGTAATTTTTAAATGGTATCATTTAATCTTTACTCCATGTTTATTTCTCTATGAAAACATTGTTATGTCCCTTTTATGGCATCCCATTAAACTACAATCTGGTTGGAAGGAGGGTGAAATTAAAAGTGGTCATTGCAGCAATGACCCATTTATGAGCTGTCTTCTTTTATTGAAGCATTTTTAGTTTTGATTATTTTGTTCCATTAAACCTCAATTAAAAGTTAGATATTTTTCCCTATTGGATGCAACTCCAAATTTCTCACATTTTAAGCTCTATTTTCAGAATAAATTCTTATACTGCCAATGATAAAACTCCAATTTAATACATTGTTGATTATCTGCAGATACTGACCTGAAATTGAGCAATGTTGAGGTAGAAAAACTTTATTCTTCAGTACCAATGACCACACCTGTTCCCTTTGTTTAGCTCAGAAAAGATGTTCTTATTTTATTTTCCTTTTTCCATTTAGTGTCAAAGGGGTCAAATGATGGTCTTCCCAGGAGTATTTGCCTTTTAAAAGTTGGACACTGGGAGAAAAACTAGATATACACCTACTCATATATAGAGAGACACACATATGTGTGTGTATCTATCTATTTATCTATATAATGCACATAACATATTTGGATATTAGGTGAGGAAAAGCAAAACCTGAAAGACCAGGAGGAAGTGATAACCCTGACGCAACTCCCCAGTTTGTCATTCATATTCTGCCAAATGAAGACACCGGTTCCTTAAAAGCTCACTCCTCCTGCTGAGTCCTTTCTTAGCCGTAGACTGTAAGGTCCATGAAAGTCGAGGCCTTTTACCATATTGATCACCACTGAATTCCCATTGCCCATCACGGTATCACAGTGACTATAAAAATATTAATGATATTTGTTGAATTAATAACCAAATGAACTTTTAAAATTCACACATATTCTCAACAACCAGGAGGAGTTACTGACATTTTAGTGTACCAGTTTTCAGTCTTTTCTCTATGTCACTTTCCTCCTTCTTTATCTCTCTTTAAACACACATGCACACACACGCACACACACAAATTTTTCCATTGTTATTGGCATTTCTTCCATGGTATCAAATTTTCTCCTTCAAATATTTTTAGCTTTTTTTTTATAATTATAGATGTAAGTCATAGTATAAAAATAGAAAATATAGAAAAGTAAAATTTGTCCTTAATCACAATACTCAGAACTGTTTTAACATTGTAGTATATTAAAGACTTCTGTCTCTATCTCTCTGTCTCTCTTCCTCTCTCTCCAATAAAAAATCTTGCCTCATTCTGTATATTGTTTTTATTTGTTCACTAAACAATATGCTGTATTTTAAGTTATTCTATTCTCTTTAAAATTGGCTAATGGCTGAAGGATATGTCACATTATGATTGAATACTTTTTAAGCTAATATGCCAAATTTGGGTATTTATGTTGCTTACAATGTTTAACTATCATAGAAAAATCTCCCTTTAGAGCTTGTGGATAAATCCTTGACCTTATCACTGATTATTTATTTAGGATAGATTAACAATTTTGAAATTATTTACTACAGTTATAGACTTCTTTAAGGCTGTGAGCAAGTATATATGAGCCTCCTCTCAGCCTACCCCCACTAAAAGTGAATGCTTTGTTTAGAAATCTTGTGACTTTGACAGATAGAAATTTGTTGCATATGTATTTCCCTTTATATGTTAATGTACAGAAATTTTAAAAGCTAGATGTTCAACCTACAGATCATTTGTTTTATGGTTTCTCCTCTTGCTTTTATGTTTCAAAAATGTTCTATTCTGACATAAGTTAATATCAACCTATATTTTCTTCTAACTAGCCTAGGGTTTCAGGATACATATTTAAGTTTTTTTTTTTTCAAAATACAAAGAGCTATTTAAAATATAAAACATTGAGGCTAGTTTACTGTGACAAACTCAGAAAATATGAAAGAGAAAGTAAAAATGAACTTCATTCTTACCATTGTGCTTGTTCAACAAATATTAAACATCTGTGTGGCAGGCACCAGGTGCTAGAGCCACAGTGGTGAGCAGGTCCCTGCTCTTGCTGAATACACAATCCAGCAGGAAAGCATAGGGGTAAATTCAGTGTTATAGGGTGTGTCCATAGCAAGAACATATAACCTAGGTTTCCATGACAAAGTTATCATTAATCTGAGAAACGATGGATGAGAATTAGTTAGCAATGTGAAGATTAAGGGAAGACTGTTCCAAGGCAGAAACGATGATGCAAGCCAATGCCTGGGGAAAGGGAAAGCTTACAATTTTCAGAGAACTTAAAAAACACCACAATGGCTAAAGTTTAACAGCTGAAGGTGAGGCCAATGAGAGAGAAGGATGAAAATATAGATAGGGCTTAGGTTAAGAAGATTCTTATAAGTCCTACTGAACATGTTTGCCTTTACTTTGTCAGTTACTGAAGTTATTAAATGTTCACATGCTTCCTTTGACATTTTTAACTGTACACACATTTAAAAATATAAAATAGGAAAATGGGATTATAGTTTACATATAGTTTTATTATTTGTTTTGCCATTCATTAACTTATTCAAAATTACTTATTGAATATCTACTGTATGCCAGGTATCATAGTTGGTGTTGGGGATATAGCAGTAAATAAAACAAAAATGCCTACTCTCATGGATATTATATTCTACAGGGGTGGAGAGACAAAGAACAAGCAAATATATAACATATAAGGTAGTGATAAATATGAAAAAAGAAAAGTAGGGTAAGTGGTGAGAGATGATGAAAATTAATTCTGATTAGGGTGATATATTCATTTGGATTTCTTTCGAGCAAACCCTGAGATGAGGATTCTTGGACAAGTAGTTTGAGACTGTGTCTTCAGGTGAAACCTGGAAGAGTGTGAGAAGCAAGATAGGGCAGAAGAAGAAGCTAGGCAAAGATGTAGTTCTACCTGAAATCTAGCCTTAGCCTATTCCTAGGAAAAGCTCTTGGGTATGAATGACATCATAGTTTTCCATCTCTCCCAAGGAACAAGGTCAGCTGCTAGATTATCTGTTCTCTTATGATAGATCCATTCTGGCATGTTGCCTCCCTCAGGTACATTGCAATGTTGACATCTTTGCTTCATTGAATGTGAGTCATCACTTTTACCAAGCTTCCAAGAGGTAATCCAGCCATGCATCAGAACCACTAAGCAAAGCCTTTGCTGTAGAAAAGTGTCGTAATATTAATAAACTCTCCTTTATCCACCTTTATTTTCTGTCTCCTTTGATGCAACACCCTCGAGTTCTATTTCCAGGTACAATTTCCCAGTGTCTTACAGCATGTATTAGCCAGGTATTTCAGCTTCTGTGGTGTGTAATTCATCTACTCCCTTAGCAGACTTATCACTGCCCCAGAAGGATCAGGCTGAGCTCTGAATCTAGTTATTGGTCTGGAGTCCAAGAGGGATGTAGGGGCAGATCCTGAAGAGGGACAACATTGTCTTGTAAGACATATACCTCATTTGAGCATTGTGTATAGTCTTCAAAAGAAGGCCTTCTCTCTCCTAACACAAGGGAGAGTTGGATAATTTTTTAAGCCCAGAGGACTAAGGGGAATCTGAGGGTTCAAATATCTTGAGTGAATCTACCCAGATATTCTTATTCTAAGTTTCAGGGCTCTACTCCTTCTCTATCTGGGCCGACTTTGGCATAGGAAACTTTCCTAGGCTGAGAATTCAACCACCTCTGATATTCAGTCTTTTTGAGTCAAGTTCTGTGTCAGTTTGCACTCCAGCTGTGGGAAATGAAGTCCTTTTTAAGATGCTTCTAAGGATGCCCTGTGACACTTACATATTGCTTTAAATTGATAATTAAGTGCTCTGAGCTTGTGATTTTCTTTTTTTTTTTTTTTCAAAGCATCAGTGGTGCTTAGCAACAGCCATCCAGAAAGTACAATCCAGGTATTCACTAAGATCCCTGTATTTTGTAGACACCAGAGACATTACAAAAGCTAGCACATCCCTATATTCTAAGCACTGTCAATACTCCATGTAACACCACTAATGGGTTACTATTGGCCCTTCAGACATTGAGACTCTTTCCTAGAAACTCTCGTGATACCAACTAAATTACTTCTTATTTCGTGGAAGCAAGCCTGAGATAGCATTTTTGAAAAATTGATTTATTGAGGGAGTTACCTTCAGGTGAATCCTTTAAGGGAGTGAGAAAAATTAGGTTAAGGCAGAGGAATATATCAGCCAAAGATGTGGTTTCAACTGAAGTTTAGCCTGTTCCAAGTAGAAGGCCCTGGAACATGAATGACACCACAGAGTTATCCCACCTTAAGGCAAGGGTATGGCATTTTGTACTCCTATATTGGTTAGTCATTTGTTGCAGGCAGGGGGAGGATGTAAACTCTCAGGCATTTCCAGGAGAGGTTACTCCTTGCTGTTGAGGCCAGCTCTCAGAAGGATGAAACTGTGAACTCTTAAAGATTCAATACTCACAACAGGTAGGAGAATAGTTCTGCCACGCAGGAAGGGGGATCTAAGCAGGGTACCAACAACTTCTACTTTATGGGATCAGGGGCAAGATTTAATCAGAAATATGAAAGAACTGACCTGTGTTGTAGGAGTGCTGTGAGTGAGGAGGAAAATAGTAGATTAAGTTAAGGAAGTAGTAGGGGCCAGACTTTGAGCCACCAATAAAGCCATGGAATGGATGTTGGGTTTTATTCTGTATGAGATGGGAAGACATTGGAGACTTCTAAGTAGAGAAGTGACATTATCTGAGCTAACATTTTAAAAGGCTCAATCTGGCTGCTGTGCTTAGAATAGACTGTAAGGTGGTAAGGGCAAAAACAGAGAGACAGGTTAGGAAGATTTCAAAATAATCCTGGCAACAGGCATTTGTGGTTTGAATTAAAGTTGTAGTGGTAGGGATGATAAGTGTTTGGATTCTGGATGTATTTTGAAGGTAGTTCTAGAAGAATTTGTTGATGGATTTGATGTATTGTGTGAGAGAGCCTGAATTTATGGAAGAATAGATGAGATAATTAAACTGGAAGTAACAGGTTTTTATTTTGAGAGTGGAACTCAAAAATTTGGTTTTGGCTAAACAATATTGTGTCTATAGTTACTATTACTGTATTGTACACCTAAAAATGTGTTCAGAGGATAGATCTCATGTTAAGTGTTCTTACTACCATAACATTTTTTAAATTTATTTTTTTTAATTTGGTTTTAGATGGGTTAATTTGGAGATGCCACTTAGAATTAATTGTAAATTTAGAGTAGGCAGTTATATATGCAAGTCTGAAGTTCATAAATTATTAAAATAATTTTGTATTATTAATTTAGATTGTTTCTATTATTTGTTGTTATTATGAACAACATGGCCGTAACTATCTTTTAATAAACATTGTTGTATATTTATCAAGTATTTCAACCTAATTCACTTTCCTGAGGCATTTCTCTGATTGCTGATAAGATTAAGGATCTTTACCTGTTTGTTCCTTTCTTTCCTTCTATTTTTTTGCTAAATTACTTGACTTGTATTAGCTAGGGCTGCCATAACAAAATCCACAGACTGGGTGGCTTAAACAACAGAAATTTATTTTCTCAGAGTTCTGGAGGCTGGAAGTGTGAAATCAAGGTGTTGGCAAGATTGATTTGTTCTGAGTCCTCTCTCCTTGGCTTGTAGATGGTCTTCCCTTTCTGTGTTTCTACATGTTTTTTCCTCTGTGCATGTTTGCATCCTAATCTCTTCTTTTTGTAAGGATACTAGTCATATTGGATTAGGGCTCACACATATGACCTCACTTTGCCTTTGTTACCTCTTTAAAGGTTCTATCTCCAAATATAGTCACATTCTGAGGTACATGGAGTTAGGACTTCAACATATGAATTTTGAGGAACAAAATTCAGCACGTAACAGCTATATGTTTTCCTATATTTTTCTTGGGATAGTTGTCTTTTTCTCCATATTTTGAGTTATTTATTTAGCAAGTATTAATCAGCTTGGGCTGCCATAACAAAATATCATAGACTAGGTGGCTTAAACAACAGAAATGTATTTTCTCACAGTTCTGGAAGCTAGAAGTCCGAGATCAGAGCGTGAAGGTGGTCAGGTTCTGGTGAGGGCTCTCTTCGTTTGCAGGAGGCCACCTTCTCTCTGAGTCCTCACATGATAGAGATACACAATTTTCTTCTTCTTCTTTTAAAGCCACCAAGACTATTTGATTAGGATTTCACACTTATGATCTCATTTAACCTTAATTACTTCCTAAAGGCCCTATCTCCAAATGCAGTCACATTAGGGGTTAGAGCTTCAGCATATGTATTTTGTAGAAGGGACACAATTTAGACCACAGCAGCAAGGATATTAACTTTTTTCTTAAATATTTCAATTGTATTTTTTCTAGTGTTTAAGCCATCTGTTGACTTTGGTTAAGGAGCCTTTTGCCATATACAAGTTTAAATGCAACTCCTTAATTTGTCTGAATTCAAATATGTGGTAAGGTATGAGGGAAAGCTCTAATTTGACTTTTTTCCTATGTAGCCCATTATCTTCATACTGTTTATAATAAATTTATCATTCCACATCAATTTGTGATTCTTTACTTACATGCACAAGATCTGTTCCATCAACTATCTGTTGATGCTTGAGTCATTGACATTTGTTTTGAATATTAAAACATTTTGATTTGTTTTAATATTTGCTGAGATTTATTATACTGTCTCCCATTTGATTTTTAGGTTTATGTGTTTTATTTGTTCATTTTTTCCTGAATAATTTTTGGAATCATTTTGTTAAGTTTTTCTTTAAAAATTCATTGAAATTTTTATTGTAAAATATCCTATATTTCATGTTAGAATTGTTCCTAGATAGCTTATACTTTTGGCTGCTTTGGGAATGTCACCTTTTCCTTTTTCTCTTATGAATTATTTCTAATATCAAGGAATTACATTTATTTTGTATATTTTTATATTTTGCTTTTACTTACCATTTTATTGAACTTGTGTTATTTTTAATGATTTATAAAACCATGCATTTGTAGTTTTAGGCACATCATAATCTACAAGTAGTGATAATTCTGTCTTCTTTATTCTATATATGAAATAGAAGCATGAGTTATGACTCTACGCATGTAGAATTTTTGTTGGGTAAACATGAGTTATGACTCACATTTCTATTTCATATATTATTGAATTAGTCAGAGTACCTATACAAATATTCATTTCTAATGGTGACAACAAGCGTCCATATCTTTAACCTTATTTGGACTATAACATTACTGGTATTGCTACATCTTTTACATATACTTGAAATGGGCTCTACTGAGGTAATCTGCACCAGTTTTCACATGAAACATGTTTGTTCATTTGTTTTTGATTAGAATCTTTCATACATAGTCTGCATTTTATCAGGTAATCCCTTTTCTGTGTGAAATGTTGTGTATAAGATGGGTGATACTTTCTATCCCATGCTTTTCAGATGTGTTCAAATGGCATTTTTAATAGTGTAAATTATTGTTTTATTAAAAGTGTTTACATTGATAGATATTACTGAGTGCTTGTGATATGAAAGGCTCTGTGCTGGGAGCTGGGGGAGACAGACACATAAACCAATAAACAATAAATTATGGTTTATTCAAGGTGGAATGGTAAGACAAAAGATGATGTAATTAATTCTACCTTGGTTAGTGGGAGAGAGTTTTTTTCTGAGAGAACACGGAGAGATAACACTTAAGATGAATCTTGAAAGTTGGGCGGGCGTTTGGCAGGCAAGCAAGAAAAGGCCATCGCAGGCAAAAAAAGCAGCATGAGGGTATCTGTAGTTGTGAAATGTTCTTGCATATGTGGGGCCTAATGATAATTCAATATTGCTCATCTTGATTGTTAGGCATCAAAGAACCAGAGCATTCAAATCAAAATAAAATATTAATTATGTTTATATTATCTGCCACATTTGATTATTTGTGATTCTCTCCTCCTCCCAGGTTTTATTGTAGATAATTAAGAATTGACTGAAGTGAGGATATAGTAAGATAATTGAAAGCTCTCAGAAAAAAAGGGCTATATAAATGAAAGGAATTATTGGCTTACTCTTAATTCTTATTTCTTTGGCTAGGGTGGAGACTGCTAATTGTCCTCCCACATTTATTCTCCCTTTCATATATAGGGATAGAATTTTTGCTGGGTATATAGCCAGACATATACCCAACAAAAGCCCAGAATTACATTTCTCAGGCTCCCTGAAGGTATGTAAGGCTATCCATGTGATTACATTTTGGCCAACAGAATGTGAACAGAAGTGATGTACTCAATGTCTGGCTCCTTCATTTAAAAGGAAGAGGCATTCCATCCCTTGTGTCTTTACATCCGCCCCTCAGGTTGGAACATAAATATGATGGCAGGAGTTATATAGCTCTCTTGGTTGAGGAGATAGTAACTGTGTATTGATAACATCAAAGCAATATGTTACAATGAACCAATATCCTTGCTGATTTTGAAGCTGCCTACCCAGATTTTGATGTGAAAGAAAAATAAATCTCTCTAGTTTAAGCAGCTATTATTTGAGGTCTCTGAGTTACAGCAGCCAAACCAGCAAGTAATGTAACACAGACACTATTTCTATAAAAGTTTTGGAAGAAATTCTTAGTTATTTAAGGTGGACTTATCAGTAAGAGAACCAACTGATCAAATTGCAAATTGCTTATTGGTAATCACGGCCAATGCTGATGAAACAAAGAACTCTGCTGTAGCATCCTTCTCCATTTATAATGGAGACAATACTCAAATTTATATTTTTAGTTTAAATGCCTGAAAATACACAGAAAATATTTTTCATATATTGACAGAATTAAACACTAAGAGAACTGCAATATTCACTGTAAGAAAAATTTCCCCATATTACATATAAAAATTTATACATTCAGAAGTGCATACTGATTAAGCTATTTCTGACCTATTGCTCTTAAGAGAAAGTAAAAACAAAAGTCAAGTAATTCAGAAGCTCAGGGCCATTTTAAGCCCTCAGAGAGAAGTCTTCTTACCTGCAAGAAACTGAATGACTTCCTGCCAGATAATTTTGCTCAGAATAATCTGTAGAAGAGGTTGGTGATTTAACAGATGGTTTGAAAATGTCTTTCCTTTTGACAAGGAAAGCAGAGCAAACTGAAAATATACTTAACAGAAATGTTGACATGTAAAGGTAGTACAGCTGGTGCACTACTATCAGACGAATCAATAATTAAAGGATGATCTCTATTTTTCTGTGGCATATAAAGCAATAAATGGCTGCTGAGATTAATTAATAATTGAATTGAAGCAAAGGGCTTTAATCAATCTTAAAAGCCGCTTATTGTAAGCATACCACAACTAAACCCACATATCAAAATAGAGACAAGTCTTTCTATTCAATTAGAAGACTTGGAAAACATCATACCTACTTTCTGGGAAGCATCCCAGGGAGATGCTGATTAGTCAGAATGAAAGATTGATCAAAGGTATAGTTATAAAGAGAATGTTTCTTAAAATATCAGTTCAAAAGACTGAATTACGTTTGATAAAGGATTTGCAGTGAGTGATTATTTTAGAAATGATGTCATTTAGGTCTTTTTGTTTAATTGGAGATTTAAAATATCTATAGCAGCCAACTGAATAAAATTATATTTTTGACACTTTGATGCTGCAAGTAAATCATTGGGCAGATGGAGAGGTAGTGTTAGGTAGTAGAGAAAAGACGAAAATGGGAATCAAGGGACACAGGGTCTTATTCTAGCTCTACCATTGACTAACTGTTGACAAAGTCTCCTTCAGCTCTGATATTCTGTGATTTCCAAAAGAAATTTCAAACTAGCTAACTAGGAAATTTTGTTATATATGCCTCTGCATCTGAAAGTTTGAGTGAAAGGGAATTAGAAAATTTAAGTTGCAACCCATTATTATTCAGATCTTAAAACTCAGACCTCAACTAATGAATGAAACAAGACATTTTCTGATTAGGATTGATAAAGAGCCAATTATAGGTTTTCCTACCTGATTGGGGCCATTCATAAATGCAAACAACTCTATTCTAGGAGTGCAAAGAAGTTTACATCTGCTTATTATATGCACAAATGACTTGTGTTTTATTAAAAACCACAGCTTGCTCATAAGTGTTATGAATAGCATAAATGGATTTGCTTTTCTCGGAGAGTTAGGAGGGAAATGGTACTTATAACACTGGAATGGTGAAAAAGCATTTGATTTAGCAGAAAGGAATTTTTATGTTTCAGTTTTTACGGGCTTTTGGTTTTTAGGAGAACTTCATTAAATGGATTGTAACCATATATTCTCAACTCACAGCCCACATAATAAGCAATTTTATAAAGTCACCTTTCTTTATATGATTCAAAGGCATTACACAGAGTAGCCTAGTGCCGTTACTATTATCTGCTTGTGGCCATTGAAGAATCTTAGCTATAGGTATCTAAATTCACTAGTCTACTACAGAACACTAGGTGTTCTGTAAATGAGAAAGAAAGGAGAAAACAATGAATTATACTTCTATTCACATGACCTAATGATTATCTTAAAATAAGAACAGAAAGATATTGGCTCAGAATTAGTCCCGGTAATAGAGTGACAACTCAATATATGCCTTCCAGACTCTTTTTAAATGATGGTGCTAACTTTATTTTATTAGAAGAGGAGAATACCCTAAAGATTGCCTCAGTACTTGGCAAGATTCAAAATGGCGCCAATCAGTGGCATTTACTTCTGTCAATCATTAGAGGCAGTAATTTAATTAAAATGAATTTCCCCCTCAAATCTCATATTCCATGTCTGTAGTACTCATTATTTGCCAAGGTATTTTTTTAACTAAGTTAGGCAGATGGTTGTCTCTTTTTGAAAGACAAGGCCAAAAGCCAAAACAAACAAACAACCAACAACAAAAAACTAAAATAGCATGCTTCCATTAGAAATAAGAATTTTGAGATTTTTAATATTTGACATGCATTATCTGGATGCTCAAAATATATATGTTAAAGAAAAAAAAAGTTCAGACTTATAAAATGCAGACTCATTCTTTGTTAAACCTGAAGCTCGAAGTACTATATGCATAATATCAATGTGGACCACAAGCTACTGTGACAGATCTGAATGAATTGTGGGTTCAATTGCATCCTGCCATAGAAATACTGAAGTCCTAGCCCTCAGTGCCTGTTCAGTCATCTTATTAGAAAATAGGATTTTTGCAGATGTAATCAAGTTAAAATGAGGTCATGCTGGATTATAGTGGGACCTAAATCCAATGACTGGTGTCCTTGTAAGGTGACAGATATTTGAAGACAGAAATACGCACAGGGAAGAAGGCCATGTGAAGACAGAAAAACAGATTGGAGTGATGGAGCTATAAGCCAAGGAATGCCAACAATTGCCATCAACCCCCAGATACTAGGAGAGAGTCATGGGACAGTTTCTCTCTCAGAGCTTCCAGAAGGAACCAATCCTGCTGAAACCTTGATTTTAGATTTCTGGCCTCCTGAATTGTGACAGAATAAATTTCTATTGTTTTAAGCCACCTAGTTTGTGATACTTTGTTACGGCAGACCTAGGAATAGTACACAGCATAATTAGAAAAAATATATAGAAGTAACAAAAGAGCATTTACTTTAAAGATCACATACCTACATAATTCAACTTATAACAATTTTCGCTTTGAGTATGTGTAAAGCCAAAAATACCAGACTGTGGTTATAAAAGAAGCAGTTCGTTGTGTATTTCATCTTATTTTATTTTATTTTGGCAATGCTCTTTGCCATATAAACATCTACTTTATCCAAATTAAGAACTTAGGCAAACTTAAATTCTTAGTCGTCTGCCAACAATTTCTTACTTCCAAGGATACGAATTCACTTTGAAAGTAGGTAAGTTATCAGATTGGGAGCCAAACTATAGTGATTGTTTTTGCTCTTCTGGGTCTAGCTACCCAGCAGAGCTACCAGGCTCTGGGATCCTACTGGGGAATGTCTGCAAAGAGTCCTGTGACGTGATCCATCTTCACGTCTCGCAGCCTTGGATACCAGCATCCGCTCCAGTGTAGGTAGCAGGGGAGTGGAGTGGACTCTGAGAGGGTCCTTGGTTGTGTTTTTGTTTAGTGTGCTGGTTTCGTGTTGGTTGGCCCCCAGCTAGGAGGTGACTTTTTCAAGAATGCATCAGCTGCGGTCCTATAGGGAGGATGCAAACTTGCCCTAGGGACACCTGTTTAAGTATTCCAGTTTCTCAGGTGGTGGGCAAGGCCATGGAGCTCCGAAGAGATTATGACCTTTGTCTTCAGCTATCAGGGCGGGTAGACAAAGACTACCAGGTGAGGGCAGGGATAGGCATGTCTGAGCTCAGCCTCTCCTTGGGCGGGGCTTGCTGTTGCTTTTGAGAGGGGTGGGGGTGTGGTTCCCAGTCAGATGGAGTTATATTCCCAGGGGATTTTTGGTGTCTCTGTTGAATCATACAGGTTGCCAGGGAAGCCGGAGAAAGCTGGCAGTCTCAGGCTTCACCCTACTTCCACGCAGCATGCAATCCTAAAGGCTGGTCTCACTCCCACTGTGCGTCCCCCAACAGCACCAAGTCTATTTCCAGACAGCTGGTGACCAGAGCTGAGAACTTGCCCCAGACCACAAGCCTCCTCATTGAGAAAGCAAACAGAATCACAGTTTTTCAGCATCTCAGGAAGCCTGTAGGAGTTATTCAGTTCCTTCAAAGGGTCTGTGGATGCTCTTGGCTTTCCCGGTATGTTCCTGTGGTAGTTCTTGGAGCCAAAGTTCACAATGTGAGTCTCCACACACTGCTCTGTCCATCTGAGAGGGAGCTGCAAACTAGTCTTGCCTCCTATCTGTTTTAGCCTCTTAAACAAAACAATTATCAGCCAAGAATTGTGTATCCAGTGAAACTAAGCTTCATAAATGAAGAAAAGATAATCTTTTCCAGATAAACACTTGCTGAGAGCATTTGCCACTACCAATCCAGCACTACAAGAACTGCTAAAAGGAGCTCTAAATAGTGAAACAAATCCACAAAATACACCAAAATAGAACCTCCTTAAAGCATAAATCTCACAGGAACTATATCATAATAATACAATGCAAAAATACAAGGTATTCAGGCAACAAATATCATGATGAATAGAATAGTACTTCCCATCTCAGTACTAACATTGAATATAAATGGCCTAATTGCTCCACTTAAAAAATACAGAATGGCAGAATGGATTAAGAATTAACCAACCAAGTTTCTGCTGTCTTCAGGCGACTCATTGAACTTATTTGGACTGAACATATAAGGACTCACATAAACTTAAAGTAAAGGAGTGAAAAAGATATTCCATGCAAATGGACACCAAAAGTGAGCAGGAATAGCTCTTCTTACATTAGACAAAAAAGACTTTAAAGCAACAGCAGGTAAAAAAGACAAAGAGGGACATTATATAATGATAAAAGGACAAGTCCAACAGAAAAATATCAGAATACTAAATATATATGCATCTAACACTGGTGCTCCCAAATTTATGAAACAATTACTACTAGACATAAGAAGTGAAATGAAATAGATGGCAGCACAATAATAGTGGGGGTTGTTAATACTCCACTGATAACATTAGACAGGTCACCAAGACAGAAAGTCAACAAAGAAACAATGGACTTAAACTATACCATAAAACAAATGGACTTAACAGATATTTATATAGCAATCTACCCAACAATTGCAGAATTCAATTTATCAGCACATGAAATATTCTCCAAGATAGATCAGATGATAGGCCACAAAACAAGTCTCAGTAAATTTAAGAAAATTGAAATTATATCAATTACTCTCTCAGACAGTAGTGGAATAAAATTGGAAGTCAGCTCCAAAAGGAACCCACGAAACCATGCAAATACATAGAAATTAAATAACCTGCTGCTGAATGATCATTGGGTCAACAATAAAATCAAGATGGAAATTAAAAATTATTTGAACTGAACAATAATAATGACACAAGCCATCAAAACTTCTGGGATACAACAAAAGGGGTACTAAGATGAACGTTCATAGCATTAAATGCCTACATTGAAAAGTCCGAAAGAGCACAAATAGACAATCTACAGTCACACCTCCCACAACTGGAGAAACAAGAACAATCCAAACCAAAATCCAGCAGAAGAAAATAAATAACGAATATCAGAGCAGAGTTAAATGAAATTGAAAGAAAACAATAAAAATAATCAAACAAAAAGCTGATTCTTTGAAAAGGTAAATAAAATTGAAAGACCATTAGTGAGATTAATCAAGAAAAAAAGAGAGAAGATCCAAATAAGTTCAATGAGAAATGTAATTGGAGATACTACAATTGATACGACAGAAATACAAAAGATTATTCAAGGCTACTATGAACACCTTTATTTGCATAAACCAGAAGACCTAGAGGAGATGGATAAACTCTTGGAAATATAAAACCCTCCTAGATTTAACCAGGAAGATATAGAATCTCTGAACAGAACAATAACAAGCAGCGAGTTTGAAAAGGTAATTTAAAAATTGCCAACAAAAAAAAGTTCAGGACCAGACGGATTCACAGCTGAATTCTATCAGACATTCAAAAAAGAATTGATACCAATCTTATTGACACTATTCCAAAAGATAGAGAAAGAGGGAATTCTCCCTAAATCATTGTATAAAGCAAGTATCACCCTAATACCAAAACCAGGAAAGGACATAACAAAAAAAGACAACTATATAGACCAATATCCCTGCTGAATATAGATGCAAAATCCTCAACAAAATACTAGCTAACCAATCCAACAGCATATCAAAGAGATAGTTCACCATGATCAAGTGGGTTTCATACCAGACATGCAGGGATGGTGTAATATATGTAAGTCAATAAATGTGATACACCACATAAACAGAATTAAAAACAAAAATCACAAGATCATCTCAATAGACACAGAAAAAGCATTTGACAAAATTCAGCATCCCTTTATAATTAAAACTCTCATCAAAATCAACATAGAAGAGACAAACCTTAAGGTAATAAAAGCCATCTATGACAGACCCACAGCCAACATTATACGGAACAAGGAAAAGTTGAAAGCATTCCTCCTGAGAACTAGAACTAGAACAAGACAAAGATGCCCACTTTCACCACTTCTACACAACATAATGCTGGAAACCCCAGCCAGAGCAATCAGACAAGGGAAAGAAAACAAGGCAGCCAAACTGGTGAAGAGGAAGTCAAACTGTCACTGTTTGCTGATGATATGATTGTATACCTAGATAACCCTAAAGACTGATCCAAAAAGCTCATAGAACTGGTAAATAAATTCAGCAAAGTTTCAGGATACAAATTAATGTGCATAAATTAGTAGCTCTGCTATACACCAACAGCAACCAAGCTGAGAATCAAATCAAGAACTCAATTCCTTTCACAATAGCTGCAAAAAATAAAATAAAATACTTAGGAATATACCTAACAAAGCATGTGAAAGATCTCTACAAGGAAAACTACAAAACACTGCTGAAAGAAATCGTAGATGACAAAAACAAATGGAAACACATCCCATGCTCACGGATGGGTAGAATCAGTAGTGTGAAAATGACCATATTGCCAAAAGCAATCTGCATTGCCAAAAGCAATCTGCAAATTCAATGCAATTCTCATCAAAATACCACTATCATTCTTCACAGAACTAGAAAAAAACAATCTTAAAATTCATATGGAACCAAAAAAGAGCCCACATAGCCAAAGCAGGACTAAGCAAAAAGAACAAATCTGGAGGCATCACATTAACCGACTTCAAACTATACTATAAGGCCATAGTCACCAAAACAGCATGGCACTGGTATAAAACTAAGCACAGAGACCAATGGAACGGAATAGAGAACCCAGAAACAAAGGCAAAGGGAGATTTTTGACAAAGCAAAGAAAAACATAAAGTGGGAAAAGGACACCCTATTCAACAAATGGTGCTGGGATAATTGGCAAGCCACTTGTAGAAGAATGAAACTGAATCCTCATCTTTCACCCTATACAAAAATCAACTCAAGATGGATCAAAGACTTAAATCTAAGATCTGAAACCATAAAAATTCTAGAAGATAGGATCGGAAAAACCCTTCTAGACATTGGCTTAGTTAAAGACTTCATGACCAATAACCCAAAAGCAAATGCAACAAAAACAAAGGTAAATAGATAAGATTTAAGTCAACTAGAAAGCTTCTGCACAGCAAAAGATATAATCAGCAGAGTTAACAGACAACCCATAGAGTGGGAGAAAATATTCACGACCTATACATCCGACAAAGGACTAACATCCAAAACCTACAAAGAACTCAAACATATCAGCAAGAAAAAAACAAACAATCCCATCAAAAAGTGGGCTAAGGATATGAATAGATGATTCTTAGAAGAAGATATACAAATAGCCAACAAGCATATGGAAAAATTCTCAACATCACTAATTATCAGGGAAATGCAAATCAAAACCACAATGTGATACCATCTCACTTCTGCAACAAAGGCCATAATCTAAAAATAAAAATAATAATAATAGATGTTGTCAGGGATGTGGTGAAAAGGAGCACTTTTACACTGTTGATGGGAATGCAAACTAGAACAACCACTATGGAAAACAGGGTAGAGATTCCTTAAAGAACTAAAAGTAGATCTACCGTTTGATCCAGCAATCCCACCACTAGGTATCTACCCAGAGAAAAAGAAGTCATTATACAAAAAAGATACTTGTACAAGCATGTTTATAGCAGCA
Organism: Homo sapiens; assembly: GCF_000001405.40. Lineage (NCBI taxonomy): Eukaryota > Metazoa > Chordata > Mammalia > Primates > Hominidae > Homo > Homo sapiens. The sequence continues at coordinate 95,936,154 of NC_000023.11, read as the reverse complement.
CAATTTGCAATTGCAAAAAATATGGAACCAGCCCAAATGCCCATCAATCAATGAGGGGATAAAGAAAATGAAGAAAAATATATATATATATTTATTATATATATATAATTTTCTTCATTTTCATTTCATTTTATATATATATATATGGAGAGAGAGAGAGAGAGAGAATAGAATACTTCTCAGCCATAAAATACAATGAAATAATCGCATTTGCAGCAACCTGGATGGAATTGGAGGCAATTATTCTAAATGAAGTACTCAGGAATGGAAAACCAAACATTGCATATTCTCACTCACATGTGGGAGCTAAGCTATGAGGATGCAACAGGGGAAAGGGTGGGAGGTGGGGAGGAATAAAAGACTACACATTGGGTACAGTGTACACTGCTTGGCTGATGGGAGCACCACAATCTCAGCAATCACCACTAAATAATTTATTCATGTAACCAACCACCACCTGTTCCCCAAAAACCTACTGAAATACAAAAATAAAAAAGAAAATGAAAAAAGAAAAGTTATCAGATTGGCCTTGAAAATTCAAGCTGCAGAATTTTATGTCTGTCTGTCTCTCTGTCTGTCTATCTATCTATCTATCTATCTATCTATCTATCTATCTATCTATCATCTATCTATCATCTACCTATCTGTTTCTATTTATGTATCTGATAATGGCTTTTTGCAATGAAGACTACTTTGCAGTTGGGATAAGGGCCTTACTGGTTTCCCATTTCACTTTTAGTGACCTCATGTAACCATTCCCCATATTCACTATGTATTTGACTCTCCATCTATAGAATATTAGTATTATAGTGGAGCCTACTATCAAATACGCATTAGGTGCCTATTATGCACAGATACTTTCTAAGGATCCCATGTTAAGGATCCAAGATGAACTTGGTCTGTGTCTTCAAGGAACTTAAATTCCACTGGGGAAGACAGATAATAAAATGCAAATAAATGATAAGATTTCTAGTTCTGATAAATAATAAGAAGAACTAATTTACTCTGATGGAAGGTGAGCAGGGTACCAGTTTAGCTCGGGTTGTTGGGGAAAGCCTTTCTGGGGAAATGGCATTTGAATTGAGAATTCAAAATGATGAGAAAGATGCAGCCATGCAAAGATTTGAGAGAAAAGTCATCCAAGCAGAACTTTATGTCAAAGTCCCAGAAACAGAAATATTTTTTTTTGTGTGTAAGAAGAATCAGTCTGACTGGGGCAGAATGAGGGAGAAAGTAGAAGAAGCTGAGAAGAGAGAAATAGGAAGAAGCTACATCATACAGTACCTTGTAATCCTTGATAAGGAGTTTGGATTTTATTTGAAGTTTCACGGGGAGACACTGGGGGGCTTTAAGATGGGAAGTACCATTTATTAGATTGATGTTTTTAGTATAAAAGATCCTTCTAGGTGCTGTGAAGAGGACAGGTTGTAGGAGGAAAGAAATAGAAACAGGGAGACAAACTAAGTGAATACTGCAATAATCCAGGTAAGAGATGATAGTGACTTGGACTAAGGTTTTCAAATCCAGTGGAGATGGATTTTAGACATTTAAACACGGTAAATAGTTTCAGAAATAGAGTTTTAGACATATAAGAAGACTTACTGATGATGAGACCTGAAGGAAAGAGAGAGTCAAGTATTCTTCATTATTGTCCTCAAGGACTATTTACTCAAATGGAGAAAACCTGTCAGGGATGAGATTTAGAAGTGAAACTGTACTCTTATTTGGACTCTGTTAAGGTTGAGAAGTCTATTATACATTCCAAGTGGCAATGTAAAGTAGTGAACTGGATATATTACATTATTCTGAAGTTCAGAAAGGTAATCCAGACTGGAGCTATAGATTTGAGAGTCATTTCAAATAGATGATATGGGTATAGATGGCATTTGAATTCATGGTACTGGATGAGATAACTTTGGGAGAGTGTGTAAAAAGAAAAAAGGAGTAAGGAAAGAATCCTGGGGCATTTTAAATTTGAAAATCTTATAGAGGAGGAAGAACCAGCAAAAGAAACAGAGAAAGTGTCTAGTTAGATAGAAGGAAAACCAGATAATACTTCAAGAAGAGCATTGTTATCCATGCCAAATGCTGCTGATGGGTCAATAAAATTAGAACATAGATTTCACCATTGGCTTGGGTAACGTATAAGTCATTGGTGTCTCTGATAAGAGATTTTTCAAGACTAAGCAGTTGAGTTAGTGAGTATAGACAAGTATTTGGAGGATTGTTACCATTGAAGGAGAATAGAGAAATGGAGGTTTTAGGGTTTGTTTATTTGTTATGTTTTTAAGATGAGTGATAATAAGGCATATTTCAATGACAATTGGGTTGGCTCAGTAGAGATGAAGAAACTGATAAGTAAGTAGAGAAGGGGCATAATTACAGATGCAAAGTCCTTGTGAAGGTGAGAAGGAATGAAATATTTAAGGCACAAGTGAATACATTTGTAGGAGACACTTTTTATTTTATAACAGCAGCAATGCAGTGGAGTATGGGGTGCAGGCTTCCTGGGTTTAGACCATGTATTTGCTGTGTTTGCCACGTGTGTGTGTGTGTGTGTGTGTGTGTGTGTGTTCTTCCTTGGAAAAATGCTTTCATTTCCTCATCTCTAACATGGAGATGAAATAATAGCACATAGCTTGTAGGGTTATCATGAGTATTAAATAAGTTGAAATGGGTAAAGTGTATAAAGTAGTGCTTGGCATGCAACTAGTCCTCAATAAATGCCAGCCATTGTTGCTGTTGCTGCTATTGTCATTATATGGGAACATATGCAGGTATGTTGGTAAAATCGTTGATGGAAAGATGAGGCAGTTGTCAGCTGCTCTTATGTCTAAGAAGAATGCAATGAGATTGAGGGATTAAGGAGAAAAAGTTGAAAATTTTAATATGTCACTGTGTTTTAATAGCAGCATATTAAAGAGGAGACGATATTAAGTGGTTGTTTTTCTCCCTACTAATGCATTCTGATATCAATGGAAAGAGTCTAGGACTGGAAATCTTACATCACTGAATTATTATGAGGAACAAATGAGATAATGTCCAAAAAAATACTTAAAATGAAAGGTACTGTAGGAATGGTATTATTATTGTGTTGACACAACTAGTTGTAAAGTGAAATGTTTCCTCAAACAATTGGATGCAGGGGATTCTAAAAGACATCATGTAACTGGTTTGAATTTGCTCCCTGAATTATTAGCTTATTTTTTAAAATTTTATAGACATTGAATATATTAGAGGATGTCTTTTCTTATTTGTATACATTATATTTTTATAAGTTTGAGGCAAAAAATAAAGTCTATAAATTCAACATGAATTTAGATAGTGAAGGATTACAGTCTCAAAATATGGAACATACCTCTTAGCCTTTGAGTTTTTTTCATACTCAAAATGTGATTATTTTGCAGGCTAAGTTTATCTTAAAACAAGGCTTAGGTATTCATGTTTGTAGCAAATAAATGGTATGTAAAATTCCTGGCAAACTTACCATTTTGACAACATAAAATTTTCCCATCCAGCTGGTCATTAGGCCTTTCCAACTGTCAATGTCTCTTGCAATCTGCTTTAATAGTAGCACATAATTAGCTTTATACAGATCAGAAACATTGGGGGGTAATACTCCAATGCAAATATCAAAATCCCAAGAAAGTTAACTCAAAGAGACATATGTCTCAACCATCCTTCATGACGGTCTTTAGCTATGAAGGCTGTAGCAACTGATTTGTGTAAGGTACTTTGAATCATAATATGGAAATATTATAATTAAATACCTACTGGAGTTCTGGAAAATATATTCAGGAGAATGATATAAATAGCAATATGTCATTAATGTACATTGTTGTCCTTACATTTGTATTTATATATTACATTTACATTTATATTTATTATTTGGCACATTTACTTCAAAGAAATGTGCCAAATAATTGTAGAAAAATGGGTTATAATGGTAGGGTAAAATTTTCAGTATTTGTGTATATGGGTAGGTTTAAATCAACACAATTTTATTTGTAAGGTAATTCATTGCCTAATTAATCTATGATTAATTTTATTTTGATGTATCATACTGAGTTATGTACACATTTTTGCACCTGTACACATAGACACATGCAGATTCTCTAGGAAAAAATATATGTCACTTTTAAGTGAAGAAGATTGTGTTGTTCAAATAGAATTTGAGTCATCTTTTAATCTCTTGCATTAAGGAATTCCATTTGGAACTTTAAGGTTTCAGCACTTAATGTCTTTACTCCTCCTTTAACAAGAATCCCTTTATTCTTGTCAGTTCCACACCACCATAGCAAGGTTTCTGCCTTCAGGAAATGTAATCTTAGAGAGTGCTTAGCAATTAGAAGGGTAGTGAGCTGCTCCCCAGTCTCTGTTAATATGGAAGTATTTGTACTAGTTCTATGGGAAAATGTGGTCTAAGCAGAAGCCTAATGGCAACACTGAGCAAGAGAGGATAGTATGCAGGATATGACTTGCACTAACATAAAAAAGAGAAAGACTCCTATCATGTCTTCCCTTTCTAAGAGTTTCAGTTTCCTGCCAACAAATTAATTTGAAAACTATTAATAATTAAATATTTTTCTTAAGTGAAAAAAATGGAACCTACCTGGCTTGAAATTTGCCCACAGGAGACTTGCTGATTGGCATAGCAAGTTCAAGATGCCAATTGTGTATCTCAGTTTAGAACATGGCCAGGCCCATGATGCCAACTCACATAAGAGTGGTGAGTTTAACATCTACTGAAGACTCTAGGGTTGGCTTTATTAGAGCTGCTAATGATAAATTGGGAAATAACCAGAATCCATAACCAGAAGGAAACTGTAGTCTGGAATTCGCATGTAAATATTCTAAGTGAAAAGTGTTCAGTAATAAAGTCTGAACTAGATGTCAGATGGGATTTCTTCATTTCTTTTGAGTTTGTTTTAAGCCCATTGCTTGCAATCCAGAGAGTTGGCAAAACATTCCTGACTGGAGTTTTTCATTCTCCATCAATTGATTTCTGTCCCTTGATGATTATGCTCTTGTCATAAACCATACTCATTTTCTGGCTGGGAAATTATTGTAAATATTTGTTTACAAAGTCATTTCTGTTTCTGTATAAACCACATATACTACTTCCTCTTACATACTGGAGTGGACCAAGTAAGAATTTAAAGGACAAGCATTCTTACTTATCTATAATGCCATACAAGCAGCTCACGAGATATCCAAAATGAATGGGATTTTAAGAAAGTCAGAGCAGGGAAGGGAAAAGCAGAGATATTATAGTAATACATTGGATGGATGAAAAATTGGAGACCCAGAAAAGATAAGTGATTCATCTGAGATTATAGAACTGGGTACATTTAAACAAGCATTAGGAATACAGAGGTTCCATTTTCTAGTGTTTTCTATAAGTTATTCTGCTCTTTAATATCTTTTTTGCATTTTATTTTTTTATTTTAACAGTTTTAAACAAATTATTTCCATAGGATTGTGGGAACAGGTGGTATTTGATTACATGGGTAAGTTCTTTAGTGGTGATTTGTGAGATTTTGGTGCACCCATCAACCGAGCAGTATACACTGTACCATATTTGTAGTCTTTTATTCCTCATACCCCTCTTACCATTTCCCCTGATTCCCCAAATTCTGTTGTATCATTCTTATGTCTTTGCATCCTCATAGCTTAGCTCCCACTTATGAGTGAGAACATACCATGGTTGGTTTTCCATTCCTGAGTTACTTCACTTAGAAAAATAGTCTTCAGTTCCATCCAGGTTGCTGCCAATGCCATTATTCATTCCTTATTATGGCTGAATAGTATTTGATTTATCTACTCGTTGCTTTTTCATATAATGACTTTATACGAAAGTGTAATAAATAATAAATAGTAATTTATCTATCTACTCGTTGCTTTTTCATAGAATGACTTTTTTTTCCTCTGGGTAGATACCCAGTAGTGGGATTGCTTAATCAAATTGTAGATCTACTTTTAGCTGTTTAAGGAATCTCCACGCTGTTTTCCATACTGGTTGTACTAGTTTAGATTCCCACCAGCAGTGTAGAAGTGTTCCTTTTTCACTGCATCTAGGCTAACATCTATTATTTTTTTTAAGGTTTTGATTATGGCCATTCTTGCAGGAGTAAGGTGGTATCGCATTGTGGTTTTGATTTACATTTTCCTGATCATTAGTTATGTGGAGCATTTTTTCATATGTTTGTTGGCCATTTGTATATCTTCTTTTGAGAATTGTCTATTCACGTCCTTAGCACAATTTTTGATGTGATTGTTTTGTTCTTGCTGATTTGTTTGAATTCCTTGTAGATTGTAGATATTAGTCTTTTGTCCAATGTGTAGATTGTGAAGATTTTCTCCCACTCTGTGTGTTGACTGTTTACTCAGCTGATTCCTCCTTTTGCTGTGAGATACTTTTTTAGTTTAATCAAGTCTCATTTATTTATCTTTGCTTTGTTGCATTTGCTTTTGGGTTCTTGGTCATGAAGTCTTTGCCTAAGCCAGTGTCTAGAAGGGGTTTTCCGATGTTATTTTCTGGAATTTTTAAAGTTTCAGATCTTAGATTTAAGTCCTTGATCCATCTTGAGTTGATTTTTGTATAGGGTGAGAGATGAGGATCCAGTTTCATTCTTCTACATGTGGCTTGCCAATTATCCCAGCACCATCTGTTGAATAGGGTGTCCTTTCCCCACTTTATGTTTTTGTTTGCTTTATTAAAGATCAGTTGGCTGTAAGCATTTGGCTTTATTTCTGGGATCTCTACCCTATTCCATTTGTCTATGTGCATATTTTTATACCAGTATAATGCTGTTTTGTTGACCATGGTCTTATAATATAGTTTCAAGTCAGATAATGTGATACCTCCAGATTTGTTCTTCTTGCTTCATCTTGCTTTGGGTATGCGGGCTCCTTTTTGGTTCCATATGAATTTTAGAATTTTTTTCTAGTTCTGTAAAGAATTATGGTGATATATTGATGGGAATTGCATTGAATTTGTAGATTGCTTTTGGCAGTATGGTCCTTTTCACAATATTGATTCTACCCATCCATGAGTATGGGATGTGTTTCCACCTGTTTTTGTCGTCTATGATTTATTTAAGTAGTGTTTTGTAGTTTTCCTTGTGGAGGTCTTTCACGTGCTTTGTTAGGTACATTCCTAAGTACTTTACTTTTTTGCAGCTTTTGCGAAATGGGTTGAGTTTTTTACTTTATTCTCAGTTTGGTCACTGTTGGCATATAGCAGTGCCCCTGATTTGTTTGCATTGACTTTGTTTCCTGTAAGTTTACTGAATTCACGTACCAGTTCTGGGAGATTTTTCGATGTCTTTAGGGCTTTCTAGGTATACAATTATGATCGGCAAACAACGACAGTTTGACTTCCTATTTACTAATTTGGATGACTTTGTTTCTTTCTCTTGTCTGATTGCTCTGGCTGGGACTTCCAGCATTATGTTGAACAGAAGTGGTGAAAGTAGGCATCCTTGTTTTGTTCCAGTTCTCAGGGCGAATGCTTTTAACTTTTTTTTATTCAGTGTAATGTGGCTGTTAGTTTGTCATAGATGGCTTTTATTACCTTAAGTTATGTCCCTTCTACGCCGATTTTGCTGAGGGTTTTAATCACAAAGCGATGCTGGATTTTGTCAAATGCTTTTTCTGTGTCTATTTAGATTATCGTGTGGTTTTTATTTTAATTCTGTTTATGTGGTGTATTACATTTATAGACATATGTATGTTAAACCATCCCTGCATCCCTGGTAAAAAACTCACTTGATCATGGTGGATTATCTTTTGGATATGGTGTTGTATTTGGTTGGCTAGTATTTTGTTGAGGATTTTTGCATCTATATTCATCAGGGATATTTGTCTGTAGTTTTCTTTTTTTGTTATGTGTTTTACTGGTTTGGTATTGGGGTGATACTGGCTTCAAAGAATGATTTAGGGAGGATTCCCTCTTTCTCTATCTTTTGGAATAGTGTCAACAGAATTGGTACCAATTCTTCCTTGGATGTCTGATAGAATTCAGCTGTGAGTCTGTCTGGCCCTGGACATTTTTTTTTTTTTTTTTGGCAATTTTTAAATGACCATTTCCATGTCACTGCTTTTTATTGTTCTGTTCAAAATTTCTGCTTTTTCCTGGTTTAATCTAGGAGGGTTGTATATTTCCAGGATTCTATGCATCTCCTTTAGGTTTTCTAGTTTGTGCACATACAGGTGTTCATAATAGCTTTGAATAATCTTTTGTATTTCTGTGGCACTGGTTGAAATAGCTCCTGTTTCATTTCTAATTGAGCTTATTTGGATCTTCTCTTTTCTTTTCTTGGTTAATCTGTCTAATGTTCTATCAATTTTGTTTATCTTTTCAAAGACCCAGTTTTTTGTTCATTTATCTTTTGTATTTTTTTGTGTGTGTCAATTTCACTTAGGTCTGCTTTGACCTTTGTTATTTCTTTTCTTCTGCTAGGTTTGGGTTTGGATTGTTGTTTTTCTAGTTTCTTGAGTTGCAGCCTTAGATTGTCTATTTGTGCTCTTTCAGACTTTTTGATGTAGGCATTTAATGCTATGAACTTTCCTTGTAGCACCACTTTTGCTGTGTCCTAGAAGATATGTTAGGTTGTGTCACTATTATTGTTCAATTCAAATAATTTTTATATTTCCATCTTGATTTCATTTTTGACCCAACAATCATGTAAGATCAGGTTATTTAATTTCTCTGTATTTTCATGGCTTTGAGAGTTTCTTTTGGTGTTGATTTTCAATATTATTTCCCTATGTTCTGAGAGAGTACTTGATATAGTTGTGATTTTCTTAAATTTACTGATACTTGTTTTGTGGCCTATTGTATGGTCTACCTTGGAGCATGGTCCATGTGCTGATGAACAGAATGTAAATTCTGCAGTTGTTGGGTAGAATGTTCTGTAAATATCTGTTAAGTCCATTTGTTTTAGGGTATAGTTTAAGTCCATTGTTTCTTTGTTGACTTTCTGTCTTGATGACCTGTCTAGTACTGTCAGTGGAGTATTAAAGTTCCCCACTACTATTGTGTTACCATCTATTTCATTTCTTAGGTCCAGTAGTAATTGTTTCATAAATTTGGGAGCTCCACTGTTAGGTGCATATATATTTATTATTGTGATATTTTCTGTGGGACTTGTCCTTTTATCATTATATAATGTCCCCCTTTGCCTTTTTTGCCCACTGTTGCTTTAAAGTCTGTTTTGTCTGATGTAAGAAGAGTTACTCCTGCTCATTTTTGGTATCCATTTGCATGGAATATCTTTTTTCACTCCTTTACTTTAAGTTTATGTGAGTCCTTATGTGTTCAGTGAGTCTCCTGAGGACAGCAGAAACTTGGTTAGTAAATTCTTTTCTTTTCTTTTTTTAAAAATTATACTTTAAGTTCTGGGATACATGTGCAGAACGTGCAGGTTTGTTACATAGGTATGTGTGCCATGGTGGTTTGCTGCACCCATCAACCCATCATCTACATTAGGTATTTCTCCTAATGCTATCCCTCCTCTATCCCCCTACCCCCTGACAGGCCCTGGTGTGTGATGTTCCCCTCCCTGTGTCCATGTGCTCTCATTGTTCAACCCCCACTTATGAGTGAAAACATGCAGTGTTTGGTTATTTGGTTTTCTTTTCCTGTGTTAGTTGCTGAGAATGATGATTTCCAGCTTTATCCATGTCCCTGCAAAGGACATGAACTCATCCTTTTTTATGGCTGCATAGTATTCCATGGTGTATATGTGCCACATTTTATTAATCCAGTCTATTATTGATGGACATTTTGGTTGGTTCCAAGTCTTTGCTATTGTGAACAGTGCTGCAATAAACATATGTGTGCATATGTCTTTATAGTAAAATGATTTATAATCCTTTGGGTATATACCCAGTAATGGGATTGCTGGATCAAATGGTATTTCTGGTTCTAGATCCTTGAGGAATCGCCACATTGTCTTCCACAATGGTTGAACTAACTTACACTCCCACCAACAGTGTAAAAGCATTCCCATTTCTCCACATCCTCTCCAGCATCTGTTGCTTCCTGACTTTTTAATGATCACCATTCTAACTGGCGTGAGATGGTGTCTCATTGTGGTTTTGATTTGCATTTCTTAATCCATTCTGCCATTCTGTATCTTTTAAGTGAAGCATTTAAGCCATTTACATTCAATGTTAGTAGAGAGATGCAAGGTACTATTCTATTCCTTGTGCTTTGTTGCCTGAATACCTCGTATTTTTTCATTGTGTTATGGTTATATAGGTCCTGTGAGGTTTATGCTTTAAGGAGGTTCTATTTTGGTATATTTTGTGGATTTGTTTCACTATTTAGAGCTCCTTTTAGCAGTTCTTGTATTACTGGCATGTTAGTGGCGTATTCTCTCTGCATTTGTTTTTCTGAAAAAAAAAACTATATTTTCTTCATTTTTGAAGCTTAATTTGGCTGGATGAAAAATTCTTGTCTAATAATTGTTTTGTTTAAGGAGGCTAATGATAGCACCACAAATCTTTCTAGCTTGTAGGGTTTCTGCTGAGAAATCTGCTGCTAACCTGATAGGTTTTCCTTTGTAGGTTACCTGATGCTTTTGTCTTACAGCTCTTAAGATTCTTTCTTTTGTCTTTTTTTTTTAGACAACCTGATGACTATGTGCCTAGGTGTTTATCTTTTTGGGATTGATTTTCCAGGTGTTCTTTGAGCTTTTTGTAATTGGATGTCTAGATCTCTAGCAAGGCCTGGGAATTTTCCTCAATTATTCCCTCAAATATGTTTTCCAAACTTTTAGATTTCTCTTCTTACTAGGAAACACCAATTATTCTTAGGTTTGTTTGTTTAACATAATCCCCAACTTCTTGAAAGCTTTGTTCATTTTTTAAATTCTTTGTTTCTTCTTTGATGGATTCGGTTAATTTAAAAGCCTTGTCTTTGAGCTCTAAAGTTCTTTCTTTTACTTGTTTGATTCTATTTTTGAGGATTTCCAGTGCATTTTGCATTGCTCTAAGTGTGTCCTTGATTTCCAGAAATTGTGATTGTTTTTTATTTATACTTTCTACTTCACTGAACAATTTTCCTTTCATATTCTGTATCATGTTTTGATTTCTTTAAGTTGGACTTCACCTTTGTCTGGTGCTCCTTGATTAGCTTAATAATCAACCTTCTGAATTCTTGTTCTGGCTATTCAGAGATTTCTCCTTGGTTTGGATCCATTGCTGGTGAGCTAGTGTGTTCTTTTTGGGGTGCGAAAAAGCCTTGTTTTGTCATATTACCAGAATTTTCTTTGGTTCCTTCTTATTTGTGTAGACTATGCCAGCAGGAATATCTGGGATTCAAGGGCTGCTGTTCAGATTTGTTTGTCCCACGTGGTGTTCTGCCCTTTCCCCTAGAGATGGGGATTCCTGAGAGGTGAACTGCAGTGATTGTTGTTTCTCTTTTGGGTCTAGCTACCCAGCAGAGCTACAGGTCTTTGGGCTGGTACTGGGGAGTGTGTGCCAAAAGTCCTGTGATGTGATTCATCTTCAAGTCTCTCAGCTGTTGGTACCAGCACCTGCTTTGGTGGGAGTAGCAGGGTAGTGAAGTGGACTCTGATAGGGTTCTTGGTTACAGTTTTGTTTAGTGTGCTGGTTTTGTGTTGGTTGGCCTCCAGCCAGGAGGTGGCACTTGCAGGAGAGCAACAGTTGAGGTAATATAGGGAGGATACAAGCTTGCCGTAGAGTCGCCTGGATAAGTATTTGGGTTTCTCAGGCAGTGGGCAGAGCCACATAGCTCCGGAGAGATGTCCTTTGTCTTCAGATATCAGGATGAGCAGAGAAAGACATCAGGTGGGCCCAGGGTTAGGTGTGTCTGAACTCAGAATCTCCTTGGGAGGGGCCTGTTGCGGCTGCTGTTGGGGGGATTACATCTTCCTCTGCTATGTCATATAGGCTCCCAGGGAAGTGGAGAATAGCTGGCAGTGACAGGCCTCACGCAGCTTCTACACAGCCAGAAAGGCCAGTCTCACTCTCATTGTACCCGCCCCCGCCCGCCACCAATAGCACTAGTTTAGTTCCAGGCAGCCAATGAGCAGGGCTGAGAACTTCTTGCAGGCTACAAGCCTCCCCAATGAGAAAGCAAGCAGGGCTTTCAGGTTTCGCACCTCCCTGCCTGCTGTGGATTCTGTGCTGGTATCTGCACTACCTGTTTGCACCCTACCCCAGATTCTGTCCAGGAAACTACTTATTTTGTCAAAATTGTTACAATGTTCGGTTGGAAGTTTCCTTCTTCCTGCAGTCTTTCCCCAATTCCACTGGCAGGGCTCCCCAAGGTCCCCTGTGAGACAAGGTCAGAAATGACTTCCCTGGGGACCGAGAGTACCCACAGGGCTCTTCCTGCTGCCACCTCTACCTCTATATTTTCTGTGGCTCTCTAAATTTATCTCAGCTCTAGTTACAGTTAAATTCTTCTCGTGATCTGTATTTTAAGGTTTCCCAGTGAGGATGTGTGTTTGGGGGCAGAACTTTCCCCCTTACACACTTTGGGCACTCTCAGTTTTTTGGCTGTCTGGCAGAGCTACAGTGACAAGCCAGTTCCTTCAAAAGGTCTTTGGATTCTTTCAGCTTTACTGTTATGTTCCTGAGGTAGTTCCTGGAGCAAAAGTTCACAATATGAGTCTTCACACGCTACTCTGTCCATCCAAGTGGGAGGTGCAAGTTAGTCCTGCCTCCTATTCTCCATTTGTTTTTTCAGATCTGCTTTTTAATATCTTATGGCAACATATGCATCATTTATTTCCACTCTTGAGTTCTATGTCACAATTTAGGAGTACATTCTATTTAGAAAATGCATCTTCCTAGCTTCTGTGACTTATAGAATATGATGATCTCCTTGTAATAGATAAATCCTAACATGAATTCCACAAATGCTGTGCAATGGGTGGAATGTTTCTGTCTCTCTAAAATTCATGTGTTGAAATCCTAATCCCCCAAGTGATGGTATAGGAGGTGGGGTCTTTTGGAGGTGATTAGGTCATGGGAGCAGTGCCCTCATGAATAGGATTAGTGCCTGTGTAAAAAAGGCAAGAAAGAGACCCCTTGTCCCTTACTGCCATGTGAGGTTACAAAGAAAAGACAAATATCTAGGAAACAGGCCCTCACCAGACACCAGTCTGCTGGCACCAAGATCTTGGACTTCCCAGTCTCCAGAATGTAATAAATGAATTTCTGTTGTTCGTAAGCCACTCACTCTATGGTATTCTGTCCTGGCAACCTGAATGGACTAAGACAGGGGTTTCCAACCTCTGGGCCACAGACCAGTACTGGTCCGTGGCCTGTTAGGAATCAGGCCACAAGGCAGGAGGTGAGTAGTGGGCGAGTGAGCATTACGACCTGAGCTCAACCTCTTGTCAGATCAGCAGTGGCATTAGATTCTCTTAGGAGTGTGAACGCTATTGTGAACTGTGCATGTGAGGGGCCTAGGTTGCACACTCCTTATGAGAGTCTAATGATAAATGTAATGTGCTTGAATCATCCCCAAACTATCACCCCCTCAGTCCGTGGAAAAATTGTCTTCCACAAAACTTGTCCCTGGTTCCAAAAAGGTTGGGGACTGCTGGACTAAGACAAACAGCAATATGGGAATTTATTATTGAATGATTTAATATCATCTATTAAAATAAATTATATTTATGAATATTTAAGCGATCTGACCATGACATATGCTACCTAATTAATGATTTAGCTGATAAGCTGGCTGTCTCTTGTTTTATTAAGAATTTTTACTAAATCTGAGCACAATGCTCAATGTTGCTCATTTTGGTTACAGTTTCATAGACTTTGAGCAAATGATAAGCATGTATAAACATTGAGAAGATTACATACCTTCCAATTACATAATCACCCAGAGATCAGGGTAATTTCACTGATCTCATCTTTGTGAGACATTATTATATAGTGTTTAAGTGCATAGCTCCCATAACCAAATGTAACTAGGTTTGAATATAACAGCAGCAGCTTATTAGGGCAAGTTATTTAACCTCTCTTCATCTTCATTTTCCTCATCTGTAAAATGGGAGAAATACCAGTACCAGCTGCAAAGTATTAAGGAGAGAGGGAACCATTTTATCATTGTAAAGGGCTTAGCAAAATGCTAAGTGCGTAGTATGTAGTCGATACATAAATGATAACTGCTGTTGCTGCCACCACTACTATAGCTGTTATTATTGTTATTAGAGGATCATTAGAAATTCCACAGAAGCAAACTGGGTAAGAGAAAAGACAGACATAGAAAAAGGAATAAATGATATGTCTCCTCCATGTGCAGTATAGGAGAATGATGGTTTACCAGCCAATTTCTTAAACATTCCCACATAATTCTGAAAAAAAGTAAAGTGCCTTTCTGTGTTGTCAATGACTTCTGTAACTCTTCCGAAGAACCAGGGTTATTAAATAAAAACCAAAGCATTATTTTGCAAGCATTTTCTAATTTTATTTTCTTGTTAGGTGTATGCCACATGCTTAGGAGAAATTTAATCAGAAGTTGATGATTCACATATTCCTAATTCATCACAACTGATTTTGGAGAAGCCTTTTGATACTCAAAAGCTTTTCATTCTTATTGTAGCCATACATGCTGCCCTGTGGAAAAACAGGTTATTATATTTGTTAAATAAATGTATTTAATATTAAGTTTTTGGTTTGAAACTTTGAGTTTGTGGGTTTTGGGGGGGAACATGGAGAGATGTTGCTTTGAACATTGCAGAATCAATTTCCATCCATAATAAAGAATTCCAACAGAAACAGCATGTCTGAGAGTGAGGTGATTATACAACAGAAACTGATTGTCTGTCTCTTTATTCTTCTGAACACCCACAGAATACTCAGAAACATCCATCTGAATTATATTTTAACTAACATATTGGCATGAAATGTCACAAACTCTCTGACGAAGTAATTGTAAATGGGCAAGACTGGTATAAACATGTACCATAATCACAAATACCAGTGTTTATGGCAAGCACCCAATACTCAGGATCTTAGAGAAAGTTGGAGAGCAGGTCAGAATATACATAATTACGATGTTTTGTCATGGACAGTATGGTAGCTTTAAAAATGTGTTTTTGACTGTAAAAATACTCTGCATGGTACCGAGAGACATTCTTTTCAGATCCCCAAACAGCATTTAGTGGCTGAAAAGTAATAGTTCTAGTCCATTTGCTTTCTGGACAATCAGGTAGGTACTTTTTGGCACGCAGATAAATTTCTGCAAGACCTTTACCAAGATTCACTTCCAAGGCCCTGCCAAGAAGCAGGTCTGGTATGAGATTGCTTCCCCTAGGCTAGTGGCCCATATTCTTCTAAGTGTTCTTAAACATGTTAGATATTACAGTGCAGAATTTCAAATAATAAAAGCGAGTCACAGGTAGAAATGTAGAAAGTCCAGGGCCTTGCCTTCAGAAGCTTGATATTAGTAACACACCTAAAGGAGACAAATTTCTCAAGAGAGCACTTGCATTTAGCCAAATCATAGCAACGAAAACATAATGGCTGTTTGTTAGTTCCCAGTGATTAAAAAATAAAAAAATCACGGTTGGTGAAATATTTAAAATCTGCCTGACCAGTATATTTCCTCTCTCTAGGCACATATATGGAACCCAAGTTATAGTCAGAAAGGTGCTTGGTGAGCATAGAATCAAAGCAAGGGACATATGATATATTAAATTTTCCATGCTATTTAAAAAAACTAAATGAGTATAATTGGTATATTTGTAACAAAAAGAAATGATAAATGCTTGAGATGATGGATACCTCATTTACCCTGATGTGATTATTACACTTTTAATACCTGTATCAAAATATCTTATGTACCCCAAAAATATATCAATACACCTTCTGTGCACCCATAAAAATTAAAACTTAAATAAACATAACAAAATACATTTTTCATGTTATCAAGCTAAGATAGATAATCACAATAAAATTGATCTTATCATTTGTACTAAAATTCTTGACTCTGTTGGCAGCAAGACCCTGCCTCTATTTTCACACTAGAGATAACTGTAAATATTCAAAGATTATCATTCAAGGCTCTTTATTTCCTGCACAATGCTTTATATAGACTCTGTCAACTTTTGCCTCTGCGATGCTCCTTTGTCTGTTTCAAAGACACCATTCCCCACAACCTTCTGATATTCTTTAGATTTGATAATAAACTGAAGCAAATTAGAGTCAAATTCTGTGGGGTTTGGAGTTGTATCAGTCAGGGTCTCAGCAGGAAATAATACACTCCAGCTGGTTCAAGTGAAGAGTCATTAATGGATAGGTGTGAGTCATTGAGAAACTAGCAACAGTTAGAAGTTGTTATCACCACTAATCTTGAAGGGATTATAACAAATGAGTGAAAGTGGGAATCACAGGAGAGACTGCCTGGCAGGAACTGTAATCAACCAAGGAGCTCAAGTACCACCGGGGACAAGGTACTAAAGTAAGGAGGGCTTGGGGAAAAAGTACTCTAATCTTTTTGTTTTTTTAACCTAAAATGTCCTGCTGGTGCCTCCTGTTTGCCTAACTTAATGGAAAGTCAGCTGGCAAGGGAGGATTCCAGAAGTCAGCCTCCCAGGGAACATAGAAAGAGAAGAGGCTGGGCGTGGTGGCTCACGCCTGTAATCCCAGCACGCTGGGAGGCCGAGGCAGGTGGATCACCTAAGGACAGGGGTTCGAGATCAGCCTGGCCAACATGGTGAAAACCCATCTCTACTAAACATACAAAATATTTGCCAGGTGTGGTGGCGTGCTCCTGTAGTTCCAGCTACTTGGGAGGCTGAGGCAGGAGGATTGCTTAAATCTGGGAGGCGGAGGTTGCATTGAGCTGAGATTATGCCACTGCATTCCAGCCTGGCAACAGAGCAAGACTCGAGACTCCGGTTCAAAAAAAAAAAAAAAAAAAAGAAAGAAAGAAAGGAATATGGATATTGGTGGTGGTTGTGAAGTGGGGAACAAAGGATAGTAACCAGCACAGCATCCATTTTACATCTATCTAGAGACATTTTATATCTATACTCAGGCCCACTGTGTGTTGAGTTTTATGCACTGTGAAAAGAAAGTCTTGTTTATCTCATATCCAATGTCTTAGTCACAGAGTCTTTACTGTGGTTTCCCAAGTGCTGAAATAATAGCCTAGAAAATTAAGACTGGTTTTTTACTGGTACCATGAAACTAGTGAATATTGGGAGTAGATCTAAAAGCCAAAGTTAAACTTGCTTATTCCTCAATCTAGAGTAGAGTATAGGCATCGAAGAACAAAGATAATGGGGAGGAAGAAGATGGGCATGATGGTGAGAATACATGTGGGATAAGGATGCATGTGATCCATAGGCCTGAATCATTATTGCATAGCAAGACAGAGTGGTTTCTTTTAATCATGAGGGAACTAATATTACTGCTGACTTATATATCCAAGAATTGGGAATCAAAGGAGAGAGAAGATAGAAAACTTATACTATTTATTAGAAAGTTGAAATCACTACGTGATTCTAGGAAGAAAAAAGAAACTTTGGGTTTGACATTGCTTTTGAATAATTGGCTATCAAAGGAAGTCCATCACTGCCCATAGCTGAAATATGCAATGATCAAGGAAGGGAAGCTTTACATAAATAAAGAAATTCATGTAGGCAGGCTAGCAGAAAAAAAAATAACTGGAAACAGAGGCCATGATTGAATTGTGTTGGTCAGATGAGGTTTTTCAAATACCTATATATATTTTTTGTATTATCTTCTATCTTAGAAAGCAATGTGTGATTTTTTACTGTTACCAAACAAATTATGTTTCACTTTAAATCGCTTATTTTATGCTCTTTTGACAGTTCTATTACATTTATGAAAAGAATTGAAATTCCTTTTATTTGAAAACTTGGGGGAAAATGATGGATGCCCCCTCATGATTTTCTGATCTATATTTGAGAAGGATGAAATAGCCAGTCAATTGATACATGAATAATTATTCCACACCTACCATGTGCTTAGTGCACATGGATGTTACAGAAACCCTATAAAACATGGTCTTTCCTCAAGAAGTTTATGATCTGATCTGCAAGAGAAGCATACACATATAGCATTAGAGACTATGCAAGACACTGAATAATTAAGTACCAAAATGTGTGATATACACTGTAAGGGTTAGAACATCACTGAGGGCTGGGATACTTAGGAAATGCAGCATAGATGAAGTGGAACTTGATTTAGACTCTGAAACATGAGTAAGATTTGCATAGGTGAAGAGAATAGGAAGATTACCAATATAAATCCTATCTTAGTCATAGATATAAATATTTGCCCAACTTGCCTTTTCTCATTTGATTTTCTCATGATGCTGTTAATATGCAGATGTTTAATTATTTATAAATTTAAAATTTTAAATCCTTTGTTTTGTAATTTATTGTATTGTTTTTATTAGAAAAAGCCTTCCTTATATAGTTTAATATTAACTTCAATTTTCTTTTGAATGTTTTATGTTTTAACAATTGACTTTTTAACCTGTAAATTTACTTTTATATATTTTATGCAATAAAAATGTGTAATTTTTAATATATTGATTCTCTACAACAGCATTTTTTGTACTGATGCATTATGTCTCAATTGTTTGTTATGAATCCCCTTTTTACATGTTAAATTCCAATGTATGTTAGGTTTTGTTTCAGAATTAGATTACTCTTTACTATCAATCTGCCTTTAAATTATTGTACCAGTACCGCTTTTAAAAATTATTTTACATTTATAGTATACTTTAGCATTTTGTGTTTTTTTTCCATGAAAGAATGATCACCTTTATTTTGAGTTGTTTATTTAAAGTGCAAACACTACATACCAGATTTTTTGGATTAACGTTGTTAGTACCCATCAATGTTCTTTTTATGGATTTGTAAAATTTAGACAAGACATGGAGGCATATTTGCTGGGGTCCTTTTAGCTTTTTTTTTAACCTTCGATTTTAAAATCAGGGTATCCATGGACAGATTTATTACAAAGGTGTATTGTGTGATTTTTCAGGCATTTATTTGCTATTTTTGTATGATCATTTCCTAGGAGCCCTTGAAATCATTTTGTCAATAAACAAAAATTCCCTTGTAATTATTTTTGAGTTTTTTCACTACTACTTTTTGCTATAATTTTTTTTTACTGCTTTCAAGTATAGTTACATCCTTCTGCATATAACCTGCACTATAGCCAAACTGGATTTTTGTCATATCTTTGCTTTTCCATTCTAGTACATTTGCTCATTCTGTTTCCTCATCTTTACCTATTGAAATTCTATCCTTCCTTCAAGGCTTATTTCAACATTACTTCCTCCTCTTTGATGAAGGCTTTTACTGATCAGTCTATATCACTGTGTTTCTTCTCTTAATTTTACATCACTTTTTGCATTCTTTTACAGTTGACTGTAAGATCTTTGAGAGCAGAGGCAGCATCAAGTTTACTCCAACAACAACTAGCATAATGCCAAGATGTCCACCTTTGGTGTAAAGAGCCTTGGGACCCTTTAAGTGCCAACATGCTACCGGGTACAGAATTTTTGCTAGTATGATTGGCATCATAATTATATCTGCTAATAGAAACCATGAAAGCAGATGCTTGTAGGAATAAGGATTTAAAAAATCAGTGTATATAGATGTTGTCGATATAGGAAAATATATCTTCACAGGATTTTTAGTTTTTTTCACAGAATGCTAATAATGTTACCACTCTTATGGGTACCTTTTTTTATGAATCATCCATTTCATAAAACTTTTTAAAAAGTTATTTTCAAGTTCTATAAAAAATGAAAAATGAAGATTCTGTTCTTCTCTAATTTGGTGCTATTCACAAGCATGACTCCCAGTTCGTTACTTATACCCTAGTAGGTATACTCTATCACAGGATCTATTTCTAAATTACAACAGGTAATATACATTTTAATTGGATCCCTGTTATCTATCTGAAAACTGCAAATGAAACAATTACCTAACATTCTGCCTTGAAGATTTTATCAATTTTTAATAACTAAATTTTACTTTCACGTTAAAAAAGTTCAGCACTTATCAGCAATTATGAATATAAAAATAAAGTAATGAGGTAATAAAATACAGTACATAAAAATGGTGCAGAAATATAACTGGTGGTTAATTAAGAGATAATGCCTGCAGTACTGAATAGTGTCATAGGACAGTCATCCTTTGACACTAATATTAAGGTGAAGGAATGTCATTACTTTATAAGCAGAAAAGTAATTTATAAACATCATATTTATTTATACTGTAGTCTAATTTCAGGAATGTCACTGGATGACAAAGAGAAGAAGGGTTGTGTAGAACAATGGTGAGGTACTGCCCATCCATTCTCTGCAACTGAGGCCTTTATGTCCTTAGGCAAAACATCCTACCTCAACTTTTGTTTTCTCATTTGTAATAAGGAGAAAACATTTCTGCTTTAATTACTTTATACGATTTTGATTATTGTAAGGTAAAGTAAAGGATAAGAAAGAGTATTGAAAAGTTAAACAATGCTATGTGAATTTGGGGGAAGGTTTAAAAAGCACACACACACACACACACACACACACACACACACACAGACACACACAACAGACATAAGCTGGACTAGTATTGGTTTGAAGAAGTACTGTTTTAGCCGATTAAAAGACAGTGTATGCTCCACAATAATTTTTTCAACTATTCCTCAGGATATGTTCATAAACACATATATGATGACTGGGAAGTAATGTAAAGCAGAGAGCCCTTAAAGTCATCCAGTGTTGAAAAAAATATGAACTTCTAGTGACTTATCAGATACATTTCCCAGATTCACTTGTAAGATGGACTCCCTAGATCATTTTTAAGATTTAAAATCTTTAAATTTCAAAAAAGTAATATTTGAAATAATTCTAGTGAACAGAGGATTAGAAAGAATATTAAATTGCATGCTATAGAGATATAAGTTTGACCTAATAAGGTGACCAAATCTAAGGTAATTAAAAATTTCATTGAATTGAAGTGACTTTCAAAAATGTTGTAATGAATCAAAGGCCAGTTCAGAAGGCCTTTTTATGTGTGTGTTGATATTTTGTTTACATATCCAGTACTAGTCATTTAAAACAATTACATATCTGGTATTTATAATAAGACTAGTTTTGGTATATTGGTCAATGATTAGTTTGTTCTTTGGCAATCAATTGTAATAATAGCAACAATAAATAATCAAGAATCATGACAATCAGTGAATTAGTATGGATATTACCCTGGGAATCTGTAGTGTGTTATAGGCTAGATACTGCCTAATTAGATTTAATACAATTTTTTAGATGAATGAGCAAATGAATGAAAAAATATTAGAGATTCTTTTCATCTCCTTCAGTAGTTTTCTTGTTATATTTATCTTGTTTTTCACATGTTATATTTATCCTTTCTTGCAAGAAAAGTACACCTATATTTTCAAAATACATTTGCTTGCAGGTGCACAATCTCTTGAGGGCAGATGTATTTTGTAATTCAGAAGATTTTTGAATTTTAGAAATGTAAAATTGAGCATATACTGATATTGAGTAACAGCTCAAATGAGTCTGAACCAGTACCTCATGATAATAAAATCAATATCTACAGTAAAACACCCAAATATTTAAAATAAATGGGCCACATAATGACATCAAATAACTTCAGTCAGTTAAGTTCAAGTTTTGCTGAAATGGATAAATTGGGTACCAAATCCAGAAAAACTCTGTTTCAGAGCATTTTGAATTTTGAAACTGTGGATAAGTAGTGAACCTGTAGTAGTTGCTACAGCTACAGGATAACTGAAATTACAACTATGACTATTGTAAAGTTCGAAAGAGGGTGATCCCTTTCCTCCCGATTTTAAAGGTCCATGGCTAACACCCCTATAAAAAAAACAGGTTAACAAAAGAAAAGCATAACAAATTTACTACTATTATGTGCACACTTGTGCATATGAGTCATACAAAATAGGAACTTAAAGAGGAGCCAGATGGTTGAGGCTTCTCTTCTTAGGGGAGGGGGAATCGGGGAAGGAATGGGGCAATGCTCAGCCAGTGGTTCACAGGAACAAAGGTTGTCATATTATGCAGATAAAGTTTTTTAGACAATGTCTGGGAGCTGCCCTCAGAAGAAAAGATGAAAAATCTTTCTGGCCAGGATGATGACTGCCACCCAGTCTTTTCTCTTCTCTTTCTTGTTTATTTGACGTGATTCCTAGGGAGAGGGTCTTAAGGAAATTTAATTTATTTTGGAAAGAAACTTTCTTGGTCCAAATAAGGAAATTTCAGAGAGTCCTTCCCTGTGCTTGGAGTGTGTGTGTGTGTGTGTGTGGGTGGGGGGGCGGGGGGAGGTGGGGGGGTTGGGGAGAGTACAAGACACTGTTAGAAGGACCTTGATGCTGAAGTGGCTTTTAAGGCCTCTCAGAATGTCAATGTGTCGGTCTTTGGAGTATTGCTTTCTGAGCTCCAACACTATGTTGGGCCCTTGAGAAGATTTTCTTTTGTTTTGTTAACCCCTCTTTTACCTGAAGGATAAAGCAGTTGAGTAGATATGAGGGTCTTTGGGAATATGGAGAGGATGGTTTTGAGCCATATTGATAGAGAGAATGCAGGCAGAAATAGAAGCAACCCTTCTCACGAGAGGATCTCAGAGCACTTCATGAACACCAACCTGAAAATACCAAAGGGCTAGAGAAAGGCATTTTCTCCATTTTTGCTTGAAATACATCATGGCCAGTCTGACACCAGAAAACTCAGGCCTGAATGCAGCAAAGTGATATTTTTGTACCTCAAACGTTTTACAGCTTTGAAAAGCACAGGGAGGCAGCATTGCCAAAGATAAGATACCATTCTTGGTTTTAGCCCATAAAGCAGTTGAACAATAAGACTTAAATTAACGTAAGAAAAAAATTGCCAAGTGGATGAAGGGTGAGGGAAGACTCCCAGGAACCCCCAGGCGGCAGCTGGGGGAGGGGTTGATGGGTTCTGGAGAACTAACCACAGGAAGGTGAATGTAACAAGCTAGTGGGGGCCAGGCGCGGTAGCTCATACCTGTAATCCCAGCACTTTGGGAGGCTGAGGCGAGTGGATCACGAGGTCAGGAGATCGAGACCATCCTGGCTAACACGGTGAAACCCCGTCTCTACTAAAAATACAAAAAGAAGTTAGCCAGGTGTGGTGGCACTTGCCTGTAGTCCCAGCTACTCGGGAGGCTGAGGCAGGAGAATCGCTTGAACCCAGGAGGTGGAGGTTTCAGTGAGCCAAGTTCACGCCACTGCACTCCAGCTCTGGGGGAAAGAGCGAGACTCTGTCTCAAAAAACAAGCTAGTGGGATTTAAGCATTAATGTTATTATGACCCTTTATTCAATGCAAGTTGGAAAGTCCTCAGGGTTATACCTAAATTTCACAGGATTGCATATTTAGACTTAAAATGCAACTTTTTTACCATCATAAACGAAGGTTATTTAAAATGCATAATTATTTAGCTGGTATGTTAGTGTCAGAATCATCATTGACCCAATTTTTAGGTGACACTTTACTCCATACCTAAGTACACTTAGAGAAAAGAAGTGTTTTCCAAAGAAAAATTAGGGTGAGGTCCATATCTCTGTCAGAATCACCCTTGACCCAATTTTTGGGTGGCATTTTACAACATAATTAAGTACACTTATGAGAAAAAAAATGTTTTCCATGGGAAAAATTAGGGTCATTTCCGTATTATAAATAATACACATAGATGATGAAAGAGTGATTAAAATCTTTAAGATAAAAGACTAGACTCATTTGGAACTTTAAATTTAATATTCAAAAAGTTATTAAAGCAATATTAAATAACTGTTCATTTGTACTTATTTACTGCATGTGAATGAATAATGTATATTTATCTTTTTCCCTGGAAAAGGTTTTGATATCAGGAATTATAATCTTAGAGATAATAAATTCCATTAAAGAACCAAATGTCCGAATTTTTCCTTTCAGTATTTAAGTCATCTCGGTTTCAGGTGTATCACAAATATTTTAAAATTGAATGCAAGTTTTTTTTTTTTTTTGAGACAGAGTTTTACTCTTGTTGCCCAGGCTGGAGTGCAGTGGCACCATCTCAGCTCACTGCAACCTCCGCCTCTCGGGTTCAATTGAGTCTCCTGCCTCAGCCTCCCAAGTAGCTGGGATTACAGGCACGCACCACAACACCCGGCTAATTTTGTATTTTTTTAGTAGAGACGGAGTATCACCATGTTAATCAGGTTGGTCTCAAACTCCTGACCTCAGGTGATCTACCACATTGGCGTCCCAAAGTGCTGGGATTACAAGCGTGACCCACCCTGCCTGGCCGGATGCAACTTTTTATATTAAGAGAACAAGTTAAATATGAAAAGCATGCAAAGGCATTTATATTTTAATTTGGAAAAAATGTCAATGGAAACAATCTTACAAAGATATATCAATTTGCAGGCACAAAAGCCAATTGTAATGTCAGGAAAATAAATTACTACCATAAGAATTTATTCTGGAAACAGTAGCATCACCTTTAAAAAAGTTCAATCACATAGTCATTGCATACAATCATTTGTTAAAAGTCTAGTCTGTCTGTTCTAATTTCTTTTCAATAAGCCACTAATATTGTCTCTATCACTCCTCTTCAAAGCTTCTTATATTCGTTTTTCTCTTTGTCCTACAGCATTGCCATTAATAAGAGATTTCAACTGTGCAAAGGAAATAATTTAAAATTCCATTGATTCATTGTTAAGCAGAGAGCATTGTAGAGTCATTTGAAAGATATGTAGTATGGTAACAGATTGCAGTAGGAAAAGAAAGGAAGAAAATAAATGTAAATATTAGTGAGCTAATTTTCGCTGTAGGAGTATTGATTTCATTCATCTAACTTGATAGATAGGATGACTAAGCAAAAAATTTAAATTCAAAGGCATCAATTGAACAGGAAACAGGAGTATAGGAAGAAAAAAATCAATCTTTCTTCATGAGGCATTCATCATTTTTCTTCTTGTTCTTAAGCCATCTTAATCAGCATTTGATAAATGTCCATTTAGCTATAAGAGAAAAATCATGTTTAAAATCTTGGTTCAGGGGTCATCTTTCAAATATTTTATCTTAATAGATTAAAAAAACTTTATCAGATTCCCTGAACAATTGTTTAATGTCTTGGGTTTAACTTTCTAATAGTCATAGAGAAACACTAAAAAATTTCATCATGAGCAATAGCAAATTTATGACAAAATAGTGTATCATATATATTTCCCCAGCAACAGTGAGAACAGTTTATATGAAAATTTCACTACAGATATTGGTCTCAGTAGATAGCACATTATTCCAACTGCATATATGCAGCTTAAGATAAAGCTACTCTCAGAGGGATTCCATGATATTAAAATGTGGGGGCTTGTGAAAATTGTAAAAGTTATGGAATGAAGGTTGAGAATACAAATATTTGCAACTGTTAGTGTGCATGCCAGCTGTCATACATATACATATGGAAGTTTCAAAAAGAACTGGAAGGGATAAAAGAACAAATACTGTTTCTCCCATTTCATGTAGAAGGCTAGTCTTTCCATTTATCTCCATTGAGCAGATTGTCTAGTCCAGATAGTAGTGCTAGAAGGCATTTGTCTAGCAAAATTGTGTTATATTCAGAATGAAAATAAAAGAGAAAACAAATACTTATTGAATTTTTTATTGGTCAGGTTGGGAAGATAGGATGTATTTGAAAAAAAATACATGTAAGTGTATAATATATGCACGAACAGTCTTCAATGATATCTTAATATTTTTATGGTAATTATATATTTAGTGTCTTAGCAAATAAGCAACATTTTTGTGACTTTATTGAGAAAAAAATTATCACAACAGTGACAGGTAAGAAATGAGGGAGAGAAAAATCAATAATCTATTGGTAAAAGTATCTCTATTAGTGGGAAAAGATATGTAATTTGGACGACATTCCAGACTTACCATTAACAACGACTCTGTTTTTAGTTCATATTCTGTGACAGAAAATTCACAATATTAGCTTATATAATGTTAAATAAAAAACATTCAATGGTACTTGTTAAAGCATGGTAAGGAAAGGTTTATTCAGGACCATAGCAATAGGTATAGGGACCACTTGAATGGGGTCTTGCGGTAGGGGAGAGAGATTGGGCTCAACTCTGAATACAGCATGGGTAAGTGAGAATTTATAGCCAAGGTGCAGGGAGGGGGTCAGTGAATGGAAAATTACTACAAGGAAGCATCAGAGGTAAGGGGGATTCTGGCTAAACCAACCTAACAGGACTTTTGCTGAAGACAGGCCAGGGAGATCAGACATCACCTAAGGGACGGTGGAGGATGAGGAACTGGATCAGTTATCAGGGTGATCAGAAATTGAAGGTGAGGGGTTCTTGCTAAGCTGGCTTAGAAGGGTTTTTTTGCTAAAACTGGATTTTATGAGGAAGTACAGATGGGCCTAGGTAAAGGTGCAGAAGCCTGACTAGAATCTGACCAAGCAAAGAATTTTTGTCGGTAACCATCAAAATATGCCAGTGAGGTGTTATTATTGTTATTGTTGTTGTGATCTCCAATTTACAAATACTGCTACAGAAGTTCAGAGAGGCTACATGATTCACCCAACTTAGGCTAAAAGAAAGTACTAAATTTTTTCCTTAATGATGAAGTGTAAATCTGGGAAGTAGGTACAATGCAGGGTTATTTCACCGAAGGAACAGGGAAAGAGCTGGGAGAGAGCATTATTTTGAATTTTTCCACTGTTTTAAGGGAAATAGGACAAAAGTGTCAGCCATCTTCTCAGGAAATGATTATCAGAAATGAAACAAAACCAGCAAAAATTCCTGGACTGGTCATTTGCCATATGAGCAAACATAGATAAGAAGGAAAGCCCATCCTCGGATTGCCGATCATCATAAAATATTTTTAAAGAGTTGAAAATAGCAAAATTAATGCATTTTCCGAAACAGATTGAGATGGTCAGAGATGGTTTGTTTACTAAAGGTGCAGAGCCACTAATTATCTCCAGTGGTTTTTAGCAGTTGCAGATACTTAGTTTGTGTCACCTAGATGTGGCTATTTGTCAATATACTCACAGAGAAATAAGACTTCTTTATTGCTGTGGATGGTCACTACTTACAAAAGGCAATCAGTTAACAATCAAAGAGTGTTTTATGTATTCCATCTCATTTAATGGAAATGGCATTGTTTCCTTTGTGTTTCTTATTCAAAATTGCAAACATCAGCTTTGGATATGCATCTGCAATACACAAGATAATTTGCACCAGATAATGTGGATGTTTGGTTTTATTTAGTCAAATTGGATCTAGTAATTAGTACTGTTGTAAAATCCTGCTACGTATGGAAAACAATGTATGAGGAGGGGTTAAAATATGAGGCTGTTGCTTTACCCTTGGATCTCTTGCTAATATTTTGTTTGAAGAGTGATTTTTACTAATTTTGCAAAATTCCTTGCATGTTTGGTTTAATATAATAAGCACATTTTAAGTTGAAATTAAAAAATATTACAAAATCAAAATTGATCACCTGTGGCTATCTCCTTACCTCTACATTTTAGATGAATTATGATGAGCTTATTTGTAGACTAGGATGCCACAGAACTCCTAGTTCTTACCCAAATAAGTCCATGAGATAAATGTGAATCAAATGGAATGATCCAACTTGAATCATGCACTTATGCCCCAACTTATTTGGAAAATTGGTAAATGTGTTCATAATTGTATAGCATATTCAAAGCTGAGAACTCTTAAGATGACCTAGTTACAGAGGAGAAATTTGAAGCCTACAGAAATGATTTACCCATGATAACAACTAGTTTGGGACAGAACTGGAACTAAAACCACAAATTATTTTCTGAATTCGGAATGTTTTCTACTATGTTATATCTCTTTAACTTCATCTGAAGATATGGGAAGCAGAAAATTTTCTCTTTTCTTTGTACTACTTATACTTTTAAGAAATACACTCATAAAAATATTTTCTGAAAAATATGATTAGGAGATTACTTTCCTACAATTAAGTATACAAACTCATTGCTTGTGCTGAGGAAAATAATGTGTGATGACAATTTATTACTCAAATTTGATTATAAACATTATTTCTTCAATTATAATACCATTCTTTGGTCTAGGGGACACTTTTAAATGTCTAATTCAATTTTGTTAATTCAACTTAAAATTCAGGTACTCAATTTATGATTTAGAAAGATTCACTGAGAGAAAAATACTTAGTGTTTTTTTAAATCTGTGGAACAAAACAATGATCATCAACAAAAAGCCTACATTATTTATAGAGCACAATGTCCCTTTTTGGAAGGGAATGAGAACTATCATAGCAAGAGAAAAAAACTTCTGTTTTCTGGTATTGAATGATAATATTAAATAATAACATTTGTTTTGTTTAATCTTGTGTCATTTTGTATATACATCACAGTATTACTATGCACTGTCTGTCATAATATAATATGCCACAGGATGCCATTCCCATTTGGATACTTCTTATATAAGTATAAACAAATTATAGTTGTATAAATATGGATGATTGCTGTAGAAAATAGGTAGCTTCGAATTTGGCTTTTGGTGTTTCATAGCATTCTAAATATACACATATAAGGCCTTTCTCTTATTAAAAGCTGTCTTGCTTAGCTGTACCAAAACTTTTCCTTGAAATACACTTTTCTATCTTCTCTGCTCCCTCTTTCACTTTCTTTTCTCTTTTGTCTTCACCAGTATATGTCAGTGTTTATGTGTTTCCCTCGTCAACCCTATTCAACTCCCTTTACTTCCTTCCTTTGACATTTCCTGATTGAAGATCCTAGATGCTGCAGTGATTAAGGGCTTCTGAATTCACAGGATGGCTAAGATAGATAGGCTTATCACAGATTAGCAGTGAAGCCAGCTACACATTCTTAGTGTCTCTGAAGTAGAAATGGCTTCATAGTTTGGTAACCCAGTCTTCCCTTGAAACAGATGCCCTTAATTTTTCTTCACTAAGTGCAGTATGGTTTTATTGATATGGCTTAAATTTCTTTGACTCAGGTTTCTGACAGGGAAATCCCAGGGGTTTCTGGATTCAAACGGGAAAGGGGAATAGGGAGATACAAATGATTGAGATCTTTAAAGAAGAATTGGCAGATACACAGAAGAGAACCTTCCTATCAACCAAAAAGAGTTTCTGAATTAGTTGATAGACTAGTAAATAGAGGCAAGAGAAATTTCAGGTAAGACATGTATCTTCGATGGTAGGCTTAATAACATTACCACTTACTTCAGATCTCTTGGCCTTGTGTATAAAGGAACCCCAAGCTAAAGGTTGATTGACTTGATCATTAAGAATAGGAAAGAGCTTAAATATCTTTCAGTAAACCTCTTAATCTGTATCTTCAGTATCCCGAAAAGGCTGTAGCACTTTACCAACCCACCACTGAATAGTCTCAGATGGGGCTCTTCTTTCTTCAAGAAAGGTAGCTTTGTACCTTTATTTTAACCTTCACATAAAGATGAAATTTATTAACACAGAAAATATCCCAGAAAGGTTTGTGGGTAGCTTTACAAAGCATTCATTTCCTTGCTCCTTGTAAACAAATGCCATATTAACAGAAGCCCTTTCTTTTAGACTTGTGTTCCTCAGAAAATTGTGCCCTGATTTATTAAAGTAAATTCATAGATAATCTTTGAGGGATAAAGATTGACATTTAAAATACTCATAAACACTGTACTGCATTGTTATCTTAAGAAGGAACCAATAATGGACTTGTGGAAAATAATGAAGTGTTATTAGATTTGTCACAAGTTAAGATTCAGATGCCAACATACAGTGAACATAGAAGCTAAGATGTCCTTGTTCCTTTTTTAATATGTACTATTGATGTACTGTTTATTGACCCTGCTCTGTGTATCATTTTCTAAGCAATTATATTACTAATCATATAGTGTTTTATGTAGCAGAACCGACCTATTTGTAAATACTTTCAGGAAAATAAAGACGACTTCCATGATAGTTAAATCTATATAAGCATAATTAAAGTGATTTAAATCTAATTTGTCCTCAAATTGCCATAAATTGTATACACCTTTCCACTGTATTGTTATTGACTGGAAATGTAACTCATAAATGGCATTCGCACCCTTAAATTGCCATAATCAAATCTGCTCTTTAACTACTCATGATAGTTTGTAATTTTTTGGCCAGACGCAGAGGCTCACACTTGTAATCCTGGCACTTTGGGAGACCGAGAGGGGCGGATCACCTGAGGTCAGGAGTTCAAGACCAGCCTGGCCAACATGGTGAAACCCTGTCTCTACTAAAAATACAAAATTTGCCTGGTGTGGTGGCACATGCCTGTAATCCCAGCTATTTGGGAGGCTGAGGCAGGAGAATCACTTGAACCTAGGAGGCAGAGGTTGCAGTGAGCCGAGACCACACCACTGCACTCCAGCCTGGGCAAGAAGAGTGAAACTCAATCTAAAAAACAAACAAACAAAAAAGAAACATACTTTTTGCTCTCCTTCAAATTAAGATCTCTTCTGTGCCACCTTTTCTTCTCTCTTCATATTTTCTCCCCGGTAGAGATTACACTTATCACACAGCATTATGAATTTTCACATGCCTACCTCTCCAAGTACATTATGGCATCTAGTTTGTTCTCATATCCTGTTCTGATTAGTTATTGCTACATAAAAAATATTTCAAAACTTAATGGTTTACAATGACCTAAAACAATAACAACATAGTATTTGAAGTAAGTATAGTATATTTTATGAATTTGTGGGTCAGAAACTTTCCAGGAGCTTAGCCGGGTAGTTCAACTCTGACCTACATGGCACAAGTCTGGATAGCTGGTGTCAGAGGATCTACTTACAAGGTGGCTTCTTTATACAAATATCTAGTGTCTTGGTGCTTCTTGGCTTCTCTTTCTTCAAAAGGTGTCTAATTTTTAGGACTTTTCCATGTAGCTTGGGCTTCTCATAGCATGACAGTAATCAGATTTCTTATATGGAAGCTGGCTTTTCCCAGAGCAAGGGTTCCCAGCGGCCCACACAGAAGTTGCGAGACTTTCTATGACCCAGCCGCAGAACTCTTAAAACATTATTTTCCCCCACTTTCAATTGTTAAAGCAAGTTAAAAAGCCAGTCTCTATGTAAGAGAAGGGGAGGAACAACAGAAGGGGAGGAATGAAGGCATGGTATACACATATATGGAGGAAAGAAATTAATTATGGCCAACTTGGAGACCAGCTGCCACATGTCTCCAAGCTTTTGAGGGTGAGATTTTGTGTCTTATTCATTTTTGTTTCTTCAGTGCTTTGCAGAGTGGATGGCATATAACTGGGCTTAGTAAATGAATAAGTTCTCACTTCTAAACAGAAGATACAATATCCCTCCTAAATAGAGCTACTGAATTTACAATTGCCTATCTGACATCTCTTTGCTGGTATTTCAAATTCTACATGTCCAAAATGAAGCTCATAAAAATAGCCTCTCTCTAGATTTCCTTAACCTCACCAACCTCCCAGTCATGGTGGCTCAACGGCTAAGAATCCTTGAGTTCACCATCTTTAAAGCTTTCTACTTTCGTCAACTTCTCTTGTTCATCAGACTTTTCTCTCATCTATGTGCTCCTTTCCATTCCCATGGCTACCACAGTAGTTGAGGCCCTTGCAACTTCTCTTTTTAACTATTATGAAAACCCTCTTAATTATTTTCTTTGTCCCACATCCCTGACTCATCTAATTTATCATATGAATACTACCCATTAAATTTTTCTAGTAAACAGCTCTGATCACAACACCCCTCAACTCCATATTATTGTGAGTGAAATGCTATTTGGTAGTTGGTCACTCATGCCCATGATTTTTTTTCTCCTCACTCTTGTTAGATAACAAGTGACCCTTTGTTTTGAGAGCTCTCAGCTAAATTGGGATTCCAGTACCAGAGTGGCTAGCAACCCTGCCCTAACGAAATGTAAAGGGAAGCTGGACGTGTGCTGCTTATAGAGTGCCTCTGACAGGATACTTCTTTTACTTGGCAGATAGCCTAATGCCTAGTTGTCCAACCTATGACCAGGAGGTCCCTTATACGGAAAACTTGTTTATACTAGCAGATACCCCTGTGGCTCTTGTTTGACCTGTGTCCTGTTTGTGCCTGTCTATCACTCTGATGCTGGGAGCCTGATCTTGTATTCCCCTCAGAGTCCTGGGGAAAACCAGACCTGCGGCAGCCCCTGATTCTTCTGATGGAAGGTGCAAATTCGGTGTACCACCACAATAGGAAATAAGTTCAAAGGCTTTTACAAACAGATTCTCAGCAGAGAGGGCGTAATGAGTTGGGTGGGCAGTTCTCTGTCCCTGGGTCACAGAAGGCAGGAATGAAGAGTCAGGCAGAGAGAGGGAGACACCACATGGCCAAATAGTAGTATATATAAGGAAATAGGGTGTGGGTCACTTTAAGTTTGTAGGCAAATGCCTGAATGATCCGTTTTAAAGGAAGCAGTGGTGGGAAAGCTGGGAGTCTAGTCTTCTAAGCGGGGGAGATGCCTCTAAGTTCTTATCTCTGGCCACCAGCTTGAGCCATTTGTATGTGATGTAGAACTGGAAACTGTGTCAAGGGTGACTAAGCTGTGCTTCTGGTATAATATGATAGTTAAACCTGTATTCGAAGTTGATGCCGAGGTAACATAAAATTATAAGAACTCACTAAACCCTTCAGCTAGTAATTAGTGAAGGTCACTAACTTGCTTATCTCTGACAACTAATGCTCATTATTATATTCATATCATAATACGTAACCCTTATTATATGGGAAGGGCATAAACTAAATGGATATATCTTTATTGGTGATCATTTCTAGTGTCTGGTAGCATGTTGTATATAGGTAGACTGGATTTAAATTCCAGCCCTATCATATACTATTTATCACTTTTCACCTCTGAGTCTCAGTTTCCTCATCTAAAATATAGGGACAATAATGCCAATCTTAGAATATTCGTATGGAGACTAAATTAGATAATGCATATAAACCACTTAGTGGAGCTACAGAATAAGTAGATTTCTAATAAATGTTAGTTCTCACTCAGACTAGTTGAAAATGTATTTGGGGACCTGCTCCACAAATTACTGGCTGAGCCCTTAGGGAAGCTATTTATGTTCTATGTTTTAGGCTTCATCTGTAAAATGTGAGGACTGAATAAGAAAATAGATATAAAGACATTAGAATAGTGCCTTATACATAGCAAACATTCCACAAATGTTGAGATCAGTGTTTCAGGAGTTAAGATTGGACTGTGCACATTTTGTCTGCCTTCTGTTTTATATATGCAATCTTTGTAATTTACCATAAAGATCAAAATCCTGTATACTTGCATCAGTGCTTTATAAAGATGTTATCACAGTGAGAAATGACTACAGATAATGAAAAATGCCACCTCTACAAGCATATGTTTTTACCTTTCAGCATACAGAATGTATGCTGAAAGGTAAAATAAAATAGAATGTTTTATTTGCTTTTCTCTTTGGTACATAGATCTGAAGTCTTCTAAGCTCTTATTTAAGGTTGACTTCTACTTACTCTTATCTTTGTGAGAATGGTCAATTAAGAATTGGGAGGCCGAGGCTGGAAGATCAATTGAGGTCAGGAGTTCGAGACCAGCCTGGCCAACATGGCGAAACCCCATCTCTACTAAAAGTACAAAAATTAGCTGGGCGTGGTGACATACAATTGTAATCCCAGCTACTCGGGAGTCTGAGGCCTGAGAATTGCTTGAAATCGAGAGGCCCTTGAACCCTGGAGGTGGAGGTTGCAGTGAGCCGAGATCGTGCCACTGTACTCCAGCCTGGGTGACAAAGCGAGACTCCATCTCAAAAAAAAAAAAAAAAAAAAAGGAGGAGAGAGGTAGAGAAAAGTCAGCGAATGTTTAAGCCTTTACTTAATCCTAGGAAAATCCTGTAAACTTCATTGGTTCATTGGTGTCACTTTAAAAATTAGCAACATTTGTTAGGCTGCTTTGCTAAATCTCAGAGAAAAACATTTTGCTTTCGTCGGCTTTGTTTGGAGGTTTTCATGATGATAGCAAGGTTTCATTGTGGCAGTTGTTACCACCCTTGCTATTATCCATTTCCATGCCTCTGGGTGATTCTCAGAACAATGCTCACTGGAGCCCAGAAAATATACCTCCCTCTGATATGCTACAAGCAGCTGCATTACCATGGAAATGATACAGAATTCCTTTTTGATTTTTTAAGAAGATGTACTGATATATTTTTGTATTTCATTATGAAAATATCAAAATAAATTTCCATCAAAAGTAATCAGAATTACATTTTTCTTTCTGATTCCCCCTTTTCACCTGCAAGGTCTTATACTTCTGGCCCATGCCACTCTCTTCATTTACCTCCATACTTCTTTATTAGAGCCTCTCGGGCCAACCTCTGTACCTTCAGTGACCTGTGTCCCTTTGTCCTTAGGGCGTTTGTAAATGCTACTACCTCCACTGGCAATATTTTTTCCCTCTTTATCTAGCTAATATCTTCTCTTCCTTTTTGTTTCAACTTGAAAGTCACTTTCTTAGAGAGGCCTTCCTTGAGCCCTCAGAATGGAGAAAAATTCGTGGTTAATTACTTACCCAGATAGCTTTATTTTCCCTCATAAACCAAAATAGTAACTATTTTGCTCTTTGTGTGAGTCATGGTCTAATGTCTTTCTCCCCAACTAAAGTCCCAATTTCAGGAAAGCAGAGACTCTCAACTGGCATAGTCATGACTTTATCCCAGGCAGCTACCACAGGGCTTGCCACTTGTGTAGGTTTTCAATAAGCATTTGTTAAATGAATGAATGAGGCATTGGAACAACTGCAGTTTACTCCACTGCCCTTAGGTTTATACTCAGGGTATCTGCTGTTTCCAAAAGTACAAATATAATTTGCATTAAGGGTACTGCCTTAATGAGAGATTTTCTGTCATCCTCTGTGCTTATGTGGTAAAGTCTTAATTTCACATTCATGTGATGTGGGCAAATGTAAGTAAGTAGAAGGGATGAATAATATATTTAATTTATAACAGAGCCAATTTTATGAAAGTGTTTAAAACATTTAAGACCTTTTGTTCCCATTCAGCTTAAGCCTAGTTCTCATCTAATGTAATTTATTTTCTCGGTATATTAATTAAATTTGCAGCAACAAGAAATAGGAGGACACCTGATATTAAAAAGCAAAAAACACAGAATGCATTTGCCTCATTAGCATGTGTTTTTCCAGCATGGCTATGCACTGCTTATTAACACACTGAAAACTCTAACTGACCTGAGGTATTAGCAGGTAGTACGAAAAAAACTAACAAGTGGTAAGTACAGGAAATAAAAGCACAGAATTTGGAATCAGATCTGAGTTCAAACAAAGATCCTTTGCTCGCTTATTTGACTTGGGGAAACTTACTTAACTTCTCTAAACCTTAGTTTCTACATTTATAAAATGGGTTTTTTTAATTTAATTTAATTTAATTTTTTTTTTTTTTTGAGACAGAGTCTCTCTCTGCCACCTAGGCTGGAGTGCAGTGGTGTGATTTCGGCTCACTGCCACCTCTGCCTCCTGGGTTCAAGCGATTCTCCTGCCTCAGCCTCCCGAGTAGCTGGGATTATAGGCATGGGCCACCATCCCTGGCTAATTTTTGTATTTTTAGTAAAGACGGGGTTTCACCATGTTTACCAGGCTGGTCTTGAACTCCTGACCTCAGATGACCCACCACCTTGGCCTCCCAAAGTGCTGAGATTACAGGCTTGAGCCACCACCCCCAGCCTTAAAATGGGTTTATTAATATTTGCCTTGCCTGTTATTTGTGAAAAGTACGAGAGATTATATGAAAAAGAATCTGTCATTTTATGTGATCGCCTGTAGCTCTTATTATTACAAATGAGAAGCAAGCGGAAAAGAAAAAAAATAGGACAGATATTAAACAAAAGAAAAAGATGAAAGAAAGTGGTGTATTAGGAACAGGGCTGGCTGGATGAGTTGAGTAAGCACTTACTGAAGTAGGAGGAGGCACAACAAATTAAACTATAACAAGTTAAAACATGATAAATCAAGTTTAGCCTAAAGCTGCCTCCTAACATATTTTAAGTTTGGCCTAAAGGTTTCTCTGTCCATTGTGAACTATAACCTAAATGGAGTGGTAAATTCTGCAGCCTACTCTTGTCCCGATCACTGAAGTTTTGGCCAATCAGAAGTGGCCAAATGTTCAAACTGTGTTCAAATAAGGCAAACACTGAGCTGTAACCAATCTGGCTGTTTCTGTACCTCACTTCCATTTTCTGTGCCTCACTTTCCTTTTTCTATCCATAAATCATCTTCCACCTCATGCCTCTGCTGGAGTCTCTGAGCCTACTCTGGCTCAAGAGGCTGCCCAATTCGTGAATCTTTCTTTGCTCAATTAAACACTGTTGAATTTAATTCGGTTAAAATTTGTTTTTAACAATTATAACAGATTAAACGAGAGTAAGTTCATAAAAGCCAGTGTTATGGGCTTACTTGCCCCCCCTCCAACTTCATATGCTGAAGCCCTAACCCCCAGTACCTAAAAATATGACTGTATTTGGAGAAAGGACTTTTAAAGAAGTTATAAAGTTAACGAAGGGTTGTTAGGCTGACCCTAATTCAATCTGATTGATTCCTTAGAGGAAGAAGAATTTATGACACAAAAAATATACAGGGACAACCATGTGAGGATACAGAGAGAAGGTGGCTCTCTGCAAGCCAAGG
The DNA here is from genome assembly GCF_000001405.40 of Homo sapiens. Taxonomy (NCBI): domain Eukaryota; kingdom Metazoa; phylum Chordata; class Mammalia; order Primates; family Hominidae; genus Homo; species Homo sapiens. Next base: position 95,899,396 of record NC_000023.11, on the reverse strand, counting down.
AGAGAGACCTCACAATGAATCCAACCCTGCTGACACCCTGATCTTGGACTTCCAGCCTCCAGAATTGTGAGGAAGTAAATTTCTGCTGTTTAAGCTACCTGGTTGTGATATTTATTATGGCAGCCCTAGCAAACTAATACAACTACAGAGGCAGCTTGATTTGTAAAAGGAAGCCATGAAAGATAACATAGGTAAAAATATCTACTACAGTGCTTAGTTAATAGGAAGTGGTCCATACATACCAATTGAATCTTTTGACAAACAGTTCTAAAGGAAAGCTTTATAGGTTGAGCATCAGGAGACCTGACTCTTATTCTCTGTTGTGTTGCTAACTAGCCTTAGGACCTTCATTACCCTGGGCTATAGCCATTTCAGCTATAGAAAGAAGAGTTTAGAGTAAATGAATTTTACTTTTCCATAGAGTTGAAGAATTTAATTATTGGAAAAGCCCGATGTTCTAAATGTGTTACCAGGAGAGATGGAACTTGAATTCTGATCTTCAGATTCCCAGAACAGTGTTTTTCTTTTTTGCTGTAAATTTTCTGCAAACACTGAATGCAATTTTTGAGTCAGTGTCTTACCCTGTCACCCAGGCTGGAGTGCAGTGGTATGGTCATAGCTCACTGTAACCTTGAACACCTGGGCTCAAGCAATGAAATGTGTTTTTAAAACTTAGGAATCAGAGGAAGATATTCCTGCCCTTTTTTTACGTTAAAAATGTTCAGTAGCAGAAATATTCCATTGTATTTACCATAGAAGTTCTCTAATTTTAATAAATACGGTGTTGAAATGTTTGTTGACTGTGCTGCATTAAAACTTGCTTTAAAGAAGGCTAATTTAAAAGAAATCAACATGTAAAAGAACAAGCCACAAGCAAATCCACTTTCTGGTTAAGAAATTTATCTTCTGTAATCTCATAGCCAAAAGAAAGAAAAAAGGAAGTCACTGCTTTGGCCTACTTCTAGTCTGGTCAGAAGCTGCTGTTTATATTTTGATTTAATGTTCTCTTGGTGATAAGGCCTAAAGGTCTAACCCATGTGCTGCTGCAAGATAAATTGGTAGCCATGTGAATTTATGCAAGGAAAGGTAATATTTACTTTGATTCTTCAGTTTCTTCATATAAAATAGCTTAGGTCTACATAGTAATGGCAAAGATTTTATTGAATACAATTTATGTAGGAATAGTAGTTAACCTCTGCTTTTGAAGCTAACAAAAGATAAATACTACACATACAACACTGAAATTTACCATCTTGATTGTAAACTGGAAATATGGAATAATCTTGCATGCTTGATAACTTTTACTCTGTATTGCGTGAGCCTGATTAAATCTGACCTGGGTGTCTTCAGAATGGCACAAGCCATTGTACATCTTCGATTATATTGCTTTTTCAACTTACGATAATAATTGCTAACGGTTACCTAGAACTGGTTATCATCTAGACACTACTCTAAATCATTTACTTGTATTAACTCACTAAATCTTCTCAACAAATCATTTAATCTTTGTGACAAACTTTTATGAAAAAAAGGTCATTATCATTCCTATTTTGCAGATGAGAAAACTGAAGTTTATAGAGGTATGTGACTAGCTCAAAGTCACAAAGCTTCCAGTGGCAGCATTGAGATTTAAATCCAGACAGTATGACTCTAGAATCCATGCCTCTAATTAGTTTGTGAACTGCCTCCTAAAGGAAACACCCTTAAGTTACCAGTATCCCACATGCAGTAGCTCAGCCTTTGATCTACTTCTTTGATTTTACTTCCTCCAGGCTTGATAATTCTCAGACAAGGAATATATTCAGAATTATCTTTCAATAATCATGTGTGAGATAGGAAAGAGCACTTTTTACTTACTAATAACTTGAAAATAGTCCTTCAAAACCGATATTTGGACATAGAAATATAAATTGCCAGTACTTCCAATTAGCCTCAGCTCCAGCTGGTCTCCTATAATGCACAAATTAGGATCTCAGCCCAGATTTCGTGTCAGAAAAGCCTAAGATTTTAGTTGATGTTCATTTTAACTGAGAGTGTGGCTATCTTGTTGCATTTGGTTTTCCTGTTGGAAATAACCTTAACACACATCTTTGAACATTTCAAAGGTGGGGAAGTCACGTGTATCAAAACGTAGATTGTTGGTTTCATTAAATATAAGTCCTTTACTTTCCAAAATCAAAGTTTATTAAATGGTTTAATTTCTTTTCCCAAAAAGATTTCTACCAGCAGAGTATTATGAAAACTTGCATTAAATGTTTTAATAACGCATGTATGCTTTTATTAATTTTATTACATACCTGTCAGGATTTTCTTGCTTTAAATCATGTTTCAAAAATTAAAAAAATACACTGAATCTACAAAATATTTGAATATTTCAAGGAAGCTGGATGATTTTTTTAGATACACATACACAAATATATAATCATAAAAACATTAAATAATTTTTTAACCCAAATTTCAGCATAAGGTATTTTGGTCAATTACTTTGTGCTTGCTGAGCCCTATCAGGGCAAACATCTGGATTTCTGGGGAAAATGAATGAATAGCACATTATTCAATATTATTTTCTTGATAGCCTATATCAGCTGTGCCAGTGGCATATTCTTCTAACTGCTAGGTTTCTGGTTAAAAGCATCATGCCCAGTTAATCTTTCAATCTCATCTTATTCCAATATTCTTGGGATCCCCAGCCAGTTCTATGCTGATAACAGGCCAGCTGTATATATTAATGTTAATCCAGAGGTCCCAGGGCAACTTCAGTCCTGGACCTAAACTTGACCAAGGCAGAAAATGTAGCAAGAGACTTAGTTTGAGGCTTAAAATCTCGTTGCCCTAAATTCAATATCTGCTGTGATCTGGGTGGCAATGTAGCTTCCAATCCTCTGGATTTCCAACACTCAGTATCACCAATTACCAGTCTCTCAATTGGTCCACTCTACAGTCATGTGCTGCATAATGATGTTTTGGTCAACAACGGGCTGCATTTACGACTGTGGTCTTATAAGCCTATAATGAAGCTTCCCTGAATAGGTGAACCATTTTTTATCTTTTATACTGTATTTTTACTGTACCCTTTCTATGTTTAGATATGTTTAGTACTTACCATTGTGTTATAGTTGTCTATTGTTTTTGGTACGGTCACATGCTGTACAGGTTTGTAGCCTAGGAGAAATAGGCTATGCCACACAGCCTAGGTGAGTAGTAGGCTGTACCTTCTAGGTTTGTATAAGTACACTCTATAATGTTCACACAATGAGGAAATTGCCTAACAACGCATTTCTCAGAACATATTCCCATCGTTAAGTGACGCATGACTGAATATAGTTGAGATTCAATCTCAGTTTTCCTGCTTAGCAGTCAAGTTGTCTGGTAGAATTTAAGCTGATTCTAAATCATAATCCATCTGTTGCCTCCCAACATGGCTTATGAATTTGGAGAAGAGGCCTTGAGATGGTATACTACAGCAGCTAAAACAGAGACTTACATGTCAAGGAGACCTACACCAATAAAATGTAAATTAAAACCACACTGCAATCCAGTACATACCCACCAGAATAACTAAAATAAAAACATAGAAATTATCAGGTGTTGGAAAGGATATGGGGTGGCTATAAATCACATATACTGCTGGTGGAAGCACAAATTGTTGGAAGCATTTTTGCCGTTATATATGAACATATATAAACATATACACAGCGATGACCCAGCCATTCCACTCTTAGACATATCACCAATGCAAATCCATACCCATGTTTGCTAAAAGATTTATAATAGAATATTCAAAGCAGATTTATTTGTAACAGACAAACTGGAAAGTATCTTAATGCCTACTGAATGTAGAATAGATCAATAGATTGTAGTATAGCCATATAATGCAGTACTCTAGAGCAATAAGAATAAATTATTTAGACTATAATCAACAATATGGATAAACCTCAGAAGGCAGACACTAAAGGATAGATACTATGTCATTTTATTTAAATTGAGTTCAAGGACAAGCGAAAGTAACCTCTATTTTAGAATCAATATAGTTTAGGGGAGGAAGTGACTGAACAGAGCATATGGAGGGTTTGGGTTACTGACAATGTTGTGTTTCTTGATTCAATTTGTGAAAAAGTGTCAGTCTGTACCATTTTTATGTTTTCACTTTTTATAAGTGCATTATATTTCAATAAATAGGAATAAAGAATTAAAAAGAACAATTTGTAATGACTGAAATTTAAATCCCAGCTCTACCTCTTGCTAATACTATGACTCTGGTCAAATTTCATAACTCTTCTAAAAGCCACAACATTCTTACTTGTTTGATGATGTGGGTGGCAGTGGTAGTGATGATAAGAAGAAATGTTTACATGACACTTATTGTGCCAGAACAATCTAATCATTTTCTATCAATTTCATTCTCACAATAATCTTATTAGGTGGATAATACATAATATTATCTTCATGTAACAGATTAGGAAAGCTAGGCACAGAAATGTTAAATAACTGGCCCAATGTTATCTAGGTCCAGAATTGACACCTAAAAAAAAGTATATTTAAAAAGGTTTAGAAAACTGTAACCTAATAAATGTACATTAGAGCTTCTTCATTTTCATTAATGATAAAACATTACATGTAGCTCTCCTTCCGATGCCCATTTCCCATAGGCGCACTCTAACTGTATCCCACAGATAACCAGTTCAACATTCCTTTGTCCACAAGCTTGGAGTTCTCCATCTTTCTGGCATTGAATTGTTCTTAAATGAGCTTTCAAACTTTGAGGAAGCATAATAAAGAGGTTATGTGTTTCCTTCTTAAGCCAGTTACTTTCCACAATTACATACAGACATTTCTTATCTATTATTGGATAATCCTGCATATTTATAAGAAGAGGACTTTTAAAATCTCTATTTTCAGTGACAAGAAAAGGGCTTAACATATTAGGTGCTTAATAAATAAATGTTGAATTAAACATTCAAATTAAAGACCTTTCACTCCTTGGAGACATAACTTTTCATAGTTATTTTATATTTATTTTCTTGATTAAAGACCTTTTCTAATGCTATTGAAGCCTCTCTATAATGGTAGTTACTGGGAGGCAATGGGATAGGCTCTTTGGAGCAGGCAGAGTTTTTTGAGCTCCTCTAAATCATACTATTCTGGTAACAAATTATTTGGTCTATAAGCATGGCACTAACTCAGCTAGCCGCCAAAACTTTTCAATTCAATCTATTGGAATATCTCTTTATGGAGACTCATCTCAAATTTTATCATGGGAACCAATAGAAAAGATTTAATAAGCTTTTACATTAATTAGTTTTACAGCCACATTTTTGGAAACAAATCTGTTTCATAAAGAGAAAAAGCCTTACTTATAATGATAGCTTGCCTATGCAATGTTAATAACATAGTTTCTCTTTTGTTTGATGAACTTTCCCATTAGCTACTTGCCAGTTGGATGTCGACATCAGCAATTTAGAATCATAGCTCCAAATCTGGTCTCATTCCTACTAATGTGATATCCTTGGCTGCATCATGTTACACTGCAATCCATTGCACTCCTTGCCAGCAAGGATAACCACAGAGCCATTCCAATCTTTGCTATTGCTAAATTTCCTCTCCAAGTTTTGGTAGGCTAGTTGGGAGCCATCTGTAAGTGTGTTTCCGTGGCTACCATCAAGTTTTCCATCTGCCAGTATTTAACATTGCCTGTGTCTGAACTCATAAGCAAAACAGCCCTCTTGAATCTATGACTATATTTATAGGAGCAAAAGATTAAGTGATTCACATTTTAATTAAACCAAGGAAGAAAATAAATGGTGGAAATAGAAGAATCCCACTGTATGCAATAAGTAAGGTTGCTGTTAAAAATTATTTGGTGTGTCATCTGAGATTTAGCAGCACCTCAATAATAACTTGGGGTATGAGGGAAAGTATCTTGAGAAATTACAGTGATGGGACAACAAAAGCAAAGCAGCTACCATAGTTTAACACTTGAAACTTAGCTGAAGTGATTGAGGACATTTGTCATCTCTAAGGATCAGTTACTGTGTGTGTTCTTTGGTTTTGTTTTTTATGTAAGGTTGTAGTTCTTCCTGGGGAAGAGATAAGAAACCATGGATGTTGCAACTGGGTGGCAGTGGCAGCTAAGGCTTTTGGAAACTTAACAACCACTATGATCTAGATTAGTGCTTTTCAAACTGCAATTGAAGACTATTAGTGGGTTATATAATCAATTTAGACATCACAACTACCATATTTAAAGAGTAAAATAGGATAGAATAGAAAACATCAGTATGCATCACATATACTTAGGGTAAATATTGATTTATGAAACTTAGTTTTGCATGTGCGCACACACACACACGTGTTCTAGATCACAATGTGAAACATATTTCTTCCTGTATGTTGAGGTTAAAAAAGAAAGTTTGAAATCCTCTGATTTAGGGATAGATTAAATGCCATTGTCTACCCTTTTCAATTTTGTCGGAATAAATGGTGATGCAGTTTCTCCTAATTTGAAAGGGGCTGAAAACCACTAGTATTAACATGTTAAGATGAATTATGAATTTTCTTTTCAAGGCATTGAAAATATCAAAATGCTCTCATATTGAGTGCTCTAAATTTATTATCTTTTAATTAATTCATACGTAAGAGTTATATGTCTGAGTATATTGATAAGTTTCAAATCATCTTTCTAGAAAAGCTGTTTATTTTGGAAACAAATAAACAACAAGAATCTAGTTAAATTTGAATCTCTAGGAGTACTTTAGGACATCTGGTATTTTCCAACTTTAGGAGCATACCTGAAGCAGAAATAGATCCCGCCTTCCTCCCCCAACACACACATACACACACACACACACACACACACACACAGACAAACTAGGTGGTTGTGTTTACTCTGAAGTTTCCAGTCCAAACCCACAGTTCCAGTAGAATTTGTGACCCTCCTAAGGATCCTGTGGTATTTCTTTATTCCTTTGAGGCCTCTTCAAACTGATGTTGGTGCAGATACACATAGCATACTTCAAGCTACTTTGGTCTTCAGTTACTTTCATTTTAATGAGAAAATTTAGTAGACTATTTGATGATTTATTCATTTTCAATATCCATGCCTCAAAATCATTCAGGTTTGTCTCATCTGCACCATGTGTGCTAGAGTCCATTTATCTATGAGCTATCTTTTCTAACCCTCCATTCAAGTATATATATTTCCTGACTTCCAGATACATACAACTCCTAAACCAACCACTGCTTTTGCCTGAATTAAGAAAAATGCTTTGGATTTTTCTACATGATTCAGACTAGAATTGTGAGTAAAATTTTCATTTTTTTTCACAGCCAGGCTTGCTGTTTTATAGAAATAGTCTGAGATTTTTTAATATGGTTATACTAATGTGGCAACTGATCGGTCTGGCTTTGACAAAGTAAAATGGTGTTTTGAATGGCAAACCATTTGTTTGCTAGCCTTGCGTATCCAGAGGATCGGAGGGAGTATTATTCTGTCAATATGCACAAAATAAATGGTCTATGGAAATAACAATTCATTCATTTTATATTGCCTCAGTGATCAATGATGATCACTACTTGATTGATCCAGTTGTGGTGATCAGAATTAATCAGGAAGATGGCTGAAATTAATGGATTGACAGTGATATGTTTGTTGCTACCTAGAGTTTGTCATAATCATTCAAACAACACCCCGTTTATTGTTTGTTTTGCTTTATTGTGATTTTTGGCCAATTTTGCTGTTAAAATGGGCACTTGTTTGATAAACAACAAGCCCATCAGTGTGGTGAATATAATAATGTAAGTGTCTCTGATTGTATTTATAATGACAATCAATTTTTCCCTCTAATTACATTAATTATAGCATTACATACCTTTGTAATTTGCACAGGATTGTACTCAATTAAGTTCATGTTGTATTTCAATAAAGCAGTTTTGCCACTGCCGTAAATCTTTGCAACACTAAGTTGTAGAGATAGCGGCAACCGAAGATTGATCAAAAGTGTTGGAATTCAGTGGTAAATCATGTCTTGTTATTGATTACTAAAAGAGTCATTAATTTATGGAAGCTGGTTGGAGATTTTGGCAAGTTTAAAACTTATTTCAAAATCATTCTTAATCCTAGCCACAACTTTTCTTGGGAAGAGAGAGAAAGAGAGAGTGAGGATAAGAGGGAAGGAGAGAGCAAGGGAGATGGGGAAGGAGACAGTGAAAAAATAAATTAGAATTTTAAAATTTCAAAAATGATTCGATGTTGCATTTTGTTAAACAGAGTAAGGTGAAGAGTATGTATTAATATGTGGTTATTTCAAGGTCAGCAGCAACCTGACTATTACCAGGCCACAGTCAGGTTGAGTAATTGGTTTCTGACAGTAATCTTTAGTCTCTCAAATTTAGCTGACAGAAAACACCTAGCTATTCAGTCTAAAAGCAGATGGTTTGCCATAAGAATTCAAGCAGCAAGTGAAAAACAGCCCAGAGTAAGCCCTTTTCTTGCTTTCAAAATGGAAATTTCTAAAGGTATAGTCCCATTTTCTGACATTAATGAAAATGGTATAAAAAGGAATCTATAACTAGTTTGTAAAAGGCAGAAAGCCTTCATGCCTAGGAATCTTGTAATTTTTCATGTAATTTATGATACAGTATTTGATTTTTGTCATTTATACCATGTAATGGAGATTTTATTTGTCTCTAGGTTTCAAGTGTATGTTTAGTTTATCTTATCTTCATTTAGAGGTTTGAAGTACCTGTGACTAATTATGTAAGTTGACAGATTTGATATAAATAACCCCATATTCTGCTTTTTTCCTTCTCCCTTTTAAACTCTGAAAATGTTTGGAACAGTATAGGTTATGTAATGACAGGGAGCTTCTGAGCTTTTACCCCTGGGTGGAAGATTTGAACACCAGCAATGCAGCATGGCTGATAAAGAAAGAAACCTAGTATTATTGTTGCTAGATTTTTATTTCTATGGTAACCATGATGTCACTGGTACCGGCAATGCTTAAACCTCTCATTTGAAATAACTTGAGCTGATCTGGTAGGACAGAAATGTAAAAAGAAAAAAATCTAGTTAATAAAATGTAATCACCAGATGCAATGATATAGATAATGTTTGGGAATGTAAAAGGCTGAATCTTGGTTGAGACTGAAAGAAAAATGCAGCATAAAGTTTATTTTTTTAAATGAAAGCTTTTTAATATATAATGTGTAATAGACATTTAAAAATACAGTAGCAAAACAGCTATCCATTTGCTATAGCCTTTATGACTTGTAGCTAGAAAAGAAGATAGACAGGGGAAAAATCATGCTTTGGGGATTAACATTTAATTCCTGTTAAGAAACACAGAGAATAATTGATATGTATATAATCTAATAGTTACATTGCTGAAAAGCATATTAATCTTTTGTTATATTGCAGTTGGTTGTTTGCTATTTATACCCCTTTTCCTAAATTTAACCACCTCTTTCACCATTCTCTTTCCAGTGCCACAGGAAGCTTTCTTTTTGCGATTACTGTCTTTAGCAAAGAATAAGCGGCCATTTGCTTGCTGAGCTCTAATCTATCCTCTCAGAGAGTAAACTTCTTACCCATGCAGGCTCAGAAAAAAAGAAAAGATGTACCATGCTTATATTCTAGGAGAGAAGAAAGCTTATTGGAGGCATGAATAACAAGAAAACTCCCAGAGCATTTACAAAAGGGACTGTTGGACGACTAGGAGTGGGGCTTGAACTCTTCAAAGTTACCTTTATTATTCCTGCACCAAGGAGCTTTCTACAGTCAAGACAAGGGGTTGGAGTGAAAAATCAGAAGTCTGCTGTGCCTGCCCTTCCCACTGCGGTCTCTGCCCTGCCTTACCCTTGTGGCCAAGAAGCTTGATTCTTCAGTATAAAAGGACAAGGATGTCACACCTATTTATGGTAATTGTGGTTGAGGTGGAGCCCAGTGGGAGTGGAATGGTCACAGAATGCTAAGGGATTGTTACCACCCTGCCTGACATCACCCTAGCTAGCCCTATGTTGGCAGAGGTGCAGAGTGAGTTGTTCTAGGTAGGTCAAAGGTTTGAGACTCTGTTTTGTGGGTTGTTGTTGTGAAGCCACTTTGCTGCAGTGCTGGCTTGGTTTTCAAACTAACAAAACTCATTGTTTTGGGTTTAATGTTTTAAGTACTTCACAGAGGACAATTCTTTCTCATTAGATAGATTTAACTTGCCTAGCTTGATCGTATGCCTGCCAGCACTATTACTTTTCTATTGTTATCTGACTACAACTATCAACTATATAGACACTAGAGTGATAAAAATGCATCCAGTTGACATATAAGCTTAAATCCAGCTGACAATGAGCTCTGTAAATCTCTGCCTTATAAACACTCCTATGCTTGATAACATATTGAGAAAAAATACGAAATAAGAATAACTCTTTGTATTGCACTGACAACACAAAGTCATTTGGCTTTCAATGGGCAAAATGCAACATTTCCCTAAAGAAAATATTTCCAGGATTGATGTAGTATGACTTAAAATTACCTCCTGCTTATTATTTTCATATTTATGTATTCTAACAGTAGAGGTATAAAGAAACTATTTTACACATAAATAGATTGCTAATTATACAACAAGATACCCTAGATTAGCAGTATTGATTATAGCTAACATCCATTTATCATTATGAAAGTGTACTTTTCAAATACCAGGTGCCTGAGATTATACGCTCAGCAAAGTACAGATAAAATGACGTGGACATGGCTGGGCGCGGTGGCTCACGCCTGTAATCCCAGCACTTTGGGAGGCTGGGGCGGGCGGATCACGAGGTCAGGAGATCGAGATCATCCTGGCTAACACGGTGAAACCCCGTCTCTACTAGAAAAATACAAAAAAATTAGCTGGGCGTGGTGGTGGGCGCCTGCAGTCCCAGCTACTAGGGAGGCTGAGGCAGGAGAATGGCGTGAACCCAGGAAGCAGAGCTTGCAGTGAGCCCAGATCGCACCACTACACTCCAGCCTGGGCGAGAGAGCAAGACTCTGCTTCAAAAAAAAAAAAGACATGGACATAATCCATGCTCACTCTGAGAAAGAATATAAAGAATTTCTGGCATGATTTCCATAAAATATCTAGAAGAATATTAAAAAATCTCTTTCGTGATGTCCTCTAATGATATTAACACTAGAGTAAATACTTTATATAATGCAATATAAATTAGAGATTAAGAAGATGTCCTTTAGAGACTGACAGCCTGGGTTCCAATCCCATCTCCACCAAGCACCAAGGGCAATTTGACCTTGGCAATGTTCTGAACCTTTGTGGCTCAGTTCCCTCGTCTGTAAAATGAGGACACTAGCAATACCTCCATCAGAACACTGTTATTGGGGCTAAATAAAATAATGAATGTAAAGTCCACTAAGGATGTGCCTGCTTAATAGTTTGTTCTCCATAAAGGATAGCTACTTTTATTAACTCTCACTGTTTCATTGGGTCAAAATTGCATAAGGTCAAAAACCTGATGGGAGGAGGGAGAGGCAGAAAAGAAAGCAGTAGTTCATATTCAAAAAATATTATACTGCTATGTGTGTATTTAGTATATTAATAGGATTTTAGATAAGTTTCTGGTCTTTGCCCTCTATGTCTTTTCCACTGCGTGTAGTTTCCTGAATTATTAATATTACTTTACTTACCACCCCCAATTATAAAATGTCTATTTATTCCCACGGATGGCCATTTGTTTCCCATTGTATAGTTCAAAATTGTCCATTCTATACTGTTCCCATTGCCCAGGGATAGAAGTAATGAAAGCTCTTTTTTTTTAGTATTTCATCCTTTGACCCATGATCTGCTCCAAGCAACTCTCCTCATGCCTGACAAACACTTCTACCACGTAGTTGTACTATTTTTCTATTTTTGCCAGTTCTTTAGTGATTCTCCAAGAGTAATATTTGCTATTGGTTTGTGTTGTGTCATTGCCATTTTTTGCTAACTATGGCTTTCAATTAATCATAAGTTTCTAACCATCTTTATTATTAGATAATTAGCTATTTGATGGAGTAGATCTTTTTCTGTATCCCAAACTCTCTGCAGAGTGTCAATAAATATTTTGGGAAGAAAAGTAAGGGAGTCCTGTAGATGTGATCACCAAATATGATATCAACTTGTCTTAGGAAAGAAAATAAAATCTCAGGGGAATCCTATGTATTGTCACATAGGACAAAGATTCAGTCCAAATTTCACTCCATCACCTACTAGTTAAGTGATGTGGTATAAAGTAGTTAGTGCCTCTGAATTTCAGTTGTCCAAATCTATAAAAGGCGTTACTGATCATATCTGTCTTTTAGAGTTGTTATAGGCATCAAGTGAGATATGGTTAAGTCCCCACGTTGTTTAGATGATGTTCCACTTGTTTTTCGCTATTTAACAAACAACTCTCAAATTTAGTGGCTTAACCTCAGCAACAACATTATTTTTCTCATGAATCTGCAATTTGGACGGACTTAGAGAGAACAACTCATTTCTGCTCTACTTGGTGTCAGCTAAGGGAAGTTTAAACGCTGAATGAAGGCTAGAATCATATGATGTCTCATTCACATGTCTGGCAGTCGATGTTGGCTGTAGGTTGAAACCTTAGATGGGGCTGTCAGCTGGAACATATATATATATGGCAGTGTGTACATTCCAAGGACATGCAGTAAAAGAGAGAGAGAGAAAGAGAGGGAGAGAGAGAGAGGGAGAGAGAGAAAGAGAGAGAGAGAGAGAGAGCAAAGTAGAAGCTGTATTTGCCTCTTATAACACCAGAAATCTCATGGCATCATTGCTACCATATACTATTTAACAAAAGCGAATCAGTAAGGCTCACGCATATTCAAGGAAAGAAAGATCAATTTCCACATTTTGGTGAGCGGAGTATCATAGTATATGTAGACCACCACGTATATTACCACCACTACTACTAGGTGGCATTTTTTGAGTGTTTAGTACATTCCAATTTAGTAGGTACTATATTGCATTGTATAATTTAATCCCCAACAAATATCTGTCCCAATTTAGACAGAAAAATTCCTAGAATAAAATCATTGAGGAGAAAAAAGCCAATGCATGCAAAATGAACTTAAAATGCTGTGGTATCTATTGTCCGTCACTTTTTCCTCTTGATCAAACCTCTGTTTCTTGAAAGAGGAAAGTTTAAAGCTATTTAAACTGAAAGATTAAATTCATTGTTTGTAGGCCTGTATAACTTTCTGTCCTTTTTTTTGACTGCTAAGCGTGAAACACTTCATATTGTTTATCAAGTGAAGGCTAAAATGGGCAGTAATCCATGAGAACAACACATGTTTTTACTCCACAGAGGCAGAGGCATTGTACCCATTTTAAAATGCAGAAAATGATGCTTAGAGATAGTAAATGTCTTGCTCAAGGTTACATGTGGGAGGAGCTGGGAGTAAATTCAAAGTCATATTGTTAACAGCTATAATATGTACTCTTTCCCTTTGTGCCATTACACTTTTGTGATGATATGAATGCATTTTATGTGTCTGTGTTTGTGGTGAAACAGAGCATGACTGCTAAGTGCTTAATCAGTGGGCAAAATTAATTTGGCTTTATTGTTCTGATAGAGGAATAAATTTGATACCTTTAAATAGGTACTGCATTAAAATTATAAGAACCTGCCCATAGTTCTGTCTGAAGTGACTGCCTAACTCTGGTCAATGGACAATAGCTTAAAACTCAGAATCAGTACCCTTTTAATAATCAGCTCTCAATAATGTATAAGATATTAGTGTCAGAGCAGATACTCTACAACTAAGTGTCTAACTCAGTCACCAGTCAGGAACTCTTGGGAGCATGTGGTTCAAAGAAACAGAGAAAATTGAAGTTAGTGGCCCAGCTTCCTGGTCACTCATTTGATGGGTTTTCTGCTTCTGCACGTATGGCAAGTGAAATCTTTCACTAGATGATGGCCAGAGACATTAGATGCTGTGACTGTTATGGTTTATTTCTATGACGAGTGCTGAGGAATGCCTTGTGATTACAGTAATCATTGCCAGCACAATTCAACTTTTGAACTCTGCCCAGCCTTGTTTATAGAACAGTTGCACACTTTTTGTTGGTTTTGGAAAATCCCAACACTTCGCCCTTGCCTGAATTGTCTTGACTGATAGTGTGATGTCATTCATTTAACTCAATGAGTACACAGCCCTCTGCTTTTCTTGGCTCTGTCAGTGTAGCCTCATGGGGCGTGGTAATTTTATGTGGGAGGAAAACAGCTGTATATCATTGTCCTTGAGTATGGAATGAATTTAGAAAGAGAAAGAGGCCCACAAAGGAGATAAATGGACAATGTCTGCTATATATAGTGTCAAATGAAATGGGTAAAATGAGATTGATAGTATTATTAGTTAGCCATGCCTTTTGGGACATTCAAATTTAAAAATGCAAAAAATGCAAAAAAGATGGTTGTACATAGAGAATGCATCTACTTTCATATTCTTGCTTTACTGAAATTCAACTATATTGTTGCTGAATGTTACCTTTTTAAAAATTCATACATTAAAATAAGTAAAACATTTAAGGTACAGATTTCAATCTTCCTCATTTTGGTTTTGTTTTTATGTGTGTGAAGTTCAACTAGAAGCAAATTGTAAAACTCTTTTGTACATGAGCTGAACATTTTTGGGCCATCAAGTCAACTAGTGTAGATAATTTCTATAAGAGCATGGTTTGTCTTAACGGAATGTTTGTCCCAATTTGGATAGAACAGAATCATTGAAGAGAAGAAAGTCTATGCACGCAAAATGAATTTAAGGTGCTGTGGTATCTGTCTATCCATCACTTTTTCCTTGTGATCAAACCTTTGTTTTTTGAAAGAGGGAAGTTTAAGGCTATTTAAACTAAAAGGTTAAATCCATTGCTTGTAGGCCTATATAACTTTCTGTTCTTTTTTGTTTTGCCTGCTAAGCATGAAACACTTTGTTTGTATTCTGTTTGCCAAGTGAGGGCTAAAATGGGCAGTTATCCATGAGAACGGCACATGTTTATACTCCTCCACAGAGGCAGATATTTAATGAGCGTATGAACATTTGGTGAACACATAATTATCTTATAAACATTTGTTTTGTGGTGTTTCCAACAAAAATAATACTTTTAAAGAAAGCAAGAGAATTACATTTTGTACTTTATCACTTTAATTATATTATTTCATGCCAAGATTAAAGAGGCAAAAGTTGATGTTCTTCCTATCTGCCATGCCATAACTACTTATTTCAAAATGAATCCTTTTTTGATAGATCTTTCAAGAAGCTGTGTTCAATTTTTCACTGTATCCATATAACACCAGGTATCTAAGCACTTAGGTTTCAGATGTCAGGGCCGGAGAATCCAGATTACAGGTTTAATATCATGAAAAATTGTATATGTTATTAAATAGCAAGCAGATATTAAATGTTGTCAAGGTTTATGAGTATAATAAATGAAAAAATGGGCCACAGATGTGATGTTTACTAGTATATACTCTCAATACACAATCAGCCAAGGTGTGTATGATCATTAAATGTTTCATTTCACAAAATGGCTATACTTGAAAACCTATATTATTATGATTGGTTCAGAACTGTCTGAAGAATTCATGACATCAAGATTGTACTTATCTCAGATCTGGATAAGATTTCTATACAAATATTTTATTAATGCCTATAGCTATCTATACTGTATGTGGAAAAGAAAATCTGCTTTCATATGCCAGGTCAGTGAATTTGGATATAGGGCTGGAGGAGAGGGTGGATATATGGAATATTCTAAATTACATGTTTACTCTCCAAATCTATGCTTTCCATTGGGCGTCTGTACCTGCCTCCCCAGAAGTTTTAACGTAATTATTGTATACAATTTGACTAAAACAGTCTACTTATAGTATTTCCAAGCCCAGAAAAATGGTAACAATTAGCATGGTTATCTGAATGACTGATCTTTAAATATATGCTTCTCCCTAATTTTTGAAAATAGAAGAACAATGCATTTAGCCCACAAATATTTTTTTGTGTCTAACATGTACCACTGTTATGCAGCTAATCATATTGATTTATAATTATTGTTTACCAATATTTTTCCCTGGCTACACTGTGTTCTCTAGAAGGAAAGAGATTATGTTTTAATCATCTGTATACTCTCATGACTCAGCAAAAGGAATGAAAGATAACTTCCCAATAAACGAATAGTGAATATGTGAGTGGTTATATGAATAAATGCGTAAGTGTAGGAATGGAAAAAAATCTAGTCAACAGTATAGCAGTGGATATAGGGAAGTAGAAGAAGAAAAGATTATTTCCAACTTGGAGAATAGAGTGGTAGGAATGCCAGGAAAGATACTGGGGCTGAGATGACACTTGAATTGGGTCTTAAAGTGTGGATAAGAGACTATTAGATTTGGCTGCCAGTCCTTCGTTACTTTATACAACAGGTTCAATGAAATGCTGAGGGTGAACAGCAGATTGCAAGAGACTGAAGATTGGGATAGATATGAAGAAATAGACATAAAATTTCTCCTTTCAAATAATTTTATGATGAGTATCAGGTATCTGGAGCTATCCGGTCCTGGGTTTCAACCCTGGTTTTGCTCCTTACAAGCTGTGTGAATATGAGCAACCTATTAATCTCTCTGTGCTCCAATCTATGTAATAAGGCGAATGAAAGTAACTATAACTATTATGGTATTGAATGAGAAACTCTGTGTAGGCAAGTATCACAGCATTTGGTGTAAGTGCTGAAATCAACATGAAACAAAGGAGAGAGGACAGTAGCAGGAGGGAATAGCAAAGTAGAGTAAGGGAATTACTCTTTCGCCGAGAATTCTGAGATCTCAAATGAGTGACAACAATTTTCTCATAGTAAAATCTTATGTAATATTCAATGACATTTCCTCAATCAAGAGCTTTAACAAACAAGCAAATGATTTTATTTGATAATGAAGTCCTCTCCTGTTCTTCTGTGCTGCCTTTTCCCAGTACTTTTATACTGCTGAGCAATCCTTCCTATGAATCTTTTTACTTCCAGAGTTATGAATATCTGCTCAACCTGCTTCTAAAATAAACTTTTGTCAAACTTAGGATCATGCTATGAGAATTAAAAGGTGACAGAATTATACTACTATCACTTTTTTGAGTAATATTTTTGAATTTTAGAATGTGCCTTCCAGAAGCACAATGACTGAAGTCATTTGTCTATTGATAATTTATATTCTGCCTACTTCCCCAAGAAATTTGTCATGGTACAATATGCCAAGACAGTGACTCTAATTACTGGTGAGAATTTTAGGTTTAACTTTACTCATTAATTTTTTCCTGAAGCTCTTTGGATAGATTCTCCAGGAAACTGATGCAGGCCTGCGGGAGAGCTATTGTTGGAAAGCAGATATCTCAATGCCACTTAAAGCATATCCCACTCGGTTTTCCCGTTAGATTAGCTTTAGCCCACAAATGAAAGATCTGTGTTCTGTGTAGAAAATTTACTGTTTCTAGTTGGGTGCAGTGGCTCACGTCTGTAATCCCAGCACTTGGAGAAGCCAAAGGGGGCGGATTATTTGAGGCCAGGAGTTCAAGACCAGCCTGGCCAACATGGTGAAACCCTGTCTCTACTGAAAATACAAAAATTAGCTGGGGTGGTGGCACACTCGTGTAATCCCAGCTACCAGGGCAGCTGAGGCACAAGAATCGCTTGAACCTGGGAGACAGAGGTTGCAGTGAGCCAAGATCATGCCACTGCCCTCCAGCGTGGGCGACAGAGTGAGACTCCATCTCAAAAAAAAAAAAAAAAGAAAATAGAATACATGCTGCTTCCAAGTTTTGTTTGTATCAACATTATTGAGATGATTTATGTACAATAAAATTAATTTATTTAAAATGTGCAATTTGGTGGATTCACATATGTTTACATCTGTAAAGCCACCATGACAATCAAGATAGGAAACATTTCTAACACCCCGAAAGCTTCCTCATGCCATTTTGCATTGCGCTCCTCCTTCTGCCACTGGCCCTAGGTGCCAGATCTGCTTTCTGTCATTATAGATTAGTTTGCATCTTCTAGAGTTTTATATTAATGGAATCATGCAGTACATATTCTTTTGTGTCTGGCTTCTTTCAATCAGCCTAATTATTTTGAAATTTATGCATGTTTTTGCATATTCCAATAATTCATTATTTTTACTGATAAGTAAGTACTAACATTGTTTATCTATTCACTTATTGATGGGTATTTGAGTTGTTTCCAGTTTTAAGCATTATGAGTAGAGCTGCTCTAAACATTCATGTACAAACATTTTTGTGGACATATGTTTTTATTTCTCTTGGACAAATATCAAGTAATGGAATGACCAGATTATATAGTAGATCTGTGTTCAATTTTTTGAGTAATTGCCAAATATAAAACATACAAGGAGCTCACAAAACTCAATAACAAAAAAAAAAAAAAAAAAAAAACAAATAACCCAATTAAAAAATGGGCAAAGGACCTGAATGGATATTTTTCCAAAGAAGACATAAAAAAGCCCAACAGATACATGAAAAGGTGCTCAGCATCACAAATCTGTAGGGAAATGCAAATCAAAACCACAGCTACACGCCACCTCATACCTATCACAATGGCTATTATCAAAAAGGAGATAAGAAGTGCTGGTGAGGGTATGGAGAAAAGAAGATTACACTTTTGGCAGGAATGTAAATTGGTGAAGTCATTATGGAAAACAGTATGACATTTCCTCAAAAAATTCAAAATAGAACTACCCTATGGTCTAGTAATCCCTCTTTTGGGCATATATCCAAAAAAAAAATGAAATCAGTTTCTTGAAGAGATATCTGCACCCCTACATTCACTGAAGCATTATTCACAATAGCCAAGATATAGAAATAGCCTAAGTGTCTGTTAATGGATATACGGATGAAGAAAATGTGCTGGTAGTGGTGGTGTGTGTGTATGTGTATGCATACGTTTTACATATAATGTATATATAATGAAATATTATTCAGCCTCAAAAATGAAGGAAATTCTGCCATTTGTCTCAACATGGATGAATCCGGAGGGCATTATGCTAAGTGAAATAAATCAGACACAGAAAGACACATATTGTATAATCTCACTTACATGTGGAATCTATAAAAGTTGAATTCCTCGAAGTAGAGAGTATAGCAATGGTTGCCAGCTTCTGGGGTGGGAGAAGTGGGGAGATGTTGGTCAACGTGTACAAACTTTCAGTTATAAGATGAATAAGGTCTGGGGATCTATCATATAGGATGGTGACTATAGTTAATATATTCTATTATTTACTTAAAATTCAATAAGAGAGCAGATTCTAAATGCCCACATCATACACACACACATACACACATACACACAAAGAGTAACTGTAGGTGGTAATGTGTTAATTTGATCGTGGTAATCATTACACAATTTATATGTCTATCAAAGCATCACATTGTACACCTTGCATACATGCATTTTTAATTTGTCAATTAAATAATCTTAATTTGTTAATAAGAAAACATCAGTTGAAAAAAATCTTACTTCAGCTCTTAGGCTTAACTGAAAGCTGGTTTGAGTCTGCCCTACACTACACATGCATGGTTCAGAGTCAGTCAAAGACAGGAAGATGTTATACACAGAATTGGAACTCTTTTTCCTTTTCCTTTCTCCCTCCCAGGATTCAATATTCACTTTCTTGCAGTTGAGGTTGCCCCAAACTCTGTTATCCATTTGCTTAGGGCAGAAAAATGGCAGATTTTCTATTGGAGGTTTAGTTGACCCAATCTACCTTACTATGTTATTTTGCCCTCAGGCCCACACTGTCAAGAAACACAGAACTGTTACTTCAAACTTGTTTCTTTTCCACCTCTTACCATGCATTCAAAAATTCCATCCACATCTCATGTTGATTCTTACTTGATCAGTCAAAATATCTAGTCTTTACTCTTATGCTCAGGTCAAACATAATATCTTGCCCTATCCTTTACTTACACATTTTTAAATTTCATTGTTACACACAAATTGTGGTTATATTAGTTTTCTATTGCTTTGATAACAAACTACTATAAACCTGGCAACTTAAACAACACAAATTTATTATCTATAGTTTTGTAAGTTTGACACAGGTCTCACTGGGTTAAAATCAAGGTGTCAACAAGGCCACATTCCTTTGTGGGAAACCTAGGAGAGAATCTGTTTCCTTATTTAGGTTGTTTGCAGACTCCAGCTATAGAACTGAGGGCTCTCTTTTTTTGCTGGTTGTCTGCTGAAGGGCGTTTCCAACTTCAAAGCCAGGAAAGATGAGACAACTCTCTCACGTGGTGAGAATAGGCTCGTTTTATTCTTTCATTGCTTATCTATGACTGAGCCTTTTACCTTCCAGTTCCACTTTTATGAACCCATTTGATTACATAAAGCCTACCCAGATACTACAGGATAATCTCTGTATCAAAGTCCCCAACTTTAATCACATCTACAAAGTCCTTTTTGCCATGTATAGTAACATATTCACAGGTTCTAAAGATTCGGGCCTGGAAATTTCATAGGGCTCACCATTCTGCCTACTACAGTGGTCTTTAACATTTTATTGTATTTTGAAATATTTAAGATGTACCAAAAGCTACAAAAAAATTCATAAGCAACCATGTTCTCATGGAATAATTCCCTGTGCACTCCTGCCCCTTTACATCCCCCTCCTATTTGCTCCATATGTAACTATTACCATGAATGCAGAGTTCAGATTCCCAAGTATTTCTTTGCCTGCCTAAGCAGTATATAACGTTTGAGTATTGGGCTTTACTTTTCTTCCAGTTAGAATTTCACGTAGTGCATTCGGTTCCTATTTTGGCCTAATCAGATTTTATCATTCTTCCAATATTTGTATTTGTTTTGTCTCTGATAGACATGTAAAAAGCATCCTTAATACAAGTCAACAAAAATGTTGGCACGGGCAGAACTTGAGTCAGAAGTGAAGAATACCATCAGGGTTTCCCTTTTACGTTGACAATGATTCATTATTAGGCAGTAACTGGGTACCGTGATTCAACCAATGAGCAATAAATCTAATGTTATATGGTAGATGGTTGCTAAAGATGGCTTCTTTCCATTCCTGTTGCATGCCATTATTTAAAATTAACATAATTTTTTTATGTTTATAAATTTAAGGGATACAAGTGCACTTTTGTTGCATGGATAAATTGTGCAGTAGTTTTAGATTTACAGAAAATTGAGCAGACAGTACAGAGGATTTCCACACACTACCTCTCTCTACCACTTATAGTTCTCCTTGTTATTAATATCTTGCATTATTTACTATCATGGACTGAGTTGTATTTCCCCTAAATTCATATGTTGAAGTCCTAGCCCCCATTACATCAGAATATGATGATATTTGTAAATAGGGTATTTGAAGTGGTAATTAAATTAAAATGAGGTTATTAGAGTGGTTCTTAATTTGTTATGATTTGTGTCCTTATAAGAAGGGGAACTTTGGACATAGACAGGTACAGGAGGAAGATGTTATGAATACACAGGGAGAATATGGTCATCTATAAGTCAAGAAGAAAAGCTTCATAAGAAACCAATTGCTGGCCAGGCGCGGTGACTCAGGTCTGTAATCCCAGCACTTTGGGAGCCCGAGGCAGAAGGATCACCTGAGGTCAGGAGTTTGAGACCAGCCTGGCCAACATGGTGAAACTCGCTCTCTCCTAAAAATACAAAAAATTAGCCGGGTGTGGTGGCGCACGCTTGTAATCCCAGCTACTCGGGAGGCTGAGGTAGGGGAATCGCTCGAACCTGGGAGGCAGAGGTTGCAGTGAGCTGAGATTGTGTCATTGCGTGACAAGAGTGAAACTCTGAAAAAAGAAAGAAAGAGAGAGAAAGAAAGAGAGAGAAAGAAAGAAGAAAGAAAGAAAGAGAAAGAAAAAGAAAGAAAGAAAGAAAGAAAAAGAAAGAAAGAAAGAAAAAGAAAAGAAAAGAAAAGAAAAGAAAAGAAAAGAAAGAATAAAAAAAAAACAATTGCTTTGGACTCAGCTGTGTCACTCTCCTGCCCCTGCCCCAAAATTAATATGTTGAAGCCCTAGCCCCCAATGTGATGACATTTGAAGGTGTAACTTTTGTGAAGTGATTAGGTTTAGATGAGTTCATGAGGATTGAACCTTCATAATAGGATTAATGCTCGTATAAGAAGAGACTCTAGAACTCTCTCTCTTCTCTCTGTGAGGACACAGCAAGAAGATGGCAGTCTGCAAGCCAGGAAGAGAGCCCTTAACAGAACTTGATCATGCTGTCATCCTGATCTTGGACATCCCAGCCTCCAGAACTGTAAGAAATAAATGTCTGCTGTAGAAGTCACCCAGTTTTTGGTATTTTGTAATAGTAGCCAGAGCTTGTGGACATCTTGATCTCAGACTTCTAGCCTCCAGAAAAGTGAGAAAATAAATTTCTGTTGTTTATGCCACCCAGCCCATAGTAGACTTTGTTTTGTCAGCCTCAGCAAACTAATACAATTATTAATTTGTTGTAATACTAATACAATTATTTGCTATGACTGATTAATCAACATTGATATACCATTATTAACTAAAATTCATAGCTTACATTAGGATCCTCTCTGTGTGTTGTATAGTCTATGGGTCTAACAAACGTATAATTTCATGTGCCTACCATTAGAGTATCATATAGAATATTTGCAGTAACCTGAACTCCTCTGTGCTTCACTTATAAATTCTGCTTCTCACTCCCACCTGCAAACCTCTGCCAACAACTGACCTTTTTTACCGTCTGTATAGTTTTGTCTATTCCAGGATGTTATATGAAAATAATATAGTAGGTAGCCTTTACACATTGTCTTCTTTCACCTGGCAATATGCATTTAGTAATATGCATGTCTTTTCATAGGTTGATGCTTCATTTCTTTTTATCACTAAATAATGTTTCATTACAGCACAGTTTATCCATTCAGTTTTTGAAGGGCATCTTGGCTCTTTCCAGTTTTTGGCAATTATAAATAAAGCTGCTGCTATAAATACTTGTTTGCAGGTTTTTGCATGGCCATACATTTTCAACTCAATTGGCTAATTACCTAAGAATGTGATTACTGGATCATTTGGTAAGACTATATTTAGGCTTGTAAGAAACTGCCAAATTATCTTCCAAAGTGGCTGTATCATTTGTGCATTCTCACTGGGTTTCGTGGTGGCCACATCCTTGCAAATCTACCCCAAAGTCCAAGGAAGCTGAGAGAATGAAGAAAGGGCCTGATAAACCTAGTTTCTTAGAAAGAAACATTTAATGAGAACTTACAAACAGAAGTCATGTCTGTGTCTTGGGTGGAGGCAAGACAAGATAGTGGATCACTGCAATTACCCTCCATACCCAGGGCTTATATATCATCAGGAGGGATGGTTGAGAATGAATGTGTAGCACAATTGCAGTATGATAACATCAAGATTGTCTGACCTAAGGGCAGGATTTACGATAAGTACCTGCTCTTACACAAGGAACAATAAACTGGAAATCTTAGAGGCCTTCCTGGAACAGGAGTTAATCAGAAACCAACATGACAGATTAGCTGCCAAGATGAAGTTGGTTTAGCTTTCACACACCAACCAGCAATGAATAAGAGTATCTGTTGATCCACATCTCCACTAGCATTTGGTATTGTCTGCTTTTTGGATTTTCACCATTCTAATAGATGTGTAGTGATAATGTCATTGCTTTAATTTACAATTCTCTAATGTCATATGATATTGAGCATGCATTCATTTGTTTATTCATATTGTCTTATTTAGGGAAGTATCTGTTTAAATCTTTTGTCCACTTTTTAATTGGGTTGTTTTCTTATTGCTGAGTTTTAAGTGTTCTTTGTACATTTCGGATATAAGTTCTTTATCAATGTGTTTTGCAAATATTTTCTTCAGTTGGTTGATTGTCTTTTCATTCTCTCTCTCTCTCTCTCTCTCACTCTCTCATTTTTTTTTTTTTTTTTTGAGACAAGGTCTCCTTCTATTGCCCATGTTGGAGTGCAGTGGCTATCATGGGTCACTACAGCCTCAATCTCCCAGGCTCAATCGATTCTCCTGCCTCACCTCCCGACTAGCTGTGACCACAGGGGCATGCCACCACGCCTGGCAAATTTTTTTATATTTTGTGTAGAGATGGAGTTTTGGCATGTTGCCCAGTCTGATATCAAACTCCTGCGCTCAAGTGATCAGCCTGGTTCAGCCTCCCAAAGTGCTGGGATTACAGGCATGAGTTCATTCTCTTAACAGTGTCTTTTGCAGAGCACATATCTTTAATTTTAATGAAGTCCATTTGTCAGTTTTTTTCTTTCATGATGTTTTAAGGTGTTTTATCTAAAAAGTTATAGCCAAACCAAAGTCACCTAGATTTTCTTCTGTTATCTTCTAGGAGCTTTATAGTTTTACAATTTACATGTAGGCTTATTATTTATTTTGGGTTTTGTGTGTGTGTGTGTGTGAAAGGTGTGATGTCTGTGTCTAGGTTATTTTTTTGCATGTAGATATACCATTGTTTCAGAATCATTTTTTTTTTAAGTGGAGAAATCTTTTTTAAAAAACTTTCAGTAGTTTTTTGGCACATGTAGTTTTTGGTTACGTGGATGAATTGTATAGTAGTAAATTCTGAGATTTTTAGCACACCTGTCACCTGAGTAGTGTACATTGTACCTAATGTATGTTTTTTTAATCCCTGGACCACCTCCCACCCTCTCCCTTCTGAGACTCTAAATTCCATTAGATCACTCTATATGCCTTTGCTTACTCATAGCTTAGCTCCCACTTGTAAATGAGAATATATGGTTTTTGGTTTTCCACTCCTGTGTTACTTCACTTAGAATAATGGCCTCCAGCTCCATCCAAATTGCTGCAGAAGACATTATTTTGTTCCTTTTATTGGCTGAGTAGTATTCCATGGTGTATATAACTACATTTTATTTATCCACTCATTAGTTGATGGGCATTTAGTTTGGTGCCATATCCTTGCCATTGTAGATTGTGCTGCTATAAACATACGTGTGCGTGTGTCTTTTCCTTTAGGTAGATACGCAGTAGTGGGATTGCTGGATCTAACGGTAGATCCACTTTTAGCTCTTTCAGGAATCTCCATACTGTTTTCCAAAGAGGTTATACTAATTTACATTCCTGCCAGCAGTGTATAAGCATTTCCTTTTCCCCACCTTCAGGCCAACATCAATTTTTTTTTATTTTTAATAATGGACATTCTTGCAGAAGTAAGGTGGTATCTCATTCTGGTTTTAATTTGCAATTCCCTGATGATTACTGATGTTGACCATTTTTTTCTTATGTTTGTTGGCCATTTGTTGATGTACTTTTAAGAAATGTCTATTCATGTCCTTTTGCCCATTTTTTAATGTGATTAATTGTTTTTTTCTTGGTGATTTGTTTGAGTTCCTTATAGATTCTGGATACTAGTCCTTTGCTGGATATATAGTTTGCAAATATTTTCTCCCACTCTATGGGTTATCTTTTTACTCTGTCAATTACTTGTTTTGCTGTGCAGAAGCTTTTTAGTTTAATTAGGTCCCATTTATTTCTATTTTTGTTGCACTTGCTTTTGGAGTCTTAATCATAAATTCTTTTCCTAGGCAAATGTCTAGAAGAGTTTTTCCAGTGTTGTCTTATATAATTTTTTTTATTTCTTCTAAAAAAATGTGATACATGTGCAGAATGTGCAGGTTTGTTACATAGGTATACGTGTGCCATGGTGGTTTGCTGCACCTACCAACCCATCTTCTAAGTTCCCTTCCCTCAACCCACACCTCCAGTGTGTGTTGTTCCCCTCTCTGTGTCCATGTGTGTTCTCATTGTTCTACTCCCACTTATGAGCGAGAACATGCAGTATTTGGTTTTCTGTTCTTGTGTTAGTTTGCTGAGGATGATGGCTTCCAGCGTCTTCCATGTCCCTGCAAAGGACATGATCTTATTCCTTTTTATGGCTGCATAGTATTCCACAGTGTATATGTACCACATTTTGTTTATCCAGTCTATCATTGATGGGCATTTGGGTTGTTTCCATGCCTTTGCTATTGTAAATAGTGTTGCAATAAACATATGTGTGCATGTGTCTTTACAGTAGAATGATTTATATTCCTTTGAGTATATACCCAGTAATGGGATTGCTGGGTCAAATGGTATTTCTGGTTCTAGATCCTTGAGGAATCACTGTACTGTCTTCCACAAGGTTGAATTAATTTACATTCCCATCAACAGTGTAAAAGCATTCCTATTTCTCCATGGCCTTGCCAGCATCTATTGTTTTCTGACTTTTTAATAATCACCATTGTGACTGGCATGAGATGGTATCCCGTTGTGGTTTTGATTTGCATTTTTCTGACAAACAGTGATGTGACTTTTTTTCATATGTTTGTTGGCTGCATAAATGTCTTCTTTTGAGAAGTGTCTGTTCATATCCTTTGCCAACTTTTTGATGGGGTTGTTTTTTTCTTGTAAATTTGTTTATGTTCTTTGTAAATTCTAGACATTAGACCTTTGTCAGATGGGTCAATTGCAAAAATTTTCTACCATTCCGTAGGTTGCCTGTTCACTCTGATGATAGTTCCTTTTGCTGTGCAGAAGCTCTTTAGTTTAATTAGATCCCATTTGTCAATTTTGGCTTTTGTTGCAATTGCTTTTGGCATTTTTGTCGTGAAATCTTTGCCCGTGCCTATGTACAGATTGGTATTGACTAGGTTTTCTTCTTGGGTTTTTATGGTTTTGGGTTTTACATTTAAGTCTTTAATCCATCTCGAGTTAATTTTCTCATAAGGTGTAAGGAAGGGGTCCAGTTTCAATTTCCTGCATATGGCTAGCCAGTTTTCCCAGCACCATTTAGTGAATAGGAGATCCTTTCCCCATTGCTTGTTTTTGGCAGGTTTGTCGAAGATCAGATGGTTGTAGATGTGTGGTGTTATTTCAGAGGTCTCTGTTCTCCTCCATTGGTGTATATGTTTGTTCTGGTACCAGTACCATGCTGTTATGGTTATTGTAGCCTTGTAGTATAGTTTGAGGTCAGGTAGCATGATGCCTCCAGCTTTGTTCTTTTTGCTTAGGATTGTCTTGGCTATATGGTGTCTTCTTTGATTCCATATGAAATTTAAAATAGTTTTTTTCTAATTCTGTGAAGAATGTCAATGGTAGTTTGACAGGAATAGCATTGAATCTATAAATTATTTTGGGCAGTATGGCCATTTTCATGATATTGGTTCTTCCTATCCATGATGACGGAATGTTTTTCCATTTGTTTGCATTCTCTCTTTTTTCCTTGAGCAGTGATTTGCAGTTCTCCTTAAAGAGGTCCTTCACATTCCTTGTTAGCCATATTCCTAGGTATTTTATTCTCTTTGTAGCGATTGTGAATGTGAGTTCATTCATGATTTGGCTTTCTGCTTGTCTATTGTTGGTGTAAAGGAATGCCTGTGATTTTTGCACATTGATTTTGTATCCTGAGACTTTGCTGTAGTTGCTTATCAGTTTTAGGAGTTTGGGGGATGAGATGATGGTTTTTTCTAAATATGAAATCATGTCATCTGCAAACAGAGACAGTTTGACTTCCTGTCTTCCTATTTGAATGTCCTTTATTTCCTTATCTTGTCTGATTGCTCTGGCCAGAACTTCCAATACTATGTTGTATAAGAGTGGTGAGAGAGGGCATCCTCATCTTGTGTCAGTTTTCAAAGGGAATGCTTCCTGCTTTTGCCCATTCAATATGATATTGGCTGTGGGTTTGTCATAAATAGCTCTTATTATTTTGAGATATGTTCCATCAATACCTAGTTTATTGAGAGTTTTCAACATGAAGGGATGTTGAATTTTATCAAAGGCCTTTTCTGCATCTATTGAGATCATCGTGTAGTTTTTGTCTTTGGTTCTGTTTATGTGATGGATTATGTTTATTGATTCACATATGTTGAACCAGCCTTACATCCCAGGGATGAAGCTGACTTAATCATGGTGGGTAAGTTTTTTGATGTGCTGCTGGATTCGGCTTGCCAGTATTTTATTGAGGATTTTCACATCCATATTCATCAGGAATATTGGCCTGAAAGTTTTGTGTGTGTGTGTCTTTCTGGTTTTGGTATCAGGATGATTCTGGCTTCATAAAATGAGTTAGGGAGGAGTCCCTCCTTTTCAATTGTTTGGAATAGTCTCAAAAGGGATGGTACCAATTCCTCATAGAATTCAGCTGTGAATTCTTCTAGTCCTGGGCTTTTCTTCGTTAGTAAGATATTAATTACTGCCTCAATTTCCAAACTTGTTATTGGTCTATTCAGGGATTTGACTTCTTCCTGGTTAATCTTCGGAGAGTGTATGCATCCAGGAATTTATCCATTTCTTCTAGATTTTCTAGTCTATTTGCATGGAGGTGTTTATATTATTCTCTGATGGTAGTTTGTATTTCTGTGGGGTCAGTGGTGATATCTCCTTTATCATTTTTTATTGTGTCTATTTGATTCTTCCCTCTATTCTTTATTAGTCTAGCTAGTGGTCTATCTATTTCGTTAATTTTTTCAAAAAACCAGCGTTCGAATTCATTGATGTTTTAGAGGGTTTTTTGTTTCTCTATCTCCTTCAATTCTTCTCTGATTTTAGTTATTTCTTGTCTTCTGCTAGCTTTTGGATTGATTTGGTTCTCAACTCTCTAGCTTTTTAAATTGTGATGTTAGGGTATTGATTTGAGATGTTTCAAGCTTTCTGATGTGTGCATTTAGTGATATAAATTTCCCTTTAACACTGCTTTGGCTATCTTCCAGAGATTCTTGTATGTTGTCTCTTTGTTCTCATTAGTTTCAAAGAACTTCTTGATTTCTGCCTTAAATTCATTATTTATCCAGGAGTTATTCAGGAGAACCTTGTTCAATTTCCATGTAATCGTGTGGTTTTGAGTGAGTTTCTCAATCCTGAGTTCTAATTTGGTTGCACTGTGGTCTGAGAGACCGTTTGTTATGACGTAAGTTCTTTTGCATTTGCTGAGGAGTGTTTTACTTCCAATTATGTGGTCGATTTTAGAATAAGTGCCATGTAGCACTGAGAAGAATGTATATTCTGTTGATTTGGGGTAGAGAGTTCTATAGATGTCTACTAGGTCCACTTGATCCAGAGCTGAGTTCAAGTCCTGAATATTATTCTTAATTTTCTATCTTGTTGATCTGTCTAATAGTGACAGTGGGGTGATAAAGCCTCCCACTATTATTGTATGGGAGTCTAAGTCTCTTTGTAGGTCTCTAAGAACTTGTTTTATGAATCTGGGCGCTCCTGTATTGGGTGCATATATATTTAGAATAGTTAGCTCTTCTTTTTGAATTGATCCCTTTACCATTATGTAATGCTTTACCATTATGTAATGCTTCTATGTCTTTTTTCATCTTTGTTGGTTTAAAGTCTGCATCGTCAGAGACTAGCATTGCAACCCCTCCTTTTTTTTTCTTTCTATTTGCTTGACACATTTTCCTCCATTCCTTTATTTTGAGCCTATGTGCGTTTTTGCACATGAGATGGGTCTCCTGAATACAGCTCACCGATGGGTCTTGACTCTTTATCCAAGTTGCCCATCTGTGTCTTTTAATTGGAGAATTTAGGCCATTTACATTTAAGGTTAGTATTGTTATGTGTGAATTTGATCCTGTCATCAAGCTGCTATTTGGTTATTTTGCACACTAGTTGATTCAGTTTCTTCGTAGTGTCATTGGTCTTTATATTTTGGTGTGTTTTTTCAATGGCTGGTACTGGCTTTTCCTTTCCATATTTAGTGTTTCTTTCAGGAGCTCTCACAGGGCAGGCCTGGTGGTAATGAAATCCCTCAGCATTTGCTTGTCTGGAAAGGATTTTATTTCCCCTTTGCTTATGAAGCTTAGTTTGGCTGGATATGAAATTCCGGGTTGAAAATTTTTTCTTTAAGAATGTTGAATATTGGCCCCAAATCTCTTCTGGCTTGTAGAGTTTCTGGTGAGAGGTCCACTGTTAGTCTGGTGGGCTTCTCTTTGTAGGTGACCTGGCCTTTCTCTCTGGCTGCCCTTAACAATTTTTCCTTCATTTTGACCTTGGATAATCTGATGATTATTCGTCTTTGGGTTGATCTTGTGGAGTATTTTAATGGTGTTCTCTATATTTCCTGAATTTTCATGTTGGCTTGTCTTGCTAGGTTGGGGAAGTTCTCCTGGATAATATCCTGAAGTGTGTTTTTCAGCTTGTTTCCATTCTCCCCATCTCCTCCTACTACTCCAATCAATCATAGGTTTGGTCTTTTTATGAAGTCCCATATTTCTTGGAGGCTTTGTTCATTCATTTTCATTCTTTTTTCTCTAGTCTTGTCTGCATGCCTTATTTCAGCAAGGTGGTCTTCAAACGCTGATATCCTTTCTGCTTGGTTGATTCGGCTATTGGTACTTGTGTGTGCTTCACGAAGTCCTCGTGCTATGTTTTTCAGCTCCATCAGGTTGTTTATATTCCTCTCTAAACTGGTTTTTAGCAATTCCTCTAACCTTTTATCAAGGTTCTTAACTTCTTTGCATTGGGTTAAAACATGTCCTTTAGCTCAATGTAGTTTTTTGTTACCCATCTTTTGAAGCCTACTTCTGTCAATTCATCCATCTGATCCTACATCCAGTTCTGTGCCCTTGATGGAGAGACATTGTGATCATCTGGAGAAAAGGCACTCTGGCCTTTTGGGTTTTCAGCATTTTTCATTGATCCTTTCTCATCTTCATGAGTTAGTCTAGATTCAGTCTTTGAGGCTGCTGGCCCTTGCATGGAGTTTTTGTGGGGGTTTTGTTGTTGTTGTTGTTGAAGATGCTGTTGTTGTTGCTTTCTGCTTGTTTGCTTTTCTTTCAATGGTCAGGTCCCCCTTCTATAGGGCTGCTGAAGTTTGCTGTGGGTTCACTTCAAGCCTTATTCATCTGATTTGCTCCTGTGCCTGGAGATGTCACTCAAGGTGGCTGGAGTACAGCAAAGATGGGTGCCTGCTCCTTCTTCTGGGACCTCTGACCTCGAGGAGCACCAACCTGATGCTAGTAGGATCACTCCCATATAAGGTGTCTGACAACTCTTGTTGGAGGGTCTCACCCAGTTTGTTGGCACAGAAACAGGACCTGTTTAATGAAGCACTTTGTCTCTTAGTGGAGGGGGTGTGCCTCGCTGGGGGAAAACCCACTTGTCTGAGCTACCCAGATTCCTCAGAACTACCAGGAGGAAAGGCTAAGTCTGCTGGTCTGCAGAGACTGTGGCCACCCCTCCCCCTAGGGGCTCAGGCCCAAGGGGATCCAGGTTCTGTCTCTAAGCCTCTGGTTCGAGTTATTGGAGTTCCTGCAGGGAAGCCCTCACCCAATGAGGAAGGATGGGTCAGGGTTAGTCCTGAAGAGGCACTCTGGCTGCAGACTGCCACAGCTGGTGTGTTGGGCTGTGAAGGGCAAGTCTTGGGACCAATCCATCCAGCTTCCCTGGCTCCAGCAGGGGAAAAGCACAGCCTGGGGCTATAGAGATGGGTGCCACCCTTC
Organism: Homo sapiens; assembly: GCF_000001405.40. NCBI lineage: Eukaryota > Metazoa > Chordata > Mammalia > Primates > Hominidae > Homo > Homo sapiens. The sequence continues at coordinate 95,867,875 of NC_000023.11, read as the reverse complement.
CCCAACCCAGGGAGCTTATTGTGTTAGGCAGTTGTGAGTTCCAGTGCTGGCTGCTGCCACTCCCCCAAGGAGCTATAACAGCTTAGACATCATTAGACATCAATAGAGTTGTCAGACACCCTATACGGCTGCATATGGCAGCCACAGCCAGCCATGGTGCTGGTAGCCCTTCCCCTCGGGAGTTTGGTGGGCTTAAGCAGATTCCAACTGAGAGACTGTTAAGAGTCTGCACATTCCAGGGTTGGGACGCTAGGCCCTATGGTGTGGGTTCGCAGGTAGGATCTTCCAATCCATGGACTGCATTGTTCCGTGGAAAAAGCACAGTTTCCCTGGCTGGGTGGCACACTCACTCACTGCCTCCTTTGGCTTGGGGGAGGGGGCTCCCCCACACCGTGTGGCTCTGTTCAAGGTTTCTATTTTTTTCTGGATTTAATCTATAAGGGTTTTATGTTTCCAGAAATTCATTCATTTTCTCTAGGTTTTCTGGTTTGTGGTAGTCTCGATAAAAGATGTTCGTTGTTCATAATAGTCTTGAATGATCTTTTGTTTTTCTGTGGTGTTGGTTGTAATGTCTCCACCTTCATTTCTAATTGAGCTTATTTGGGTCTTGTCTCTTCTTTTCTTGGTTAGTCTAGCTAATGGTCTCTTCATTTTGTTTGTTTTTACAAAAAAATCTCAGCTTTTTGTTACATTGATTTTTCATATTGTTTTTTGTTTGAATTTCATTTAGTTCTGCTCTTATCTTTGTTACTTCCTTTCTTCTTCTAGCTTTGGGTTTAGTTTGGTTTTATTTCTCCAGTGTCTCAAGGTGTGACATTACATTGTCACTTTTTGTTCTTTCAGACTTTTTGATGTAGGCATTTAGTGCTAAAAACTTGCCTCGGCACTGCTTTTGCTGTATCTCAGGGGTTCTGATAACTTGTGTCATTATTACTGTTTAATTAAAATAATAAATAAAATAATTCTTAAATTTCTATTTGATTTCATGGTTAATCCAGATATCATTCCAGAGAATATTCTTTAATTTCCATGTATTTGCATAGTTTTGAGGCTTCCTTTTGAAGTTGATTTCCTGTTTTATTCTGGTATAGTATGACAAAATACTTGATATGATTTTAATTTTTAAAATTTACTGATTCTTGTTGTGTGGCCTATCATATGGTCTCTCTTAGAGAATGTTACATGCACTGATGAGAAGAATGTATATGCTGAAGATTTTGGTTAGCATAGTCTATAAATATTCATTGTCTGTCTATTATCATGTGTCATTTAAGTCCATTGTTTCTCTTTTTACTTTCTATCTTGAAGATCTCTCTAGTACTATCAGTGCTGTATTGAATTCTCCCACTATTATTTTGTTGCTGTCTATCTCATTTCTTAGGTCTAGCAATAATGGTTTTGAGAAGCTGGGAGCTCAAGTGTTTGGTGCATATAAATTATCTTCTTGTTGAATTGATCCTTTTATCATTATATACTGGAATTTTTTTTTTCGATTGCTGCTTTGAAGTCTGCTTTTCTGATATAAGAATAGCTACCCCTGCTCACTCTTGGTTTCCATGTGCATGGAATACCTTTTCTCACCCTTTTACCTTGAGTTTGTATGAGTCCTTCTGTGTTAGATGTGTCTCTTAAGACAGAAGGTATTTGGATTGTGATTTTTTTATATTTATACACTCTGCCATTAAGTGGGTGGTTTAGGCCATTTATGTTCAACATTAATATTGAGATGTGAGATACTATTATCTTCATCATGTTAATTGTTATCTAAGTAGCTTTTTTGTTCTATTATTGTTTTATAGGCCCTGTCATTTTTAAGCTCTAAAGAAATTCAATTTTGGTGCATATCAGGCTTCTGTTTCAAAGTTTAGAACTCCTTTCAGCATTTCTTGTAGTGCTGGTTTAGTAGTGAAAAATTCCTTAAGCATTTGTTTGTCTGAAAATGTCTTTATTTCTCCTTCATTTATGGAACTTTATTTTGCAGGACACAAAATTTTTGGCTGACAGTTGTTCTGTTTAAGGAGGCTGAAGATAGAACCCCAATCCCTTCTGGCTTGTAAGGGTTGTGCTGAGAAGTCTGCTGTTAGTCTATTAGGTTTTCCTTTATTTACTTTTTTTTCTTACTGCTCTTAGAATTTTTTTCTTCATCTCAACTTTAGATAGTCTGATGACTATGTGCTGTGCCTTGGTGAAGATCTTTTCACAATTTATTTCCCAGGAGTTCTTTGAGTTTCTTGGATTTGGTTATCTAGATTTATAGCCAGGCCAGGGAAATTTTTTCTCAATTATTCTTTCAAATATGTTTTCCAGACTTATTATTTTCTCTTCTCTCTCAGGAACACAATTATTCTTGGGTTTGTCTGTTTTACATAATCCCATATTTCTTGGAGACTGTTTATTTCTTTTGATTTTTTTTTAAATTTTTTGTCCAATTGGGTTAATTCAATAGCCTTGTCTTCAAGCTCTGAAATTGTTTATTCTACTTGTTTCATTCTATTGTTAAAACTCTCCACAACATTTTGTAATTCCCTCAATGTGTCTTTTATTTCCAGATGTTCCGATTGTTTTTTCTTGATGATATCTATCTCTCAAGAAGATGTTCCATTCATATACTGAACTGCTGTTTAAATTTCTTTATGATGGTTTTCACCTTTCTCTGATATCTCCTCAAGAAGATTAATAATCAACCTTTTGACTTCCTTACCTGCTATGTCAAAGATTTTATCTTGCTTTGAGTCCATTGTTGGAGAGCTAGTGTGATCTTCTGGGGGTGTTATAGCACCCTGTTTTGTGATATTACCCGTGGCTCCTGCACTCACCGCCCGCTTTTTACTCTCTCCTGCCCCAACCCTGGCCAAGGGAATTCGTTCCCATCCGAGGTTATATCGTGAAAACTCACTGGGAGCTTCTTTCAACCTGCAATCACCATGCGAACTTTTTGACTTCTCTCTGTGTTCCCTGTGAGGAACAGTGAGGAACAGTAAGGAATGGCTGCCCTCCATCCGCACTGGGATTTGGGAATTTGGGAGTGCATATAATGGTCTTCCAATTGCTTCTCCTATTTTTACCTTCCATGACCCTCAAGTCGGTTCCTGCACTGGGTTGGGTTCGAGCCTTCCCCCTTGGCCTGGACTTTCAGGGGCTGGTTGGGGTGTGTATCACAGAGGCAAATTCTCCTCTCACACTCTGGGTACTAGCAACCCTTTGCCTGACTTACAGTGTAGACTGCAGCCTCCTGCTTCTTTCAAAGGATCTGTAGATTTTTTTCAGTTTTCTTGTTCAGTTATTGCATTGCTTCTTGGAAAAAAAGTTCACAGTGTGAATCTCTACAGGCTATTTTGTCCTTCCAATTGGGAGCGGTATGCTAGCAATGCTTCTAATCTGCCATCTTGGAAAGACAAACAGCAACAACAACGACGACAACAACAAAACAACTAAGCAGCATCGTTTCTTGAAAAGACTATTATTTCTGACTGGGCACAGTGGCTTATGCCTGCAATTCCAGCACTTTGAGATGCTGATGTGGGAGGATCACTTGAGGTCAGGAGTTCAAGACCAGCCTGGGCAACATAGTGAGACCCTGTCTCTAATTAAAAAAAAAAAAAGGCTGGGAAAAGACATTTGTTTTCTCCATTGAATTGCCTTTTCTTCTTTGTTAAAGATCAGTTGTCTGTATTTGTGGAAACCTATTTCTGGGCTTTCTGTTTTCTTCTGTTTATTTGTCTATTACTTCACCAATACCACATTCTCTTGATTATTGTAGCTTTATAGTAAGTCTTGAAGTTAGATAGTGTCAATTCTTTAATTTTGTTCTTCTTCAGTATTGTGTTGGCTATCTGGGTTTTGTGGCTTCCATATAAATTTTAGAATCAGTTTGTTGATATTGACAAAATAAATGACTGAGATTTTGTTCAGGATCACCTTGAATCAATAGATCATATAGGGAATAATTAATATTTTAATAGTATTGAGTCTTTTCATCCATGAACATAAAAATCTCTCCATGCATTTAAATCTTCTTTGATTTCTTTTAACAGAATTTGTAGTTTTCCTTAGAAATTTTGGATATATTTTGTTAGATTTATTCCTAAGTACTTCAATTTTGGATGCTAATGTAAATGGTAATGTGTTTTTAATGTGAAATTCCAATTGTTCATTGCTAGTATATAAGAAAGCAATTGACTTAATTTATATATTAGCCATGTATCCTGAAACTTTACTATAATCCTTTATTAATTCTGTGCATTTTAAAATAGCTTCTTTGGGATTTTCTACACAGACAAGCCATCTGTGAACAAACAGTTTTATTTCTTCCTTCTCACTCTGTATATCTTCCATTTACTTTTCTCATCTTATTACATTAGCTAGGACTTCCAAAACAATGTTCCTGCTTTGTTCCTGATCTTAATGAGAAAGCATGTAGTTTTTCACCATTATGTATAATGTTAGTTGTATGTTTCTTGTAGACTTTTTAATTAAGTTGAGGAAATCCACCTCTATTTCTAGTGTGCTGAGAGTTTTTAATCATAAATGGGTGTTAGTTTTTGTCACATGCTTTTTAAAATCTACTGATAGAATTGTATTATTTTTCTTTCATATCATGTTGATGTGATGGATTACATTATTTGAAATTCAAGTGAGGAACCAGCCTTGTACACGTGGAATAAATCTCACTTTGCCATAGTGTATAATTATTTTTGTATGTTTGTGGATTTAATTTGCTAAAATTTATTGAGAATTTTTGCATCTATGTGTTCATGAGAGATATTGGTCTGTAATTTTCCTTACTTGTGATATTTTTTATCAGTATTAACCAGAGTAGTAATGGCCTCATAGAATGATTTAGGAAATATTCACTGTGCTTCCATTTTCTGGAGGAGATTGTACAGAATTGGTTTCATTGTTTTCCTTAGGGGTTTGATAGAATTCCCTAGTGGAACTGTCTGTCTGTGTTTGGTGCTTTCTCTTTGGAAAATTACTCATTATTGATTCAATTTCTTTAATAGATATGGGTAGGACCCGATTATCCATGAGTTTCTCCTCTCACCATAGTTCTGCCTGAGACTTTTGTGTTAATAATCTTTTTATTTATTTAAAGATGGTATGGTCTACATTTTTTCAAAATATTTTTATTTTTAATTTTTGTGGCTACACAGTAGGTGTATATATTTATGGAGTACATGAGATGTTTTGATACAGACATGCAATGTGAAATAATCATATCATGGAGAATGGGGTATCCCTCTCCTCAAGTATTTAGGGGATGGTCTCTTTGATGATGAGAGACCATATGGAAAAAGTGGTCCACTTTTCCACATTGTATCAACTACCACATTGAATGATTCATCCCCAGTTGAGCCAACAGAGAATTTCAGCCATGTGAATGGCTGTGGTAGAGACTAGCACAATTGCTTAACTGAGTCCATCCTACAGCATCATAAATATATAAAATAATTATTTTAAGCTATTAAGTTTTGGGATGTTTTGTTAGGCAGTAGTGAAAACTGATACTCCCCTTTTTATGAGCAAAAATTTCCTCTTATCTTGAAACATTTCTTTCACTTCCTTGTTTTAACTGAAACCTAGATCTTCTCTTCAGTATTCTTAAATGGACAGAAACTGTTATTATGCAGTATAAAGCACAGGGACAGCACACAGTAAGTGTATTCTTTGAGGCCCATTCCCATTTCTAGACCATTACTTATCCTTCCTCCTGCTTGATACCCTCTGTATTCTTTTTATTTTCATGCCATTGGGCTGTCACCTACTCATTCTTTTTGTCATTATCATCTGTTGATGTCCTTATCAAACTCCCTAATTAATGGATACTTGTAGAAACCTGCCCACTTTCTTCCTTTTTATCCCTAGTGCTTCTACCATTCCTTGTGATTTAACCATATTTGTGAATAATTAAATAATTTAATGCCTTGGCAACTCTGTTCCTTGATCTCTACTCATGCTCAGTAAACTTTTCCTACCTTCATTTGCAGTTGCCTTTTGTCATGATCATATTCTAAATCTTATATTCAGTCTTTTTGCTGTATTATACTCCTCTACCCAACCTCTAAGTGTCAGAATAACTTAGGGAATTGCCCTGGGTCCTTTTTCTATCCATATTCTCCCATAAGTTGATCTTACTAATTCTTATTTATTATTTAAATATTGTGCTGGATGCATATACTCTACTCAGATATAATGTCTGAGTTCCAGCATATAGTCAACTGCCTATTGACATTTCCACTTGCACATCTTGCAAATATTTCAAATTTGCTTTGTCCAAAATATAATTCTTCTTTTTCCCTTTAAGCTTATCTCTCCAACCAATAAATCTGTGTCTACCCAGTTGCACAAGGCAGACACTAGACTGTTTTTGATTGCTCCATTCCCTTCACACATATATAATGTTTCCCTAAGTACAATATAGTCTTCTTTCAGAATATACTTTCAGTCCATTTCTACCCAACTATTTACATTTACACATCACCATACAAATTCAGAGCAATAACATCTCCTACCTGTACTATTCTGACAGCCATCTAATGGTCCCTCTGCTTCAACTTTTATACACCTGTAGTTTATTCTATGTAGAGAAGTCAGAGAATTCTTCTTGAAATTTTTAATGAAATTGCACCATGCCTCTGCTTTAAAACTCTCCAATGGCTTCACATTGAACTTATAATAGATGTTGTAGTCTTTAATGTGGCTTAAAAGAACCTCCACAATCTGGCCCCGACTGCCTCTCTGACCTATCCACCATGATCCCACTTACTGACTATATTCTGGTCACAGTAGCCTTCTTTTTGTTCATGAAAAATGCCAAGTTTTTGCCTGCTTTAGAACATTTGTACTAACAACCCTCACTGCATGTATGCAATCATCAGCCAAAATCCTCTACCCCAAATCTTAGCATGACTTCTTAAACCACCCAATTTCAAGTATTTTTCCCTCTTATTCCCCAATTTAGCCCTCTTTTTCATATCCCTCACAACTTTACAACAATTTTAGTTAAACACTCTAACAATGCTTTCTTGTTTCTGCGTGTTCCATTCACTATAATGTCAACTCCATAAGGGAAAGCACTGTGCATCTCTTGTTTAATGCTTTATCTTTGATACTTAGCAGAGGGCTTCACATATTATAGGTTCTCAGTTAGTATTTATTGAATGAATGGAGTGACTGTATTACTGACTGCATTAGGTGCTTCAACATTACTTCCTAGATAGATCTCAGGATTATGGGGTCATAACAATTTAATCAACAGGATCATCAATCATTACCAAATAGTAGCTGTAGGAGAAGTGGAATGATTTAGTTTATCTAAAAATATGGAATAAATGTTACATAGTATGTACTTTGTAACAGGGACTTTGCTATATGTTGTACATTCAGTGGTAAATACAAAGAGTGAGATTTCTGACCTTTTGGAAGAGTCTAGGAAGATTTGCCGTGAGCATTTGGTGATTTGTGTGTGTGTGTGTGTGCAGAGTGGTGTTTCAGTACAGGGTTATGAGAAGGAAAGTTGATTTGTGGACTACAGGAAATGGGAGTTGTTATATAACTTGAGAATCTGAGAAAAAGGAACTAGAGAGAAGGGCAAAGTTTCATTATTCCATTTCCTGAATCTCCCTACCCTTGGTCTTCCAATACAGACATACACACAGACACAAACCAAGAATTTACTCTTTCCCTCTACATTCTAGGGTGTACAGTGTGAGGAGAGGTAGATTTTTATACCTACAATAGTTGAGTGAATAACCTACAGATTTCTAAAGCCCAGGTACTGAGATATTGGAATTATAATTGGAAAGGTAACTGAACCTTATGCTGAGAATATACGATTACAGGATCATGAAAAGGCTGGGAAAAGATAAATTATATCTGATGGTAAAGTTTTATTTTGAAGAAAAGACAAAACTAAGTCTTTGGGTGGGGAAATTAAAGGGTCAGGGGAAGTATGTGCTCATGGAACTAAAAATGGTTTTTGTGATGAGTGTCTTTCATTTGCTTAAAAGAAGAATCATATCAAGGATAAGAAATACAACTGGTAGAGAGGAGAAAACGTAGCATTATTTGTAGGAAATGTAATTATACACCTACTAATCCATGAAATTGAGAATAAGATATTTTAGTAAATAGGTCCATTATAAAATATATAAACAGAAATCAATATCTTTCCTGTATGCCAAAAAATAGATAATAATTCTAGTGGGAATAATCCCATATTCACAAAAATGTCAAAAGCATAGCATGCCTATGAATAGACCAAGCAAAATAAATAAGTGAAAAAATATGACAATACTTAACTAAGATACATTTAGAGAAAAAAATGATTTGAGGAAAAGAAATTTGCCATGTTCTTTGGCAGGAAGATTTAGTATAATAAACAAATTGATTTATAAGATTTATAGAGTTAACACAATCTCTAAAATTGTTCTAAGGTTAATCTTGAAGAAGAAACAGGGAAGGATACCTAAAGGAATTTTGAAAAATAAGTTTATAGAGAGTCATCTATCTTACCACATGATATAACCCTTTATTAAATTACAATAATTAAAATGGTGGCATGATAATGCCACAATCTACAGTTAAATAGACTATAATAAATGACCCAATGACCCTCTAATAGAGAGTCATTGTCATGATAGACCAGATTCTTGTCATAATAGACAAGAATTTAACATAGGATAAAAGAAATATCATAAACTACTAGTAAGGTTAGTCAAGAGTGAAAATTTGGCCACGTATTTGGCCAAAAAGATAAATCTAGTGAGATCTTCACCTGTACCACATATTTGCATTCAAACAGATTCCAAAAGAATCTAACATTTTAAAAATTAATTAAACATAGGTTAGTTTAGAATGAATAGGAACTTTTAGCATAAAACCCAAGAAAAAATTCTAAACAGAATGATTGATAGAGTGCACTATGTAAAATATTACAAATATCTGAACATCAAAACAGCATAAATTAACTCAAAAGGCAAAAGACAAATTAGGAATACAACAGAGACAGATGAAGGGTTAATATCTATAACATAGACAAATCTCATACAATTTAAGGAAAAAAACCTGTAACACTCGTAGAAAAGTAGGTAATAAATACAAATAGATAATTCACAGAAATAAAAAAGTGACCAGTTAACATGAGAAATTACATTCCACCTTACTAGAAGTGTTGACAAGATATAAATTGAAATAGTTAGGTGTCATTTTTTGACCTATCAAATTAGATTTTTTTGTCTCATATTAGTGCTCAGAGGTACTGAGGTGAGAGTGTAAACTGAAAATATGTATGTATCAAGATTTTCAAAAGGGTTTATATCACTTAACCTAGTGGTTATATATTCCAATTCTAAGAATATAGCCTAAGGAAATAATAAGAACTGGAGACAATGATTTATATACAGAGTCGTTCATAACAGCATTATTCAAACTGCAAAAAATTACACTGTTTAAATATTTGACAACAAGGGTTTGGTGAAATAAATTATGGTAGATCTATATTTTCTAGTTATGAAAATCACATTTTTCAAATTTTTAATGGTGGGAAAAATGCCCTCCAGAGTATTTATTATCTAAAAAATTTTGAAAGGTCAGAAAGCTATCATGTAAAAGTGTAAATAAAACACTGGAAGGAAGTATACCACAATATTAACAACAGTTGTTTTTTGGAGTGGAGATTTGCATAATTTTATTGATCAATTGATTGTTTGAAAACTAATCAGAAAGCAAAACATTAATTAACTTTCACATAAATTGCCTCATATGATACTTCCAATAGTACAGTGAGATGGGTATTATTGAAATTATTATATATGTTCTAGATACAATGAAACAAGGATTGAGAGATTAAGTGACTTGTGCAAGATCTGTACCTGGGTACATAGTAAGCACTCACTATGTATCTATTGAGTGAATGACTGAGAGTGACCTTACTCCAAGTTGTCTGACTCTTAGGTCAAAACTATTTCTACAAGCATATCTGTAAGGCTATTTCTATTGTAGCTTAAACTTCTGAAGCAACTAATTGTGGTTTGGGCCTTCAACACTTGGCCACTTCTGGCCATGCTTTATGAGATATGACAATACTTGCATTCCACTAGAGCCAGAAATATTGAGTGCCATTATGCATCATCAATTTGATTTGGTGTTATGACAATAATGTTTTAGTGATTTAGAAGGTAATTGCCTCAAGATCAGAGGCTTTGCCTTCTCTACGTCCAAGTCTGTACAAAGTTACTCAATTGGCCATGACACTGTCAATTTGGTAGTTTGGACTATCTTAGTGATTGCGTGGCAATCCATCAGACTGAATGTGCTTTGATCCGGTTTGATTGCTAAAATGGGCAAAACATTGAATTGACTGTGCCATGGTACATTATTTTGGGGTCATAGGCAATGTCCTGTAAAGCATCTAACAGTGCCTTGAACATTAGAACACTTAATAAATGTGACAATGATGGTAAAAGCAAACTTAAGCACAATGACAACATTTGTTTCTAAATGATCAATATTTCTTCTATGAAAATAGGAGAGCCTATATGGCATTTTTCAAAGCTCTTTAATATGCATCTTCAGAAACCCCAGCTTGTAGTATAATTAAGTTCAACACTTAGTATTTTATTGTTTGGGGTTTTGATTTTTGGTTATTTTCTTCATTATCATGGAGACATACTATATTGGAATAATTTAATATTGTAACCTGGTCCCTATGGGGTTTTATTAAACTTCTCTTTATAATCTCTTATCATGATAGCATTCATAACACAATAACTACATATTTTTATTTAAATTATCATAAGAATTGTATGCATTATTCATGTCAAAGTCTCTACTGTCAAAATGCTTGTGCTTTTGAGAAAATAAATTACATTACTTTAATTTTTAATTTTTGTGGTTACAAAGTAGGTGTATATATTTATGGGGTACATGAAATGTTTTGATACAGGCATACAATGTGAAATAAGCACATCATGAAGAATGGAGTATCCATTCCCTCAAAAATTTATCCATTGAGTTGCAAACTGAATTACACTTTTTAAATTTTAAAATGTACCATTAAGATATTATTGATTAGAGTCACCCTGTTGTGTTATCAAATAGTAAGTCTTATTCATTTGTTCTATTTTTTGTACCCATTAATCCCCACCTCCCCCGCTGCCCCCACTACTCTTGCCAGCTTTGGTAACCATGCTTCTCTTCTCTATGTCCATGAGTTTCATTGTTTTGATTTTTAGATCCCACAAATAAGTGGGAACATGTGATGTTTGTCTTTCTGTGCCTGGCTTGTTTCACTTAACTTAATGATCTCCAGTTCTATCCATGTTGTTGCAAATAACTGGATCATATTCCTTTTTATAGCTGAAGAGTACTCCATTGTCTACATGTGCATTTCTTTATCCATTCATTTGTTGATGGACACTTAGGTTCCTTCCAATCTTAGCTATTGTAAACAGTGCTGTAACAAACATAGGAGTGCAGATATCTCTTTGATATACTGATTTTCTTTCATTTGGAAACATACACAGCAGGGGGATTGTCTGTTTTTAGTTTTTTGAGGAACCTCCAAACTGTTCTTCATAGTGGCTGTACTAATTTACATGCCCACAAGCAGCATACTAGGGTTCCCTTTTCTCCACATCCTTGCCAGCATTTGTTATTGCCTGTCATTTGGATACAAGCCCTTTTAACTGGGGCAAGATGATATTTCATTGTAGGTTTGATTTGCATTTCTCTGATAATCGATGATATTGAGCACCTTTTTTATATGCCTGCTTCCCATTTGTATTGTCTTCTTTTGAGAAATGTCTATTCAAGTTACTTGCCTATTTTTATTAGATCGGATTATTAGATTTTTTTTCTATAGAGTTGTTTGAAATTATTTTATGTTGTGGTTATTAATCCCTTCTAAGATGGGTAGTTTTAAATATCTTCTCCCATTCCGTGGGTTGTCTCTTGACTTTGTTGATTGTCTCCTTTGCTGTGTAGAAGCTTTTGAACTTGATGTGATCCTATTTGTCCATTTTTGTTTTGGTTGCCTGTGTTAGTGGAGTATTGCTCAATACATCTTTGCCCAAACCAATGTCCTGGAGAGTTTCCCTAATGTTTTTTTGTAGTCATTTCATAGTTTGAGGTCTTACATTTAAGTCTTTAATCCATTTTGATTTGATTTTTTATATGGCAAGAGATAGGGGTCTAGTTTCATTTTTCTGCATATGGATATCCAGTTTCCCAGCACCATTCATTGAGGAAACTGTATCTTACCCAGTGTATGTTCTTGGCATCTTTGTCAAAAATGAGTTCACTTTAGGTGTATGGATTTGTTTCCAGGTTCGCTATGCTGTTCCATTGGTGCAAGTGTCTGTTTTTATGCCAGTACCATGCTGTTTTCTTTACTATAGCTCTGTAGTATAATTTAAAGTCAGGTCATGTGATTCTTCCAGTTTTGTTCTTTTGGCTTAGGGTAGCTTTGGCAATGTTGGGTCTTTTGTGGTTCCACATAAATTATAGGACTGTTTTATTTTACTTCTGTGAAGAATTTCATTAGCATTTTGATAGAGATTGCATTGAATCTGTAGATTGCTTTGGGAAGTATGGACATTTGAACAATATTGATTCTTCCAATTCATGAGCATAAAATATTTTCCCATTTTTTGGTGTCCTGTTCAATTTATTTCATTAGTGTTTTGTAGTTTTCATTTTAGAGATCTTTCACTTCTTTGGTTGATTTATACTTTTTTTTAATTATACTTTAAGTTTCAAGGTACATGTGCACAACGTGCAGTTTAGTTACATATAAATACATGTGCCATGTTGGCGTGCTGCACCCATTAACTCATCATTTAACATTAGGTATATCTCCTAAAGCTATCCCTCCCCCCTCCCCCCACCCCACAACAGGCCCTGGTGTGTGATGTTCCCCTTCCTGTGTCCATGTGTTCTCATTGTTCAATTCCCACCTATGAGTGAGAACATGTGGTGTTTGGTTTTTTGTCCTTGCAATAGTTTGCTGAGAATGATGGTTTCCAGCTTCATCCATGTCCCTACAAAGGACATGAGCTCATCATTTTTTATGGCTGCATAGTATTCCATGGTGTATATGTGCCACATTTTCTTCATCCAGTCTATCATTGTTGGACATTTGGGTTGGTTCCAAGTCTTTGCTATTGTGAATAGCGCTGCAATAAACATACGTGTGCATGTGCCTTTATAGCAGCATGATTTATAATCCTTTGGGTATATACCCAGTAATGGGATGGCTGGGTCAAATGGTATTTCTAGTTCTAGATCCCTGAGGAATCGCCACACTGACTTCCACAATGGTTGAACTAGTTTACAGTCCCACCAACAGTGTAAAAGTGCGAAGGATATGAACAGACACTTCTCAAAAGAAGACATTTATGCCACCAAAAGACACATGAAAAAATGCTCATCATCACTGGCCATCAGACAAATGCAAATCAAAACCACAATGAGATACCATCTCACACCAGTTAGAATGGCGATCATTAAAAAGTCAGGAAACAACAGGTGCTGGAGAGGATGTGGAGAAATAGGTTGATTTATTCTTAGATATTTAATTTTATGTGTGACTATTGTAAATGAGATTACTTTTTAATTTCTTTTTCAGATTGTTCACTCTTTGGCATATTGAAATGCTACTAAATTGTGTATATTGATTTTGTATCCTGCAACTTCTCTGAATTTGTTTATCAGTTCTTGTGGAGCCTTTAGGTTTTTCCAAATACAAAATCATATCATCTGCAGACATGGATAATTTGACTTCTTCCTTTCTAATGTGGATGCACGTTCTCTTGTCTGATTACTCTAGCTAGGACTTCCAGTACTGTGTTGTATTACAGTGACAGCAGTGGGCATCCTGGTCATCTTCCAGATATTAGAGGAAAGGATTTCAGTTTTTCCCCATTTAGTATGATATTAGCTGTGTGTCTGTCATATATGGCTTTTATTATGTTCATGTATGTTCCTTCTATCCTCAGTTTTTTGAGGGTTTTTATCATGGAAGAATGTTGAATTTGGTCAAATCGTTTTAAGCATCAGTTGAAATGATCATGTGGTTTTTATCCTTCATTCTTTGGTATAATGTATTACATTGATTGATTTGTATATGTTGAATCATCCTTTTATCCCAGGGATAAATCCCACTTGGTCATGATGAATGAACTTTCTAATGTATTGTTGAATTCAGTTTGCTAGTATTTTGTTGAGGACTTTTCCATCAGTATTCATCGTAAATATTGGCCTGTAGTTTTTTTTTTTTTTAAGTTGTCTTTGTCTGGTTTTGGTAGTATGGTAATACTGGCCATGTATAATGACTTTGTAAGTATTCCCTCCTCCTTTATTCTTCTGAGTACTTTGAGTAGGAGTGGTATTAGTTCTTCTTTAAATTCTTTGTAGAATTCAGCAGTGAAGCCATTAGGTCCTAAACTTTTCTTTACTAAGAGGCTTTTTATTATGGCTTTGATGTCATTACCTGTTATTGGTCTGTTCAGGTTTGGATTTCTTCCTGGTTCAGTCCTGGTAGGTTGTGTGTATCTAGGAATTTATACATTTCTCCTCTATTTTTCCAATTAATCAGCATTTAGTTGCTCATGTTAGCCACTAATGAACCTTGAATTTCTACAGTTTCATTTGTAATGTCTCCCTTCTCATTTCTGATTTTATTTATTTGGATCTTTTGTTTTTTTCTTAGATAATCTGGCTAAAGCTTTGTCAATATTAACTTTTCAAAAAATTGACTTTTTGCTTTATTGATCTTTTGTATTTTTTTATTTAAATTTCTTTTCTGCTCTGATGTTTATTATTTCTTTTCTTCTACTAATTTTGGGTTTGGCATGCTCTTTCTTTTCTAGTTCTTTAAGATGCATCGTTAGATTGTATATTTGAAATTTTTTCCTGTTTTTTTGATGTCCCTTATACCTATAAACTCCCCTCTTAGTGGTGCTGCTTCTGTTTCCCATAGGTTTTGGTATGTTATGTTTCCATTATCATTTGTCTCTAGAAATTTTTTTTTTCTTTTTTTATTTTATTTTATTTTATTGTTATTATACTTTAAGTTTTAGGGTACATGTGCACAATGTGCAGGTTAGTTACATATGTATACATGTGCCATGCTGGTGTGCTGCACCCATTAACTCGTCATTTAGCATTAGGTATATCTCCTAAAGCTATCCCTCCCCCCTCCCCCCACCCCACAACAGTCCCCAGAGTGCGATGTTCCCCTTCCTGTGTCCATGTGTTCTCATTGTTCAATTCCCACCTATAAGTGAGAAGATGCGGTGTTTGGTTTTTTGTTCTTGCGATAGTTTACTGAGAATGATGATTTCCAATTTCATCCATGTCCCTACAAAGGACATGAACTCATCATTTTTTATGGCTGCATAGTATTCCATGATGTATATGTGCCACATTTTCTTAATCCAGTCTATCATTGTTGGACATTTGGGTTGGTTCCAAGTCTTTGCTATTGTGAATAGTGCCACAATAAACATACTTGTGCATGTGTCTTTATAGCAGCATGATTTATAGTCCTTTGGGTATATACCCAGTAATGGGATGGCTGGGTCAAATGGTATTTCTAGTTCTAGATCCCTGAGGAATCGCCACACTGACTTCCACAATGGTTGAACTAGTTTACAGTCCCACCAACAGTGTAAAAGTGTTCCTATTTCTCCACATCCTCTCCAGCACCTGTTGTTTCCTGACTTTTTAATGATTGCCATTCTAACTGGTGTGAGATGGTATCTCATTGTGGTTTTGATTTGCATTTCTCTGATGGCCAGTGATGGTGAGCATTTTTTCATGTGTTTTTTGGCTGCATAAATGTCTTCTTTTGAGAAGTGTCTGTTCATGTCCTTCGCCCACTTTTTGATGGGGTTGTTTGTTTCTTTCTTGTAAATTTGTTTGAGTTCATTGTAGATTCTAGATATTAGCCCTTTGTCAGATGAGTAGGTTGTGAAAATTTTCTCCCATTTTGTAGGTTGCCTGTTCACTCTGATGATAGTTTCTTTTGCTGTGCAGAAGCTCTTTAGTTTCATTAGATCCCATTTGTCAATTTTGGCTTTTGTTGCCATTGCTTTTGGTGTTTTAGACATGAAGTCCTTGCCCATGCCTATGTCCTGAATGGTAATGCCTAGGTTTTCTTGTAGGGTTTTTATGGTTTTAGGTCTAACATTTAAGTCTTTAATCCATCTTGAATTAATTTTTGTATAAGGTGTAAGGAAGGGATCCAGTTTCAGCTTTCTACATATGGCTAGCCAGTTTTCCCAGCACCATTTATTAAATAGGGAATCCTTTCCCCATTGCTTGTTTTTGTCAGGTTTGTCAAAGATCAGATAGTTGTAGATATGCGGCATTGTTTCTGAGGGCTCTGTTCTGTTCCATTGATCTATATCTCTGTTTTCAATTTTCTTCATAATTTCTTCATTGATCCACTGGTCGTTAAGGAGCATATTGTTTAATTTCCATGTATTTGCATCGTTTCTAAAATTCCTCTTGTTACTGATCTCTAGTTTTATTCCATTGTAAGCAGAGAAGATGCTTGATATTATTTCAATGCTTTGAATGTTTTAGGATTTGTTTTGTGACCTGACATATGCTCTGTCCTTGAGAATGATCCATGTGCTGAGGAAAAGAATGTGTATTCTGCAACCACTGGATGAAATGTTTTGTAAACATGTATTAGTCCCATTTGGTTTGTATTGCAGACCAAATCTGATGTTTCTGTGTTGATTCTTTGTCTGGAAGATCTGTGCAATGCTGAAAGTAGAGTGTCAAGGTCCCCAGCTATTAATGTATTGGGGCCTCTCTGTTTGGCTCTAATATTTCCTTTTTATATCTGGGTGCTTCAGTGTTGAGTGGATATATATTAAAATTTTTATGTCCTCTTACTGAACTGACCCCTTTATCATTGTATAGTGACCTTGTTTGTCTCCTCTTATAGTTTTTGTCTTGGAATTTATTTTGTCTGATATAAATACCGTGACTCCTGCCCATTTTTGCTTTCCATTGGCATGGACTATCTTTTTCTATTTCTTTATTTTCAGTCTATGTGGGTCTTCATAGGTGAAGTGTGTTTCTTGTAGGCAATAGATCAATGGGTCTTGTTTTTTCATTTATTCAGCCAGTGTATGTCTTTTGATTAGAGAATTTAGTTTTTTACATTGAATACTATTATTGTTAATAAGAACTTACTCATGCCACTTTGTTATGTGTTTTCTGGTTGCTTTGTGGCCTTCTCTTACTTTTTTCTTTCCTTCCTTCCATTGTTTTAATGAAGATGATTTTCTCTGGTAATATTATTTAGTTTCTTTCTTTTTATTTTTGTGTATCTATTGTATATTATTTGGTTTGAAGTTACTGCGAGTCCTGAAAATAATATTTTATAGCCCATTATTTTAACTTGATAAAAACTTAACACTGTTTGCATAAACAAACAAGTAAGTAAGCAAGCAAAAAGAAAAAAATAAAAACTCTTCTTAACCTCATCTCCCTGCTTTTTACCTTTTTGTTATTCCTACTTGTGTCTTATTGTTCTGACTGTGTCTTGAAAAGTTGTATTCATTATTTTTGACTGGTTTTTCCTTAAGTCTTTCTACTTAGGATAAGAGTAATTTATATACCACAATTACAGTGTTATAGTATTCTTTATTTTTCTCTGTACTTACTATTACCAGTAAGTTTTGTACCTTCAGGTGATTATTTATTACTCATCAATGTACTTTTCTTTCTGATTGATGTACTTTCTTTAGCACTTCTTGTAGGACTGCTCTGGTATTGATGAGATCCCTTAGCTTTTGTTTGTCTGGGAAAGTCTTTATTTCTCCTTTGTGTCTGAAGGACATTTTTGCCAGTTATACAATTCTAGGGTAAAATTTTATTTTTTTCCTTTTGGCAGTTTAAACATGTCATGCCTTTTTCTCCTGGCCTGTAATGTTTGCACAGAAAAGCCTGCTGCCAGGTGTATTGAAGCTCCATTGTGTGTCATTTGTTTCTTTTCTCTTGCTGCTTTTAGAATCCTTTCTTTATTCTTGACCTTTGGGAGTTTGATTATTAAATGCTTTGAGATATCTTCTTGGTGTTCTATAATTTTCTTGTACTTGGATATTGATATCTTTTTCTGGGTTTGGAAAGATCTCTGTTACTATGCTTTTGAATAAATTTTCTAACCCTATATCTTCCTCTACCTCTTCTTATAGGCCAATATCTTTTAGATTTGCCCTTTCGAGTTTATTTTATAGCTTCTGTAAGTGTGCTTCATTGTTTCTCATTACTTTTTCTTTTGTCTTCTCTGTGTATTTTCAAATAGCCTTTCTCCAAGCTTACTAATTATTTCTTCTGCTTGGTGCATTCTGCTACTAAAGGACTATGATGCATTCTTCAGTATGCCAATTGCATTTTCCAGCTCAAAAATTTCTACTTGATTCTTTTTAATTTTAATTATAAATTCTGAATTCCTTCTCTGTGTTGCCTTTGAAATTTTTTGTTTCCTTAACACATCTGTTTTGAATTCTCTGTCTGAAAGCTCACATATCTGTTTCTCCAGGATTCGTCTCTGGTGGCTTATTTAGTTCATTTGATGAGGTCATGTTTTCCTGGATGGTGTTGATGCTAGTAGATGTTCTTTGGTATCTGTGCATTGAAGAGTTAGGTATTTATTCTAGTCTTCACTCTCTGGTCTTATTTGTAGCCATCCTTCTTGGGAAGGCTTTCCAGATATTTGAAATAACTTGGTATTGTGATTTAAGCTATTTCTGCTTTAGCAGGCACCCTAAGCCCAGTGCTGTGGTTCTTGTGGCTCACAGAGGTACCACCTTCATGGTCTTGGACAAGATCCAGGAGAATTATCTGGATTACCAGGCAGAAACCTTTGTTCTCTTCTCTTACTTTCTTCAAAACATACAGGGTCTCTCTCTCTGTTCTGAGCCACCTAAAGCTGGGGGTGGAATGGCACAACCACCCTTGAGTTCACCACCACTGTGACTCTGCTGGGTCAGACCTTAAGCTATCACAGCACTGGGTCTTGCCCAAGGCCTGCAGTAATCACTCCCTGGCTACAGCCTATGTTTGCTCGAGGCCCTGGGGCTGTACATTCAGCAGGTGGCAAAGCCATCCAGGCCTATGTCCTTCCCTTCAGGATGACAAGGTCCCCCAGGCCCTGGGTGGGTCCAGAAGTGCTGTCTGGGAGTCAGGGTCTAGAGTCAAAACCTTAGAAGTCTACCTGGTGTTCCATTTTGTTGCAGCTGAGCTGGCATTCAAACCATAAGATATAGTCCTTTCCACTCATCCCTCCTGTTTCCAAAAGCAGAGATGCCTCATTTTGTAGCCACTGCCACCCCTGGCCATGAGGTGTGCTGCCAGTCTACCAATGACATTTTCTTAAGGCTCAAGGTCTCTTAAGTCAGCTTGTGCTAAATGTTGTCTGGCTTGGGACTCACTCTTCAGGGTAGTGGGCTCCTCTCTGGCCCAGTGCAGGTCTGGAAATAGTGTCCAAGAGTCAAGTCCTGGAATCAGGCACCCCACTTGGTGCTCTGTCTTCCTGTGGTGGTGTTGGTATCTAAGGTGCATGATAAAGTCCCCTTTACTTTTCTCTCTGCTTTTTTGATGCAGAAGGAATTTTGCTCTATAGCCCCGACAGCTGGTAGGGTGCTGAGTCTCACCTGAATCCTGCATGTCTCAGAGGCTTACCAAGGCCCTCTGTGTAGTACCTGGGTATTGCTGCTGGTTATTCAGGGCCCAAAGGCTCTCCAGTTAGCAGGTGATGAATGCTGGCAGAATGCTGGGTTCTTCCTTTTAAGGCAATGGGTTCCTTTCTGGCCCAGGGTGTGTCTAGAAATGTTGTCTGGGAGCTAGGATTTGGAATCAGGAACTTGTGAGTCTGACAGGTGCCTATCCTGCTGTGGCTGAGCTGGTATCCAAGATACCAGACAAATTCCTCCCCACTCTTCCCTCTCCTCTCCTTAAGTGGAAGGAAGGGGCCTTTTTTGGAGCCGTGAGCTGTGAAGCGTTGGGTTAGGGGATGAGTGATGCCAGAACTACATTGGCTGCCCCATCTGGTATTTCAGAATGCCATTTGCCTCCCTAGTCCACTGTCCCTGGTCCTTGTTTAGCCCTGGGACTCACCTAAGAGTTACAGTGCTTATGGCCTACATTGCCTGTCAAATTTACTTAGAGACTGAGAGCACTTTGGCCCTCAGTGGCAAGATTTGCGTGCACTCAAGTTCTGCCGACTGGAATCAGGGATTTCCTTCTGGCTAGGGCTGGCTTAAATGCTCCTTCTGTGGATGGGCATCAGCTGAGTTTGGTCTGGTTTTCCTTTCTGCTCTAGCAGAACAGCACGGAGTTTGATGCCTCACAATTGCTGTGTTCTTTCTTCTCCAGCACCCAAAGATACTCTCCACACTATGTCTCCCCTACCTGTGGTAGGGGAGGGGTAGCGTCTGTGATTCAGGACTGTTTTTTCTATCTCTTCAGTGCCTTTCTGTGATATGAAGTTAACACCAGATACAGTGAGTGCTCACCTAATATTTAGTTCTTATGGAGGTGTTTTTTCTCTGTAGATAGTTGATAACTTGGTTTCCTTCTGGAGGGGAAGGTGGGTGCAGCTTTCTGTTTTCTAGAAAAGTTTTTACTTTGATTAAAAAAGGAATGTTGCAGTGAGGAAAGCAGCATGTCCATATTTTAGCATAATGCCAGGAAGCACCTATCACAACAGTCATGATGCTCCCATCCAGAATGTTATAGGCTGAAATGTGTCCTTCCTACCCCAAATTCATGTTAAAGTCTTAACCCCCAATGTGACTGTATTTGGAGATAGGGCCATTAAGGAGGTAACTGAGCTTAAATGAGATTATAAGAGTGAAGTCTTGATCCAATAGGTCTGGTATTCTTATAAGAAGGGGCAGAAACACCAGAGATCAAGGATCTCTCTCTCTCTCTCTGTACACACAAATGAAAACAATGTGAAAACAGCCATCTGAAAGCCAGAAAGAGCAAGGTCTTACTGGAAAGTAACACTAGGGAATTTCGATCTTGGACTTCCAGCCTCCAAAACTGAGAGAAAATAAAGTTTGTTGTATAAACCACCTAGTCTGTGGTATCTCGTTATGGTGGCCTGAGCTGACTAATATATAGGATTTGTTGTGGACAAAGTCACTGTCCCCAACTGCCTGCTAGCTTCAAAGTTTTAACCAGTTCAAACTGAGAATCACATTCCTTAAAGATGGGTGGAAGCATGCCAGAACAGGTGTCCAGAAATTCTCTTCAAGACAGCCATAAAATACAACACTTTTTCTATTGATCCTAGTAAAGAAGGAAAGAAGGAAGTTATGTATCTATGCAGAAAAACTTACAATGAGCTTCTATTTTAAAAAATATTTTTCTAAATTGGAGGAAATGCTCATATATAAGGACAAATACAAAAGAGTGGCACCAAAGGTTTAAAAAATATTAAACGTAGAAAATACTATTTTTTGTTTGTTTTGGTTGTACTTGGAGCCAAGCACAGGTACAGCCATTTTGGCTTACAGAAACTATTCTAGGGACTATTCCGATGATTCAGTATCAGTGCCATACTTGTTAATTTTCAAAACTAGAATCCATGCTTAAAGTAAGAGCAAAAGATGAGGATTCACTGAATTGCCATGTAGCTAATTTGACACAGAAAACTGACTGGGTCCATTCCTTTTTTGGCTTTGACTTGTCTGTCAAAATAAGTTACTACAGATTTGTAAAAAGTAGAAGGAAACTTGCTATGAGAGAAATGATGCTCAGGAAAGAGGAAAGAGGCTTTAACTTTTTTGAGAGCCTTGGCCTTTAAAAGCTCTGTTACTCTATTAATCTAGCCTTCAAGTTCAAAGTTATGCTGCTATTGAGAATATCCATTGTAATACTCCAACAGATTGAGAGAGCAGGTCCACAACAGGAGATTCAAAATGGTCATAAACAGCAGAAGTATTGTTTGTTGTAGTAAATGTAGAGCTTACTATGATGATTCTTTTAAAAGAGAGAAAAATTTGTTAAAATAATTAAGTTGTTCCACAATGTTTGTTGATAAAGAAATCATACTCCATGGCTGAGCTAAAGTGTTTTAAGTCATTCACTCAACATTTATTGCATGACACTATGTGTAAGGCATTGGGTTAAGCACTTCTGATGAAAATTAAGACCCAATACCTATCCTGAAGGAGTTTAGATTTAGTATAGTGATGATTGAAGAATGTTGATGATTTGCCAGCTACTGAACAAAGTAGCTAGTGAATGCTGAAACGGCATGTCCAAATGCTGTTTTCTTTCTGGATTAAAATTAAGGATACAAATCTAAACTGCTCTTGGTTTTAGAGGTCAGGAAAAGAAACTCTAATCCACCATTATTCAAGAAATATAACATAAGCCATAAATGCAGTTACATATGTGTAATTTTAAATATTCTAGTAGTCATATTAAATAAAGTAAAAACAAACTGGAAACACTCATTTAAATAATATTTTTGTTTCTCATAATACCAGAATATTATAATTTCAACATATAATTGATATCAATTATTAATGAAATATTTTGTGTTCTTTTTTCTTGTACTATCTTTGAAACCCTATGTGTATTTTACACTTACCAAACACCTGTATTTCCACTAGCCACATTTCAAGTGCATACCAGCCATATATATTAATAGCTAGTGGCTACTATACTGGATAACACAGGTCTAGTTCATGCTCATCCTGAACTGCTTTGTGAGTTTGAATCTATTGTATTCTTTCTGAAGCTTGTCTTTTAGATGACTCCAAAGATGAACTTTTTCTCAGCTGTCAGTTTGAGCTTGTTAGTTCAATTGGATAAGGTCTCCTGATTTAATCCCAATAAGGCTTCCTACAAAAAAAAAAAAAAATCTGTTCCAGTCCCTTACTATCTCTCTAACTCCCCAAGAGTCATTTTTTAAATGCCCTCTTATGCCCCACTGGACATACTTCTATTATACCATTCGTAAAGCTTTAGGGAATTTATTGAGAAAATATATGTCCCTCTAAGATACGGCATAACAAGGCACAAAGTTTTCAGTCAAACTGACCTGGGTTGTGATTCCAGATCTGTCTCTTGACAAATTTCTTAACGTCTCTTAACTCTCTTCATATTTAAAATGAAGATAGTAGGCTGGGCATGGTAGCTCATGCCTGTAATCCCAACACTTTGGGAGGTGGAGCCAGGCGGATCACCTGAGGTCAGGAATTCGAGAATTAGCGGGGTGTGGTGGAATGTGCCTGTAATCCCGGCTACTCGGGAGGCTGAGGCAGGAGAATCACTTGAACTAGAAAGGCAGAGTTTGCAGTGAGCCGACCGTGCCACAGCACTCCTGCCTGGGCGACACAGCGAGACTCTCTAAAAAAAAAAGAAGATAGTAATAATCTCTACCTTACAGTGTTTTGTAAGAGATATATACATATATATATATATGTGTGTGTGTGTATGTGTGTGTGTATGTATATATACATACATATAAATTTATATTAAAACACTTAGTACACTCTCACTAGTTAGCATTCCATAAATAGTATTTTCCATTATTATTAATTTTATTAATAAAGTATTATTATTATTTTTGTATTCTTTATGCCTAGCATTGCAGGCTTTCAATATATTTTATTGAATTAATTAGTATAAGGCTCACTAGATAAGATATGTATAAATTTTTTCAAGCTTTTAAATTTTCACAAAATGGAAACCTTAGAATTACTGCTGTTAAGCAATTAAATTGAACGATCTTGGCTCAAAATCTAGAAAATTAGTCATAGATTCCATTATTTCTCTAACACATTAAGAAACAGTTTTAGAACTTACTTCTCCAGAGACAATGACTAAAACTTCCAAAATTCTGTGGTCCTGTCATGGCCTTGGTGTGTATTCAGGAGCATTTGCAGCTCTTGATCTTTTCCTATTGTCTAATGGAAATAAAGAAGGTTCTTTGATAACCTGCTATGAAACACCTGGTCAAAGCAAAAAGACTGAGAATGGAAAATGAAAAATCAATTGTTCAGCTTTACAAAGAGTGTTCTTATTTCTTAGAAATAAAGTCTTGTTGGAGAATAGAGTTTAGAATCAAAGGAGGCTAAGATCTTGTTAAAAACAGACACACATACTCAATACCTGCTTACACATTTATTCAAAGATGTGTGCAAAAACACACTCACACACACACTCAC
This sequence comes from Homo sapiens, assembly GCF_000001405.40. Lineage (NCBI taxonomy): Eukaryota > Metazoa > Chordata > Mammalia > Primates > Hominidae > Homo > Homo sapiens. Next base: position 95,843,666 of record NC_000023.11, on the reverse strand, counting down.
ATTCACACACAGACTGACAGCTCCTGCTGGAATTACTTAATGTTTTCAACAGTCATCAAGCAATCTGGCAGAGACTCAGAATATTCCAATGCTTTAGTAGTTTGAACTTCCAGATTGAGTCACTGAAGTAAACTATTTTATTTCGCTCTCATTACTTTGGCCGCCTCCTCAACGATCTCTACAGTAGCAAACGTGAAACTGTTATTAGCATAGGAAATGGCATGGTATTAGGTAGATAGAAGCCCCTCTCTAAGAATTGCTTATTCAAATAAGCTTACTCTGAGAATAGGCAACTACAAATTGAAAAAGGCTTGTGATCATACTGGTTCTTCCCAAACAGAAAAATGTGAATGTTTCAATTTTGCAGATTAAAAAGGATAACCTTAAGGACAAATATTGGAATTTTCTCCAACCAGAGCTACATTATTTTCAATTAAACTTTATATTTTGAGATAATTGTCAGAGCTGCATTCTGGCTTCTGACTAATGTTCCCTTATTACATTGTATAGCCCTAAAGAATATGGGTGGAATTCCCAAGTGAAGGGCTAACCCATTGGGGATTAGATAGACTGAGGAAAATGAGTCTCCTTGCCATATTTGATAACAGGCAGTATTCAATAATGTTTGTAAGCCCTAGCTTTAGGGTCAGATAGATCTGAATTTGAATGCCACTTCCTAGCTCTGTGACCGCAAATTAGTCACTGATAACCTAAACATGATAATACATACCTTATAAAGTTCTTGTGATTACTTAATATGCAAATTACTAATATTATTATTGCCCTTATTGTCATTACTATTATCATTCTATATAGATCAGCTCTGTCCCTCATAATTAAGTAATATGTTATAATAAATTATAGCTTTAGGCACTTAATAAAGCCATGGATGCTGTTCAACAGGAGCCCAGCATGATAAAACAAATATAGAGAATGTTGACAATTAGTGGCTCTGGAAGAAGGGAAGTTCTTTATACTAGTCTTGCAACTTTTCTATCAGTTTGTAATTTAATCAAAGTAAAAAAGTTACAAAGGTACCTAAACATACAATGTCTTTGAATTCCTGCAGAGTGCTTGTCACTAGGCAGTAACCCAGAAACCATGGAGACCCGGAGAGTTTATAATTCATTTTGTTATAAATAGTCTGAGTATAGCACCTCTATTGGGTTTTATGCTTGTTGATATATTTGTCTTATTGTGATGATTTCCCTAATACTGAGAGAGGGGGAATTATCCAAACATTTAAGGTGTATTAATTTTGAACAAGTTTGCATCAGCACTCAGGATGGGAATGATGATATCAGCTGGAAGACTTCTCTGCAGTAAGTGGTCTCTCTGAAGTCTGGGAATCTTTTGCTCCCTGGGAACTCTCTAGATATTTTTTTTGTTTGTTTGTTTTAAACTCCCCCCCCCCCCATAGTGTAATACAAAGTTCCCAATAAAAAGACTGATCATTGTAGTGCCTTTTCCCAGCCTCACTGCCAGCTAGAAAAACATTGAAGCTTTTCAAATAAATTCTCTTCCAGCCTGGAATGCTTTACCTGGGAAAGTTTTATAATCTATTATAGAGTTTCAAGAGTAAATCTAAAACAACCATGAAAGTGCCTTTACATTGCAAAGAAAGCCTTGGGTAAACTTTTCATGTGCTTCCAAGTTCCCTTTCCTCAATAAATCAGGTAAGGTCTGTGAAAGTTTGCAAACATGTAAAGGCAAACTATATTACTTTGATTTCACTTTTGAATTTAAAATGGGATCATCCTTGGACATGAAGGCCAGATTCCAGACATAAGACCCCTTGGAATATCTCCAAAACGCAATGTTGAGAACTTAGTTCCAAGAAAAAGAATTGGCTGATACTTCTGTCTGTGTCAGTTTCTATGAACAAGTCCCTTAGTTGGTTGAATCATTTCCTGTCCTTCACCTGTTTGGAAAGAATTTGTAAGGACAAAAGCTATAAAAATGTTTAATTATTTGGTTTCAGAAACATATAATGCAATTTAAAAAGCACCAGAGATTTTTGATGCCTCTGTGGGAAGCCCATGCAAGGGAAGTTGATACAAAATGTATACAAAGTATTCACCACATGGGTATGCCATCTTGATAAAAAATAATTCTTCTGTATAGAAACCCTGATAGAACAGGAGTTTCACAATTCTGATTATTACATTATTTTTGTTGTTTGTTGGAAGTAGAAATTCCTTGTTATTACCTATTTGGGAAAATGAACTACTATATTTGATGAATCCTTGAATTCCCCTGGCCACACATACTGACACCTAACATATGGTAAGTCTTGCTAAATAAACTGATCTTTTATCAAATGCCCATGTGAATTCACATTGTAGTGCCATAAGGTGTGGGGGGGGGGCTTTCTTTCCAAGGTTTGCGGTCATCATCTGATATTGATGACAGGGAGCACGAATTAAAGTTTGGTTTTGAGTTTCTGGGTTCTGAACACTTTACACCTTATTTTGTGAGGAAAAAAATGGCACCTCAATCCTATAGTGTTCTCAGTGAACATAATGTACATTCTCTTTTAATAGCTTTTATAGTCTCCATTTTTTATTAATGCACCCTGAATATGCTGTGCTTTTTATTGTGAATAACCAATAAAGGATGGCTGTAAAAACAGTCCTAACACTATACTATTTTCTTCCATACTTTTATCTCCTACTGTAAACTTAGATGCTGCTCAGAAATGCGATTAAAGAAAAATGAACTCACAAAGAAAACATTTAAGGCTATGACAACAGCCCATTCAGCTTTCCATGGCTTCTTTCACTGGACATATTCATAACAGTGTAATGTTTGTTTGGCTTATTTCTCTACATTATCTTTCTTATTTATAATTATCTAACATCAATTATTTTAAAATTGCATATAGAATTTGAAGGTAGGCATTTCCTGGGCATCTTAACACCAAACAGTGGTTAATATTAGTTACTTGTAGTGAGACTAAAAGGTTACCCTGAGATAAAAATGTTTCCAAAGTATGACTCAATCCCTTGGGATGTAAGAGGACCTGCACTTTAAATCTTTACTGCCCAGTAAGCTACACTACCACGTAAGCATGCTATCAGCAAAAACTAACTAATTACCTAGTATGTGCAAGGCACAAAGAGGAACAAAGAGGCATAAAACATAGCCCCTGACCTCAGGCAAGGTATAACATATTTTGGAGAAGACAGAATATAATTTAGTAATATGCGTAGGCAATAATTGTTTAAGACTCACAGAAGAGAAAGAATATCGGTAGGCTTAATTTGCAAGGAAAGTTTCCCTATAAAAGTAGGATTTGGACTAAATCTGGAAGAATTCTTAATGGTAAACAAGATAGAAAGGATTAAAACGACCATGCAAGCTCCAAAAGTAGGAAGGCAGGACTGTGTTTTGGAGGACAAAAAGTAAAATCTTTTTATATCTTTATTTTTTAATTTTATTTTTTTTCAGGCATATAGACATACATATCCATTATACAACAGAAAAGGGGGCTGGAAAAGAAAGGTCAAGTGAGATTTCAGATATTCTTAAATGCAAGGCTGACAAATTTGGGCTTGATTCTGTAGCTGATAGAAATCCATGGAAGGCTTTTGAGCAGGAGGGTAACATGATTTAAGAAAATCACACAGTGATGTGTGGGATCATGGGGAAGGGAGAAACTGAAAGCAAGGAGGCTTCCAAGGTTCTACCCTCATCCTTAGACCATGAAGGAGGGCATGCAGCCCTGAGCCTAGCGCTTTAGAGAACAACTGCATATTAGAAACCCAAAGGATAAGTATATTAAGGAACACAGGGTTGACTGTAGCACTTGGGGTCTAGTACTCAGTGCTGAACATCTCCTTCCATGCCCAACATATTTCAATTCCAGGGAAATGATTTGCTACATTTCTTGCCCTATTCCTTAAAAAAAAAGTGATGCCATATGCAAAGGATTTTTGACTGTGCTGCAACCTACAATGGAGATCTGAGCCACAGAACTGGTTAGGTAACAGAAAAGACTATTCAAATCCTTTCTCTAGGTGGCATGAATGACTGATTTCTTCCCCAAATGAGATATTATTCCCCAGTAGTGCCTTGAAAATGCTTACTGAATTCTTTTCATGTTCCTATTCATGATTCCAGAGGAACTCATGAATTTGCATGGTATTCATAAGAGTTGCACATTGTAGTTGAAGAATGTCTTGCACTATCGAACAATTTATACCCTTCAAAGTATATATAGGTAGACCTAGACATATAATGCATGAATCATTGATACCAGTTGTATATATTGGCAATTAGACAGACATTAGTTTTGTTTGTGCATATTAATATATTTAGTTCAATTTTTGATAATAAGAATTATAGCTTTATTTAAATAGCTTTGAATTATTTTTAAATTCATGAATTTTAAATAATATCTAGCAATTTAATAGATAGAAAAATAACTTTGAAAATATATATTAAAAATAATTACTTAAAATATTTTATCTGTATATTTATTGATGAAAATAATTCAAATACTATACACATTTAATGTGATCATATATATAGTATATATATTACATATATATTCTTTTCAAATAATTTCACCTTTTAGTTTAGATTCAGGAGGTACATGTGTATGTTTGTTACATGGATATATTGTATGATGCTGATTTTGGGGGTACAATTGATCTTATTACCCCACTACTGAGCATATTACCTAATAGTTTTTCAATCCTTGCACCCATCTCTCCCTTCTCCCTCTAATCCCCACTAGTCCCCAGTGTCTATTGTTACAATCTTTATGTCCATGAGTACCCAGTGTTTAGCTCCCACTTATAAGTGAGAACATGTGGTATTTGGTCTTCTGTTCCTGCATTAATTTGCCTAGGATAATGGCCTCCAGCTCCATCCATGTTGTTGAAAAGAACATGAGTTCATTCATTTTTATGGCTGTATTGTATTCCATGGTGTATATATACCACATTTTCTTTATCCATTCTACCATTGATGGGCACCTAGGTTGATTCCATGTCTTTACTATTGTGAATAGTGCTATGATGAACAGATGAGTGCATGTGCCTTTTTGGTAGAACAATTTATTTTCTTTTGGATAAATATCCATAAATGGGATTTCTGGGTCAAATAGTACTTCTATTTTAAATACTTCAAGAAATCTCCAAACTGCTTTCCACAGTGGCTGAACTAATTTACATTCCCACCAAGAGTGTATAAGCATTCCCTTTTATCCACAGCCTCATTATTTACGTTTCTGTGATGATTAGTTATGTTGAGCATTTTTCCATATGTTTGTTGGCTGTTTGTATGTCGTAAAAGGAAAATAAATCTTGGAGCCACCAAATCACTAAACTAAAGGGAAGAATCAACCCGTGAACTGTTTAGGGCCAATCTGCCTCCCATTCTACTCAAAGTCACCCCTCTGCTCATTGAGATAAATCCATATCTGATTGCCTCCTTTGGAGAGACTAATCAGAAACTCAGAAGAATGCAACCATTTGTCTCTTATCTATCTGTGACCTGGAAGTCTCCTCCCCACTTTGAGTCTTCCTGCCTTTGCTTAGAGTTGTCATGCCTTTCCAGACTGAGGCAATGTTCATCTTGGATATGTTGATTGATGTCTCCCATCTCCATAGAATGCGTAAAACCAAACTGTGCTGACTACTTTGGGAACATGTCATCAGGACATCCTGAGGCTCTGTCAAAGGCGTGTGTCCTCAACTTTGGCAAAATAAACTTTCTAAATTAACTGAGACCTGTCTCAGCTTTTCAGGATTCACAATGTCTTCTTTTGAAAAGTGTCTTTGTGTCTTTTGCCCATATTAATGGGGTTATTTGTTTTCTGCTTGTTCAATTGTTTAATTTTCTTATAAATTTTAGATACTAGGCCTTTGTCAGATGCATAGTTTATACACATTTTCTCCTATTTGGTAGGTTGTCTGTTTACTCTGTTGATAGTTTCTTTTGCTGTGCAGAAACTCTTTAAACAGGTGACCAAGATGGCCAACTAGGAACAGGTACTGTGCATGGCTTTCACAAAGAGGAACAAAAGGGGTGAGTAGATATAGCACCTTCAACGGAAGCATCCAAGTACTCGCATTGGGACTAATCAAGGGAACAACTCGACCTATGGAGAATGGAAAAATGCAAGGAAGAACAATGGCCCAGTGGGGAGCAGCACAGAGCCAGGAGAATCTCCCCCACCCAGAGAATTGGCGAGTGAATGTGAGACCCAAGGAACCCATGTTTCTAACATTGATCTTTCTTACGCTTGGGTCAGGAGATCCCCTTGTGAACCCACTCCACCAGTACCTGTGGCACACAGAACTACACAGAATCTCAACAGAGAAGCTGCTCAAGCACATGTGGAGACCCTGGAGTCTTAGATACTCAGGCTCTCAGGGCTTCTCAGCAAAAGTAACTGCAACTCCTGCAAAGTGGGAGGTTAGACCCCTAAGAAAGAGGCTAAATTCAGAGGGCTGGACAGTGACAGTCTGCATGTCCCACTTCCAGGGCACCTCACAAGGTAAGACCCACTGGCTTGGAATTCCAGCCAGCTACCGGTAGCAGTATGCACCTCCTCGGGTGGAGCTCCCAAGATGAGGGTCAGGCCTTCATCTTTGTTGTTTAGGTGACTTAGCCATTCCAGCCTTTGGGCTTTGGCAAGTCCAAGCTGACTGGGGGTTGAAGCAGCACTCCAGCACAGCAGAGCTGCTGTATGAAAACTTGGCCAGACTGTTACATGTCCTCCAAATGATGGCACCTGTTTTAAGTGGGTCCACAAACCTGTTCCTCCTCATTGGGTGTGACCTTCCAGCCAGGACCTTCAGCCACTCCTGCTGGTGTTCTCCAGTTGACAGGGTCTTGAAACTTGTCTGGTACAGAGGTCTCAGAGGGAGAGGCAGCCTGCCATATTTGCTGTTTGGGTGACTAGCCATTCCAGCTGTCAGGCTTTGGAGACTCCAAGCTGATTGGGAGGCAGAGGCAGTCCCCAAGCACAGCACAGCCGCTCTGCATAAATGTGACCAGACTGCTTTTTAAAGCTGGTCCTGGATCCAGCACCTCCTCACTGGGCAGGACATCCCAACTAGGGTCTTCAGCCACCCCCACCAGTGCTCTCCAGCCCACAGAGATTTGAAGCCTCCCTGGAACAGAGCTCTCAGAGGGAGGGGTGGGCTACCATCTTTGCTGTTTGGGTGGATTAGCTATTTTGGCCTTTAGGCTTTGGAGAGTCCAAAGTGACCAGGGGCTGAAGTGAACTGCAAGCACAGCACAGCTACTCTTATGAAAATGTGACCGGACTGCTTTTTTAAAGTGGGGTCTCCCAACTGGGGTCCCCAGCTACCTGCGCCAGTGTTCTCCAGCTGGGAGAAGTTTCAAATTTTCTTGGGATGAAGCTCCCAGAGGGAGGGGTGGGTTGCCATCTTTGCTGTTTGGGTGACTTAGCTGTTTCAGCCTTTGGCATTTGAAGTGTCTAAGGCAACAGGGGGCTGAAGCAGACCTCCAGGACAGTACAGCTGCTTTGCAAACACACGGCCAGACTGCTTTTTTAACTGGATCCCCAATCCTGCTCCTCCTCACTGGGTGAGCCTTTTCAACTGGGATCTCCAGCCACCTCCTACAGGTGTGTTAGGGCTGGCCACAGATCTGTATCTCCCTGGGATGGAGCTTCCAGAAGGAGGAGCAGTCTGCCATCTTTGCTATATCACAGCCTTCACTGGTGATACCTCCAGGTACTGGAAAATCCAAGGTGATTACAGACTGAAACGGGCCCCCAGCATATCACAGCAGCCCTGTGGAAAAGTGGTCAGACTGTTATGTGGGTGCCTGTTTCCATATCTTCTCACTGTGCAGATCCTCCAGGTCTGGGCCTCCAGCCATCCCCCGCCAGAGCTATCGAGCCAGTAGCAACTCAGCAATTCCCTGGACAGAGCCTCCAGGGACAATTGGAAGCTCCTTTGTCACTGCTTCTGCAGTGGAACTGCCCTTGCTACCAATGGACTAATGAAGGAGCAAAGACACTAAGTGCTTTATCCACGCCTCCAACAAGCTGCAGTCAACTCAAGAAGAGGAGTTCACTCCATTTCCTATCAGGCTCACAAAAACCCCACTGTTTGTCACTAGACAGAGAACCCCTGGCTTGGGCCCACAGCACAAACCCTCCATCCTGGGCTGATTCCATTAAACGATTGCTGACCTGCATCTCTCTGGGGTGGAGCCCCCAGGAGACAAGCAAAAGACCCCTGGCCACAACCACTACTAAGGTCCCCTTCCTCTGCTGCCTCCAAGTTGGAGACGGAGCATTAACACTGAGATTGCCCCAGAGCTGCAGCGGGCAGACCAGGAGTGCCGAGCCGTGATCTAAAGCCAACACTCAAGAAGGAGAGGAACCCACACTTTCAGAGCATTGAGAGGGAACGTGGCTGCAACTGTGAGGAAACATAGGGGAGCCACACAACCAAGCAAGTCTACCAACTGACCAATAAGCCTAAGTGCCACCTACTGGATCATACCCCAAAGCTTCAATACCAAAAAATTCCTTCCTAACATATGTCCATCTGAAACCAGAGATAAGAAGTCAGCATCGCTGGGCACGGTGGCTCACACCTGTAATCCCCACACTTTGGAAGGCTGAGGTGGGGGGATCACCTGAGGTCAGGAGTTTGAGGCCAGCCTGACCAACATGGTGAAACACTGTCTCTACTAAAATTACAAAAAGGAAATTAGCTGGGCATGGTGGCACGTGTCTGTAATCCCAGCTACTCAGGAGGCTGAGGCATGAGAATTGCTTGAACCCTGGAAGCGGAGGTTGTGGTGAGCCAAGATTGCACCACTGCACTCCAGTCTGGGTGACAGAATGAGACTCTGTCTCAAAAACCAAAACGAAACAAAGCAAAACAAATAAAAAACAAAACAAACATAAAAAAATTCATTGTCAAATAAAATCCCTGCACAAAGCCTCAGTCTGATGAAAACATCCAAAAAAGAAGTCTATTGACTGTACTCAAACTACACTGCAGTTTAAGGAACACCTACATGCAGAGATGAGAAAGAAACAGTGCAAGAACTCTGGTAACTCAAATGGCCAGATTGTCACATGTCCTCCAAATAATGGCACCAGTTCTCCAACAAGAGTTCTTAACCAGGCTGAACTGGCTGAAAAGACAAATTCAGACTATGGATATGAACAAAGATTATTGAGATTCAGGAGGATGGCAAAACCCAATCCAAGAAATTAAGAATCACAATAAAGCAATACAGGTGCTGAAAGATGAAATAGCCAATATAAAAAAGAACCTAACTGGTCTGACACAGCTGAATAACACGACACAAGAATTACATAATGCAATCACAAGTATTAACAGTAGACTAAACCAAGCTGAGGAAAGAATCTCATAACTTGAAGGCTGGTTCTCTGAAGTAAGACAGTCAGACAAAAATAAAGAAAAAAAGAATGAAAAGGAATGAACAAAATATCTGAGAAGTATGAGATTATGTAAAGAGGTAAAATCTACAAATCACTGGTATCCCTGAAAGGGAAGGGGAGAAAGCAAGCAACTTGGAAAACATATTTCAAGATATCATCCATGAAAACCTCCCCAGCCTTGCTAGAGAGGCCAATAGTCAAACTCGGGAAACACAGAGAACTACACAAGAAGATCATCCCCAAGACACATAGTTGTCAGATTTTCCAAGGTTCAAAATGAAAGAAAAAATTTTAAAGGCAGCTAGAGAAAAAGGGCAGGTCACCTGCAAATGGAACCCCACTAGGCTAACAGTAGACTGCTCAGCCGAAACCCTACAAGACAGAAGGGACTGGAGGCCAATAGTCAACATACTCAAAAAAAAAAAAAAAAAATTCAGCCTAGCATTTCATGTCCTGCCAAAACTAAGCTTCCTAAGTGAAGGCACAGAGTGGCAAGCTGGATAAAAAAGCAAGACCCAATGGTATGTGTCTTCAAGAGATGCATCTCACATGTAATTACATGCATAGGCTCAAAATAAATGGATGGAGGAATGTCTACCAAGCAATTGGAAAACAGAAAAAATCAGGGGTTGCAATCCTAACTGCAGACAAAACAGACTTCAAATCAGCAAAGATAAAAAAAAGGCAAAGAAGGACATTACATAATGAAAAATGATTCAGTTCAACAAGAAGATATAACTATTCTACATAGAAATGCATCCAAAACAGGAGCACTCAGATTTGTAAAGCAAGTACTTAGAGACCTGCAAAGAGACATAGACTCCTACACAAAAACAGTGGGAAACTTCAACACTCCACTGACAGAATTAGACAGATCAACGAGGCAGAAGTTTTAACAAAGATATTCAGGACCTAAACTCAATATTGGACCAAATGGATCTGATAGACCTCTACAGAACTCTCCACCCCCTACAAATCCAGATTATATATTCTTCTCATCAACACATAGCACATACTCTAAAATTGACCAGATAATTGACATAAAAAAATTCTCAGCAAATGCAAAAAAGCTAAAATAATAACAAACACACTCTCACACCACAGCTTAATAAAAATAGAAGTCAAGACTAAGAAAACTGCTCAAAACGATGCAATTACATGGAAATTAAACAACATGCTCCAGAATGACTTTTAGGTAAATGATGAAATTAATGAAGATATCAAGAAGTTCCTTGAAACTAATGAGAACAAACATACAACATACCAGAATCCCTGGGACACAGCTAAGACAGTGCTAACTGGAAAATCTGTAGCACTAAATGCTTACATCAAAAAGTTTGAAAGATCTCAAATTAACAATATAATATCAAAAATGAAAGAATTTGAGAAGCAAGAACAAATCAACCCCAAAGCTAGCAGAAGACAATAAATAACCAAAACCAGAGCTGAACTGAAGGAAATCAAAATACACAAAAAAATTCAAAAGATTAATGAATCCAGGAATTGGTTTTTTGAAAAAAATATTAAGATAGGCTATGAGCTAGACTAATAAAGAAGAAAAGAGAGAAGATCCAAATAAACATAATTAGAAATGACAATGGGAATGTTACCACTAACCCCACAGAAATAAAAATAACCATTAGAAACTACTACAAACACCTCTATGGTCACAAACTGGAAAACCTAGAAGAGATGGATACATTCCTGGACATATACACCCTCCCAAGACTGAACCAGAAATAAATTGATTTCCTGAACAGACCAATAATGAGCTCTGAAATTGAATCAGTAACAAATAGCCTGCCACCACCACCACCAACAAAAAAAAAAGCCCAGGACCTGATGGATTCATAGCTGAATTCTACCAGATGTACAAAGAAGAGCTAGTACTATTCTTACAGAAACCATTCCAAAAAATTGAGGAGAAGGGAGTCCTCCCCAACTCATTCTGTGAGGCCAGCATCATCCTGATACCAAACCTGGTGGAGACACAACAAAAAAAATAAAACTCTAGACCAATATATTTGATGAACATTGATGCAAAAATACTCACCAAAATACTTACAAACTAAATCCAGCAGCACATCAAAAAGCTAGTTCACTATGATCAAGTAGGTTTTATCCCTGGGATGCAAAGTTGGTTCAACATATGCAAATCAGTAAATGTGACTTATTACATAAACATAACTAAAGACAAAAACAACACGATTATCTCAATAGATGCATAAAATGCTTTCAATAAAATTCAACACCGCTTCATGTTAAGAACTCTCAATAAACTAGGTATTGGAGGAACAAACCTCAAAATAATAAAAGCCATCTATGATAAACCTACAGCCAACATTATACTGAATGGGCAAAAGCTGGAAGCATTCTGCTTGAAAACTGTCATAAGACAAGGATGTCCTCTCTCACCAATCCTATTCAACTTAGTATTGGAAGTCCTAGCCAGAACAATCAAGGAAGATAAAGAAATAAACGGCATCCAAATAGGAAGAGAGGAAGTCAAAATATCTCTGTTTACAGATGACATAACTCTATTTCTGGAAACCCTTGATAAATGACTTCAGCAAAGTTTCAGGATGCAAAATTAATTCACAAAAATCAGTAGCACTCCTATACACCAACAACAGGCAAGCGAGAGTGAAATTACCAATGAACTCCCGTTCACAATTGCCATGAAAAGAATAAAATACCTATGAATACAGCTAAACAGGGAGGTGAAAAATCTCTCTACAATAAGAATTACAAAACAGTGCTCAACAAAATCAAACATGGCACAAAAACAAAATGAAAAAAACATCTCATGTTCATGGATAGGAAGACTCAATATCATTAAAATGGCCATGCTACCCAAAGTAATTTCCTATCAAACTACCAATGACATTCTTCTCAGAACTAGAAAAACCTATTTTAAAATTCATATGGAACCAAAAAGAGCCCAAATAGCCAAGGAAATTCTAAGCAAAAAAGAACAAAGCTGGAGGCGTCACTTTACCCAACTTCAAACGATACTACAGGGCCCCAGTAATCAAAACAGCATGGTACTGGTACATAAACAGGCACGTAGACCAATGGAACAGAATAGAGTGCCCAGAAATAAGGCTGCACACCTTCAACCATCTGATCTTCAACAAAGCTGACAAAAACTAGCAATGGGGAAAAGACTCCCTATTCAGTTAACTGGTGCTGTCATAACTGGCTAAGCCATAGGCAGAAGACTGAAGCTGGACTCCTTTCTTACACCATATACAAAAATCAACTCAAGATGGATTAGAGATTTAAATGTAAAGCACATAACTATAAAAATCCTGGAAAACAACCTAGGCAATAGCATGATGGACATAGGAACAGGCAAAGATTTCATGGCAAAGAAGCCAAAATCAGTCATGGCAAAAGCAAAAATTGACATCTAATTAACCTTAAGAGCTTCTGCACAGCAAAAGAAACTATCAACAGAGTAAACAGATAACCTACAGAATGGGAGAAAATTTTTGCAATCTATCCATCCGACACAGGTCTAATATCCAACATCTATGAGAAACTTAAACAAATTTACAAGAGAAAGACAAACCCATTAAAAAGTGGGCAGAGGACCTGAACAGACACTTTGCAAAAGAGGACATGTATACAGCCAACAATCATATGAAAAAAGCTCAACCTCACTGATCATGAAAGAAATGCAAATCAAAACTACGATGAGATACCATCTCACACCAGTCAGCATGGCTATTATTAAAAACAAAAAATAACAGATGCTGGTGAGGTTGTCAAGAAAAGGGAAAACTTATACACTGTTGGTGGGAGTGTAAATTAGTTAAACCATTGTGGAAAGCAGTATGCTAAAAGCGGAAATACCATTTGACCCAGCAATGCCATCACTGGGCATATATCCAGAGGAATATAAAGCATTCTACCATAAAGACACATGCATGCAAATGTTCATTGCAATACCATTCACAATAGCAAAAACATGGAATCAACCTAAATGTCCATTGATGACAGATTGAATAAAGAAAATGTGGTACATATATACCACTACACAGCCATAAAAAAATGGTACCATGTCTTTTGTGGGAAACATGGATGGAGCTGGAGGCTATTATCTTTAGCCAACAAATGCAGGAAAAGAAAACCAAATACTGCATGTTCTCGCTTATAAGTGGGAGCTAAATGATGAGAGCTTATAAAACAAAGAAGGAAACAGCAGACGCTGGGGTCTGCTTGAGGGTGGAGGGTGGGAGGAGGGAGAGGAGCAGAAAAGATAACTCTTGGGTACCAGGCTTAATTCCTGGGTTTTGAAATAATCTGTACAACAAATATCTGTGACATGAGTTTATCTATGTAGCAAACCTTCACATGTACCCCTGACCCTAAAATAAAAGTTTTTAAAGAAACGAAAACTCATTAGTTTAGTTAGGTCCCACTTGCCAATTTTGTTTTTGTTGCAATTGTTTTTGAGGACTTAGTAATGAATTATTTCTCAAGGCTGATGTCCAGAATGGTGTTTCCTAGGTTTTCTTGTAGGATTCTTATAGTTAGAGGTCTTATATTTAACTATTTAATCTATCTTTTGTTAATTTTTATATATGGTGAAAGGTAGGAGTCCAGTTTCATTATTCTCCATATGGCTAGCCAGCTATCCCAGCATCATTTATTGAATAGGGAATCACTTCCCCATTGCTTACTTTTGTCAACTTTCTCGAATATAAGATGACTGTAGGTGTGCAGCTTTATTTCTGGATTCTTTAACCCTTTCCATGGATCTATGTGTCTGTTTTTGTACCAGTGCTATGCTGTTTTGATTACCATATCCTTATAGTGTAGTTTGAAGTTGGATCATGTGATGCCTTGGGCTTTGTTCTTTTTTGCTTAGGATTGCTTTGGCCATTCAGGTATCTTTTGGGTTTCATAAAAATTTTAGAATAATTTTTTCTAGTTCCATGAAAAATGATGATGGTTTCTTGATAGGCATGGTGTTGAATCTGGAGATTGCTTTGAGCAGTATGGTCATTTTAATATTGATTGTTCCAATCTATGAGCATGGAATGTTTTTCCATTTGTTTGTCTCATCTGTGATTTCTTTCAGCAATGTTTTATAGTTCTCCTTGTAGAGATCTTTCACCTTCTTGGTTAGATGTATTTCCAGGTATTTTATTTTTGTGTGTGGATATTGTAAATGAGATTGCATTCTTCATTTGGCTCTGAGCTTGAGCATTATTGATGTATAGAAATGCTACTGAATTTTTCACATTGAGTTTGTAACCTGAAACTTTACCTAAGTCATTTATCAGTTCCAGGAGCTTTTTGGCAGAGTTTTTAGGGTTTTCTAGGTATAGCATTGAAGAGAGATGTTTGATTTGTTCTTTTCCTATTTAGATACCTTTTATTTCTTTCTCTTGTCTGATTGCTTTGGTTAGGACTTTCTATATTTATTTTTAAGCCTTTGATTCAGTACAGTCAATAGGACCCAACTTGTGTAAGAAACTTGATTATAAAGTCATAATTAATGATTTTGCTGAAGTGAAAGTAGAAAAAAATAATTTATGAAATAAATAATATATAGATGTATCATTTTTATACAAGTTCATCTTATGACTCAACCAACGTTCCTGGACCATGAAGGGACATACAGACATGTGCAATAACAACTAAATTTAGTCATCTTTGTGATTTTGTCAACATTCAGTCATATGGAAATCACAGCTTTACACATATTTTAGATTTATTATTAGAAAGGTATACTTGTCAATGTAGGAGGATAGAACATATTTTATTCAGCAGTTTTGTAAGCTTGATTGTAAATATTTGGGCATATGATATATGAGTCTCCATTTGTACTCTTGCCCTATGTTCCTATTAGGAGTCTGCCTGAGTGAGAGCTCTTTTGCAAGAAATTTTTCTTTATGCTTTGTGTCTGTGTGTTTGTTTTAGTTATGCATTGTGAGGTGTTTCAAGGTATAATTTACATAAAATACCAAACATGATTTTAAATATACAGTTTGATGAGTTTTGACAAATATATAAACACTCTTGTAACCACCAACAAAATCAATATATAAAACATTTTTATCTCCTCAGAAAGTTCGCTTGGGTCTCTTTCCTGGCAATTAATCTCCCACTTCCCAAATGGTAGCAGAAGCAACTGCTGTTTTTATTTCTACCACAATAGATTAGTTTTGCTTCTGAAACTTCATATAAATGGAATTATAAAGAATTACATTTTGTGCCTGCCTTCTATCAATCAATGTAGTGATTCTGAGTTTTATACATGCTGCTGCTTACATCATTAAAGTTCCTTTTTATTATTGAATAGTATTCCACTGTATGAATATATTATAGTTTGTTTTCCATTCAGTTGTTGATACAATTTGACTTGGTCTGGTTTGGGGTTTACACGAATAAAGCTGCTATGAACAATTTTGCATTCACCACATTTTGTGTGTTTGTTTGTGTGAAGTTTTCATTTCTGTTCAGTAAATCCTTAGGAGTGGATTGTAGAACAGATATATATTCAACACTCTAAGAAATTGTCAAATAAGTTTTCTAAGGTAATTATAGCATTTTACAATTTCATTAGGAATGTACGAAAGTTTCAATTGCTCTACTTCCATGCTGATGTTGAGTATTTTAAGTATTTTTAATTTTCGCCATTCTAGTGACTGTGAAATGGTATCTCACTGTGATTTTAATCTACATTTCTCTTACATATAATGATACTGATCTCTTTTTCATGTGCTTATTGGCCATTTGTATGTCTTTTTAAAAAATGCATTTCAAGACTCCTTTCCCCATTTTTATTGGATTGTTTGTATATTATGGTGTTTAGGAGTTCTTTACATATTATGCATATATGTTATTTATCAAATATATGTATTGCAAATATTTTCCCCTCATATATGGCTTGCCTCTTTCATTTTACTAATGGTGTTTTTCAATAAATAAAGGTTTTTATTTTAGTTTTTGTTTGATGAAATCAAATTTACTTTTGTTTTAGCTAGTGCCTCTGTGTTCTAAAAACTTTGCCTGGCCGGGTGCGGTGGCTCATGCCTGTAATCCCAGCACTTTAGGAGGCCGAAGTGGGCACATCACCTGAGGTCGGGAGTTCGAGACCAGCCTGACCAACATGGAGAAAGCTTGTCTCTACTAAAAATGCAAAATTAGCTGGGCATGGTGGCGCATGCCTATAATCCCAGCTACTCGGGAGGCTGAAGCAGGAGAATTGCTTGAACCTGGGAGGCGGAGGTTGCAGTGAGCCAAGACCGCGCCACTGCACTGCAGCCTGGGCAACAGGAGCAAAATTCCGTCTCAAAAAATAAAAAAAAAAAATTGCCTATCCCAACATCGCAAAAATATTCTCCTTTGTTTACTTGTTTTTTAAATAGATTTTTGTTTTTTTAAAGTAGTTTCAGGTTCACAGTAAAATTAAGAGGAAAGTATAGGGATTTCCTATATTCCCCCTTTCACCCTGCAACATGCATAGTCTCCATCCACGACTATCAACATCCCACACCACAATGGTACATTTATTACAATTGATGCACCTAAACTGACATATCGCTGTCACCTAAAGTTCATATTTTACATTAGGATTCACTCTTGGTGTTGTATATTCTATGGATTTGGGCAAATGTATAATGCCATGTATCCATCATTATAGTGTGCAAAGCAGTTTCACTGCCCTAAAAATCCTCTGTGTCTGTACCTTCTTCTCAGTTTTGCTGTGAAACTAACGCTTAAAAATTGAGGCTTTGAAATTAAAGTATATTATAAAACAAACAGTGCTTTAGGGAGGAGGGTATGGAGAATCAGAAAGGCTAAGTAATTTTTGTCACAGTCAACAACTAAAGGAGATGGCGCCAGTATGCAAACTCAGGCAGGTACTTCCAAATGTAGACTTTTTTCAGGTCCTCCGGTGGCCTGTATTCTGGATTTCACATTCCTTTTATGCCAGGACTAATATTCTCTGACTTGGTCTACAAGGCAAACTTTGAGGGATATTATCTCCACTCATGTATGCAGATGTGGAAATACAACGTGAGTCTGAGATTTTGCCACAGTTTCATAAAAGGTGAAATAGTGAAAATATTTCTCCAAGAAAGCTTTTGTGAGTAATAGCTGCTGGGTGTACTTGTCTCTTCCTCTTTATCTTCTCTTTCTTCTCCTTTTCTTCCTCTAAATCTCTCTTTTCAGCTTCTTTTAGCTTAATTCCATGATCCATTAAAAAAAATTTTGTGCTCCAACCTATTGATTCCTCCCTCACCCCTAAACCCTGGCAAACACAAACCTTTTAATTATTTCCACAGTTTTGCCTTCACCAGAACATCATATAGTTGGAATCACACAATATATAATCTCAGATTAGCTTCTTTCACTTAATAATATGCATTTAAGATTTCTCCATGTCTTTTCATTCCTTGGTAGCTCTTTTCTTTTTATCACTGAATAATATTTCATTGTCTGGATATACCACAATTGATTCATCCAGTCACCTGCTGATGAATATCTTGGTTGTTGCCAAGTTTTGCACATTATTAATTAATGCTATAAGCATTTGTTTGCAGGCTGTTATGTGGACATAAATTTTCAACTCCTTTGGGTAAATACCGAGGAGTGTGACTGCTGGATCATATGGTAAATGTATGTTAAGTTTTCTAAGAAACTGCTAATGTATCTTCCAAAGTGGCTGCACCATTTTGTATTTCCAACAGCAACAAATGATAGTTCCTGTATATCCATATCTTTGCCACCATGTCAGTGTTCTGGATTTTGGCCATTCTAAGAGGTGTGTAGTGGTATCTTATTGTTGTTTTAGTTTATATTTCCCTGACAGCATATGATATGGAACATCTTTTCATATGCTTATTTGCCATCTTTCTTTCTTCTTTGGTGAGGTGTCTGTTAAGGTTTTTGGCCCATTTGTTTACTTTTTCTAGAAGATTTATAATATAGTTTTATATATAATAAATATAATATGCTATAATAATATATATTATATATAGTAATATAATAACAATATAATATATGTTATAATAAACTAGTTTTGCATTTAGATATATGTATTGTCAATAATTAATTTTGGTGTGTGTTGGGATATAAGAGTCTAGTGTCATACTTACTGAATTGCTTTGCTTCGCTTTTACTTTTGGGGTTTGTGTGTATGTGTGCCGTTTTGTATTTGCTTTTCTGCTATTTAGGAAATGTTTTATTTTTTTCTGATGTTTGCATTTATAATAATAACTTTATGTGCAATGCTTAACTTTCTATTTATTTAGACTATATCTAAATGAAAACAACATTAAATAATTTATTTCTCCTTTCTTTCCTTCTTTTCACTCAATACTCAAAACTATTCTCTTTATTAACATTTACTTTTTTACTGTTACATGCTTTAATCAATTACTGCACAATGGTAACTTCTAATTATTTTAGATAAGTCAGTCAATGAGACACTCTGAGGCACTCTGTTTCCCATCTTCTTTCCAACTTTGACTGCTCATTGTTTTTCATAATCATTTTTGAGACATAATTCATTATCATAAAACTTACCCAATTAAAATTTACAGTTGAATGATTTTATTATATTCACAGAGTTCTAGAAATATTATTAAAGTCTAATTTTAGAACATCTTCATCATCCCAAAAGGAAACTCTGTACCTGTTAGCAATCCTTCTCCCTCTTCCTCCATCCCAACCTCTAGAAACCTTTAATCTAGATTCTGTTTCTATGAATTTGCTTATTCTGGACATTTATATAAATGAGATCATATAATATATGACCTTTTGTACCTAGTTTCTTTCACTTAGCATAATGTTTTTGAGTTCCATTGATGCTGTAGCTTGTATCAGCACTTCCTAACTTTTTAATTATGAAATCATACTCCATTTTATGGATATAGAACATGTTATTTATCTAGTCATAGGATAAACAATAAATTTATACTTTTTACATAAATAAATAAATGGATGGATATATGGGTTGTTTCCACTTTGGGGCTATTATGAATTATCTTGCTCTGGTTATTCATGTACAAGTTTTTGTATGAACATAACGTTCTCAATATTTTCAGTTAGATACATAAGGAGTGAAACTACCGAGTCATATGGTAACTCTGTGCTTAACCATTTTGAGGAATTGTCAATCTGTTTTCCAAAGTGGATGCACCATTTTATATCCTTACCAGAAGTGTATGAATTTAATAATTTCTGCACATCTCCAACACTTGCTATTTCCTATTTGGTTTTTGTGTTTTAATTATAGCCACCCTAGTGGGTATGAAGTGATATTACACTGTGGTTTTGATTTGCATTTTTCTAATGCCTAATGATGAACATCTTTTCATGTACTTGTTGGCTATTTGAGTATCTTATTTGGAGATATGCAATGTCTATTCAAATCCTTTGCATATTTTGTATTGGTTTAGTTGTCTTTTATTATTGGTTTATTAGTCTTTAATGTAATCTGGATACTAGTCCCTTCTTAAATATATGACTTTCAAATAATTTCTCCCATTGTGTGGGTTGGTTGTACTTTGACTTTGTTGATGGTACAATTTGTAGCGCATCTTAAAAACTTTTTGATATAGTTCAGTTTAGCTATTTGTTTCTTTTGTTGTTTGTACTTTTAGTGTTATATCCAATAAATCACTGCCTAACTCAAGTTACTAAAAAATTACCCCTGTGTTTTCTTCTAAGATCTTTCTAGTTTTAGACCTTACAGATTTAGACTTCATTTTATGTATTTCCAAAGTTTTACAGTGGTACCATTTTTATGTTATCACATACATATATCATACATCATATGTATATGTCATATACATTATATGTTCTGTATGACATATATGACATGTATATTTAATGAAGGAGAATATTTGGTGTTCCATGGCAATATTTGTTGGTGAATGTTCTTGTTCCACAAGGTGCTACTACTTTTTTCCACCTTTTTCCTTAATTTATACTAATGCTATCACTACTTTCATTTTAGAATGTGTTAGAATTAATCAAGCCCACCTAATTGGAGGAAGTTCATTCAGAAATGTACTTTTATTTGGCATTTTCTGATACTGACCACCCCTGGGTGCTTTTACTCTACTTTCTGTGTCTTATTGATACCTCACTCCATGTGGCTTCTGTAACATAGCTGACCTCTTGGCACTCCCTCTCATCTCAAACCGACAGCAACTTTTGTAAGCAAGAGCGATAGAGTTACGACCTTTGATTAGCATCTGAGCATGTATATCTTGCCAGTGTTTTCAAAGATATGCTGCTGTTGGACTTCTATTCACTGATCCCTGACAACTTATTGTAGTACTTTACACGCAGGGACTCTGCACCAATCTAAGTTGTGTTATGCAGACATCATGTTTTGATATGTAGATTATAGCTATGGCTTAGTTTCAATGAAACAGGATTTGTGTGATTTTATACATTTATCTTTTTGAATTTTTATTATATTCAAAAGCAAAGAGGAAAACTTTCTGTATTACCCTGCCATAAACATACTAAAAATTATCCTCTTCTCTCTTGCTTCTTTCCCATCACAACACCAATTCTCTATCACCCACAATTTATTCTTCATTTATAATACAGAGTTGTACTTTTTTTTAGTAGAAAACAGATAACAGGTTCTTACAAACCCTGTAACAGACTTATCAAATGTTTTCCTACAATTTATCTATTGTTGTAAGCAGTAGCTTATATCCTAAATTGCAATGTCCAGAAGATAATTAGAAATAATGACTTAGGACCTGGCAAAAAGCCAAAATTAGGGATTTACACATATCTATTATTAACAAGTGCAAGAAGAATCAGTCCTGGGGCTCTGGTGGAGTGGTACTCATGCTAACAATAATTAGCATGTCTAACCTTATGTATAAGTAAAATAATTGGCCAACTATCTACATGGAGTGGTTTTCTACCAAAATGATTTCTGCTTATGATATGTAATAATAAACTATACTATTAGGATTTATTCCATTTTATTAGGCATTGTCCCTTGTTAAAATAAAAAACTCTGTGTTATCAGGTGCTATGGTTTGAATGTGTCCTCTCCAAAATTCATGTTGGCAATAGCAAAGATGTGGAATGAACCTAGGTGACCATAAGTTGTGAATTGGATAAAGAAAATATGGTACACATACATCATGAAATACTACACAGCCATAAAAAGAATGAAATCCTATCTTTTGCAGCAACCTGGATACAGCTGGAGGCCATTATCCTAAGCAAATTAACACGGGAATGGAAAACCAAATATCACATGCTCTCACTTAGAACGTGGGAGCTAAATATTGGGTACACACAGACACGAAGATGTGAGCAGTAAACAGTGGAGACTACTGGAGAAAGTAGAGAGGGAGGGGCTCAAGGGCTTAAAACCTACTTGATGGTACTATGGTCACTACCTGAGTGATGTGATCATTTGGACCTCAAACCTCAGCATCATGCAATATCCATATAACAAACCTGCACATGCAACCTCTGAATTTAAAATAAAAGTTGAAATTGTTTTAAATAAACAAAATGTATATGTTGGAAACTTAATCCCTAGTGCAACAGATGTGGCCTTCGGGGTGGTGTTTAGGTCACGAGGGCTCTGCCCTCATGAAGAGATTAATGCTACTATAAAAAGGACTTGCACGAGTTGTTTTTTTTTTTTCTCTTTTGCTCTTCTGCCATGTGAGGACACAACGTTTGTCCTCTCTTGCCCTTCTTCCTTTTGTCATGTGAGAACATATTAAGAGGGCTCTCAAGAGATGCTAGCACCTTGATCTTGGACTTCCCAGCTTCCAGAATTGTGAGGAATAAATTTCTGTTGTTTATTAATTACCCAGTAGCAGATATTCTTCTATAGCTGCACAAAATGGACTAAGACAGCAGGCAACATAACAAGCCTGTATTTCTCAAAGTGTCATTTAGAACACTATATTCACAAGCTGTAAACAGTTATTCTATGACAAATTACAAATAAGCTTGGGAAACAATAGTTCAAATAAAATGTAACAAGTTAGGGACTTCTCAGACCCTGTAGTAATCTAAGTGTAAGGTAAAATATGTAGTATTTCCAAAACTTATTTGACCATGATCCCTTTCTAAAATAGATCGTTATAATTCATTTTTTTCATTATAGTTTTGGAAATTCCTTACAATGTAAGATTATTTCTCACTGACATAATGCTGGTAAAGGCTACTAAAAGGAGCTCAAAACATTTAAGTTTCAATAAATGAGTGAAAAGGTAAGAAAGAGTTTGGGATCTTTACAATCAAATAATGCAGCACTGTCTGGTCTGGCTTAAGTCTCTAAAATTGTCCTGGATTGATTAGCCAACAGAGAATATGGGCACTGGAAAGCACGTGGGAATATGTCAGTTATACCCTTTGGAACTATTATTTTTATGCTATTAGACCAGGAGCATAGATGAGAGCATAGTAGGCTTTGGATTTATGCAAATCTTCTATAGTTTCTTAACTTGGAAGTCACTTAGAAATATTCCTGTTGCAGTGACATTCACCAAGTGTATTCTTTCTAAACGGTAAAACTGGTATGGAAATAATTTATATTAGGGAACAAAATTTCTGTTTTTATCAATGAAACTATCATTATTGCAGTAACTCAGACTTATAAGTTTGAAATCATCTGTGGCATTTATATCTCCCATGCCCCCATATTAAATCTAGTCCTGCTTCATTAACTTTCTTGCATTTTTTTCCACAGTTCTAGCTCAGAACTCTCATCCCCCTATTTAAAACCATTCCTCATATTATAGTCAGCTTCATCTTCATGAAAAGCTTTTTTTTTGTTCGTTTTTCATTTATATCTGTCTCTTGCTCAGGCACCTTCATGGATACAATATCGAAAACTTTTTCAGATGGCATTCAAGGACTTGTTTCTTAGTCCACACATACTTTTTGGATACTGTGTTCCACAGTCCCCTAATAGGATCCTTTTGCTCCAGTCAGAGAAATCTATTGTCAACTGGCTATATACATTCTCTTTCCAATCATTCTGTCCCCTCCCTATACCTCTTAACCTGTGTAAAACCAACCAATTCTTGAACACTCAGAACAAGCACTATTGCTAGGAAGCCTTCCACAATATCAACACATAGTAACATCCGGTCATTCCAGATTAATTTAGTATTTATGAATCTGTGCTACTGATTCGGGACTAAGTCTCGTTATATCTTGTGTTGTGGTACCTTATTTCCTTAAGTAGATGGGAAGCTCCTTGAAGATAACAACTATGCTGTGTAATTGGTTGTATCATCTAAAACACAAACCAAGTTTTTAAAGAATTCTAGTGAAACAAATACAAATTTTCTTAAATAAAAATGCTTCAAGTGACCATATCTTGATCTCTGAACACAAACTTGAGCATAATAAAAAGAACTTCACTGATTTTTCTTCAAAAACTAAACTTTTTTTCTGTATTCTTATTTTACAGCGGCACAAGAAATTGCATCTATTTTCCCCCTAAGATAGTATCTATCCGTATGATGTTGTGTCCATGCAAAAGCCTCTGATTTATAATTAATACAATTTTCATTTTTATCACTGATTTCTTGTTGACTACAAAAGAATAGTGAAAGATAATTATTTCTGTTGAATTTTGAAAGGGATTCTGTGATGCTTTCATATGAAACTATCTCCCAAACTTAGCACTACTCCATCTCACAGAACTTCATATTCATCTAACTACCAAATGAATAATTCATATTTGTAATAAGCAGAGATGTCATTTCCTTTTCAGAGAGAGTGGAATCATTTTTGATGAACCTAAACTGTTTATCAAAACCACCTTGAAAGTGTTACCTTGATTTCCTTATTGACTAATTATAATTTGAACGTTTGGGCACAGGCTTATGGTACAGATCTGATTGCAGATCTCTAGTCCAGAAAACTTTTCCTTTCTTTATCATTTTCTTTAAAATGAAACCTTTTGAAAAATCCCAGCATTTGAAGTGCTTATGTGAAATACATTTCTCTCAGCTTTCAAGGAAAACTAGTAGGCAACTAGTGTGTGTGTGTGTGTGTGTGTGTGTGTGTGTAAATGGGGGATAGATGGGAGGAGAGAAGTATATAGAGCAATATAGAAGACTACAGTGCAATATAGCTTCCTTTAAAAGGCACAGGAACAGCTCCTCATTAATATGCATATGAGACAACATCATAATAGTTGCCTGGAAACAAAGAAGAGGGCATTGAATAATGAAAAGAATGCTGATGCCCCAGTGCACCAAATGAACTTTAAAACTAGTAGAAAATGGGATGTTGACCAAATTAGCCGATACAGTTCTGTGCCTGAAAATGTATTTTTTAAAACCCCATAGATTTAATTTTTTTCTTACTGCATCATATTTTTATCAATGTTTCACTTAGAGGTAGTTTTAATTGGCCATTCTGAAGATTTGGGGGAAATAGAATTGTAAAGGCCCAAATAAATGTGTTTCAGGTCCATTTCAAATCATATTAATAATAGGGTATCTCTTAGGGCAATCTCTGTCATTAAACATTTATAATCCCACTTTGAAATAGTCTATTCTGTTGAAGAAGGTGCCTGTAAACTTGACAGTTTAAGGCAATGCTTAAAAATTCCCTGTAATGGCAATATGAAACAAAATTGACTTCAAAAAGTTTGGAGTGAGTGATGCAATTCTACTTTGGGTTTTTAAATGAAGGACACAGGAATGCCATACAGTGAGATGAGAGGGTCCCTCTGGCTAAATGTTCTTCCTGGTAAGTGCAAAGAATACTGTATGTATCAAACATGACATGGGTAAGAAAGACAAATGCATATGCTTTTATAAAAACACTAGATCATTTAAGTGTGATTAAAAAAACATGATAGAAGAAATTTGCCCAGGAGTTCTAACTATTTATTGTTCAAAAATGAAATTTACGTATGGTATTATTGTTTCTTTAATTCTATTAAGTAGCTCTTTTTTAAGTACTAAAATATTCTGTTAAGACTAATGCATGTTTGCTTAGTAGCATGTGATTTGACAGAGTCTAATTTCATTTATTCAGTGAGCATTTATCAGTTATGTACTGAGAATCTATTGTGTCAAGAGTCCTTGGTAGTGAGAGATATAAAGATGATAAAGCTCCAATGCTTAAAAGTTGGAGCTCATAGCCCAGTGGAGGAGAAAGTAAGTGAGTAAATAACTATAACCATACAATAAGATGCTATAATGGAATGTTCCCCAACATTTCCCCGAAACATATAGGAAATAAGTTATTTTCTCTGGGAGAATTAGGAAAAGCTTCACTAAAAAAAGTATTTGAGTTGGGTATTAAATGAGGAATAAGATATTTTTGCCAGATAAGAAAAGGAGGAACAGTCTGCCAGGCAAAATAATTTTATGTAAAAAGACAGAGAAGCCTGAAAAAAGTGAGATAAAAAAGGTAGGGTGAAAAAGTGTAACTAAACTGTTGGAAATCTACAGTTGCATCTATTGAATAGGGAGTTTTGTAAAAATACAGATTACCTGATCCTTCTCCTGGAAGTTTGTATTCAATACATCTTGAATAGAAGGAATCTTTTTTAAAAAATGGTCCCAAGGTTATCATAGTGACTAGCCAGGTTTAGAAAACTGTGGCCTAGAGTGCTGCTTAAATTTTAATCTGCATAAAAATTACCTGGAATCCTTGTGAACATTTCAGATTCTGATTCAGTTGGTATGTGTTGGGGTCTGATATTCCGCATTTCTAATAATCTTCCAGGTGATGCCATTTGCTGCCAGTTCATGGACTAAGAAGTCACACCAAGTAGATAATGGAAATACCGAATGATAGAAATTCTTAAGCGTAGAAGTAACAAGGCCAAATTTGTATTTTAGAAATCTCACTCTGGGGCGGGCGCGGTGGCTCATGCCTATAATCCCAGCACTTTGGGAGGCTGATGGACGGATCGCCTGAGGTCAGGAGTTCAAGACTAGCCTGGCCAATGTGGTGAAACCTCATCTCTACTAAAAATAGAAAAAGTAGCAGGGCGTGGAGGTGGGCACCTGTAATCGCAGCTACTCAGGAGGCTGCAGCAGGAGAATCTCTTGAACCTGGGAGGTGGATGTTACAGTGAGCTGAGATTGTGCCATTGCACTCCAGCCTGGGCGACAGAGTAAGACTCCATCTCAAAAAAATAAAATAAAAATAAAATAAAATAAAATAAAAATAAAAAAGAAATCTCACTTTGGCACTATTGTAAAGAATGGATTTGTATGGTGGACAAAAGTAGAGACAGAAAAAAAATGAGTAGAATGCTACTTGCCATAGTTTGGGTGAGAAGCAATGATTGAATAAAGTATAGAACTATCAGTGATAGTGGAAAAGGTCATATTTGAGAAACAGTTCTGATGGAAAATCACAGGAAGTTGTGACTGATTGGATGGTGTGTGGGGGCAGTATGGCGAGGAAAAGGGAGAAATATCTCAGGGAAATATACACATTTACTTAGATGAGGATACAAGAAAAATAAGTTTTTCAGAAAGATAATTATTCAGGGAATCTTACATTTGTATTAGTCAGTGTTCTCCAGAGAAACATAACCAACAGGATGTGTGTATATATAGAAAGAGAGGTTTATTTTAAGGAATTAGGTCACAGGAATGTGGAGAGTCAGCAAGTCCAAAATCTGATGGGGTAGGTCATCAAGGTGGAGACTTAATAAGGAGTTGCAGCCAAGTTCAAGGGCAATCTGCGGGAAGAATTTCTTCTTGCTCAGAAGTCAGTCTTTGTTCTACTAAGGCCATCATCTGATTGGATGAGTCCCACATCCACTCACATTGTAGAAGGTAATCTGTTTTACTCAAAGTTCACTAATTTAAATATTAATCTCATCCAAAAAATACCTTGATAGAAACGTCTAAAATAATGTTTGGCCAAATATCTGGACACTGTGGCTCAACCAAGTTGACACATAGAATTAATCATCACATTTGGCTAAAATATAGTCACTTGGAGATTTCTAGACAGCAATTCTAACTATGAGACTATGAGTCTACAGCTCAGGATAGAGGTCTATACCATGAGTACAGTTTGAGAGTCAAAAACATGAAGGAATAATGTGAAGCCATAGCAGTGATGAGGTCAGTGTGATAGAACATGCACAGAAAGAAAAAGACTAAGGAACCCAGAGAATGCCAATATTTAAGAGGCAAGAGGAGGAAGAGCAACGAATAGAAGATACTAAAAAGAAAATGATTACAGTGGAGTAACAGAAAATAAGGGAGGAAAGAAACTTTTGAGTCATCCTTAACACCTGTCTTTGATTCACCATTACTACCACCCATATCTGAATCTATAATTTAGTGCAGGGATCTCCAACCCCCGGGTGCAGACCAGTACCGGTCCATAGCCTGTTAGGAACTGGGCTGCACAGCAGGAGGTAAGCAGCAGTTTAGGGAACATTACTGCCTAAGCTCCACTTCCTGTCAGATCAGGGGCAGTATTAGATCCTCACGGGAGCGCTAACGGTATTGTGAACTGCGCATGTGAGGGATCTAGGCTGCTCACTCCTTACGAGAATCTAACTAATGCCTGATCTGAGGTGGAAGAGTTTCATCCCAAAACCATCCACCACCACCGTTCGTGGAAATATTGTCTTCCAGGAAACCAGTCCCTAGTGTCAAAAAGGTTGGGGACCGCTGATTTAGTCCTTTCAATTCAACTTTTTAAGTGTTTCTCACACCTTTCAACCAGTCTCCATCCTATAGCCACCTCTCTGCTTCAAGTTCACCCATACCTGATTTAGGTGATTAGAAGACGATATTTGTAACTTATTGAGTTGATTATATTTAGATGAGATTTTGAACTGAGAGTTGATGCTGGCGTGGGTTAAGAATTTTGAAAATTTTGGGATGAAGTGAATGGATTTTGCGCATGGGACAGACATGAATGTTGGAAGACTAGAGCACAGACTATTGGGAGTTGAATTGTGTTCTTCAAAAGATATCTAAGTCCTAAACCCCCAGTACATGTGAATATGACCTTTTTTGGAATTAGATTATTTGCAGATGTAGTAGAGTTAAGATAAAGTTATACTGGATTAGCGTGGTCCCTAATTCAATGACTGGTGTACTTAAAAGAGGGGAATTTGGATACAGAGGGGCACAGAGGGAAAATGGAATGTGGAGACAAGGATAGAGATTGAAGTTATGCTGCCACAAAGCAAGATATGTCAAGCTTTAGCAGCAACCATAAGAAGCTAGGAAGAGGCAAGAAAAGGATTTTGGATTTCTAACATTCATAATGGTAAGATAATAAATTTCTGTTGTTTGAAGCCACTGAGTTTGTGGTACATTATTAAAATAGCATTAGGAAATGAATACAGTTTGAATCCTTCCACCCTCCTGAAAAGATTGGAATGAGTTCCCATTACTCTCAAGGTAAAGGCAGAAACCTTTAACAATTTCTGTCAGAATCCACCGTCTGAGCTTTGCCTACCTCTACAGCCTCATCTAACACAACTCTCCACTTTACACCCTCCGGGTACCTGAACTTTTTTGCATATGGTCAGATGAATCATGACTTCCTCAATGACTATGTCAGAGCTTCCTGTTATCTGTTCTCATGGCACTTTGCACAGATATGAATTAGCATTTATTTGTAAGATCTTGTGATTAGTATTTATCTTTTATCTTTTTCACTAGACAGTAAGCTCTATAAGGCAAGGGACCATGTCTGTTTTTATCTCATGATGGATGCCCCAGTGCCTAGCATAGTGCCTGGCTTATAATAGTCTTTCAACATGTATTTATCAAAGAAAAAATTTAATGGATGAAGGAATGTTACATGAGTATAATGTTCAAGCAAGTAATTCTTCACAGTATATTAGTTTTAGAGAGGGAAAAAGAGGTCACTGCATCTGTTGATTATGATATCATTGATGACCATAGCAATAGCAATTTAAATAGCATTCATTGCATTGAATTCAGGAAAGCATGAAGATTCAACATGTGTATGTAATTCTTTGATGTTTTTAGAGCAAAGTGGAGAGAGACTCCTAATTTGGAGGGTGGTAGCATCTGGGTAAGAATTGAGGATTTAAGTTCTAGGATAAACAGAAGGATCCAACAAAGAGGAAAATATGAATGATACAAGAAAGAAAGAATCCAGAACTAGCAGAAAAAAATGGATAAAGAGCACCAATAAAAGAGACACACCGGGGAGGAAGGGAATCTCTTTCTCTAGCAGGCAAGCAGGCGATAAGGACAGATGAATAAACAAATAAATTTGGAGGTAGAAGAGAGAGCTACTGAGAAAGTTAATTACTGATAGCCTCTCTTCCCTCTGCAAAATAGGGTTTTAGGTTACAGAGTGGAGGGTAGTTATGCAGTTTTACTTGAAAGCTCTTTGACAATCCTGTAACAAGGAATAGGCACTGTAGAGTTGGTTACTACATTTTTAGCCAATCTGACAAAATCTGACTTTTCAAAAAGCTTTATTTTTATTTTTATTGTTTTATTTTGTTTCAGTAGATTTTAGGGAACAGGTGGATTTTGGTTACATGGATAAGTTCTTTAGTGGTGATTTCTGAGATTTTGTTGTATCTGTCACCCAAGCAGTGTACACTATACCCAATTTGTAGTCTTTCATTCCTTTAATTCAAGTTTTTGACCTTTATAGTTAATGTGATTATTGGTGTGATTAGATTTAAGTCTAACATCTTGATATATGATTTCTCTTTTTCCCGTTTGTTCTTTTTATCCTTTTTACTTTTTTCTGCTTCTTTTTAGACTTAGTGGATTTTTTTTTTTTTGGATGACTCCCTTTTATTACGCTTGTTGGCTTGTTAGAAACAGCTCTGTTTTGCTACCTTAGTGGTTGTTTTAGAGTTTAGAGTATGCTTCTTTAGCTTTTTGTAATCTACCTTCAAGTTATACTGTGATTTTACACATATAGTATAAGAACTTTACAATACTGTATTTTGATTTCACTCCTCCTGCCTTTATGCGATTCTTTTGTATATTTTAAACTCCATAATAAGTTCTTATTTTTGTTTAAACAGTCAATTATATTTAAAGGAAATTTAAATAATTTAAAAATATTTTACATTTACCCATATAGTCACTATTTCTGGTGCTCTTTATTCATTTGCATAGATCTATAGTTCTATCTGGTGCTATTTTACTTTTGTATTAAAGATTTATTTTAACATTTCTTATAGTAGAGATGTGTTGTTTAATTGTTATAGCTATTATATGTGTGATGATATTTTCTTTCACTTTTATTTTTAAAATTATTTTCACTGCATATACAAGTCTAGATTGGAAGTTGTTTTCTTTCATTACTTTAAACATGTTGCTCCACCGTCTTCTCACTTGCATTATTGCTAGCAGAAATCTGCTGTAATATTTATCTTTCTTTTCCCCTCTGTACATCATGTTTCTTTTTTTCTCTGGCTGCTTTAAAACTTTTTTTTTGTCATTAGTTTAGAGCCATTTGATTATGGTACGCCCTGCTGTAATTTTCTTTATATTTCTTGTGCCTGGGGTTCACTGAGATTCTTGACGCTATAGGTTTATGCTTTTCAACAA
Organism: Homo sapiens; assembly: GCF_000001405.40. Taxonomy (NCBI): domain Eukaryota; kingdom Metazoa; phylum Chordata; class Mammalia; order Primates; family Hominidae; genus Homo; species Homo sapiens. The sequence goes on along the minus strand of NC_000023.11, from coordinate 95,812,724 downwards.
GTTTGGGAAAATTTGGTCACTATTTCTTGACATATTTTTTGTCCCCACCCCTAGTTCAATGAGTTGAATTATATGTATAATAGGATGTCTGAAGTTGTCCTGTAGATCACTGATGCCCTTCATTTAAAAAACTATTTCTGGTTCCATATGAACTTTAAAGTAGTTTTTTCCAATTCTGTGAAGAAAGTCATTGGTAGCTTGATGGGGATGGCATTGAATCTGTAAATTACCTTGGGCAGTATGGCCATTTTCACGATATTGATTCTTCCTACCCATGAGCATGGAATGTTCTTCCATTTGTTTGTATCCTCTTTTATTTCCTTGAGCAGTGGTTTGTAGTTCTCCTTGAAGAGGTCCTTCACATCCCTTGTAAGTTGGATTCCTAGGTATTTTATTCTCTTTGAAGCAATTGTGAATGGGAGTTCACTCATGATTTGGCTCTCTGTTTGTCTGTTGTTGGTGTATAAGAATGCTTGTGATTTTTGTACATTGATTTTGTATCCTGAGACTTTGCTGAAGTTGCTTATCAGCTTAAGGAGATTTTGGGCTGAGACGATGGGGTTTTCTAGATAAACAATCATGTCGTCTGCAAACAGGGACAATTTGACTTCCTCTTTTCCTAATTGAATACCCTTTATTTCCTTCTCCTGCCTGATTGCCCTGGCCAGAACTTCCAACACTATGTTGAATAGGAGCGGTGAGAGAGGGCATCCCTGTCTTGTGCCAGTTTTCAAAGGGAATGCTTCCAGTTTTTGCCCATTCAGTATGATATTGGTTGTGGGTTTGTCATAGATAGCTCTTATTATTTTGAAATACGTCCCATCAATACCTAATTTATTGAGAGTTTTTAGCATGAAGGGTTGTTGAATTTTGTCAAAGGCTTTTTCTGCATCTATTGAGATAATCATGTGGTTTTTGTCTTTGGCTCTGTTTATATGCTGGATTACATTTATTGATTTGCGTATATTGAACCAGCCTTGCATCCCAGGGATGAAGCCCACTTGATCATGGTGGATAAGCTTTTTGATGTGCTGCTGGATTCGGTTTGCCAGTATTTTATTGAGGATTTTTGCATCAATGTTCATCAAGGATATTGGTCTAAAATTCTCTTTTTTGGTTGTGTCTCTGCCCGGCTTTGGTATCAGAATGATGCTGGCCTCATAAAATGAGTTAGGGAGGATTCCCTCTTTTTCTATTGATTGGAATAGTTTCAGAAGGAATGGTACCAGTTCCTCCTTGTACCTCTGGTAGAATTCGGCTGTGAATCCATCTGGTCCTGGACTCTTTTTGGTTGGTAAACTATTGATTATTGCCACAATTTCAGAGCCTGTTATTGGTCTATTCAGAGATTCAACTTCTTCCTGGTTTAGAGTTCATATGGAACCAAAAAAGAGCCCGCATTGCCAAGTCATCCTAAGCCAAAAGAACAAAGCTGGAGGCATCACACTACCCGACTTCAAACTATACTACAAGGCTACAGTAACCAAAACAGCATGGTACTGGTACCAAAACAGAGATATAGATCAATGGAACAGAACAGAGCCCTCAGAAATAATGCCGCATATCTACAACTATCTGATCTTTGACAAACCTGAGAAAAACAAGCAATGGGGAAGGGATTCCCTATTTAATAAATGGTGCTGGGAAAACTGGCTAGCCGTATGTAGAAAGCTGAAACTGGATCCCTTCCTTACACCTTATACAAAAATCAATTCAAGATGGATTAAAGACTTAAACGTTAGACCTAAAACCATAAAAACCCTAGAAGAAAACCTAGGCATTACCATTCAGGACATAGGCGTGGGCAAGGACTTCATGTCCAAAACACCAAAAGCAATGGCAACAAAAGCCAAAATTGACAAATGGGATCTAATTAAACTAAAGAGCTTCTGCACAGCAAAAGAAACTACCATCAGAGTGAACAGGCAACCTACAACATGGGAGAAAATTTTTGCAACCTACTCATCTGACAAAGGGCTAATATCCAGAATCTACAATGAACTCAAACAAATTTACAAGAAAAAAACAAACAACCCCATCAAAAAGTGGGCGAAGGACATGAACAGACACTTCTCAAAAGAAGACATTTATGCAGCCAAAAAACACATGAAGAAATGCTCATCATCACTGGCCATCAGAGAAATGCAAATCAAAACCACTATGAGATATCATCTCACACCAGTTAGAATGGTAATCATTAAAAAGTCAGGAAACAACAGGTGCTGGAGAGGATGTGGAGAAATAGGAACACTTTTACACTGTTGGTGGGACTGTAAACTAGTTCAACCATTGTGGAAGTCAGTGTGGCGATTCCTCAGGGATCTAGAACTAGAAATACCATTTGACCCAGCCATCTCATTACTGGGTATATACCCAAAGGACTATAAATCATGCTGCTATAAAGACACATGCACAAGTATGTTTATTGTGGCACTATTCACAATAGCAAAGACTTGGAACCAACCCAAATGTCCAACAATGATAGACTGGATTAAGAAAATGTGGCACATATACACCATGGAATACTATGCAGCCATAAAAAATGATGAGTTCATGTCCTTTGTAGGGACATGGATGAAATTGGAAACCATCATTCTCAGTAAATTATCGCAAGAACAAAAAACCAAACACCGCATATTCTCACTCATAGGTGGGAATTGAACAATGAGATCACATGGACACAGGAAGGGGAATATCACACTCTGGGGACTATGGTGGGGTCGGGGGAGGGGGGAAGGATAGCATTGGGAGATATACCTAATGCTAGATGACACGTTAGTGGGTGCAGCGCACCAGCATGGCACATGTATACATATGTAACTAACCTGCACAATGTGCACATGTACCCTAAAACTTAGAGTATAATAAAAAAAAAAATTAAAAAAAAAAACTATTTCTTTTCCCTGTGTTTTATTTGGATAGTTTTTATTTGTTAGGTCTTCAAATTGACAAATCCTTTCCTCTGGATTTTCTAATTTGATCTTAATTTCACATATTATACTTTTCATCTCTAAAAGGCTTGAGTCTTTTTAAAAAATATTTTCATGTGTTTAAATTTTTGAACTTATGGAATGAATTTAACTCCTTTGGTGTCCTCCTAAAGTTAATTCTAACATCTGTGTAAGTTTTAGTTCAAGTTCAATTGATTATTTTTTCTCCTCATTATGGGTTGTATTTTCCCTCCACTTCACCTGGTTTTGTGATTTTTGATTGGATGCCAGACATTGTGAATTTCTATCTTGTTGAGTACTGGATATTTTTGTATTACTGTAAGTATTTTGAAGTTAGTTTTTGGATGCAATTAAGTTAATTGAAGACAATTTGATTCTTTTAGATTGTAGTGTGTTGAATAGTTTTTCTACCCAATTTGTGTTCACCCGTACCTCAGAATTTGACTTTATTTAGAAATAAGGCCTTTGCAGATGTAACTAGTTAAGATGAGGTCATACAAGATTAGGGTGGGCCCTAAATCCAATCATTACTGTCCTTATAAGAAGGCCATATGAGGCCATACAGGAAAGAAGGCAATGTGACTACAGAGACAGAGATTGCAGTGATAAAAGTATAAACCAAGGAATAACAAGGACTCTTAGCAAGCACAAGAAGCTAAGAATAAGACATGGGACAGATTTCTCCTCAGAACCTTCAGAAGGAACCAGTCATGTTAACCTTGATTTCAGACTCTGGACTCCTGAACTATGAGAAAATAAATTTCTATAGTTTTACACCATGCTATTTGTGGTAATTTGTCAGGAATTCAAAAATATCCAGTACTCAACAAGATTTTTGCCTCATAAAGGTTTCCAATCCCTGTTATTACATCTTATTTGGAGATAAAAGTATTCCTTAGCCAAAATTAGAACAAGGCTATGAAAACAATTTTAAGTATTTCCCAGTACTTGAAAGGAAGGATAACAAATTAGTAGTGGCCAAGCCATTACAGACATACGTCAGATATATTGCTGATGGGGTTCCGGACCACTGCAATACAGTGAATATTGCAATAAAGTGAGTCACACAGTTTTTTTGGTTCCCCAATGCATATAAAAGCTATGTTTGCACTATACTGTAGGCTATGAAGTTGGCAATAGCATTATGTCTTAAAAAGCAATGTGCATACCCTAATTAAAAAAAAACTATTGCTAAAAAGTGCTGAGGATTATCTGAGTCTTCAATGAGTTGTAACCTTTTTGCTGGTAGAGGGTTTTGCCTTAATATTGATGGATGCTGACTGATCAGGATCGTGGTTGCTGAAGGCGGGGATGACCATGGCAGTTTCTTGAAATAAGGCACCAATGAGGTTGTCGGAGAATTTATTTGCTGTGGAAGAATCACAACCTCTCTAAAAGCAAATTAATTACTTTCAGGGTTTTCTAAAACAGAATGATAGAAGACTAAGATATTTTCAATTTGTCTTAAACTGTTTTAGTGATTAACAAGCAGCTCCTGATGTTGAATGTGCTATACCTAATTGATTTTAGGGTACACACACAAACCCAAAATTGCATAATTGGCCTGTGTTAGGTTGGTGGAACAGAAAAGAGACTGTGCTGACATCAACGTTGTTCTAAACTGGTGTTCTGGCAACTACTGTATTGTGGGGAACAAGCTGTTTCATGTTTCTCTAACCTTAGGAAGCACTAGGTTAAACACCTTTACACAAGATTCCTTGGGTAGGAATTCTGTAAGACTTTGACATATTGGCTGGCAAATACTATCTTATAACTCATTATTTTAGCCTCATAACAACTTGACACTGCATAAACAAACAATCAAAAACAAAACTCATTAAAGTGCTATGCCTTAACGTCATTACTCCACTTTTTAATTTTTTGTTTTTTCTTTTTATATCTTATTTTACTATGTCTTGAAAGGTTGTTATAGTTATTATTTTTGATTTGTTCATCATTTAGTCTTTCTACTTAGGGTAAGAGTAGTTTACACATCAAATTAAAATGTTAAAATATTCTGTGTTTTCCTGTATACTCACTATTACCAGTGATTTTTATACCTTTGGATAATTTCTAATTGCTCATTAAAGTCCTTTTCTTTCTGGTTGAAGTACTCCCTTAAGCATTTCTTTTAGGACATATCTGGTTTTTATCAATAAAATCCCTCAGATTTTGTCTGGGAAAGTCTTTATTTCTTCTTCATGTTTGACCATTGTATTTGCCAGATATGCTATTCTAGGATGTAAGTTTTTCCTTCAACACTTTATATATGCCATGCCATTCTCTCCTGTTCTGTAAGGTTTCCTTGGAAAAGTCTGCTGCCAGACATATTGCAGTTCCAATGTATGTTATTTTTTCTTTTCTTTTGTTGTTTTTAGGATCCTTTCTTCATCTTTGATCTTTGGGAGTTTGATTATTAAATACTTTGAGGTAGTCTTCTTTGGGTTAGACAGGCTTGATATTCTATAATCTTCTTGTATTTGGATATTGATATCTTTCTCTACATTTGGGAAGTTCTCTGTTATTATGCCTTTGTATAAACTTTCTACCCCTATCTCCTCTATATCCTCTTTAAAGTCAATAACTCTTAGATCTGCCCTCTTGAGGCTATGGATCCTATAGACATGCTTAATTGTTTTTTATTATGTTTTCTTTTGGCTGCTCTTATGTGTATTTTCAAATAGCCAGTCTTCAAGTTTACTAATTCTTTCTTCTGCTTGATCAATTCGGCTATTAAAAGACTCCGGTGCATTCTTCTGTATGTCATTTTCTAGCTGTAGAATTTCTGCTTGATACTTTTTAATTATTTCAATCTCTTTGTCATTTTTTTTTTTTTGAGACAGAGTTTTACTCTTGTTGTCCTGGCTGGAGTGCGGGGTGCAATCTCGGCTCACCACAACCTCCACCTCCCAGGTTCAAGCGATTCTCCTGCCTCAGCCTCCAGAGTAGCTGGGATTACAGGCATGTGCCACCATGCCCAGCTAATTTTTATATTTTTAGTAGAGATGGGGTTTCTCCATATTGGCCAGGCTGGTCTCAAACTCCCGACCTCAGGTGATCCACCCGTTTCAGTCTTCCAGACTGCTAGGATTACAGGCATCTTTGTTAAATTTATCTGATAGAATTCTGAATTCCTTTTTTGTGTTATCTTTAATTTCTTTGCGTTCCCTTAACCAGTTGTTTTGAATTCTCTGTCTGAAATGTCATATATCTCTGTTTCTCCAAGATTGGTGCCTAGTGCCTTATTTATTTCATTTGTTGAGGTCATGTTTTCCTGGATGGTGTTGATTCTAGTAGATGTTCTTTGGTGTCTGGGCATTGCATAGTTAGGTATTTATCGTAGTCTTCATTGACTGGGCTTGTTTGTACATGTCCTTCTTGGGAAGCCTTCCCAGATATTTGAAAGAACTTGGGTGTCATGATCTAAGTTGTATCTTCTTTAGGGAGCAACCAAACCCAAGTAATGCTGTGATTCTTGCAGACCTGTAGGGGTATTGCCCTGATAGTCTTGGACAAGATCTGGGAGAATTCTCTTGATTACCAGGCACAGATTTTGTTCTTTTTTCTTACTTTCCCACTTTCCCACAAACAAATGGAGTCTCTCTGTTTGGAGCCACCTAAAGCTGAGGGTGGAGTGACACAAGCACCTCTGTGGCCACCACCACTATGACTGCACTGCAACAGATCTGAAGTCAGCACAACACTGATTTTCTCTGAAGGCCTGCTGTAGCCATTCCTAGTCACTGCCTATATTTGCTCAAGGCCATAGGGCTTTACATTCAGCAGGTGGCAAGGCCAGCCAGGCCTGTGTCCTTCCCTTTAGGGCAGTGAGATCCCCCAGGCCCCAGGTGGGTCCGGAGGTACCATCTGAGAATCAGTGACTAGAGTCAAATACCTTAGAAGTCTACCTGGTGTTCTATTTTATTGTGGCTGAGCTGACACTCCAACCACAAGATGGAGTCCTTCTTACTTTTCCCTCTCCTTTTCAAAGGCAGAGGAGTCTCACTTTTGGCCACCACCACTGCAGACCATGGGAAGTACAGCCAGACTACCACCAATGTTCCCTTAAGGCCCAAGCGCTCTTAAATCTGCTTGTGGTAAATGCTGTCTAGCCTAGGAGTCACTCTTCAGGGCCTTGAGTTCTTCTCTGACCCAGGACAGGTTCAGTGGTACTGTCCATGAGTCAAGTCCTAGAACTGGAGACCACAAGAGTCCACTTGATGCTCTACTCCACTGTGGCTGTGCTAGTACCTGATATGCAAGACAAAGTCCTTTTTACTTTTCCCTCTACTTTTCTCATGCAGAAGTTTTTCTTTGTAGCCAACAGATCTGGTAATGTACTGAGTATCATGTGAAGCCAGGGAGTTTTAGAGGCTCACCCAAAGCTCTCAATGTAGTACCTATGTATCACTGCTGGTTATTTAGGGACCAAGGTGCTGTTCAGTTAGCAGGTAATGAAGCTGCCAGAACTGTCTTCTTCCCTTCAAGGCATTGAGTTCCCTTCTGGCACAGAGTGTGTCTAGAAATGTCTGGGAGCTACTTCCTGGAACGGGGGCCTCATGACTCTGACTGGTGCCCTATTCTGCTGTGGCTGGGCTGGTATCCAAGATGTAACACAAAATACTCTCCACTCTTCCCTCTCCTCTCCTCAAGTGGAAATAAGGGGTCTCTTTTGGAGCCATGAGCTGTGCAGCCTGGGGTTAGAGGAGGAATGATGCCAGCAGTCCCTTAGCCACACCAGCTAGTGTCTCATTAGATTGCTTGCGTCTCCACTCTACTGTTTCTGGGCCCAGTTCAGCACTAGGACTACCCTAAGAGTTGCACTCCTTATGGCCTAGACTGCCCATCAAATTTGCTTACAGGCCCAGAGCACTGTAGCCCTCAGTGATGAGGCTTGTAGCAAGTCTGGACCACTGGGATTAGCTATTCCCCTCTGGCTAGGGCTGGTTTAAATGCTGTTTCTGTGGGCAGGCTTCAGCTAAGATTGATCTGACTTTCCTTTCTGCTCTAACAGGATAGCACTAAGTTTAATGCCTCACAATTGCTGTGCTCTCCCTCCGGAGGCCCCAGCACCCAGAGATGCTCTCCACACCATGCCACCACTGCTGTAGGGTAGGGGACAGGTAGCATTGGCGATTCAAGGCTGTTTATTTTTTTTTTAACCTCTTCAGTGCCTCTTTCAGCAATACAGAAATAAAATCAGGTAATCAGGTACTATGAGGGCTCACTGGATTTTTGGCCATAATGAAAGTGGTTATCCTGTGTAGACAGTTGTTAAATTGATGTCTTTGCAGGGGGGAGGATTGGGGGAGCATTGCATTCTGCCATCTTGCTCCATCTCTCAGCTGGTAATTTTTTAAAATAAAACAATAATGACGTTTGCCACATTGATTTTTTTTTTTTTACAAAAGGTTTCTCTATAGCATGTGATATTGTTGGATAGCATTTTTCCCACACTAGAACTTCTTTCAAAGTTAGAGTCAATCCTCTCAAATCCTGCTGCCAATTTATTAACTAAGTTTATGTAATATTCTAAATCCTTTATTGGCATTTCAATAATGTTCATAGTATCTTTTTTAGGAGTATATTCTCTCACAAGAAAACACTTTATTTGCTCATTTATAAAAAGCACATTCTCATACATTTAAGTTTGATTATGAGATTGCAGCAATTCAGTCACATCTTCTAGCTTCATTTCTAATTCTTGTTCTCTTGCTATTGCCACCACATCTTCAGTTACCTCCTCCACTGAGGTGTTGACCCCTCAAAGTCATCCATGAAGATTGGAATCAACTTTTTCCAAATTCCTGTTACTGTTGATACTTTGCCCTCCTCTCATGAATCATGAATGTTCTTAATGGTTCTTAATCTGGAATGGTGAATCCTTTCCAAATTATTTTCAATTTAATTTGCCCAGGTGCATCAAAGGAATCACTATCTATGGAAGCTATAGCTTTACTGAATGTGTATCTTAATAAGACCTGAAACCTGAAGTTAATCTATAGGCTGCAGAATGGATGTGTGTTAGCATGCATTTAAACAGCATTAATATCCTTGTACATCACCATCAGAGCCTTTGAGTGACTAGGTGCACTGTCAAAGAGCAGTAATATTTTGAAAGAAATATTGGCCGGGCGTGGTGGCTCACGCCTGTAATCCCAGCACTTTGGGAGGCCAAGGCGGGCAGATCATGAGGTCAGGAGATTGTAGCCATCCTGGCTAATACGGTGAAACCCCGTCTCTACTAAAAATACAAAAAGAAATTAGCCAGGCGTGGAGGCGGGCGCCTGCAGTCCCAGCTACTCGGGAGGCTGAGGCAGGAGAATGGCATTAACCTGGGAGGCGGAGCTTGCAGTGAGTCGAGATCATGCCACTGCACTCCAGCCTGGGCGACAGAGTGAGACTCTGTCTCCAAAAAAAAAAAAAAAAAAGAAAAGAGAAAAGAAAAAAAAGAAAATGAGCAGTAGATCTCAACAGCAGGCTTACAGTATTCAGTAAATGATGCCATAAACAAATGTGCTAACATCCAGACTTTCTTATTTCTTTTATAGAACACAGTCAGAATGGCTTTAGCATTATTGTAATGGGCCCTGGGATTTTTGAAATGGTAAATGAGCAATGGTTTTAGCTTAAAGTCACCAGCTGCATTAGTCCCTAACAAGAGAGTCAGCTTGCTTTTTGAAGATTTGAAGCTAGTCATTGGCTTCTTCTCTTTAGCTAGGAAAGTCTTAGATGGCATCTTCTAATAGAAGGCTGTTTCATCTACATTGAAAATCTGTCATTTAGTGTAGCCACATTCATCAATTATCTTAGCTAGACCTTCTAGATAACTTGCTGCAGCTTCTCAATCACCACTTGTTTCTTCACCTTGTACATTTATGTTATGGAGATGGCTTCTTTACTTAAACGTCATGAATCAACCTCTGCTAATTTCCAACTTATCTTCTGAAGTTTCTTCACTTCTCTCAGCTTTCATAGAATTGAAGAGAGTTGGGGCATTGCTCTGGATTATGCTTCAGCTTAATGAAGTTTTGTGGTTGGTTTGATATTTCATCCAGACCAATAAAACTTTCTCCATATCAGCAATGAGGGTGGTTTGCTTTCTTATCACTTGCGTGTTCACTGCTGTAGGATTTTGATCTCTATCAATAACTTTTCTTTTGCATTTACAACTTGCCTAACTATTTGGCACAAGACGCCCAGCTTTCAGCCTATTTTGGCTTTCAGTATGCCTTCTTCACTAAGCTTAATCATTTCTAGCTTTTGATTTCAAGTGAGAGACATGTGACTCTTCTTTTACTTGAACACTTAGAAGTCATTGTAGGGTTATTAATTGGCCTAATTTCAATATTTGTGTGTCTCTGGGAATTAAGAGAACTAAGGAGAGGGAGAGAGATGGGGGAAAAACAATTGGCAGAGCAGTCAGAACAGATCCAGCATTTACTGATTAAGTTTGCCCTCTTGAATGGGCATGGTTTGTGTTGCTACTAAACAATTATAATAGTAACATCAAATATCACTGCTCAGCGATCACCAAAACAGATATAATAATAATAATCATGTTTGAAATGTCATGGGAAGTACCAAAATGTGACACAGAGAAACAAAGTGAGTACATACTATTGGAAAAATGGCATCTATGGGCTTGCTCAACACAGGGTTGCCACAAATCTTCCAGCTGTAAAAAAACACAATATCTGCAAAGTGCAATAAAGTAAAGCACAGTAAAAACTGGTATGCCTATAGGTCGTGGTGGTTTCTTTGGCATCCAGAAGTTAGTGAGGGTGAGGTACTGCTTCTTGGAGGGTGAAAAGAAGGCTTGGAGACAGGCAGCATTGCTACCAGACCAGAAGCCTATCCTTTCTCCTGATGACCCTTGACCCTTCGGTGTTGACCCAGTGCTAACATTTTGCCAGGTGTTCAGTGGCTTGTTTTGAGAATTACATTGATCAATACATGTTAAGTGCTTAAAAGAGCCTCTGTTTTGATAAATCAAGATTTATCTTCTATGTGCAACAGATCTTATCTTGAGTGACAGCTTAATCATATCCCCTCAACAGCATGCAGAAAAAAGACCTCCCACATTTTTCTGTCACATGACTTCTGTCAAATTAGTTGTATTCTTTCTCAGATATTTAGGCAAAGATCACACCAGGCAGGGCAATACTAAGTGCAAACACCCTGAAGCAAGAGAATGCTTGGTGTGTTCTAGCAATACTGAAGAGGCAAGTATGGATAGTATGCAGTAAGTTTAAAGCACTGTGGAAGAACATTAGCCCACAGAAGTAGTTTTTTGGGGATACAGAATGATTGCTCATTCATAAAACAAGGTAAAGCCATGTGAACAATTTTAGTTTTTACTCTGAGATAGGGAATCTTTTGATGTTTTAAACAGTGATGTGACATTATTTGATGTGATATTTAATAGAATTACTCTGACTACTGTGTGAGGAAAAAATGTATGGGTAGCAAGAATGAAAGCAGGAAACCTGTTAGGAGGCTATTGAAGAAATCCAGGTGTTAGTTTTTAACACTCTGGTCTGTGATGTTAATAATGCGAGTAATGACAAGTGGTCACATTCTGAATATATTTTGAAGGTAAAATCAATGGGATTTGCTGATAGGATAAATAAATGTGTGATAAAAAGAGGAATCAGGAATTACTACATGCTTTCTTATCTCAGCAAGTGGACAAATGAAATATAACTTACTGTGATAGGGAAGAGGGAAACAGCTTTGAAATGAGGTGTTATATTAAGATTCATATATGATATCCAAGTGAAAATATCTAATAAGCATTTGATTACACCAGTCTGAACATCAGGAGAGCGAAGAAGGAAATTTGGCAAAGTAGGGTAGCCAAGAGAGAGGAGAATCTTCAAAACCAAGTGAAAAAAAAAAATGTTCAAGAAGGAGGGAGTGTCTATACTGCCAGGCTGAAGGTTCAAGTCTGATGAGTAGCAGAAAGTAATCATTTTATTTATCAAGATACAGCTCATTGGTGACCCTAAAAGACTGAATAGAGTGGCAACAGCCTGACTGGAATAAGGTCAAGAGAAATGAGACTTCATAGTTGGCTGCTGTATTAGTCAGAGTGCTCCAGTGGATATATGTGCATATGATAGAAAGTTTATTAGGGAGAATCGGCTCACACAATTACAAGGTGAAGTCTCATGATAGGCTGCCTGCAAGCTGAGGAAGAGAGAAGCTGGTAGTGGCTCAGTCTGAGTCGGAAAGCCTCAAAACCAGGGAAGCCGAAACTGCAGATTTCAGTCTGTGGCCAAAAGCCTGAGAGCCCCCAGCAAGCTGCTGGTGCAAGTCTCAGAGCCCAAAGGCCAAAAAAACCTTGAGTCTGATGTACAAGGGCAGAATGAATGGAAGCAATTGTCCAGTATGGGAAGAGGAAGGAAGCCGGAAGACTCAGCAAGCAAGGTTATCCCACCTTCATCTGCCTGCTTTTGTTCCAGCTGCACTGGCAGCTGATTAGATGGTGCCCACCCACATTGAGGGTGGGTCTTCCTCTCCCAGTCCACTGACTCAAATGTCAATCTCCTCTGACAATATCTTCACAGACACACCCAGAAACAACACTTTACCAGCCATCGAGGCATCTTTCAATCCAATCAAGTTGATACCTAATATTAACCATTACAGCTGCATAAATTCAAATGTACCCATATACCTCAAAAATCCTCTATGAATCAACAGAAGAGCAAATTACAACACACACAACCCATTTTTTTGCCATCAATGAGAAGACAGAGAATACTATAAATGTCAAATTACAAAGGGAAAGGAAGCGGCATTACATGGATCAAAAATGTGTCAGACACCACCTTAACCAAGAGTCATACTCCTACCAAAAATGCACAACCTGGAAATATTCATGAGGAATCATTAGGAAACCCCAAATAAAACAAATTCTACAAAATAGCTGGCCTGTAACTTTTCAAATATGTAAAGACAAATAAAGATTAAGTAAGGGTGAAGGACTGTTCCAGATAAAAGGAGACTAAAAGACATGACAACTAAATACAATATAAGATCCAGGATTGGATCTTGGGATGGAGAGAAGAATCACCTATAAAAGATGTTTGTGAGCCAATTGATGAAATTTTAATATGGACTGTGCATTAGAAAATGGTATTTTATAATGTTAAATGTTCTTGTTCTGATAATTGTATTGTGGTCATATATGAGAATGTCTCTGTTCTTAGGAAATGCATATTGAAGTAGTTTGGGATAAAAGGACAGAATGTTGGCAACTTAATGAACAATGGTGGTTTGAAAAAAAATGTGTGTGTTTGTGTGTACACTATATGAAGAATGATAAAACAAATCTGGCAACAATGTTATGTTAATAATTGGTGAATCTGGGTAAAGGATAGAAAAGACAAGGTACTTCTTTGTATTATTCTTGTATTTTTAGTAGGTCTCACATTATATTAACATGAAAAGATAAAATGGGAGGAGAGGAAGTAAAGATAACAAGTGAAGGAAAATCATTTGAGAAGTTTACTGTGAAAAGGAGCAGACAAAAGAGGCAGCTAATGAAAGAGAATGTGAGATCAAGGGAGATTTTTAAAAATAATAATAGTGATAATACTGACATAACAATAATATTAATAACTGTACTAATATAGCACTTACTAAGCTCCAGACATATTTCTAAGTAGTTTATGTATGCTAACACATTTTATGCACAAATACACACACACAGGCACACACACACTCACAGTGATGCAGATATTAAAGTTGTCTTCATTAACAAATGAGGAAATTGAGGCAAAGAGCAGGGAAGTAATATGCTGAAGGCTGCATAATAGTAGGTGGCAAAAAAGGAGATATTGCAGAATGTTTGTATGCTCATGTAAATAATTCAAAGAGAAATGTATTAGTCTGTCCTTGCATGGCTACAAAGAAATTCATGAGACTGAGTAATTTATAAAGAAAAGAGGTTTAATTGGCTCACGGTTCCACAGGCTGTACAGGAAGCATGATTTTGGTATCTGCTTCTGGGGAGACCTCTGGATACTTACAATCATGGTGGAAGGCAAAGGGGAAGCAGGCGTATCGTACATGACTGGAGCAGGAGGAAGAGACAAGGGGGAGGTGCCATACAGTTTTAAACAAGCAGGTCTCATGAGAACTCACTATTGTGATGATAGCACCAAGGAAGATGGTGTTATACCATTAGAAACAGCCCCCATGATGCAATCACCTCCCACCTTAACCCTGAGGATTATAATTTGACATGAGACTTGATGGGAACACAGATCCAAATCATATCATTTCCCCCCGACCCCTCCAAATCTCATGTTCTTCTCACATTGCAAAATACAATCATCCCTTCTCAACAGTCCCCCAAACTCTTAACTCATTCCAGCATTAACTCCAAAGTCTGAAGTCTCATCTGAGACAAGGCAAGTCCCTTCCACCTATGAGTCTATAAAATCAGAAACAAGTTAGTTACTTCCAAAATATACTGGGGGTTTAGAAATTGGGTACATACTCCTGTTATGAAAGAGAGAAACTGGCCAAAAGAAAGGGGCTACAAGCTCCATGCAAATCCAAAACCCAGGGCAGTCATTAAATTTTAAAGTGCCAAAGTAATCTCCTTTGTCTCCATTTCCTATATCTGGGACACACTGATACAAGGGGTGGGCTCCCAACACCTTGGGCAGTTCTGCCCCTGTGGCTGCAGCTGCTCTCACTGGCTGGCATTGAGTGCCTGTGGCTTTTCCAGGTGAAGGGTGCAAGCTGCTGGTGTATCTACCATTCTGGGGTCTGGAGGACAGTGACTTTCTTCTCACAGCTCCACTAGGCAGTGCCCCAGTGGGGACTCTGTGTGCAGGCTCCAACCCCACATTTCCTCTCCACATTGCCCTAGTAGAGGTTCTCAATGAGGGCTTGGCCCCTGCAGCAGGCTTTTGCCTGGACATCCAGGCTTTTCCATGCATCCTCTGAAATCTATGCAGAGGTTCCCAAGACTGAACTTTTGTGGTCTGTGTACCTGCAGGCTAAACACCACCTATAAGCCACCCTCTGAAGCATTGGCTCAAGCTGTACCTAGTCCCCTTTAAACCACAGCTGGAGCTGGCGTGTCTGGGATGCAGGGAACATTGTCCTGAGGCTCTGAAGGCAGTGGGGTCCTGGGCTGGCCCATGAAATGATTCTTCCCTCCTAGTCTTCTGGGCTTGTGATGGGAGAGGTTGCCAGGAAGATCTATGAAATGCCTTTGGGGCCTTTTTTCCCATTGTCTTGGCTATCAGCACTTACCTTCTCTTTTCTTATGCAAATTTTTGCAGTCTGCTTGAATTCCTCCCCTGAAAATGGGCTTTTCTTTTCTATCACATGGCCAGGTTGCAAATTTTCCAAGCTTTTTCACTCTGGTGCCCTTTTAAATATAAGTTCCAGTTTTAGATCATTTCTTTGCTCACACTTGTAAGCATAGGTTGTTAGAAGCAGCCAGATCATTTCTTGAACACTTTGTTACTTAGAAATTTCTTCCACCAGATACCCCAAATCATCACTCTCAAGTTCAAAGTTCCACAGATCCCTAGGGCAGGGACACAACGCATCTAGGTTTGCTAAAACATAACAAAAGTGACTGCTCCAATTCCCAATGTGTTACTCATTTTTATCTAAGAACTCCTCAGCCTGGACTTCATTGTCCTTATCACTATCAGCATTTTGGTCACAACAATTTAACAAGTCTCTGGAAAGTTACAAATGTCTCCTCATCTTGTCTTCTTCTGAGCCCTCCACACTCTTCCAACCTCTGCCTGTTACCCAGTCTCAAAGCTGCTTCCACATTTTTAGGTATCTTTATAGCAATGCCCACTCCTCGATACCAATTTTCTGTATTAGTCTGTTCCTGCATTTCTATAAAGAAATATCTGAGACTGGGTAATTTATAAAGAAAAGGGGTTTAATTCACTCATGATTCTGCAGGCTGTGCAGGAAACATGATGCTTGCCATCTGCTTGGCTTCTGGGGAGGCCTCAGGAAACTTACAATCATGGTGAAAGGCAAATGGGGAGCCAGCGCTTCACATGGCCAGAGGAGGAGGAAGACAGAGAGAGAGGTGAGGTGGTACACACTTTTAAACAACTAGTTCTCATGAGAACTGTATCACGAGAACAGCACTGGGAGGATGGTGCTAAACCATTAGAAACCACCCCCATAATCCAATCACCTCCCACCAGGCCCCACCTCCAGTATTGGGGATTGCATTTCAACATGAGATTTTGATGAGGACACAGATCTAAACCATATCAAGAGGGAAATAAGAGACAAGGCTATTGGCTGAAAGTAAGAATGAGAAAATAGGTATTTGAGGTTCAAAAAAGAAAGCAGATGGTGTGACTTAACCTTCAGGGAGAGTGGAATAGTGAGTTGGCCTGGGAAATGTAGTAAGATTGTGGAGCAGAAGTAATGGACCACTTGAGGCTTTATATCATAAATTGAAAGTGAGATGAGTTCTCATGGTTTTGTTTTACTCCAGGCATGTTCAGTTGCCCAGTGTAGCACAGAATAGGTTCAGAGTTATAGTTTTTCCATTGTTATAGCAGAAAGAGAAAAAAACACACAGAGTTTGACAGTGCATGCTATAGAGTTGGAATGAAATTGAGTATGGAATTTAAACTGCATAAGGAGGAAAATTAGAACATGATGGTGAAAGATTGGGAAAAAGGAGTTGGATAGATAGATTGTAGGCCCCAGCAAGGTAAGAGCACTTCTGTAGTTGAGGTACTAGTGAGCATAAGCTGGAAAGATAGAAGGTGGTGGTGAGAGATGTGAATATGTGAAATTGAGATTATAGAGTAATTTTAGTCAGTGATAATGACAATATCTAGGGTTTTATCTATGGGACTGGGTGGCTGATGTAGGTTGCAGGCAAGATCATTGGAGAAAAGAATATTAAGGAACAGTGAAGTCATGATATTAAAAGGATTATTCCAGTGTATATTGAAATTACTGAGAATTGTGAGTCAAGGCTAGTACCCACGTTCTTTGGTCATTAATTCATACACTCATTTAGTCAATAAGTGGTCACTGAATACTTTTAAATGTGTTAGGCACTTTTTTAATGTGCTATTTTATCAGGTTCTAGTGATACAGTGAAGAAAAGACAAAGTCCAGTGCTTCAGGAGCTTATATTTTAGTTGGATGGGTAGATAACAAATAAATATATAATATAATGTGAGGTAATGCTAATGCTGTAAAAATAACACAGAGTAAGTGGATATTTTAATAGGTGTAAATAAACATGTATTTATACATTATTTAAGATAGGATATTTATCAAAGAGAAAGCCATGCAAAGATCAGGAATACATGCCTTCACACAGAGGAACAAGGGCAATGATTCTGAGGTGAGAATGAGCTTGACCTATTCAAGGCCCATGTAGCTAGGGAGAAGTGAGTAAGCGGGAGAATGGTAAGTAATGATGTTAGAAAATATGTAGGGTGCAGCTATTGGGCATTTTTGAGCAGAGCAATCACAGTCTGGCTAATTCTTGTACAAATATTTGTTCTGGTTGCTGTGTTTAGTATAGACTAATGGAAGACACAAACATATAAACAGGGAGATGGTTTACTTAGGAGGTTTTATTTTATTATCTGGGAAAGATAAGATGATGATGCATTGCCTGAATCCTTCATTTCACTCTTTATCACAGGTGTTTTATGTTAGTTTAAAAACATTTAGTGGTCTCTAGGGTGGAAAAATAAAAGGCCAACCCTTTTAAGTAGACAGTTGCCTTAGCTTCTGAAAAGTTGTCAAAAGTGCTAGGGTTATTAGTTTCGGTGTTGAAATCCAAATCCATATAGGTTAAATTATTCATGTAAAAAGTGTGAGACAGTGAAAAATTTCAAGAGGGAGAAGTATAAAATAAATAATAAAACTGGCTAAGATAGTAACATGATTACCTAATTGTTGTCATATTAAAAGGAGAATAGCAGGGGAGATGAATGGCTATTTATTTATTTATTGTTAGAGACAGGGTCTTACTCTGTCACCCAGGATGGAGTGCAGTTATATGATCATAGCTTATTGTAACCTTGATCTCCTGGGCTCAAACGAACCTCCTGCCTTGGCCTCCCAAACCCCTGGGATTACAGGTGTGAGATATCCTACCTGTTCTTAAATGGTTCTTATTCAGACTATCTTGAGGGAGGCATTTTATTATACTTTCTAGATTTTGAAGTACTATTTAAATGTGAATATTTTTGTCATCCTTATTTTTTAAAATTTCTGATCTGGAAGAAGGAAAGATCATTTCTGATTACGACATACTATAATATAATTTTTCCCTTTGCCTTTGCTGGTATTGGAGAAGGACAATGTTGAGTAAAAAGTCTAGTTGTTTTAGAGAGGAAGGGCTAAAATGAAAAGGAGAAAACTGAAACTAAAGATACTGCTCTTAATATGAGGGTGGGTGGATGATGAGGGTTGAAAAATTACATATGGGATACAATGTTCAATATTTGGGTGGTGGGTACAGTAGAAACCCAATCTCCACCATTAGGCAATACAACAATGTAGCAAACATGAGCATGTACCCCTGAACTTAAATTTGAAAAAATAGAAAAAAAGATAGTCTCCAGGAGGAAAAAATGGCTATTATTGGGAGCAAAAACTGTTATAATACCAGAGCCATAGAAGTAGCAAATAAGAGTTTATGATGCTGAAAGAAGGGGGTTTTCAACTGAAATGTTGTAGCAACAGGAAAGTGTCAATTTATTTTGAGGCTCTATACTTCTTTATTCTTGCTTTCAATTATCCTTAGTTTTTGCATCTCTTTAATCACATATATGTTTAATATAATGGTGATATTTTAATAGTCAATTTAGTCCATAAAAAGCAATATTGAGTGTAGTACATGCTGAAATGGGAAAGGATTTTTAAATTATAGAAGTTAAAATAATGTCCCTGTCTTCTAGGAAACTTACGATTTAGAATACAATGGTTGTCCTTAGAAATATCAATGAACTTGAAATCTTTGCTTATTAAGACAAAGATACCTGGTAATGTCATCTAGAGATAATTACCCTAAATTATTCACTCAAAACCCCAGGGCACTTAAGGCCATGCCTGGCTGATTTAGTAATTATAGTGTCTCAGGCTTTAACACATCAGAATGTTTGTATGTATTAGTTGCTTGAAAAAAAAGCAAGCACCAATATTTGTATTATATGTATGATTTTACTTCTTTTGAGTGCCTCAGAAAATTAACTTCTTAAAAGAGGAACCCATTTTATTTATGGCGACAGCTGGTTCAATAAACAGGGGTATATTAGATAACAATCTGTAGAGCAAATAAAAAAGAAATTCTATGGAACACCTATGGATAATGACCCCTAGATTGCAGCTTTTATATTTATTTACATCATATTTCAAAGTTTATTTGCATATATCATGCCATCACTTTTAAAAAGTCAATTAAAAAAGAGGAAAAGAACTTTTTAATTGCTGGCATATTTCCCACCTAACATTTAAAAATCAGACTGTCTGGTTCAGAAGTGATCTTTGAGAAAGATGATCTAACCATGTCATTTATACTTTGTTCCCAAGTTTTTATCACAAGTTGTTGAAGAAAAGATCCTTAACTATAAAGATGCTATGTATAGTAAAAAGATGGGTTGACTTGAAGGTAGGAGACCTAGAACCAGCTGTTGCAATAATATGCGAGATGACGGTGAGAAAGTCACCTATTATATTAAACCTAATGTTTCTCATGAGTAAAATGAAAGGATGTAACTAGATGATCTCTAAGAAAGTTTGCAATATTTTCTGCTTCCTGAGTTATCTGCAAAACTATGTATTGTAACTCTGAATAGCTATACAATTTGACAAGGCATGACCACACTAGTTATCCATTTTACAGGAAGAAGAAATGGAAGCTTGGGTAAAAAAAAAAAAAAAAAAAGATTTGAGGGCAACCAATATAGCCAGAAATGAAATGGAAATTAAAAATTAATACATTAGTAAATGAAAATGTAAAGCAAGATTTACTGATTTGAAAATATTCAATATGGGGCTGTCTTTCCTTTTTATTTTCATTCATGGGGTAAATTGCTAATCCTGACACACTGAATTACAGAAATTATAGATTTACTGTCATTTCCTCCTTAAATAAATTTAATTACATTACTTTTTTTTTTTTTTTTGACAGAGTCTTGCTCTGTCGCCCAGGCTGGAGTGCAGCAGCACAATCTCGGCTGGTTGAGGTTCCCCGGTTCAAGTGATTCTTGCGCCTCAGCCTCCTGAGTAACTGGGATTACAGGTGCACACCACCACGCCTGGCTAATTTTTGTATTTTTAGTAGACCATGTTGGCCAGGCTGGTCCAGAACTCCTCACCTCAAGTGAGCCACCTGCGTTGGCCTCCCAAAGTGCTGGGATTACAGGTGTGAGCCACAGTGCACGGCCCTCATTAAATTACTTTTGACAAGCACACACTATTGAAGAAAAACATGGGGAACGACAATCTTTCCTATCTTTTTGAAAAAAAGAAACTGATTTAACCCACACATTGCTGCTTAATTACTTAATTGCCAGGCATCACCCAGGCTGAAACAGAATAAACAGAGCAAATCCCTATTGACTTGTCATTGGGTGTGAACAAATCCCATCTCTCTCTCCAGCCTGGGTTTCTGAGTTACTGTACTGAAAATGAATTTGGCAAATACACTGAAAGTTGCTATGGAATGTAAAACAAAACAAAAGAAAACAGAATGTAGTCCATCTTCTTGATATGAAAAGAAAATGTCTAGGGCGCAGAAACAGTCTGTCTTGCAATATTGTTTAATGCCTTCCCATATGCTGTTTTACCTATTTTTTTTTCCTGCTCCTTCTTGTTTTTCATGTCTCATCTTAATTTTCAGAATAAAGGTAGAGTATTTTCTGGGTTTTAGAAATCTGACGGAGGAGTGAATATGTCACATTCTAATGATTAATTTTAGTGATTTTGGTGTTTATTTTTATAATCTGGCACAAAGACTACCTGTATTGACTCAAGCTTGAAGTTACCTTTAAATTCCCCTTCTCCAAAAGCCTTATTTAAGGCTTTCCTGGTTGTAGAAGACATCTAATCACTCTTCCTATAAGGGCATATTTTCACCAACTAATCTAAAAATAAATATCATGCATTGTTTTTGCCTGCTTGCTTGCCTGCCTTCCTTCCTTCCTTCCTTCCTTCCTTCCTTCCATCCCTCCCTCCCTCCCTCCCTCTCTCTCTCTTTCTTTCTTTCCTTCTTCCTTTCTTTCTTTCTTTCCTTGTTTTCTTTTTTCTTTCTTTCTTTTCTTTTCTTCTTTTCTTTTCTTTTCTTTCTTAGTGCCTTGAGTTGACAGACATTTAAAGTCCCATGTTTCTTTCTTCATTTTCTTTATTTTCTGCATTCTCTTCCCAAACCTGTATAGCTCAGTTAGTTTCAATCAGTAAATCAGGTGACAAGAAAAGTACTTTTCTATCTCATTTCCTTTTCTATCTTCAGTTAAGACAGTCCTGTGTATGTCCCATATGCTTCTAAAGCTATTTATTTTAATTCGAAATTTGTTTAAGTTATAGTGACTGTGTGGTGGAGGGGACCTGGGGTGGGGGTGGGGCATCAACATGCATATCAGGGACAGAGTTAGTAGTAAGCTCTCTGAAGATAGTAATTTATTCTTAGGTGTATTCTTGTCAGGGCTTAAAACACAAACATCCATTGAACACCAAGTTCCATTGTATTAGAACACTCCAGAGTAACAAAATCAATAGGATATATGTGTGCATGTATATGTGTATATATATATATATATATATATATATATACACACACACACACACATCTATATATATATAGAAAGAGATTTGTAAGAAATTGGCTCATGCAATAATGGAGGCTGAGAAGTTCTGATGGAGGCAAGTTAAGTTAGCAATCTGGAGAACAAGATGTGCCAATAGTTTAGTTACAGTCTGCGTCCAGAAGCCAAAGAACTCAGAAAGCTGATGGTATAGTTCCAGTCCAAAGATCAAAAGGCTTGAGAACCAAGAAGAGCCAGTACATCAGTTTGAACCAAAGGCAGGAAAAAAGCTGATGTCCCACTCTGAAGATAGGCAGAAAGAATTCTTTTTTGCTCAGAGAAGGGTCAGCCTTTTTGTTCAATTCAGGCCTTTAACTGGTTGGATAAGGCTCACTTATATTAGGGAGGACAGTATGCTTTACTTAGTCTACTGATTTAAATGTTAATCTCATCCCAAAACACTCTCATAAGAACACCCAAAATAATGTTTTACCAAATGGGACACCTCCATGGCCCAGTCAAGTTGACACATTAAATTAACCTTTATTGCTATCTTGTAAGTTATTCAATTTCTTTCTTACAGGAACTCTGGATGGTAGTCATTATTATACTACTTTACAGATGATAATAGCTGAGAACATTGCCAGTCACTGTTTTAAGCATTTTCTACAAAGTAACTTATTTAATCCTTATTATGCTAATATGAGGTATATACCTTAAATTATCCCATTTATAGATAAGGAAAAACAGGTTCAATGATTCTCTCAAGATCACATAGCTAGCAAGTGTCAGAGTTAAGATTCAAACCAAAGCAGGATGGCTTTAACATTTAGGCTACTAACCAGTGACTGATGAGGCAGATAAGTCATTACATGTTGAATAATTTGTCCAAGGTCAGGTTTGGTGTTGAATCCAGTTGAATTCTACTTCAAATATCATGTTATTGTTATTACACTGTCATTTTCTCCCCTTATCCCATGCCATTCATAGTTTTTTAATATATAATCGATATTTAATAATATACCTTATTGATTTTTCTCAAGACTTAAATTAACATAAAAAATAAAGGGCCGGGCGCAGTGGCTCACACCTGTAATCCCAGCACTTTGGGAGGCTGAGGTGGGCGGATCACGAGGTCAGGAGATCGAGACCATCCTGGCTAACACGGTGAAACCCCGTCTCTACTAAAAATACAAAAAAAAAGAAAAAATTAGCCTGGCGTGGTGGCGCGTGCCTGTAGTCCCAGCTACTTGGGAGGCTGAGGCAGGAGAATGGTGTGAACCTGGAAGGTGGAGCTTTCAGTGAGCTGAGATTGCACCACTGCACTCCAGCCTGGGCGACAGAGCGAGACTCCATCTAAAAATAAATAAATAAACAAAAAATAAAAATAAAAATAAAAATAAAGAAGGTGATATACGTGTGTAAAACTCTATAGACAATGGTTTATTAATGCAGCATATGGGACTGTATATGTAGACTTTTCTTCATTGTATACTCACGTTATCAGGGTCATAAAAAAGACAATTAAAAGAAAAAACTACCGTTGGGATATCTGCAAAAGGGTCAGTTAGGAAGTTCCAGGCCTTCATTTTTCTACTGAAACATTAAAAGCAACAATAACAAAAACGATGAGAAACTGGCTACAGTAACTTTATAGTAGCTTTGGTTAACAGTCAAAGATTAAGAACAATGAAATGAATGCCCAGTCAAGAAAAGCCACATTGGAAATAATAGGACATTTTAGGACATTTTAACTCCCATTTGCTCTACCTCCTCTCTGACATGGCATGGTCTTGGTCCAGAGGAAGCAGCATTCCAGTTCCCAATTCTTTTCCTCAAACTGGAAGTAGCAGAGCAGACCATATAGTGATGTTCTAACTGGAGACTACCTGAAGGACTGATCTCTTTTTTTACTTATCTCAGAGTTCAGTTATGGAAAAGTGACATCAGACTTCAAGCATGGAAAAACAGTGGAAAGTACCAGGCAATACTCATAAAAACTACAGAGAAACAACAGATCTGCAGACACCTGGGACAAGAGATTAAGCAGGGAGACATATAGTAGAACATTTAAGGCACCAAGAAAAGGTGATATGAGAGTCTTTGGGAAATTAATAATTTAAAAGCAGCCATGTACACAGAATTTAGAAAGCCACACATAGGCCAAAGTAAGATGCATAGTCTTGAAAGTTTTGAGAAGACCTTATGCTTTCACGTTGAGCTAATCAGGCTAAAAATACACTCAACTAATTAGTGATGGACTATGCCAGCACAGAGCTTGTCTGTAAGGAGTGAGAAAGGTAGCTGTTTTTCAAATGCTCAATTTCCAACAACAAAAGTAATAGGGCATACAAAGAAATATAAAAACTTGGCCCGTTCAAAGTAACACAATAAATAATCAGAAGCCATTCCAGAAGTAATATACAGATATTAATATACAGAATATATAAAGAGCCAATAGGATGTATATATGGTCTTTAAGATAGATATAGATAGATGCATAGTGTGATGGTTTCACAGCAATGTGAATGTTCTTAATGCCAGTAAACCGTACACTTATATATGGTTAAAACTGTAAATTTTATATTATATTCGTTTTACCACAATAAGGAAATGTAGTTAGAGATATTCATTTTATTATTTCTTAGATGTAGAAAAATTGTATTATATGATACTGGATTCTTCTATGGATTAATGCATACTGTATTGGGAAATTTTCTAAATTATTTTAAGATCTTGGAATTGTGTTGTATCAAACATAGTTAAGAGTAAGTGGGACTGAATGAACTTTGATTATTCTTTTCATATATTGACCTCTTCTTAGTCTTTTTGTTTATGTTAAAGTTATCTTAAAGTGTTCCATCCTCTAGAATATAAACTGCCATACAGTTCAAATTCAGGATGTCAGGCAGTGCTTCAATAGGAAACACAGTTTTGTCCAATGATGGTGGATGTAATTCATCATGACACAATGGCAGAGGAATGAAATGAGAGTGCAGGAACTCAGATTCCTCTGTTGCTGTCCTGGAATTGGGGTCACAACTCGTTTAGTCACATTTTATGTGCACACTTAACTAAACTGAGTAATTATTTAAGACTATTTAAAACAATCATAGCCTAGTAATAACTCAAAATTCAAACTGTTTTCTTATTGTATCAGGCAATAGAATGTGAGGTTAAAACACTAAATAAGTGAAGAATAAACATTGTTAGGGGCCAGGCGCAGTGGCTCAAGCCTGTAATCCCAGCACTTTGGGAGGCTGAGGCAGGTGGATCACTTGAGGTCAGGAGTTTGAGACCAGCCTGGCCAACATGGTGAAACCCTGTCTCTACTAAAAATACAAAAATTAGCCGGGTGTGGTGGTGTGTGCCTCTAGTCCCAGCTACTTGGGAGGCTGAGGTTAGAGAATTGCTTGAACCTGGGAGGCGGAGATTGCAGTGAGCCGAGATCACGCCACTGTACTCCAGCCAGGGTGACAAAGTAAGACATTGTCTCAAAAATAAATAAATAAATAAATAAACAAATAAAAACATTGTTTTGTATAATGGCCATACCCAGAAGGATAGTTTTGGTTTCGAAAAGTAGAGCAAATTGATGACTTAAAAGATTTAAGGGACAACTAAAGCAGTTATGATGCAGCACCTCAGATATGTTGGGAAGATCCAAGACAAATAATGCCTACAATGAATTACCCAGAAAATACATTAAGTGAATTAAAAAACAAATACAAATTTAATATTTTGCTGCTATGAAAGCACCCAATCAGACAACATGTGAGCATGAAATATTCTAGCAATATATCAACAAATAGCCTAACATAACATCTAGATTAAATGGAGAGTTTGTCACAGTTCAGAGGCAGGCTATTGTGAACAACTACAGCAAGAACAAAAAATAGTTAACTGCATCTGAAATTAATGCCATACAGCATGAGATTAAATAAAATATTGGATTTAATTACACGAATTTCTCTAACAATGGGAAAAACATCAGACAATTTCCAATTGAGGGGCATTCTACAAATTATACCAGTACTCCACAAAACTATCAAGTTCATCCAAAAATAAGAAATGTCTGAGAACTGTCACAGCCAAGAGGAGCCCAAGGAGACCTATAAGTACATGTAATGTGGTATCTTGAATGTGGTCATGGAACAGAAAAAAATGTGTTGGGTAAAAACTAAGAAAATATGGATATGTTATGGACTTCAGTTAATAATGATGTATCAATATTGATTCATTAATTGTAACCAATGTACTATACTAAGATATTAATAATGGGGAAACTGGCTGCGGAGAACATGGTAACTCTCTAGCATCTTCACAATTTTTCTGTAAATCTAAAACTCTCCTAAAATAATAGGCTGATTAAAAAATAAATTGGCTATAAAAAGGTATTAGAAAATGTGACTAGGATCACTCATAGTAGCTCAATTATGTGCCACAATTTTATTTCGAATGAAAAGGATAATTTGTGTACTGGTCTGTTTTCACACTGCTATGAAGAAATACCTGTGACTGGGTAATTTATAAAGGAAAGAGTTTTAATTGACTTACAGTTCTGCATTGCTGCAGAGGCCTTAGGAAACTTACAATCATGGTGGAAGGCAAAGGAGAAGCAGGCACCTTCTTCACGGGGCAGCAGGATGGAGTGAGTGCCAGCAGGGGAAGTGCCAAATGCTTATAAAACCATCAGATCTTGTGAGAACTCACTATTATGAGAACAGCATGGGGGAAACTGCCCCCATGATCCAATCACCTCCACCTGGTCCTGCCCTTGACACGTGGGAATTATGGGGATGATAATTTGAGGTGAGATGTGGGTGGGGACACAGAGCCAAGCCATATCAGTTTGCCTAGGACTTTAGTATGCATCTCCTAGTATGAGCTTCCATCAAGAAATTAAAGAAACACAGTCCTGTGTTTTCTAACATCTGGTAACTCTAATTCAAGTAAAAAAAAATTCTGACAATAATTATACAATCTGCCTCTCCTTTCAACTTTTCATTTATCTTCATTGAGAGCAATCCCAAGCACATGTAAAATCCAGACCATATAAGTTACCAGTAATTTTTTCCATTAGATGCATACCATTGAATGCAGTCTCTGAGTATGCTACATCCAGTGACTTTGTGAATGTTATAGCTATCTCTGGCCAGCCTATAGGAGAGAATTTCTGTTAGAAAAAAAGTCTACTTAATTTTTTCTGTAATATAATTCTTCAAAAGCTTCTAGGCAAACATCATCTCTTTGATACTTCATTGTGCAGGACTCTTGGATTTGGAGCAGATCAAGTATTGCGTTTTGTGAAAAGTCTTGTCCCTGCTTTCATACATTCTTACAGCTCACTTCTTAGATGAGAAGATGTACTCTTAAAAATAGGCCAGAAAGCAGTCAGGTTCTTCTCTTTTCAGAACAAAGCATTAATTGATCTACAAACTGCTTCTATTTATTTATTTATATTCACATTTTAATTTTTTTATTTTTATTTTTATGGGTGCATGGTAGGTGTATATATTTATGGGGCATGTGAGATATTTTGATACAGACATACAGTATGTAATAATTGCATCAGGGTAAATGGGGGTATCCATCACCTCAAGCATTTAATATTTCTTTGTGTTATAAACATTCCAATTATACTTATTTAGTTATTTTAAAGTGTACAATAAATTATTGTTGATTGTAGTCACCCTGTTGTGCTATCAAATACTAGATCTTATTCATTCTATCTAATTGTATTTTTGTACCCATTAACCAGCTCCACTTTCCCTGCACTCCCACTACCTTTCCCAGCCCCTGGTAACCATAATATTACTCTCTATCTTCATGAATTCAATTGTTTTACGTTTTAGCTCCCACAAATGAGTGATAACATGTGAAGTTACAAACTACCTCTATTTAAACGGCACGTCTTTTAACAAAATTGTTTATCAGCAGAAGCTGTAGTAAATTCCAGCCAACCACACCCAGCTTTCCAAAGATTGGGTGTACCTCTGTTTATTGCTATGGGGCATTAAATGAATTAAGGTAGGTTAAGTTCTTATAATAGTATCTGACATATTGTAAATGCAATAAGAGTGTTTACTGTTAGTCTTGTTGTTGCTATGAAAGTAACATACATGTCAAATTGCACATACACAAAAAAAGAAGACAAATTACTGTTATTGGGCACTTATATTTGCTCACAATGGGAAAGTGCTGATGGTGAGCCTTGTTCTCAGTGATCTTGAAAGCTCAGAGGGAGCTAATTAATGGCAGGAACTAAGAGGTAATTCCATAAAATCAATGCCAGGTGATCAATTCACATAATTAAGACTCTCTGATTAGTATTTTAAATATAATTAGCCCAAAATTGAAGAAATGTTAATTTTCTTTTGAGCATGTCTTAACATTCAGCCTTCTTTGCAAGACACTTTACAGTTTACAAAATAGTGTCTTATACATTTTCTCATTTGATCATCACAACAAATTTAGATGTGGTAGGAAACAAAAATAGAGCAAAATGCTGGTGCTGCTGCTGTGAGGAACATATTACCTGTGTTGTAATTTCTGCCTTCACAGTTTTGTAAAAATTTAAGGCCACAATTGGATTTTCCCTTACATTTTATGTTAGCATTTTGTGACAATTTATTAAACAAAAATAATTTGCTGGCTCTGAATTTAATACAATTGAAGCCCTGAAATTTTTGAAAATATTTCTGAATCATTAGTAATATTGGTTTACTATTTATAAGAGTGTTCTCCACAATTGTGGAGAAAAAATGGCCATCCTATACTAATGTGATACTTTGACATCCTAGATAAAAATAATACCCCAAACCCACGTATTTAAAACCATATTGAAGTGGACCATTTATTAGATAATACAGAATCCTTCATTCTTTTCGCCCTCATACTCTCCTGCTAGAATGGTATGGGTAACAGTTTTAATTTTCTACTATACTTCATCTGAGAGCTAGGTTCCCATACCTTTCTGTGCCTCAAGCGAGTAGTACCTAGCAGATTATCTGGCTAAATCTAAGTGATCAGTATTTGTTGAATGTGTTTGAATGTATCAGCCCATGAGGACTTTAACAACAAATTGTAAAGAAGATATTTTTCATCATTAAAGAACATGTTTGTAGTTCTCCCTGAAATTGTTTGCCGAATCTTAAATGTCTGCAGTGTTTGGAAAAAGTCTGTAGCTTTCATCAGGTATTTCAAAGAGTCCTTCTATTTTAAATGATTGTTAAGAAGAACAAATTAAAGGGAAATAGATCTATCTAATTCAAATCATCCCCATTTTGCATTGATGTACACCAGATAGAAAGAAAACAGTGCTATTTTGGTAACATCTTGCATAGTTACATAAATTGATGTTTAATTTTTTAAATTAATTTAACGTCTATGCTCAAATATTATTTTATCAAAGAAATTACTCCTGAAAATCCTCTATAAAACAAAACAATAACTGTCTTCACTCTCTTACTATTATCCCACCTATTTTTATTTAAAAAATCATCAACAGTAAATATATGTTTTTTATTTGTCTCTCCAAACTCCCCCCTTTTAGAGTGTATGAGTCATGAGAATAGGAACTTTGAATTGTTCACCTTTTTTTAAATCCTTAGAGCCTAAAATTGTGCCTGGCTAAAT
The DNA here is from genome assembly GCF_000001405.40 of Homo sapiens. Taxonomy (NCBI): domain Eukaryota; kingdom Metazoa; phylum Chordata; class Mammalia; order Primates; family Hominidae; genus Homo; species Homo sapiens. Next base: position 95,783,344 of record NC_000023.11, on the reverse strand, counting down.
AGCAAATGATCAATAAATATTTGTTGAATAAATAAATTAATTAATACTAAAAACAAAACACTTAACTCTTGAGCATCCAAATGTGTATGAAGTTTGGTAAAAATCAAAGTAACCAGTAAAGTACAATAATCCACCAAAAACAATATCACAAAGAACTATTACATGTTTCAAAATGGGCATGAAAATGTTTAATAGCAACACGTGGTTCTCCTGTGCTATAGAGTTTGGTGTTGTGGCTGGCTGGAGAAGCATTTTTCAATTTTTTCCAAGGGAAATTTTTTCTTTAAAAATTAAAAAAAAAACTTTCATAGAAGTTATTTTACTGACTTAGTGGGGCCAGAAAAAACATGCAGGATTAGAGAAATGTGTGGAGAATATATAACTGAAAGAGCACTCTCACTTGAAGGGGTATATTACTGCCTGAATAATTATTTGATTCCTGGTATGAAAAGTACCTGCAGCAAGAAGTTTTTCGACCACATTAAAGAAGAGTACAAATTCAGAATGTATTATAGCCAGTAACTATAGCTAGAAACATACTAAAAGAAGAATGTAATAAAAATCTAAATTATGAACTATTGAAGATCAAGAGATTACCAAAAAATGTGAAATACACAGGCATAACTTAACAGGAAATGCATAAAGTATATATGATGAGAACTACAAAACTTTATTGAGAAGAACATAACAAAAGCTAATAAAAGGGGAACCATACTTTGGTTGCAGTTTTATTTATTTTTCCTTTATGTATTTTGAAGCTCTGTTAGTAGGTGCATAAACATTTAAGATTTTTTTTCCTCTTGTTAAATAAAACCCCTTTGTCATTATAAAATATACTTCATCCTTGATAATAGTATTTGCTCTGAAATTGACTTAGTCATAATAATATAGTTACTCCAACTTTCTTCTGATTAGTATGAGCATGGCATATCATCTCCCATTCTTTTATGCTTATTTGTATTTGTATGTTTATAGTGTGTTTTTTTTTTTGAAGGGAGCATATACTTGGTTCTTCCTTTTTTGTCCAATCTGAAAATCTCTGCCTTTTAGTTAAGGTATTTAGATAACTTACATTTAATATAATTACATACATAATTAGGTTTAGAATTCCCACCTTAATTTTTTTTCTATTTTTTAATCTATTTCTGCTTTATTTTGGGTTAGTTGGATATCTTTTGTGATTTATTTTATCTCCTTGTTGGCTTATTAACTAAAAATTTATGTTTTACTATTTTTGTGATTGCCTTGGATTTATAGTATTTACCTCTTTAAATTTTATGCTCAAGCCTCAAGTGATATACCACTTAATGTACAGTAGTCCCACCCTTTCTCTTCTGTGGGGATGTGTCCCAAGACTACCGGTGGATACCTGAAACCTTGGGTAGAACCTAACTCTATTTATACTATGTTTTTTTCCTATCCTATGATAAAGTTTAATTTATAAATTAGGCACAGTGAGAGATTAACAACAATAACTAATAATAAAATAGAACAACTATAACAATATGCCAGCATCACTACTCTTCTGATTTTGAGCCATCATTAAGTAAACTAAAGATTACTTGAACACAAGCAATGCAATACCATGTTAGTGGATCTCAAAATGGAGCCAGCTACTAAGTAACTAACAGGTAGGTAGTGTATACAGCATGGATAATTGGGCAAAGGGATGATTCACATCCTGGGTGGGAAAAAGTGGGATGGCGCGAGATATTATCGCCTTACTTAGAGTGGCACACAATTTAAAACTTATGACTTGTTTATTTCTGGAATTTTTATGTAATATTTTCAGACTGTGGTTTACTGTGGGCAACTCAAACCAAGGAAATGAAACAGTGTATAAGGGAGAACTACTGAATATTATAAGAACTTTATTTTACAAATGCCAAAATACATTGTTATTATTTTTATTTACAGTCAACTATCATTGCAAGATATTTCAATAATATGGGTAAAAGCACTCTTATTGTGTATCCAAGTAGTTACCATTCCTAGTATTCTTTCCTTGTGTAGGCCCAGATTGCCGTCTGGTGTATCTTTTCCTTCTGCCTGAAGGACTTTAACATTTCTTGTAGTGTGAATCTGCTGCTGCTAAACTCTTTCAGCTTATATATGTCTGAATAGTTTTTATTTTGCCTTCATTTTTTCAAGATAGACTCATAGATGCATTGGATATGGATTCTAAGCTATTTTAAACATGCTGCTGCACTTTCTCACTTATGTTGTTTCTGACAGGAAATTGGCTGTCACCCTTATCTTTGTTCTTCTGTATGCAGCAGGTTTTTTTCTCTCTCACTGCTTTTAAGAGTTTCTCTTTATCACTAGTTTTCAGCAATATAATTACTGTATGCCTTATTAGAGTTTTCCTCATATTTTTGTGCTTGTGATATATTGAACTTTTTGCATTTTTGGGATCATAGTTTTCATCAATAATACACTGGAATTTTTGCATCTATGGGATTGTAGTTTTCATCAAATATGGAAAACTGTTGGCCATAATTTCTTCAAATATTTTTTTCTGCCTCCTTTCTAACAATTGCAACTACATATATATTTGGCTGCTTTAACTTGTCCCACAGCTTACTGATTGTTGTTTATTATTATTTAAGTTATCTTTTCTCCCTGTGATTCACTGGACAGTTTTATGGTATGTCTTCAAGTTTACTAATCTTCTTTTTGTAATATCTAATCAGCTGTGAATTGATGCAGCGTATCTTCCATCTCAAATATTATACTTTTATCTCTCGAAAGTTAGTTTGGGTCTTTTGATATATCTTCTATATTTCTACTAAACTTTTTGATTCTATGGAATTCAGTTATGATAACTATTTTAATGTCGTTACTAATTCTATCATCTATTTCAGCTCTTGTTTCTTTTCCATGAACTGATTTTTCTTTTCATTATTGGTTGTATTTTGTTGGTTCTCTTCATACCTGGTAATATTTAATTGGATGTCAGATATTATGAATTTTACCTGTCTGGATGCTGAGTATTTTTGCATTTCTATAAATATTTTCCAGTTTTGCTCTAGATTGCAGTTAAATTATTTGAAAATAGTTTGGTTTTTGGGGACTTGCTTTTAAGATTTATTTGTCAAGATAAAAGCAGTGTTCATTGTGGGGCTAATTATTCCACACTACTGTGGGAAGACCCTTCTGATTACACTCCCCATACCCTATGAATCATGAGGTTTTCCTCTCTGGCTGGTGGGTGCAGGCGCCATTCCCAGCTCTTTGTGAGCACCATACACCATTACTTCTAATAACAGTTTGGTAGGGGCAAACGCTCTGATTATGTTAAATACACCTTCAATTCATTAGAGTGACCCCGAATTACTGGAAACAGTAAAATTATGTTTAATATCTTTTAAACATTGCATATATTTAGTATGTTAATCCAAAATACATATTTAGTAATAACATTGAAAACCCAATTGTTAAACTTGAAAACCAATGAGGGTTCTGAATAATCAATATTTTACTGATTATGAATTTTGAAAAACATTAGCTTTTATCTCAGGCTATTTAGAGGGTAAGAATAAAATAAAGAACTCCTTAATCACATGACTATGACTAGGCAAATTTCTTAAACAATTTTTGTAACACTGCTGTTCTGTCTATATGCTTATAACATTGCCCTTATTTCATTTTCTCTTCAGATTTGCAGGGGATATCATAGGCTTCCTTTATTTAGTGAAAAGAAAAAAACAAAAACAAAAAATAGTACTGATTAAACAATTTCCCAAAGGAAAAAGGCATATATTTTGCCTTTAAAAATACTTAACAAAGGAAGTGCTTTCGAGTCAAATTTGAAAGACACTTCTTAAAGTGGTGCTGTGATAGGAGGTTTTGTGTTTTTGTTTTTATTTTTGTTTTATTATTTTATTTTTGAGTCAATCCCTCTTAGAACATTGTAGCAGCAAAATATGGTATTGAATATTCATTACTTCACAAGTAGTCTGGCTTTTGTTGAATCCTAGGAGAAAATTATCTAGGATAAAAGGAAACTATTGCTATTTTTCTTTTGTCCTCCCAGTTGCCCTATGTTTGCTTCTTCCACGAAAAAGCTTATGTTCTTTCTCAAAGAGCTGACCTAAGTTCTTGAGAACTGTCTCTAAGAAAAGAGATGCTGTATATCAGTCATAATTTCAAGTGTAGTGCAGGTACTTGCATTTCTAACATAAAAGGATGTGAGGAGCAACGGTAGAGAAACATTTCAAATCCGACTTACAGAAAACGTGTACATATTTTGAAAAAGTGAAATGGAAATAAGCATTTCAGTGATAAAACAGTCTTAGAATGCCCATCAAATGTTTTAAGCAAAGGACAAATAGTCAAATTGGGTTTCTATTGAATCTCTGAAGGACACAATTGATCACGCTGTCTGATTCCAGTATTTGTTCAAAACTATTCTAATCTGTTTAAAGGAATACCCATTTTTAATTTTAACAGTAACCTATAAAAGGAATATTGTTAATGTAATGGTTTTTCTTTCTCCTCTACATATATCTGATTAATACATTCATCGTTAAAATATAGTCAATTTTTCCAGGAAGTTAGATGGCATTGCTTTGTTTTGGATCGTGGTCTTTTTTTTTTTTTTTTTCCTCAAGGTATTATTTCGAAATAACCTGAGGCTACTTGAAAGAACTCATTGCTCCATTCTACTGATGATCCAATAAGATAGGATGAGTATACCAAAAAGGTCACTCACAAAATTGTTTATTCCTCAGGTTAGTCTGTTTGGTTGTGTATAAATAATTTTGAAACTCTTGTTTTAGAACAAAATCTCAGTTTGCTTTAAATCAGTGTCATGTTTCGATGACTTTACCTGACTTTTGACCTCCATGTACTGACCCATGTTATGAAATGTAAGACATAATTTGTAGGCTTGGGTAGTATGTCATTTTAATCAGCAGGCACTTAAAAAATAAGAATCTTTGACATTTACGTCTGTAAAAATGTTTAAAGACTTGTGTGTCTGTGTGTGTACAAATATCTGTATCAGTCAGGGTTCTCCAGAAAAAGAGACAGAACCAATAGGATATATCTTTATGTCTATTTCAGAACGTGCGCACATGCACGTACATGCGCTTGTGTGCGTGCACACACACACACACACACACACACACACACACACACACATTGTCTTAAGGATTGGCTTGCATAATCGTAAGGGCTCGCAAGTCTGAAGTTTGTAGGGCAAGCCGGCAGTCTGGAAACTCAAGCAGGAGTTGGTGCTGCAATCTTGAGGCAGAATTTCTTCTTACCGGAAAACCTCATTGTTTTCTCTTAAGGCTTTCCAGCTGATTGGATGAGGCTCTGTTTCTGACAGTGTTCATATTTTTGCAAGATTTTAGTGGCGGTCTTAGGTCGCTTCAAGTATGTTCCCTGTCTCCAAATTGGTAAAACATTAGCTTACTAGAACCTTATGAACAAGGGCTATTTTGAAATTGCTCATCTTTTTTTCTATGAAACAGGAACTTATCACAGAAAAAAACTCATCACGTGTTCAAACAGATTTATTCTCTTTTCCCTTTATTGTCATTTTTGGTACTAGGGAACCACTACAATCCATTATAAGGATGTCATTGTTAACAAATTGATAACTATTCTCTATCCAATTCTGTTTACAATAGAATTCTATTTACAATTCTATTACAATTCTATTTACAATAGAATTCCATTCTAACTACTATCTCCTCTTGTTTCTTTGATGATGGTAGTGGCAAAAGTAACTTTATTCATAATTTTACCTCTACTTTATAAAACTATTGATATTTAAAAGTTGTTCGAGAATCATCTCATTTTGAATTATAGGTTGTCCAAGACATCATGCCAGTTAACATGGCCAGAGACAAAATTAATTAACAACCAGTAGATTTGAACAATCTCAGGCTGTTTATAGTTTGTAGCTAGATAGGGAAATAATGAAATTGTTTTCTTGTTACAATGAATAAGTAAATAAAATTCTCATTATTAAAAGATATAGATGATATTCCAAAATATTTTCCCATTGCTTTTCATTAATCAAAAGTTAGTAGCCTTCAAAATGGGTCAGAAATACTTTCACATAAGGCTGATAAATGAGATTTGAAGGAAAAAAAATCAATAGTAATGTTGTAGGTTACCGAGTGCATGCAATTGCGTTCAGGAGCCATGACACCAAATTGTCCCGAACATGTAAAAGCTTTACATTTTAACAGCTTTAGGAAAAAAAAAACTTCACTAATTCAGTTTAATATTTAGGAGCCCTAAAAATGCAAGTATAGTGCAGATACCTGTTGTGATCAATTAGCTCTGATGGTATTTTACTAGAAAGTACTTGTTTTCATGGATAGTCAACAAATCCAGCAACACTTTTCTTTGAAGCTGTTAAGCCATGCCTCATTTTTAATGCTAGTATTTCAGAAGATTATGCTACAGGCATTCTGAAGTTGCAAATCTAATATCATGATTATTAGACAGACTTTATAAGACATCCTGAATCAATAATGACCTTTAGTATAATTTTATAATCTAAGTAAGGAAACAATTTTTACTTGATGAGTGGTTGGAGAGAAGGTGCTTGATAATACTGGCATACTTTGTCTTTTAATGTATTCATTAGTGACATAGAGATAACACAGATGCCTTTATTATAGCATGATGCATGATACAGTAAAATTTCGTGTAATATGATTTCATCTTAGGTCCTGATTTTAAAAACTCAACCTAAGTTACAGTCTCATCTTTAACATCTCAATTTACATGTAGTTTAATTTCATGCATGCTGCTCAAAAAAACAAGGTTATAGTGAGGATTCAGTATCCAGGGTATTAATGACTGTGTGATTAATCCGGATCTGAAAGCAGCAGTAGAATAATTGAACTACTTTTAGAAAATTGTAAAACTAGTGGGTGCAGCGCACCAGCATGACACATGTATACATATGTAACTAACCTGCACAATGTGCACATGTACCCTAAAACTTAAAGTATAATAATAATAAAAAAAAAGAATGGCTAGCTAAAAACAAAGTCATGGAGAGTGAAAAACCATTAAAAAAAAAAAAGAAAATTGTAAAACTGTTCTCAGAAAAAGAAAAATAAAGTCATCAACACAAGGGTTTGCAAAGGTGGTATGTCTGATTCGTGTACCTCTAAACAGCCTTGCCCTATGCCACCCAGAAGATGAATGCATCACATATATCTGTTTTTTATCATAGAGAAATTTGTTCAAGCTTTCAATATGTACATGCACACAAAATATTCTGCAAAACAAGGGGAAAAGTAATTAATTTTTAATTCATTTGCAAAGCCTGTGTATACATTATAAAGGAAAAATATTATTGCAAGTTATGAATCTGATTTGTTATAATTAGAAAGAGGACCTAAATTATTTGTTGAACTGGAAATGCATTCAGGATCACAAAGCTAGGATACAATGTGTTTTTCTATGTTATGATAACAAACATTCTGATAATCTAGCTTCTATATTTAATATAAATGGAGACAAAATAAAATAACTCCTATTTCATAAATGCTCCAGAGATTTTCAAGGAGATATGAAGGTAGGTTTGTTCATTTTCAGGTATGCTGTTCTATAGTATTGGGAGGAATCCAAATGAGTTTGCCTCATTCTTTGATATGGGTTATGTTAACTGTTGTGCTGATTGCAGTTTTGATCTTGGCAGTATAGAATATATATTTTACACAGTAAATCATAAAACTGTTCTGAATTGATTCATGGAACAGTAGCAATTCATGAAATTCTTATTGTACTAATGGTTCACTCTACTATCCAATGAACTGGGCTTTTCTTGCCTGGTCCCACAAAGGAGGCATTATCCACCATTTGATGTCACCTGGAAGAACAATTCAACATTCAAGGTCACTAAGCTTAAATTCACTCAAATTTTGTGAACTGAAATGACATCATTCTGATATCTGTGCTCTGTATAGGAGAATTGAAATACAGTGAAATTATAAAGTGGGTGAGGTTAATCTTCAGTTGCCTGCTATCTCCTCATTTGGTACCCCTTTCTCCTTTTCTGGTGGCATTCTAAGACTCGAAGGTCACTATATCTAATGGGGGAAGAGACACTATTGGGCTTCAGAGACTGCCATGTGACACTTCTACTTCACTGAGAAAAACTCACTGCTTCTAGTGTGAAAATTCTCTGGCCGGGTGCGGTGGCTCACGCCTATAATCCCAGCTACTCGGGAGGCTGAGGCAGGAGAATCACTTGAACCTGGGAGGCGGAGGTTGCAGTGAGCTGCGATTGTGCCACCACTACACTCCAGCCTGGGCAACAGAGTGAGACTCTGTCTCCGAAAAAAAGAAAAAAAGAAAATTCTCTGAGAAAACTTATTAAAGGTAGTTTTACTTTGAATTAATATGCATTATTATTTGTATAATTGACTCTAACACATTGAATAATTTACAAAATATAGAATTCACATTTCTTTTAGCATGTAGTTGATAAAGTAGATAAGACAAAACTACCACTCAAATAAGCACACCCATTGTGTTATTTGTGTGGGAAAAGTGAGCACATACATACAATCATCTCTTAATGGTGTGCACTTCGAATACAAAAACTTCTATATAGTTAGGCAACGACCTTCATTATTTATCATTAGCAATAAAGCTTATATAGGCTTACAGAATAGCAATATGGGTTAAAACATGGTTGCAAACTGAAAAATCAGAGTGAGAGTTTAAAAATTCCTGCAGTAAGATAAGTAACACAGGCATCTATATCACACTAAGTCTCCATTTATTGAAATCATAGAAAACCATTATTTTACACAATGTTTAACAGCTCATCAGAGGCAGGGTAACTTGAACTTCATTTGGTAATGCTTTTGCTCTACCCTGATCAGTTAAAACATTTTGGCATATCTCCTATTCATTTTTGGTCTGCACAGGCATCTCTCATTCAGAGGGATTTTTTTCCATGTGAATATTCATGCCTTTAATTGGTTTTTCCCTGTTCTTTCAACTGATGTCTTATTAGTTGACATAATGAAAAGAACAAATTGCCTAATCAAGCTTTTTATATACTAAAAACTGGAGAAAGATCTTTTAAAATTATATGCATATAATGCATGTCATCAAAATCAGTGGCATTGTTAATGAGAATGAGCTCACAACACAGTCATTTGAAGGGAGGAACTATTTCTGCCCCTCTCCATGATCATCACACAGGATAGAGAAACAAACAAAGATATGCAGACTGTCAACATCAGAAAAGTGAAATTTCCAAATTTATAATGGAATTAATGCTTTCAAATCTATAAATAACAAAATGTGCCTCTGCATCTGCTAACTCATGCTTTTTGACAACAAGCTGTGCTGAAAGACAGTCAGTTGATATTGCAGACAAGCACTGTGGGCTGAGCAGTTGCAATTTGTTTATTGTTTTCTGATGCACATCCATGGGCCATATGGTCAGGGTCTTCATGGAAACAAATTGTCCATAATTTTCTTTCAACATGAGGATACCGTAGTAAAATAATTTGGGGGCTATAGAGTAACCTCAACAAAATCTATCATACAGATTGTAGGAAGGCTGATAAAATCTGTCACCTATCTCATCTACTGTCTATGCATATCTCAAAGTCACGTATGTATTCTATTGCAGTTCATATATCAGAGCTATATTATGCTATCTTCTCTGGGACTGAGCTATTTCCCCCTCCATCAAGGCAAGGACTGAGTACTACATCTTTTTTTTTTTTTTTTTAATTCCAGAGCCAAAGAAACCCATCTTAGATTAATCAAACTTCCCAGAGTTGTTTCTCAAAAATATCAGGACTCAGTCAGGCACAGCAGCTCATGCCTGTAATCCCAACACTTTGAAAGGCCAAGGCAGGAGGATCGCTTGAGGCCAGGAATTCGAGGCCAGCCTGGGTAACAGAGTGAGACCTCTAAAAAAATCTTTCCTAATACAATAGCTAAGTTCACATAATTATAAAAAAGTCAATAAGAAAAATTAGCACAGACAAAGTAAATATTAAAACAATAGGTGCTTTGCACATGGTTAAAAAGGTATAAAGATATACCTCAGAGATATTGCAGGTATGGTTCCAGACCACTTCAATAAAGTGAGTCACACAAATATTTTGGTTTCTAAGTGCATAATAAAGTTATGCTTACATGCTTACGCTGTACTATACTCTATTAAGTGTGCAATAGCATTGTCTAACAAAACAATGTACATATCTTAATTTGAAAAATCCTTTATTGCCACAAAATGCTAACAATTATCTGAGCTTTCAGTGAGTAATAACCTTTTTTCTACTGGAAGGTCTTGCCTCAATATTGATGGTTGCTGACTGATTAGGGTGGTGATTACTGAAGGTTTGGGTGACTGTGACAATTTCCATTTTTTTCTTTTCTTTTCTTTTTTCTTTTTTTTTTTTTGAGACAGAGTCTCGCTCTGTTGCCCAGGCTGGAGTGCAGTGGCGTGATCTCGGCTCACTGCAAGCTCCGCCTCCCGGGTTCACGCCATTCTCCTGCCTCAGCCTCCCGAGTAGCTGGGACTACAGGTGCCCACCACCATGCCAGGCTAATTTTTTGTATTGTTTTTTAGTAGAGACGGGGTTTCACCATGTTGGCCAGGATGGTCTCGATCTCCTGACCTCTTGATCTGCCTGCCTTGGCCTCCCAAAGTGCTGGGATTACAGGCATGAGCCACCGCACCCGGCTGACAATTTCTTAAGATAAGAAGACAACAGGCCGGGCGCGATGGCTCATGCCTGTAATTCCCAGCACTTTGGGAGGCCGAGGCAGGTGGATCACTTGAGGTCAGGAGTTCGAGATCAGCCCAGCCAAGATGGTGAAACGCTATCTCCACTAAAAACACAAAAATTAGCTGGTTGTGGTGGCAGGTGCCTGTCATCCCAGCTACTCAGGAGGCTGAGGCAGGAGAATCACTTGAACCCAGGAGGTGGAGGTTGCAGTGAGCCAAGATTGTGCCACTGCACTCCAGCCTGGGTGACAGAGTGAGACTCTGTCTCAAAAAAATAAATAGAAAAGACAACAATGAAATTTGCCACGTTGACTGACTCTTCCTTTCACAAATGATTTGTTTGTAGCACGTGATACTGTTTGATAGCATTTTACCCATAGTAGAACTTTTTTCAAAATTGGAGTCAATAATCTCAAACCTTATTGCTGCTTTATCAACTGTCTATAGAATATTATAATTTTTTCTTATTGTTTCAACAATGTTCATAGCATCTTCATCAAGAGTAGGTTCCATCTGAAGAAACCAGTTTCTTTGCTCATCCATAAGAAGCAGCTCCTCATTTATTCGAGTTTGATCATAAGATTGCAGCAGTTCAGTCACATCTTCAGACTTCAGTTTGAATTCTCATTCTCTTTCTATTTCTACCATATCTGCAGTTACTTCCTCCATGGAAGTCTTCAACTCCTCAAAATCGTCTATGGGGGTTGGAATCAACTTCTTCCAAATTCCTCTTACTGTGGCTAATTTTGATCTCCAATGAATCACAGATGTTCTTAATGGTATGTAGAATGGTGAATCCTTTCTAAAAGATTTTCAGTGTACTTGGCCCAGATCTAGCAGAGACAGCTATAGCTTTATTCAAAGTATTTTATTATTATTATTATTATACGTTAAGTTCTAGGGTACATGTCCACAATGTGCAGGTTTGATACATAGGTATACATGTGCCATGTTGGTTTGCTGCACCCATCAACTCATCATTTACATTAGGTATTTCTCCTAATGCTATCCCTCCCCAACCCCCCACCCGCCAACAGGCCCCGGTGTGCGATGTTCCCCAGCCTGTGTCCAAGTGATCTCATTGTTCAATTCCCACCTATGAGTGAGAACATGCGGTATTTGGTTTTCTGTCCTTGTGATAGTTTGCTGAGAATGATGGTTTCCAGCTTCATCCACGTCCCTGCAAAGGACATGAACTCATCCTTTTTCATGGCCGCATAGTATTCCATGGTGTATATGTGCCACATTTTCTTAATCCAGTCTATTGCTGATGGACATTTGAGTTGGTTCCAAGTCTTTGCTATTGTGAATAGTGCCACAATAAACACATGTGTGCATGTGTCTTTATAGTAGCATGATTTATAATCCTTTGGATATATACCCAGTAAGGGGATGGCTGGGTCAAATGGTAATTCTAGTTCTAGATCCTTGAGGAATCGACACACTGTCTTCCACAATGGTTGGACTAATTTACACTCCCACCAACAGTGTAAAAGCATTCCTATTTCTCCACATCCTCTCCAGCATCTGTTGTTTCCTGACTTTTTAATGATCACCATTCTAACTGGCGTGAGATGGTATCTCATTGTGGTTTTGGTTTGCATTTCTCTGATGGCCAGTGATAATGAGCATTTTTTTCATGTGTCTTTTGGCTGCATAAATGTCTTCTTTTGAGAAGTGTCTGTTCATATACTTTGCCCACTTTTTGATGGAGTTGTTTGTTTTTTTTCTTGTAAATTTGTTTGAGTTCATTGTAGATTCTGGATATTAGCTCTTTGTCAGATGAGTAGATTGCAAAAATTTTCTCCCATTCTGTAGGTTGCCTGTTCACTCTGATGGGAGTTTCTTTTGCTCTGCAGAAGCTCTTTAGTTTAATTACATCCCATTTGTCTATTTTGGATTTTGTTGCCATTGCTTTTGGTTTTTTTAGTCATGAGGTCCTCGCCCATGCCTATGTCCTGAATGGTTTTCTTCTAGGGTTTTTATGGTTTTAGGTCTAACATTTAAGTCTTTAATCCATCTCGAGTTAATTTTTGTATGAGGTGTAAGGAAGGGATCCAGTTTCAGCTTTCTACATATGGCTAGCTATTTTTCCCAGCACCATTTATTAAATGGGGAATCCTTTACCCATTTCTTGTTTTAGTCAGGTTTGTCAAAGATCAGATGGTTGTAGATGTGTGTCATTATTTCTGAGGCCTCTGCACTGTTCCATTGATCTATATATCTGTTCTTTTACATTGGCTGAGGAGTGCTTTACTTCCAATTATGTGGTCAATTTTAGAATAAGTGTGATGTGGTGCTGAGAAGAATGTATATTCTGTTGATTTGGGGTGGAGAGCTCTGTAGATGTCTATTAGGTCTGCTTGTTGCAGAGCTGAGTTCAGGTCCTGGATATCCTTGTTAACCTTCTGTATTGTTGATCTGTCTAATATTGACAGTGGGTTGTTAAAGTCTCCCATTATTATTGTGTGGGAGTCTAAGTCTCTTTGTAGGTCTCTAAGGACTTGCTTTATGAATCTGGGTGCTCCTGTATTGGGTGCATATATATTTAGGATCGTTAGCTCTTCTTGTTGAATTGATCCCTTTACCATTATGTAATGGCCTTCTTTGTCTCTTGATCTTTGTTGGTTGAAAGTCTGTTTTATCAGCGACTAGGATTGCAACCCCTGCTTTTTTTTTTTTTTTTTTTTTTTTGCTTTCCTTTTGCTTGGTAGATCTTCCTCCATCCCTTTATTTTGAGCCTATGTGTGTCTGTTCTTTCCTTGAACCTTATGAACCAATTTCTCTTAGCTTCCAACTTTTCATGTGAAGCTTCTTCACCTCTCTCGGCCTTCACAGAATTGAAGAGAGATAGGGCCTTGCTCTGGATTAGGCTTTGGCTTAAGGGAGTGTTGTGGCTGGTTTGATCTTCTAGCCAGACCAATACAACTTTCTCCATAATAGCAATCAGAGTGTTTCACCTTTTTGTCATTCATGTGTTCACTACAGGAGTACCTTTAATTTCCTTCAAGAACTCTTCCTTTGCATTGACAAGTTAGCTAAGGGTTTGGGGTAGGATGCCTAACTTTCCACCTATCTCAGCTTCCAACATGCCTTCTTCACTAAGCTTAATCATTTCTAGCTTTTTGTTTGTTTGTTTTGAGACGGAGTCTTGCTCTGTCGCCCATGCTGGAGTGCAGTGGCGCGATCTAGGCTCACTGCAACCTCCGCCTCCCGGGTTCACGCCATTCTCCTGCCTCAGCCTTCTGAGTAGCGGGGACTACAGGCGCCCGCCACCACGCCTGGCTAATTTTTTGTATTTTTAGTAGAGCCGGGGTTTCACCGTGTTAGCCAGGATGGTCTCGATCTCCTGACCTCGTGATCCACCTCGGCCTCCAAAAGTGCTGGGATTACAGGCGTGAGCCACCGCGCCTGGCCCAATCATTTCTAGCTTTTGATTTCAAGTGAGAGACATGCTACTTTTCCTTTCACGTGAACGCTAGGAGGCCATTGTAGGGTTATTAGTTGGTTTAATTTCAATATTGTTAAGTCTTAAGAACTAGGAAAGCCCAAGGAGAGGGAGAGAGATGGGGGAAGGGCTAATCAGTGGAGCAGTCAGTATACACACAACATTTATTAAGTTCATTGTCTTAAATGGGTGCCATTTGTGGCATTTCAAAACAACTACAAGAGTAACATCAAATATCACTGATCATAGGTCATCATAAGAGATATAATAGTAATGCAAATGCCTGAAATATTGGGAGAATTACAAAAATGTAACACAGAGACATGAAGTGAGCACATGCTGTTGGAAATATAGATTTGCTTGATGTGGGGTTATCACAAACTTTCAACTGTTTTTAAAAAAGCAGTATCTGTGAAGCATAATAAAGCAAAGCGCAATAAAATTAAGTAAGCCTGTATATTATGGTGGTCAAGTGCTTTAATAAGAAATATTATGTTCTTAATATTGTGAGATCACAGTAATCTATAGTGTGTAGGTACTCAGCTTTGAGTTGTTTTGTCAGAAGCAGGATGACGCTGTATGCAAAATCATTTTCATTGCTTGTGTCTTATGACCTGTGGAACATAGTTACAAGCCAGACAACTAATTAGGGGCACATTCTGTAATTAGAATATGAAATGAAACTGACTGACCCATATGAGAATTTGCCCCATGATGTAAATCTTCTTATTACGATACTCTAACCAGTGGGACAAATAATTTCTAACTTGAAGTAGAAATAGAGTAGGTGTTGTCTAAATTGCCCACAATTACTAACTACTGCTATGATTGCAATTCTGCAATTCTGGTTCTAATGAGTGAAAAAAAAAAGAATTAAATATTATAGGAAGGGCAAAAAAGTTCTTCCTTAAAGTAAAATGAAAGGTAAAACAACATCATGAAACCCTTTATTTTTATGGTACTCAAGAAATTATTTGAAATGAAAATCATTAAGTTGCCTGAAAATGGATCTTAACTGTTTATAAATGCAAACTATTGGGACAGTTGCCTTGACTTGACTGGAATAGCATTAGGTTAAATGTATCTTCCAGCCATTACACTGCAGCAGAAATTCTATGGTTTTGTAATCACTGCTGCCGTTCCCTCTCAAAGACCACCAACATTTGGTAATAGCATGTTTTCCACAGTAAAAGGATGTATGGATTTTCTCCTTTATTTAACTCAGTCTTAAAGGGATTTAAATGGTAATTTCAACTAATAAGTTGTTACAACACATTTTATATCACCAGTCACATTTGTGTGCCATTTAAATTTGTGATGAAAAGATCTGCATATAACTTGGATTTGGCTGAAAGGCGGTATGCTTATCACGACCACTTAGGTTTGATAACATGCCTTTGATGGCTCAATCTCACAAGAATAATTTTCCATGAGATTTCCAGATTGTACAGCTGTGCACTTAGTTGTATATCCTCTAGAAACTGCCTGTGTTGTGAAATTGATCTTGGTTTTACCTGGCATAAACATCATAAACATACAGTTTTTAGTACTGTGTTTTTGGTCACCACCTCTGATATGGACACATCCTTCCGTCTCTACCTAATACTAACAGTTAACGGGTTATTAGTTAATTAGTTAATAGATTATGATTTCTTGGGCAAGTTCATTTTTTTGTAAAAGACTTTTTATGTCACCATATTTATTTTAGAAATTAGTTGGAATCCTGGATATCAAAAATCAAGTGAGTTAATAGCAGTAGCAACCAAAAAGTTCCTAAAATGTTGCTATGTATACAGCACCATTGCCATTTACTGGCAATATAGAGAAATATGTATTTATGGGAGGAGATATACATACCAAAATGTGGATTAGTAAGGCATGTAGTGAATAGCATATAGAGGTTGGGGATTAAATTAGAACAAGTGCTTGACGGGCTCTTTCATGTTTATCTTGCTCTTAATTACACGTGTATATGCAATGCCATAAAAGCTATAGTTAATTGATTGAAATGTGGTATTGTTATTTATTATTGTTATTTCAGACAGTACTTTTTAGGTGAGAATTATTATTTCAGGCACATTTCTCTTTACATGACTACCATCAATGTATGAAAAGTGCCCACTTATTTATTTTGCGTTGTTTGCCTCCTGGTAGGAGCAGGAAGGGAAAGGAGGAGAAATAAGCTATAACTGGTTGTTTTATTTCTCTTGAATTAGTACCTAGTAGCCATTACTGACACCTCCTTTCTCTTCTCAAAAGGTCCAATACATTTCTTGAATACATTTCTTGACCACTAGGAATATGTTTAAAAAAACAAACAAACAAACAAACAAAGTTCCACACTACCTCCCAGAACAAAATATGTACACAACAGTATTAAAACAATATACCTGCAAGTTCACAAAAAAAAAAGGAGTAAGATATTGAGATGGGGTGGATGTAGGTGTCTACATGAAACTTCTCTTACCACCCCCTACTACCCCTCCACATGTATTATGTCCTCTTTGTTTTCTTCCATCAGTATCTAAAATGCTGCTTTTCACGTTTTAATTCAAATACAGAAACCGACTGGGCATCAGCTTATTTTTTCCCAGCTTCTGTGGATCTTTAATGAAATATCACTACAACAAAAATGAATTCTGAAGTCCCCTTTTCATAATAGTGAGATTTTTACCTGTTCCCTAATGCATGTGATTGCAAGCTTCCTGACCTGTGATTTCAGAAAGCATCCTCCTTTTTGTTCCCAAAGCAACGTCCTAGCTACCAAGTGCGTTGAGTGTTCAACAAAAGGCCATACACTAGAGTACTGTATGTGCTGGGGCAGGGATGGAGAGTAGGCAGGTGCTCTGCTATATGTTTCAGTAATTAGAGAATTTCATCATTTGAATTTGACTGGGCTCTCTTTCATTCCTAACAACATGAGCCATTTCAGCTGTGCTATACCATTGCATTAAAAGGTCACATTTCCACTGTCAGAGCAAAAAGTGAAAAATTGAAGAATTCTATTATACAAATAATGCAGATTCTGTTTTTTTTTTTCATTTTTGCCTAATGTTACTCAGGTAATTATTCCATTGTGTTTTGACCTCAGAATGTAATTACTGACAAAGAAATAAAGATTAAATATATCTTTACAGTGTAAACAACTCTGTTGCCATCCTTTGTTACAGCCAGGTTTAAAACTTAAAATGAATCTATGAGATGGGGAAAAATTTAACATAAATACAAGCTGTTAAAATGGAATGCTGTTATGTTTAGTATACTGTTAGTATTTTGTAGAGTATAATGCTTAGGGAGCTGCATCTTACTTCTTCATTCATAGCCATCATGTTTCTACCAAAAAGAAGAGATATTGAACAACCCCTTTCTCTATCCCCTGCTGCTGACTGTGTAGTAGGCGATGGGACATTTCACTGATCGCTTCTGCATTTGTATTAGGATCTTCTTTTTCTTGTTTGATTTAAACCATAAAGAACTGTTGTTGCATGCTGATGAGACACTGGGTAAAGTCTCCAGTTAGGTTTTTCTTTTTTTCATTTAGCTAATTTGTTTCAGAAAGTTAGACACCTGTCTTGCTTTTAATCAGGATCCTCTAAGGTCAGTTAAAATCATTTTCCCATAGCTGTTTAAGATGTGCATGTGGCTGGCTGCCTGACCAGGTGAATAAGTAAACATTTCAGTCATTGCTCATGAGAATAAATCACCTTGCTTGGATGGGGCTTGGAGAGAAAAGTGAATCAAATGCCACAGAGTCTTAACTGTAGCTGTCTCCCTGCTTGGTGGAATGCCTCCATCCTTTGTGATGCAAATAGTAATTTATTTCTTCCCAACAGCAGGTCAGCCACAAGGATTTAGTTTCCTTCCAAGGTAGGGGAGCTGATTTAACCTGCCGCTATGCTTTTCTACAAGATTCTTATTTACAACAGTTTCTTAATGAGTTATGTCAGAGTAGCTGCTGGTATGATCCTTTTGATATCAGGGCCTGTGAAGCAGAATGGTTAATGATGAACGCCTTGCTAGTTTCAGTGAACATTACAGAGTGACTGACTACAGCACCATGGACTAGATGCCAAACTCATAATAAATGGAACAGTGCCACCTTTTGGCCATAAAGTAGGGACACAAACTAGGAAGGCTAGGATTCTGTAAGTCACACAGTTTATTTAAAACTATTTATGACGGATTTAGTGGTCATGCAATCCTCAAATAATAGCAACCAAATTCTATTTTTCTCTTTATTTTCTTCCTTTTTTCCCCCACTGTGGCAGTATCTATGCTTTGACTGTATGCATTTCATATAATAATGATGCTTTGGAGAGGCTAAATTTTGCTACATTCCAATTATGTTTTGCACAAGAATGAATTAAGCATGCATTATGCAGATAATATGAAGGATAACATGGTTACCATTGTACATATAGCAACTTCTTTTATACAGTGACAACTAGTTTGTGGAAACTTTTGGAAAGAATTTTGAAAGAAGGCAATTAATTGAGTATTGCAGTATTTGTTTATGATTGTGAATTGGACACTGATTTTAATTTAAAAAAATATTTTGGGTCTGCCTTTTTCTTTCCCTATGTATTGTTTCTCGTGAAGCAATAACACACCAATTAATTTGAGTATAGTTAATCAAAAACATTCACACATTGAAATTCATTTTTCTCTATCCATTTTTTAGGAACATTTTATTTTGTAGAGCAGTTTCAGGTTCACAAAAAAGTTGAGAGAAAGATACAGATTTCCCATATACTCCCTGCCTTCCACACGTGCATAGCCTCCTCTGTCATCAACATTCCCCACCAGAGTGGTTTGTTAAAATTGGTGAACCTACACTGACATATTGTAATCACTCAAAGTTCATATTTGACCTTAGGGTTCACTCTTGGTATTTATTATACATTTGAAGGGTTTGGATAAATGTACAATGTTATCTGTCTACCATTGTAGTATCCATACTCAATTTTTAGAAGAAAGAGGCAAGTTAGCAGACAGCTTTGTGATAGTAAGGGTTTAATCAAGAAAGAAAATCTCAGGGTATGTCATGACAGATATCAATAAGCAATCAGCCCAATTTCCTATACCATTTACAGTTTAGTCGAAGTCAAATGGTGATAGATGTCCAGAACATGAAAAACTTGTATTCTATAATTCTAAAAAAATTCTAAAATAAACAAAAATATGTTCACTGGCTACTTACTGCAAGACAAAAAGTTTTTTTGTGTTCAAAATTAGTGCATAGCTCACAATCCTAAAAGAATATTGCAACATTCATTTAAATTTTCTTTTTATAAAAAATTTCCCAAATATTTTCTCATATCAGTTGTCACTGCATAAAATAAACTTCCATGCATACTGAAACATTTTTAAAAGTTTTTGACATTTATTAAATGAGAAGTTTAATCTGCATCTTAATGGTAAATTATTGGAGACAGTTTCCCTCCAATCTTAAGTGGACATTTAGGCATTTCAGCAAAATTGGTAAAAGTTATTTTTGAACTATTGGACCTTTCCAACAGTGAAGGTTGATGCTTATTCGACTAGACATAGGACACCTTTTCAAAGTGAGAGAGGGTGAAAACTTGTTTCTGTGGGTGACTTAATGGCTCTTATTCAAATGCCACCCACACCTTAGGCCTTCTATTGGATTGATGTATTTAATCATAACCCTTGGGCTGGCTCCTGAGGCTTTTCCACCTAGCTTCTATATTTTGGTGTTATCATTCTAGACAAAGTTTTAAAATGAGTAGAATGTTTGCTTTTTTTTTTCAAATCATCAATACTATGTAATCCAGCATGTTTCCCATTGTGTCTTAGTAGCTAGAAAATGAAGAAAATGTCAGTCCCAAACAGTAGTAACTAATATATCTCAGGTACCCAAGAACATTAAGTTTCTCCAGATCTCTTTGATGATCCCTATTCTGTTTATCATATTAATTATCATGAATTGCATTACACTTTATTTTGATAGGTTTTAGTCACCTCAGGCTGCCGTAACAGACTGGGAGGCTTAAACAACAGAAATTTATTTCTCGTAGTTCTGGAGGCTGGAATGTCCAAGGTCAGGGTGCCAACAAAACAGATTACATCCTGAGGCCTCTTGGTTTGTAGGTTGTGTGCTCACATGACCCCTTTCTTTGTGCATGTGCAGAAACAGAGAGAAGACAGAGAGAGAGAGAGAGAGAGAGAGAAACAGAGTGAAAGAGCGAGTTCTGGTGTCTCTTCTTATAAGGGCACTAGGGGGCTCTACTGTCATGACCTCATCTCATCCTAATTACCTCTGGAAGGCCCCATCTCCAAATACCATCACACTGGGAGTTAGGGCTTCAACATATGAATTTTGGAGGGACACAATCATTCTATCAAAAACAGATAGTTTCTTCAAATCCTTTAGGAAATAAATAGGGCTCAACTATAAAACTCTAAAATATCACATGTGCAAGAGCTTGTGTTAGGCACTGAAGAAGATAGAAATATATTTAAAATAAGAATTCTACTTTTGAAGAGTTTTTACTTGTCATTAAAACAAATGCAAATACAGTCATACAGCCCATAATGTTTGGGTCAATGACAAATCACATATGTGATAGTGGTTCCTTAAGATTATAATGAAGCTGAAAAATTCCTGTTGCCTGGTGGCATTGTAGCTGTCAAAATGTCATAGTACAAAACATTGCCATGTACTTATGGTGATGTCAGTGTGAACAAACCTACTGTGCTGCTATTCATATAGAAGGACAGCACATACAATTATGTACAGTGTACAATACTTGATAATGATAATAAACGATTACATTACAGGTTAATGTATTTATTACTATTAATACTATACTATACTATACTATACCTTTATGATTAGAGTGTACTCCTTATTTAGAAAAGAGTTAACTGTAAAACAGCCCAGGCAGGTCCTTCAGGAGGTATTCCAGAAAAAAGACATTGTTATCATAGAAGGTGGAAGCTCCATGTGTATTATTGCCCCCAAAGGCCTTCCAGTGGGACAAGATGTGGAGGCAGAAGACAGTGTTATTGATGATCCTGACCCTGTGTAAGCCAGGCTAATGTGTGGGTTCATGTCTTCATTTTTAATAAAAAATTTAAAAAGTAAAAAAATAGACAATTAAAAATTAAAAATAGAAGAAAGCTTATCAGATAAGAATATAAAAAAGAAAATATTTTGTACAGCTTCACAATATGTTTGTGTTTTAAGCTACGTGTGATTACAAAAGAATCAAACAGTTAAAAATTTAAAGTTCATAAAGTACAAAAGTTAGAGTAAGCTGCTTATTTTGAAGAAAGAAAAATTTTTTTTAGTAAATCTAGTGTAGCCTAAGTGTACAGTATTAATAAAGTGTACAATAGTAAACAATAATATCCTAGGTGTGCACATTTACTCACCACTCACCCACTGACTCACCGAGAGCAACTTCCAGTTTTGAAAGTTACTCCATTCATGGTACGTGCACTATAAAGGTGTAATCTTTTATACTGTATTTTTACTGTACTTTTTCTACATTTAGGTATGTTTAGATACACAAATACTATTATGTTACAGTTGCCTACAGTATTCAAAACTGTAACCTGCTGTATAGGTTTGTAGTCTAGAAGCAATATTATATAGTTTAGGTGTGCAGTAGGTTAGACCATCTAGGTTTATGTAAGTGCATTCTATGATGTTTGCACAAAGACAAATTGGCAGACACATTTTTCAGAACGTATCCCCATTGTTAAGTGGTGCATGACTGTGAGTAGATTGCATTTTGCTTTGTAAATTGAACTTACTTTCCAAAATTAGTATTTATAAATCATATATCTATAGTATTAAAACCAACAAAACATATTTCAAATCAAATTTTTGTCTTTTACATGCATAAAATGTGTTTAATTTATTATGTTTAGATATATAAATATTTTTATTCTTGCAGGAAGCAATATATTTAGTTTTTCTTTTCCACTTTGATAGAAAATACTACAAACAAATTTCATTCATTATCTCAATGCAGTTGTAGCATATTATACTTGATACGCTTCATACATAGATGTAATATACTGTATGATATATCAAAGGTAATGTATTTTTTCTTCTGTCAGAATGTACCAAATGATGGAAATTAAGAAGATTAAATAGATACTTATCCTTAAGTCAACATATATATAATTAAATATAATATTCTACTTAAGAAAACTGTCAGGATTGAGAGGCCATACGATTTATATTTTCTTTCTTAAATGTCTTGAAAATTCTTGTGATTTTTCTGTGTGTTTTTCTTTTACTTTTTAAAGAACCTACTTCAAAGCCTTCTTAAAAGTCACCGTTACTGCCTTCTAATGTATTGTAAACAAAGAGAACGTCCTTTCTTCAAATATGCAGGGCTCCTAAGAGATGTCCACTGGCGTGTCAAACAAAAATCAAGAACTTGCTCTTTTATCAGCATTATCAAGCCCATCCAGTAGTGAAAGACTAGTGGCAAAGGCACATGATGGGCCAAAATTCAGATTTATTTTACCAAATTCACTCCTCTCATATTTCAAGGAACAAAATCATGCACCAGTAGAAACCAAATTTCCTTCTGCTTTTTATCTTATTTCCTCTTTTTGATTCATAGCTCCTGTCAGCTTTGGGTAGAGATTTGCTGAACCATAAAATATCTGCCTGCTACTGTGGTTCATTATATAGGTTCAGTGCATGGTCGGCAATCTACAAGGTCTTCCTGATTCCAAATAACTCCCTCGACTGGCCTGGACTAGTACCTGACTAAAAAACACCTTCCCCACCACTGCTCCATCGTGAAGTAGAATATATGACCAATAAAAAGTAAAATGTAATATTCTTTAATAGACATTAGTACATTGAATTTTTCAGATCATTTAAATTTAAGTTGTGAAAAGGCCTTAGATAACACAACAAAGAGAGAACTGAAGGGATAGCTTTCACTATTAGGGGATGACTCCTTTGACTACATGATGCATAAATGCTGACTCTGAGAAGGGACTGTGTTTTTTTTTTTTTTTTTTTTTTTGCACAGATTTGTAATTTATTCAAAGAAGAAAAAATAGAAAATAAAAAAATTTACATTGATTTAAAAGGATTACTCATGAAAATTATTGAAGAAGAGTTATTTTCCTCTTTTTTGTTTTTATTTTTATTTATTTATTCAAGCCGCACATAATTAAACACAGTTGGATTATTTCTATTTCTTGTCTTCTAAATATTAGTCTTTAATTTTTAATTTTGCCTATGGGGGGTGAGGTTATACCATTTATTTTAATGGACCTCAAATGACTAAAACTGACTTAATCATTAGTAGGATATGAAACACACTATTTGTCCTCTCCTGCAAAACCTCTGGGAAGATATTGTATGGGAGTTCTTTTAGAAGTCAAGATACAGGTGTGCATGCAGGCCTTGGGTGAAGCTGTACAGAAGTGAAGAGGGGAGAAGATTTTATTAAAGATTAATTAGGGTTTCTTCATAATTTTACCTAAAATCCAATCTGTTCTGTATCTCTCAGTAAATTGTTACTGAAGGACAGACTCTTGAAAAAGTATAATGCAGAACAGGAATAGCAAGAAACTAGGCATTATGGGAGCCCTATACTACATTCTCAAATGATGTAAAAATTGTCAGATTTATTCCCAGATTATACTAAGATGTGTGTGCTGAAAGAATTTGGTTAACTATTTATTTCTTCCAGTGTACATTTTTATTTATTTATTTATTTATTTTAATTCCAATAGGTTTTTGGGGAACAGGTTGTGTTTGGTTACATGGATATGTTCTTTAGTGGTGATTTCTGAGATTTTGGTACACCCATCCCATGAGCAACCTACACTGTACCCAATGTGTAGTCTTATATCCCTTGCTTCCCTCTCTCTCTTCCCTCAATGTCCCCAAAGTCCGTTGTATCATTCTTATGCCTTTGTGTCCTCATAGCTTATCTCCACTTATAAGTGAGAACATATGATGGTTGGTTTTCGATTCCTGATTTAATTCATCTAGAATAATGGTCTCCAGCTCCATCCAGGTTGCTGTGCCATTATTTTGTTCCTTTTTATGGTTGAGTAGTATTCCATGGTGTGTGTGTGTATATAACATTTTCATTTTCCACTTGTTGATTGTTGGGTGTTTGGGCTGGTTCCATATTTTTGCAATTGTGAATTGTGCTGCTATAAACGTGTGTGCAAGTGTCGTTTTCATATAATGACTTCTTTTCCTCTGGGTAGATCCCCAGTAGTGGGATTGCTGGATCAAATGGCAGATCTAATTTTAGTTCTTTAAGGAAACTCCACACTGTTTTCCATAGTGGTTGTACTAGTTTGCATTCCCACCAGAAGTGTAAAAGTGTTCCCTTTCACCACATCCATGCCAACATCTATTATTTTTTATTTTTTTCATTAAGGCCATTTTTGCACGAGTAAGGTGGTATCACATTTTGGTTTTGATTTGCATTTCCCTGATAATCAGTGACATTGAACATTTTTCATACGTTTGTTGGCCATTGCATATTTTCTTTTGAGAATTTTCTATTCATGTCCTTAGCCCACTTTTAGAACTGATAAATGAATTCAGTAAAGTTTCAGGACAAAAAATCAATGTACACAAATCAGTAGCACTGCTGTACACCCACAGTGACCAAAATGAGAATCGAATCAAAAACTCAACCCCTTTTACAACAGCTCAAAAAATACTTAGGAATATACCTAACCAAGGAGGTAAAAGACCTCTACAAGGAAAACTATAAAACCCTTCTGAAAGGAATCATAGATAACACAAAGAAATGAAAACACATCATATGCTCATAGATGGGTAGAATCAATATTGTGAAAATGATGATACTGCAAGAAGCAATCTACAAACTCAATGCAATTCCCATGAAAATACCATCATCATTCTTCATAGAATTAGTAAAAATAATACTAAAATTCATATGGAACCAAAAAACAGCCTGCATAGCCAAAGCAAGACTGAGCAAAAAGAACAAATCTGGAGGCACCACATTACCTGACTTCAAACTAGACTACAAGGATATAGTCACCAAAACAGCATAGCACTGGCATAAAAATAGGCACATAGACCAATGGAGCTGAGAATAGAAAACTCAGAAGTAAATCCAAATATTACAGCCAACTGATCTTCAAGAAAGCAAACAAAAATATAAAGTAGGAAAAGGACATTCTACTCGACAAATGATGCTGGGATAACTGGCAATCCATGTGTAGAAGAATGAAACTGGATCCTCATCTCTCACCCTATACAAAAATCAATTCAAGATGGATCAAAGACTTTAACCTAAGACCTAAAACCATAAAAATTCTAGAAGATAACATCAGGAAAACCCTTCTAGACATTGGCTTAGGCAAAGGCTTCGTGATCAAGAACCTAAAAGCAAATGTAACACAAAGATAAATAGATGGAACTTAATTATACTAAAAAAACTTCTGCACAGCAAAAGAAGTAATCAGCAGAATAAACGGACAACCCACAGAATGGGGGAAAATCTTTGCAAACTATTCATCCGATAAAGGACTAATATCCAGAGTCTACAAGGAACTCAGATGAGTCAACAAGAAAAACATAAACAATCCCATCAAAAAGTGGGCATTTCTTCTACTGTACATTTTTATGTAGTGAAAATTACATTATGTTCTTTTGTTTCTAATTTTACTTTTCTTTGGGATAATTAATGCACATGGCAAGTACTCTAATAGTCTAAAAGTTACAGTGAAAAATGAGCATCCCAACCCTAATTCTCATGCTTTCTGTCCTGTTTCTCAGGTATAATTTATATTAGCAATTTTTTAGGTATTCTTCCAGAAATATTCTATGCATATACAATGATATCTGTGTGTATCTTCATTTATTCTAACCATAATGGAAGCATACTCTACACCTTGTTTTACATCTTCCTTTTTAAATTAAAAATGTATCTTAAATATCCTTCCATTTACATGTAAATACAGCTTTCTATTATTAATAGCTGTATGTTATTTTATTATATGGATGTATCATAATTTATGCAGTCCATCACCAAATTAAGGACATTTGGGTTGTTTCCAGTTTGTCTATACTATAAACAAATTTTTATAAGAGATATTCTTGCATGTTTACTTTGTGTGTATGTGCAAGCATATTTCTGAATAAATTCCTAGAGATGGAATTGCTGGTTGAAAGTGTATGTGCATTTTAAATTTCAATAAATATAAGTTATCATTAGGTTTTAATATTGTATTAGATAATGTGGTAGACATCCAACACTAAAGGATGACTGTGATTTAAGCTTAACAACAAATGTTGTTCCACATTAGAAAACATTAGAAAAAACTATTTTAAAATTCATATGGAACCAAAAAAAGACCTTGCATAGCCAAGACAATCCTAAGCAAAAGAACGAAGCTGGAGACATCACACTACCTGACTTCAAACTATACTACAAGGCCACAGTAACCAAACAGCATGGTACTGGTACAAAAACAGGCCAGTGGAACAGAATAGAGTACTCAGTAATAAAACCACACATCTACAGCCATCTGATCTTCAACAAATCCCACAAAAACAAGCAATGGAGAAAGAATTCCCTGTTTAATGAATGGTGCTGGGAGAACTGGCTAGCCATATGCAGAAAATTGAAACTGCATCTCTTCCTTACACCTTATACAAAAATTAACTCAAAATAGATTAAAGACTTAAATGTAAAACCCAAAACTATAAAAACCCTAGAAGAAAATCTAGGCAATACCATTGAGGACACAATCATGGACAAAGACTTCATGATGAAATTGCCAAAAGCAATCTCAACAAAAGCAAAAATTGACAAATGGGATCTAATTAAACTAAAGAGATTCTGCCCAGCAAATGAAACTATCATCAAAGTGAACACAAAACCTACAGAATGGAAGAAAATTTTTGCAATCTATCCACCTGACAAAGGGCTAATATCCAGAATCTACAAGAAACTTAAGGAAATTTACAAGAAAAATATCCAGACAACCCCATTAAAAAGTGGGCAAAAGACATGAACACTTCTCAAAAGAAGACATACGTGCTGCCCACAAACATGAAAAACAGCTCAACACCACTGATCATTAGAGAAATGGAAATCAAAACCACAATGAGATACCTTCTCACACCAGTCAGAACGGCAATCATTATAAAGTCAAGAAACAACAAAGTGCTGGTGAGGATGTGGAGTAATAGGAATGCTTTTACACTGTTGGTGGGAATGTAAATTAGTTCAACCATTGTGGAAGACAGTGTGGCAATTCCCCAGTGATAAAGAGCCGGAAATGCCATTTGACCCAGCAACCCCATTACTGAGTATATACCCAAAGGAATACAAATCATTCTGTTATAAAGATACATACACGTGTATGTTCATTGCAGCACTATTCACGATAGCAAAGACATGGAATCAACCCAAATGCCCATCAATGATAGACTGGAAAAAGAAAATGTGTTATATATACACTGTGGAATACTGTGCGGCCATAAAAAGGAATGAGGTCATGTAATTTGCAGGGACATGGATGAAGCTGAAAGCCATTATTCTCAGCAAACTAACGCAGGAACAGAAAATCAAACACTGCATGTCCTCACTTATAAGGGAGAGCTGAACATTGAGAACACATGGAAACAGGGAGGGGAACAACACTTGGGCCTGCAGGGGGAAGGTGGATGGGGAGAGCACTAGGGAAAAGAGCTAATGCATGCTGGGCTTAATACCTACGTAATGGGTTGATAGGTGCAGCAAACAACCATGGCACACGTTTACCCATGTAACAAACCTGCACATCCGGCACATGTACCCCGGATTTTTTTTTTTTTTTAAAGAATTACAAAAAAATGTTGTTCCACATTTGTTTGTTAAGCAAATATGTCTTTAGCATCTATTACATACCAGATATCGATCTAGGTATTAGAAAGACAGCAGAGTTTCTTCTCTCAGATTCTAGTACAGAGTGTATATGGTTGATATGAAGGACAGTTTGCATAGTTGTTCTCATTTATTCATGCCTGAGGCTTAGAAAAGATAGATCTGGCTGCCTGTATTTCTTCTGTCTTGCATTTCCTTTTTTTACTAGTGCTACTATTGTTGTAAGTATGAGTCTTGGGGCCAGAGAAGAATGTACAGAAATTCTATTGGGACAGCTTAAAAAATGTCCCACTTCTCCTAGCAAGCTGTACCCCCAGGTTATTGCTAATAAAGAGCAATTGCAAACTATACCTTTCTGATATAAGTCATCCTTCTTAATCTGAATATTTTCTTCTAATAATTGACTTCCTTGAATACTCAACATTTTCCACATGTCAGCTCTTGATACTTAAAAGCAGTTTCATAGATTCATGTTCCATGTGTAAGGTAATGCAATGTCCACATTGGGTTTTCGAGCACAGCTGCTTCTAGTCAGCAGTAATAAAGTAATCCCTATACCCAATTATGTGACCAAACACTTAACCACAGCCTGTGTACCCAACAAATTATTGGTTGGTTGCTGCCTCTATTCAGAAGTTGGGAATGGTAATTATGGAAGTAGCATATTTCATATTGTGATACCACAGGCAAGATGAGTAAGGCATTTGTTTAGAACAGCTGGTTCTTTGGATGGACGGAAACCCAGATGGAGTAGTTCTGAGTGACTGAGCATTAGTAAGCTTATGTAGGGCTCTGGCAACAGTCATCTCTGCTTTGGGAAGATTTCAGTCAGTCATTACCCGCTAAGAACTTGGAACAAGAAACTAGAAAGTAAAGAAGATACTTTGAGTGAAAAAAAGTGATTTAAAGAACAAATAAATATTTTATGTATACCAATCATGCATTATGGTTATTTTGGCATATTATAGCTTTTAGAAAGTATAAGCAAAACATAGCTAGACTAATAATAAAACAGAGAAGATTCAGATAAACACAATTCGAAATGACAAGGAGGATATCACTATTGACACCACAGAAATACAAACAACCATCAGAGAATAATACAAACATGTCTGTGCACATAAAATAGAAAATCTAGAAGCAATAGATAAATTCCTGGACACATACACCCTCCCCAGACTGAACTAGGAAGAAATTGAATCCCTGAATAGACCAATAACAAGTTCTGAAATTGAAGCAGTAATAAATAGCCTACCAACCAAAAGAAGCCCAGGATCAGATGGATTCACAGCTGAATTCTACCAGATGTACAACGAAGAGCTGGCAAACTGAATCCAGCAGCACACTGAAACGTTTTCCCATTATGGTCAAGTAGGCTTAAACACCAGGATGCAAGGCTGGTTCAACATACATAAATCAATAAATGTGATTCATCACATAAACAGAACTAAAGACAAAAACCACATGATTATCTCAATAGATGCAGAAAAGGCATTTGATAAAATGTAACATCCCTTCATGATAAAAACTCTCAATATGCTAGGTGCTGAAGGAACATACCTCCAAATAATAAAAGGCATATATGACAAACCCACAACCAATATCATACGGAATAGGCAAAAGCTGAAAGCATTCCCCTTGAAAACTGGCACACGACAAGGATGCCCTCTCTTACCACTCCTATTCAACATAGTATTGGAATTTGAGCACAGGAAAATCAGGCAAGAGAAATAAATATAGGGCATTCAAACAGGAAGGGAGGAAAACTATCTTTGTTTGCAGATGGCATGATCCTATATCTAGAAAACCCCATCGTCTCAGCCCAAAAGCTTTTAAAGCTGACAAACGACTTCAGCAAAGTCCCAGGATACAAGTTAAGGTGCAAAAATCGCTAGCATTTCTTTACGTTAACAACAGGCAAGCTGAGAACCAAATCACAAATGGACTCCCATTCACAATTGCCACAAAAAGAATAAAATAACGTAGGAATACAGCTAACAAGGGAAGTGAAGGACCTCTTCAAGAAGAACTACAAGCCACTGTTCAAGGAAATAAGACAGGACACAAATGGAAAAACACTCCATGCTCATGTATAGGAAGATCAATATCGTGAAAATGGTCATATCGCCTGAAGTAATTTGTAGATTCAGTACTATTTCCATTAAACTACCATTGACATTCTTCACAGAATTAGAGAAAACTACCTTAAAATTTATATGGAACCCAAAATGAGCCCAAATATCCAAGGCAATTTTAAACAAACAAACAAAAAACAAAGCTGGAGGCATCACGCTACCAGACTTCAAATTATACTCCAGGGCTACAGTAACCAGTACAACATGGTACTGATGTAAGAATAGACAGATAGATCAAGGGAAATAAGACTGCACATATACAAGCACCTAATCTTCAAGAAACCTGACAAAAAGCAAGCATTGGGTAAAGGATTCCCTGTTTAATAAATGGTGCTGGGATAATTGACCAGCCATATGCAGAAAACTGAAATTGGACCACTTCCTTACACCATATACAAAAATCAACTCAAAATGGATTAAAGACTTAAATGTAAAACCCAAAACTATAAAAAACCTGAAAGAAAACCTAGGCAATACCATTCAGGAAATAGGTATTGGCAAAGATTTCATGATGAAGATGCCAAAAGCAATTGCAACCGAAGCAAAAATTGACAAATGGGATCTAATGGGATCTAATGAAACTAAAGAGCTTCTGCACCGCAAAAGAAACTGTCATCAGAGTAAACAGACAACCTACAGAATGGGAGAAAATTTTTGAAACGTATGAACCTGACAAAGGTCTAATATCCAGTGTCTATAAGGAAATAAAACAAATTTAGAAGAAAAAACACCAACCCCATTAAAAAGTGGGCAAAAGACATGAACAGACACTTCTCAAAAGAAGACATACATGTGGCCAACAAACATAAAAAAAGCTCAATATCACTGATTATTAGAGAGATTCAAAAATGAGATACCATCTCACACCTGTCAGAATGTCTATTATTAAAAATTCAAAAAACAATAGATGCTGTTGAGGTTGTGGAGACAAAGGAACACTTTCACACTGTTGGTGGGAGTGTAAATTGCTTCAACCATGGTGGAAGACAGTGTGACAATTCCTCAAAGACCTAGAGGCATTAATCACATTCAAATCAGCAGTCCCTTTAGTGGATGTATGGCCTAAGGAATATAAATTGTTCTATTATAAAGATACATGCACGTGTATGTTCATTGCAGCATTATTTACAGTAGAAAAAAGATGGAATCAACGTAAATGCCCATCAATGATAGAATGGATAAGTAAAATGTGGTATATATATACCAAGTAGTACTATGCAGCCATAAAAAAGAACAAGATTATGTCCTTTATAGGGACATAGATGGAGCTGGAGGTCATTATTCTTAACAAACTAACGCAGGAACAGAAAACCAATCACTGTGTGTTCTCACTTATAGGTGGGAGCTGAATAATGAGAACACATGGACACATGAGGGAAAAACAATACACACTGGAGCCTCTTGGAGGGTGTGGAGTGGGAGGAACGATAGCATCAGGAAGAACAGTTAATGGATGCTGGGCTTAATACTTGGGCGATGGGGATGATCTGTGCAGCAAACCACCTTGGCACACATTTACCCATGCAACAAACCTGCGCATCCTGCACACGTATCCCTGAACCTAAATAAAAGTTGGAAAAAAATTAAAAGTTCTTCAAAAACTAAAAATAAAATTACCACATGATCCAGCAATCCAACTACTAAATGTGTATTCAAAAGAAAGAAAATGAGTCTGTCAAAGCGATATCTTCACTACTATGTTTATTGCTGCATTATTCACAGTAGCCAGACATTGAATCAGCCTGTGTTCATCAATTAATGAGTGAATAATGAAAATGTAGTGTGTATGTATATATATTCCACACACACACACATACACACACACACACACACACACAATGGAATATTCTTCAGCTCTACAAAGGAAGGAAATCATTTCACTTGTGACAATATGGATGAAACTGGAAGACATCATTTTAAGTGAAATAACCCAGATACAGAAAGACAAATACATAATCTTATTTTTATATGAAATTTTTTTAAAGAAAAACATTGAACTCATAGAATCGAAGAATAGAATGGTGGTGACCAGGGAGTGGGGATGGGGGGAGGATTGAGAAGGAAAAAAAACGACAACGTATAAGCAAAACAAATTACAAATTAGGCTTATAGTAAACTTTATGAAATTAAAATACATTTTATTTCACTCTGGCTATAAATAATATGCTATACTGACTTTTATTTATAACAAAATTGGGTGAAAAACAAATTGGAATTTGTACAATTTATATTCTCAAATATGAACAGATAATTGGAAAAAGACAGCTGATATTGCCAGTGGTGTCTCTGACTCTGGATTCTAGATATTCTTTTGGGATAACCTCTCTGGGTCATAATATACTGCCCAGATAATTCAGTAAACTATTTTTGTGTGCCAAGAGCTAGATGTCTATCAATCACTAAAATTTTTATATAAAATGAGGTATTTTTCTGAGAAAATTTAAATTTTTTTCCAGAAAGGATATATATTCCTGTGAGAAAAAATAAATGGCTATTCTAATTTTGGATCTTCCATGTGGAATATCATATTATCCCCTGAATATATTGAGGATTTTGATATATTTTGATAGATTTATTGACTTTTTGCATTTATTGATGACTGAACTGGTCATCTGTAAAGCAATGTTAATATGACTTAAGGAACCACAAGATATCTTTATGGTCCAGTTATTTCTCAAAAAGTAAATGTGAGCAACTACTTGATCATGCAGTCCATTGCTTGGTGCTGAACCATAACAGTAATTGAAACAGTACTTGAAATTGGTTACCATGGAATTTACATTCTACTCATGTGTTCTCTCGAAAAAATCAAGCATTTGCAAAAGGCTATGCAAAGAGACAATGTAAAAAAATGAAACCCTCATTTAATAAGACATTTATTTATTTTGTTCCATGAAGTAGTATAAACAAAAATAAAATAAGATAAATTCGATTTGGCTAAAAGGCCGCATAAGGTTAAAAAAAAAAGTTTCATAGGGGCAAATTTGTTGTTAGCAACTTCATTCCATGCATTCATTATATCATACCTAGCCAAATCTAGAAATTACCATTCTTACTTAAATATTTTCCTTTCTCTCATATATACTCAGGATTTTATGTTTCCCGCATAGTATTTGGTTGGTGCAAAAATAATCACGGTTTTTGCCATTGGTAAAACCAATATTGAAGACAGTTTTGCTAACAAGTAGCATCTTTTTTTCAGTTACATAAATTCTGTAGTTCCTAAGTCCCTGAAAAACGAGTAGGTAAACCTTATTTGATGTTTCTCTCTGCTTTTTGGAGGGAGGCACTGCTTGAATTCCCCGGTCTGCCTCTCCCAGTTTCCATACAAAATTTATTTACCACAGTTACCGGGGCATTATCCCCCTTCTGCTGGCTTAAAAAAAAAAACAACTTATAATTCATGGAATTTTTTTCTCCTACATTTCTCTAGTGTTTTTCAAGGGGGTTTCAGATGTGGAAAAATGGATTTGTGTGTGTGTGTTTGTGTGTGTGTGTGTGTGTATGCATGCACTTTTAGTGTTCCCTGAAAAGAACCAGTGAATGGGTAACATTTAGAGAATTCTTTAAATTTTTGATTCTTCAGAGGACTGCTGATTCTGATAGTCATAAAATCTGGCATTGGAACTTATGCTATAAGCTGCCCTGATTGCCGATATACACCCTGTTAAAACAGCATATTTGTGTGATCTCATCCTTAAAATATTTGGGGTAAGAGCATGAAGTATTTGAATAAGTATGGTAGACGAAATTTGTATTAATGTTGCTTAAAATATTACCCATACAATTTTTCTTTCAGTTCACTATGTCAGTAGTAGTTTTTTAAAGTACTTTAATGACCCCAAATAATTGAGAATTGGTATTAATTTTCATAAATCTTTACTTATCAAACATGAGTTTTGTTTCCTTAAACCCAGTAAAAGTCTAGAGCAATCATTTCTGAAAAGCAAAGTAATTTCTAGGTGTCCTTTGATTACTTTTTAGAGTTGTTACTATTTGTATAAAACATATATACCACAGATGAGGTATACCAATAAGTTTGAGATAGCTATATATCAAAACATTGAAAAATAATCTGTAGAAATACTAAGAATGATAGCAAAATCCATAGTGTTTTTTTTTTTGTTTGTTTTTTGTTTTTTGTTTTTTTTTTTTTCTGATACGGAGTCTTGCACTATCGCCCAGGCTGGAGTGCAATGGCGCAATCTCAGCTTACTGCAACCTCCGCCTCCTGAGTTCAAGCGATTCTCCTGCCCCAGCCTCAGGAGTAGATGGGATTACAAAAATCCATAACTTTTAACTCCAAATAACACATTTTTTTATTAGAAAAACTGAAACATTTCAAGATTGATACTGAATTTGATTGGTATATGTATGCAAATATCTAACACTTTCGTACATGTGTAGTCCTTTAAAAATCTCCCATTTGGGGCCAGGCACGGTGGCTCACGCCTGTAATCCCGGCACTTTGGGGGACTGAGGCGGGTGGATCACCTGAGGTCAGGAGTTCAAGACTAGCCCGACCAACATGGTGTCTCTGCTAAAAATACACGAATTAGCCAGTCATGGTGGCGGGCGCCTATAATCCTAGCTACTCAGGAGGCTGAGGCAGAAGAATCGCTTGAACCCGGGAGGCAGAGGTTGAAGTGAGCAGAGATCGCGCCACTGCACTACAGCCTGGGCAACGAGAGTGAAACTCTGTCTTAAAAAAAAAAAAACAAAAACTCCCATTTGGTTCCTAGTATCTTATATATATATTAAGGAGAAGACAGACTTCAGAAACATTTTTTATCTACATAGAAATTTGATTCCACATATATTCCAGAAAATGTACTATTGATTATAAATTTATTTCTGAATTCCAGTAAGTTTCTTTTCCTGATTCAGAACTCCTGTGTTTTTGTAGCCTATGCAGGTGTTGCTTTCATATTCAGGACAACTGACTCTAATTTATAAGACTCTAGTCAATAAAGTTCAATGCACTTGTGGTTGTACTGTCTGCTGCTTAGTATTTTCATATTAATGGAATAACAACATATGGCCTTTTTAACTACACCGAAAAAACAAATTCAGTGGGTTTCCAGTTTTGTGCCAAGATTCTATTGTTTTTCTTAGGTTGATAAGCACTGGGATTTGGCTGTTATCCAGGTATGTTTTTGATGAACGCTGCTTCTTATGAAAGAGAAAGGATATCACTACACCACATCAATATATGATTGCAAACTGCCCCCAGAAATTTTGTTTTGCCTTCTAAATTGGGGTTTGATCTTGTACTGCTTGCCACATTCATTTAAAAATTAGAATTTTTTATTTTATAAGCTTTAAAAATTTTTAACTGACTTTTTTGTAATCACACAAACACACACAACTCTGTACAAAAGTGTTTTCTTTCTTTATACCCTTATTCTATAAACGTTTTTCTATTTTTAATTTTTTTAACTTTTGCAACCATTTTGCTAAAAACTAAGACAAACATTTACATTAGTCTAGGCCTACCCAGGGTCAGATCATTAATATCACTGTCTTCTGCCTCCACATCTTGTCCCACTAGAAGGTCTTCAGGAGCAGTAACATGCAGGGAGCTGTCATCTCCTATGATAACAATGCCTTCTCCGGAATGACTCCTGAAGGACCTGCCTGAGGCTGTTTATGGTTAACTTTTTTAAAAATGAGTACACTGTAAAATAACAATAAAAATATAGAATAAATAAATACATAAATCAGTAAAATAATTGCTTATTATCATTATGAAGTATTACGTGCTGTGCATATACTTTTATTTATCTGGGAGCACAGTAGGTTTGTCCAAAGCAACTTCATCACAAACATATGAGTAATGTGTTGTGCTACAATGTTATGACATCACTAGGTGATAGAAATTTTTCAGCTCTATTATAGTCTTATGGGACCACCATCATATATGCAGTCTTTTGTTGACTGAAATGTTGTTATGCAGTACAAGACTATATAATCAGTAATGAAAGGAATATATTTCTTTCTAACTACTGCCTTCACTTTACTCTGTTACAGTTATCTATTGCTGCATAGCAGACTATTCCAAAACTTTGGGTTTAAATATAATAATTTATTATGTCTCACCATCCTGTGGGTCAGTACTTCACACTAGACATAGCGGGGATTGCATGTCTCTGCTTCACGACGTCTCAGGCATCAGCTCTGACAACTCAAATGGATGGAGACTGGAGCAGCTGGGGGCTGGCTAAGCCTGCCTGACTCTCTCTCTCTCTCTCTCTACCCCTCTTTCTCAGCACCACTAGGGCTTCCGCACAGTGTGGTAGCATTTGAGTAGTTGAATTTTTATTTCCAACTTTCATTTTAAGTTCAGGGGTACATGTTCAGGATGTGCAGGTTTTTACATAGGCAAATGTGTGCCATGGTGGCTTGCTGCACAGATCATCCCCATCACCCAAGCACTAAGCCCAGCAACCACTAACTATTCTTCTTCATTCTCTCCCTCCTCCCACACCCAGCCCTCCGACAGGCCCCAGTACGTGTTGTTCCCCACCATGTGTCCATGTGTTCTCCTCATGTATGGCTATGATTACTTTGAGTATGTTCCTTAAATACATAGTTTATTGAGAGCTTTTAACATGAAGGGATGTTACATTTTATCGAATGCCTTTTTTTCATCTATTGATATGATCATATGGTTCTTGTATTTAGTTCTGTTTATGGGATGAATCACATTTATTGATTTGTATATGTTGAACCAGGCTTGCATCCTGGGGTTGAAGCCTACTAGATAATGGTGAGTGACCTTTTTGATGTGGTTCTGGATTCAGTTTGCCAGTATTTTGTTAAGTATTTTTGCATTAATGTTCATCTATGGTATTGGCCTGAAGTTCTCTTTGTTGTTGTTGTTGTATCTCTGCCAGGTTTGTTATTAGGATGATGCTGGCCTCACAGAATGAGTTAGGGAGGGGTCCCTTCTTTTCAATTTTTTTGGAATAGTTTCAGTAGGAATGGTACCAGCTCTTCTTTGTACCTCTGGTAGAATTCAGCTATGAATTCTTCTAATCCTGGGCTTTTTTGATTGGTAGACTATTTATTACTGCCTCAATTTCAGAACTCATTATTGGACAATTCAGGGATTAAATTTCTTCCTGGTTCAGTCTTGGGAGGGTGTATGTTTTCAGGAATTTATCCATTTATTCTAGATTTTCTAATTATGTGAACAGAGGTGTTTTTAATATTCTATGATGATTGTTTGCGTTTCTGTGGGGTCAGTGGTAATATCCTCCTTGTTGTTTCTGATTGTGTTTATTTGAATATTCTCTCTTTTCTTCTTGATTTATCTAGCTGGTGGTCTAATTTATTAATTTTTTTTCAAAAAACCAACTCCTGGATTCGTTGGTCTTTGTAATAGTTATTTGTATCTCAATCTCCTTTAGTTCAGCTTTAATTTTGGTTATTTCCTGTCTTTGGCGTTGGTATGCTCTTGGTTCTCTAGTTCTTTTAGTTTTGATGTTAGGTTGTTAAATTGAGATCTTTCTTTTTGATGTGAACATTTACTGCTATAAATTGCCTTCTTAACACAGCCTTAGCTGTGTCCCAGAGATTCTTGTATGTTGTATCTTTTTTGTCATTAGTTTCAAAGAACTTCTTGATTTCTGCCTTAATTTCATTATTTACCCACAAATCATTCAGAAGATTCTTCACTTTCCATTTAAGTGTATGGTTTGAGATATTTTCTTAGTCTTAAATTCTATTTTAATTGTGCTGTGGTCCGAGAATGTGGTTGTTATGATTTCACTTCTTTTGCATTTCTGAGGAGTGTTTTATGTCTGATTATGTGATCAATTTTAGAGTATGTGCCATGTGGCAATGAGAAGAATGTATATTCTGTTGTTTTGGGGTAGACAGTTCTGTAGATGTCTGTCAGGTCCATTTGGTCCAGTGCTGAGTTTAGGTCATGAGTATGTTTGTTAATTTTTTACCTCAGTGATCTGTCTAATACTGTCAGTGGGGTGTTGAAGTCTCCCACTATTACTGTGTGGGAGTTTAAGTGTTTATGAAGGTCTCTAAGAACTTGCTTTATATATCTAGGTGCCCCTGTGTTGGGTGCTTATATGTTTAGGATAGTTGGGTCTTCTTGCTCAATTGAACCCTTTACCATCATATAATGCCCGTCTTTCTCTTTTTCTGACCTTCGTTGGTTTAAAGTCTGTTTCTTTTTTTCTGAAATTAGGATTGCAACCCCTACTTTTTTATGTTTTTCATTTGCTTGGTAGATTTTCCTCCATCCCTTTATTTTGAGCCAGTGGGTGTCATTGCATGTGAGATAGGTCTCTTAAAGACAGCATGCCATTGGGTCTTGCTTCTTTATCTAGCTTGCCACTCTCTGCCTTTTAGTTGGGGCATTTAGCCTGTTTATATTTAAGGTTAGTATTGAAATGTGTGGATTTGGTCTTGTCATCATGATGTTAGCTGATTACTATGCAGACTTACTGTTGTGGTTGCTTTATAGTATCACTGGTTTGTGTACTTAAGTGTGTTTTGTAGTGGCCAATAATGGTCTTTCCTATCCATATTTAGTGCTTCCTTCAGGAGGTCTTGTGAGGCAGGTCAGGTGGTAACAAATTCCCTCTGCATTTGCTTTTCTGAAAAGGACCTTATTTCTCCTTTGCTTATGATATTATCATAATTTAACTATATTATTAATTAGGATATTTGCTCTGTATGATGGCAATGGATATTATGTTTATTGAGACTTCAAATTTTACTCAGAATGTAAACACTTTTCTATGAGTGTTTGAAATAATTGGTACTCTGTAGTATTTATACTTATCCACTAGATGAGATTTGCTAGTTACATTGCTGAAATATTTTATACTCTTGCAGAATTATTTGGCTTTTCAATTTACTAAATAATGGGAAAGACATCAGCTAAAAAGCTCCAATTACAATTGTGGATTTTAAAATTTCTGTTTTATATCCATAATTGGTTGCTTTACATAATTTTTGGCTATTATTGGTACATACATATTTAGAATTGTTTTATGTTCTTGGTAAATTTACCTTTCATCATTATGTAGTTGTCCCTTTTATCACTTTACCATAAAGTTCAATGTATTTGGTATCAGTATAGCTAAACTAGTTTTATTTGAAATAGTATTTTTTATAATTTTTTCTTATACTTTTATTTACAGTCTTTTTTCCCTTTGTTTTAGTTGTATCTCATATGAACAAAGTATGGCTAGATGGAAAAAAATGTATGATGATCTTTATCTTTTAATAGGACCATTTAGTTCATTTACAGTTAAGTATTGCTATATTTAAGCTCATCTCCATCATCTTATTTTATGCCTTCTATTTGTACTATCTTTTATATATTTATTTTATTTTTATCTTCTTCTTTGACTTCATTTGGTTTTTTTCCCACTTATTTTTCCTCTATTATTTTAGAATTTATATACTCTGCACCTATTTCTTAAATTATAACCACAGGATCTTTAATGTGCTTACTTAATTTATCAGTGCTTAAATTAATGAATCTCTTTAAATTTCTCTAATTAATATGAGAATATTAGAGCACATTACTGACAGTAGTGTATTTTAATTCTATGTAATAACTTCATGAAATATTATTTTTACAGAGTCCATATTTACCACTTTCTTGACTATTCTTTCATTCATTTATCTTGAGCCTCCTATCTGGGATAATTTTCCTCCTGCTTGAAATATTTCCTGTGGCATTTTTTTAGTGGTGGTCTGTTGGTATAAATCTCAGTAAGTTTTGGGTAGCCTTAAATTCTCTTTATTCTATCCTTTTCTTTTTTTGCAGTCAGGAACAAGGTCTCACTCT
This sequence comes from Homo sapiens, assembly GCF_000001405.40. Classification (NCBI taxonomy): domain Eukaryota; kingdom Metazoa; phylum Chordata; class Mammalia; order Primates; family Hominidae; genus Homo; species Homo sapiens. Next base: position 95,743,326 of record NC_000023.11, on the reverse strand, counting down.
GTCAACCAGGCTGGAGTGTACTGGCAAAATCATGGCTCACTGCAGTCTCAACCTCCTAGGGTCAAGCGATCCTCCCACCTCAGCCTCCTGAGTAGCTGAAACTACAGGCCTGAGGCACCACACCTGGCTAATTTTGTTCATTTTTTGTTGTAGAGATGAAGTTTCACTATGTTGCCCAGGCTGGTATTGGACTCCTGGGCTCAAGGGATCCTCCCACCTTGGCTTCCCAAAGTGCTAGGAAGCATGAGCCACCACACTGGGCCTACATCCCTTCTTAAAATATATTTCTCCTGGGAATAGATTTCTAGGTTGATGTCTCTTTTTTTTCCCTCAGCACAGAGAAAATACACGTTCACTGTATTCTGGGTTACAATGTTGCTTTTGGAAAGTCAGCCATCAGTGTACTTATACATTTTAATATGTGATTTGTCTTGTCTTTTCTGGCTGCATCTAAGATTTTTGTCTTTGTGGTATTCTTTACTTTTGCTATGATGTATACAAGGATGGATTCCTTTTTATGTAAACTCTTTGAGATTTGTTGTGCATGTTGAACTACCAGTTCAACAATCTATCACATTATTGTTTTAAATTCTATAATATTCTCAGCAGTTAAATCTTCAAACATTATACTTTCCTCTTTGTCTCCCTCCTCTCTTTTTGGAACTCCAATTATATGGGTGGTAAAACTTTTCACTCCATATTTCACATCTTTTAAATCCCTTTTACTATTTTTCATCTCTCTGTTTCTCCATGTCATGTGGCATACCAATTTCTTAAGATGTCTTCCAGTTTTCTATGTTGTTAATTTTATTTAATGATGTTGCCCACAAATGAGATTTTTTAAATTATTAAATTGCCATATTCTGACATTGTGTTCACTTGCCACTTTTAATATTTTTAAGTATCACCTTTATTTTTTTTAAACATTAACCACTATCATGTGTCTTATAGTTCCAATTCCCGATGTCTTGATGGGTTAATAGTTTGTTGTCTGTTACTGTTGGTTCTCAGTCATGATATTGTTTTCTGGTTTTCCTTTTTAAAAGATTGTCGGCTGGGTGCGGTGGCTCACGCTTGTAATCTCAGCACTTTGGGAGGCTGAGTTGGGTGGATCACCTCAAGTCAGGAGTTCAAGACTAGCCTGGCCAACATGGTGAAACCCCATCTCTACTAAAAATACAAAAATTAGCTGGGCATGGTGGTGCAGGCCTGTAATTCCAGCTACTTGGGAGGCTGAGGCAGGAGAATTGCTTGAACCTGGGAGGCAGAGGTTGCAGTGAGCTGAGATTGCGCTACTGCACTCCAGCCTGGGCAACAGAATGAGACTCTGTCTCAAAAAAAAAAAAGAAAAAAAGATTGTCATAGTACTTGGATGGTCATACCAGCAAAAATGAAAGTTTCATAGTCTATTGATATCTTATATACATTCCATTAGCATATGAAAAGTATTTGATTCATTGATAAATAACAAATACCTGCCTGTATGAAAATGTATGACAGTCAATTATATGATATGCTATTCTGGGACTTATCGACTGGAGAGAATGATAGGCAGAGTTATTCAAAGGTATTAGAAAAAATACACAATTGATTCTACATTGCTTAGAAATTGATACATCACAAAATTGGAACATCTATTGGGTTTAAAACTTTGGAGGTAAAATAGAATACCCCTCCCCCAAATTTGAAGACTAAGATTGCCAGCTTTTCATTTTACCAAGAACATATACTGTATGTAACACATATTGTCATATATTATTATCATCATTTCATATAAGAAAGGGTATGTTAACTTCAAAAAAGTAGAAAAGATTAAGAACAATCTTCTGAAATAGAGGCAGTGAATAAACTGACCATATAAAATTGCACTTTTTGTGATTTTACCACAGAACAGTAAAAAGTAGGGACCTTAGTCAGAACTATGATCCATGGATTGCCATTTGGAAACCATTATTCTAGAAACCAAACCTGGAAACTTCAAATTTAGGGATTCTATCTCAGCAGAAATCAGTTAACTTACTCTGTTCAAATGATATAGACTCTCTTTCTGATTCTATCCATTTGTTTGCCGATGCACGTTAGTGGTTGAAAGATTACTGGTGATAAAATGTGGCTAGATCAGAGATAATCTGTTCCTTCTACTTTAAAAAATTTGGAAAATCGCTTGTCAAATTCAAACCTTAATACATATAGATCAGCGATATCCTTTCCTATATGAAAGGTAGCCTTTTATTCAGTGAATGCCATCAATTTTCTTTTCACTTTTAGTTTTGGATACACAGAAACCTCAGCATATTGACTATAACATGAACTTACTGTCCTTATTGCATAATGCAAGCTCTGGGAAAAAGGACCCAGTCACTTCTAACGTTTCCTCACTATCCCTTGTAAAAACAGAATATCTGAAGCTATGTCAATCCTGGCATCAAAGGAAAAACACATCTTTCCTTTCACTGTCATTCCTTCTTTCCGCACCAATAGATGCTTGAAACCCTTCATCACAGCTTCATCTTGCTTTGCCGTCAAACACTTTTCTCTTGAGATGCTTGGACTAGTCATCTTTCTTATTTGTAGGGTAGAAAATCTTGCACACTGTTAGTTTTTTGCTTCTTATTTTCCTATAATCTGATAAATAGCATGCTGGTGTTACACTAGTGATTTTCTTCTTATTCTCAGTACCCAGAGCCTCTGGCCTTGCCACCCTTACCCCCATCTACCATCACTCCAGGCATCTGGAAGGAAATTTGTTATGTTCTAGACTTTGAAAGGGAGCCTTTGCTGACATTAGTTTGCTTCTGTAATACAATAAAAAGTACCCTTCAGCTGGGCCTGGTGGTTCATGCTTGTAATCCCTGCACCTTGGGAGGCCAAGGTGAGCAGATTGCTTGAGTCCAGCAGTTGAAGACCAGCCTGGGAAGCATGGTGAAACCCTGTCTCTACAAAAAAATACAAAAATTAGCTGAGTGTGGTGGCACACACCTGTAGTGTGTTGCAAGAAAGGATGCAACACACTACAGCTACTGGGGTGGCTGAGGTGGGAGGATCACCTGAGCCTGGGGAGGTCAAGCCTGGCCTGCAATAAGCCGTGATTGCCCTACTGCACTCCAGCCTGGGTGACAGAGAGAGACTCTGTCTGACTTCTACCTCCTGGCAGGTAGAGATCTCATTGCTTTATTCTAATTGTACAAGTTACTTCACATACACTAAAATAAATGAAAATAAGCAAGAGCACATCCAGTGAGACTGCACTGCAAGTGTGAAACCATGCTTTTCTTATTCAACTCTAGGTGTTATTCAAATTTTTCCATGTGTAAAGTTAAAAAAATATGTCAACATAATAGGAAAGAAAAATATACTATACAGGTTTGTATGTTGTTAACCAAAAGTTTTAAGTCGTAGGCAAAAACTGAGTCATGTTGTTTAACCCTCCTACCGAAATACATATAAGCAAACTGACTTAGTTCTTTTATTAGGTGACTTAATAATAACATCCTTTCTTGCATTAATACAATTAGTATATGATGTTTGCCTAATGTGCCTAATGTAGGCTTTATCTTCTCTTGAACTATATTGCTTCCTTTTAACCATACAAAGGTAACTTAACTTATATTTTCATCAATTTGTTAATTACCAAGAATCTTTGAAAATAATTAAAATAAAATATTTTTATACAGATCAAATATATTAATTATGACATTTAATAGTCTTTATTTTTTCATTATCAATTACAAATTAACTTGAGGAATTTAACAATTCTCCAGATGTAGCTATTGAACCAAACAGCGTATTTTATTTTTTAATTTTTAAAAATTTTTGTTGGTATATAGTAGGTATATATATCTGTGGAGTACATGTTTTGTTTCGGAGTAGATGTTTTGATACAGGCATGCAATGTGAACTAAACATATCATGGAGAATAGGATATCCATCTCCTAAGCATTTATCTTTTGAGTGTAAGATATTTTTAAATGTACAGTTAAGTTATTATTGACTAAAGTCACCCTATTGTGCTATCAAATACTAGGTCTTATTCATTCTTTTTTTTTGTACTTATTAACTACCCCCTCTTTCTCCCAATCCCCCCACTACCCTTCCCAGCCTCTGGTAATTATTCTTCTACTCTCTATGCCCATGATTTCAATTGTTTTGACTTTTAGATCCTACAAATAAATGAGAACATGTTATGTTTGTCTTTCTGTGCCAGGCTTATTTTCACTTAACACGTGATCTCCAGTTCTATCCATGTTGTTGCAAATGACTGAATCTCATTTTTTATGGCTAAATAGTACTGCATCATTTGTATGTACCACATCTTATTTATCCATTCATCTGTTGATGGACACTTAGGTTGCTTCCAAAATCAGCCATTGTAAACAGTGCTGCAACAAACATAGAAGTGCAGATATCTCTTCAATATACTGATTTCCCTTCTCCAAACTGTTCTCCATTGTGGTTGTACTAACTTACATGTTCACCAACAGTGTACAAGATTCTTTTTCTCCACATTCTCACCAGCATATTTTATTGCCTGTATTTTGGATATAAGCCATTTTAATTGGGGTGAGATGTCTCACTGTAGTTTTGATTTGCATTTCTCTGATGATCAATGATATTGGGCACCTTTTTATATGCCTATTTGCCATTTGTATGTCTTCTTTCCATTCATATTCAACTTTATTATTAATTAGTAAGGACTTACTCTTGCCATTTTGCTATTTGTTTTTCTGGTTGTTTTGTCGCCTTCCTTGTTTCTGTCCTTCCTGTTTTTCTTTAGTGAAGGTGATCTTCTCTGGTGATATGATGTAGTTTCTTGCTTCTTATTTTTTGTGTATTCATTATACGTTTTTTGATTTGAGGTTACCATGAGCCTTGCAAATAATATCTTATAACCCATCACTGTAAACTGGTAAGAACTTAGCACTGATCATATAAACAAACAAGCAAAAAAGAAAACCAATAAAACTCTACACTTTAACTTCATCCCATGACTTTTGAGTTTTTATTGTTTTTCTTTATGTCTTTTTGAACAGTCTGTGTCTTCAAAAGTTGTAATTGTTATTTTTGATTGGTTCATCATTTAATCTTTTTACTCAAGGAAAGTTTACACAACACAGCTAGAGTGTTATAATATTCTGTTTTTTTTTTCAGTGTGCTTACTATTACCAGTCAGTTTTCTACCTTCGGATGATTTCTTCTTGCTCGTTAACATCCTTTTCTTTCTGATTGAAAAACTTTGTTTAGCATTTTTTGCAGGACAGGTCTAGTGTTTATGAAATCCTTCAACTTTTGTTTGGCTGGGAAGGTCTTTATTTATCCTTCATGTTTGAAGAGTATTTTGTCCAGATATACTATTCTAGCATAAAAATTTCTTTTTCATATTAGTACTTTAAATATGTCATGCCACTCTCTCCTGGCCTGTAAAGCTTCCACTGAAAACTCTGGGTCAGTCATATTGGCGCTCCATTTCTTGTTATTTTTTTTTTTCTTTTCTCTTGCTGCTTTTAGGATCCTTTATCTTTGTTGTTTGGGAGGATGATTATTCAATGGCTTGAGGTAGTCTTCTTTGGATTAAATCTGCTTGGTGTTCTATAACATTCTTGTACTTGGATATCGATATTTTTCTTTAGGTTTGGGGAGTTCTTTGTTGTTATGCCTTTGAATAGATTTCTACCCCTGTCTCTTTCTCTATGTTGCTTTAAGGTCGATAACTCTTAGATTTACCCCTTTGAGGCTATTTTCTAGATTGTGTAGGCATGTTCCATTTTTTTTTTATTTTTTTCTTTTGCCTCCTCTGACTGTGTATTTTTAAGTAGCCTATCTTCAAGCTCACTAATTTTTTATTCTTCTTGATCAATTCTCATATTAAGAGACTCATGCATATTCAGCATGCCAATTGCATTTTTCAGCTCCAGAATTTCTGCTTGATTCTTTTTAATTATTTCAATTTCTTTGTTAAATTGACCGGATAGAATTCTCTATTCCATCTCTGTTATGTTGAGTTTCTTTGCATTTCCTCAAAACATCTGTTTTAAATTCTTTGTCTGAAAGGTCATAGATCTCTGTTTCTCCAAGATTGGTCCCTGGTGTCTTATTTATTTCATTTGGTAAGGTCATGTTTTCCTGGATGGTATTGATGCTTGCTGGTGTTCCTCAGTGTCTGGGCATTGAAGAGTTATAATTTATTGTAGTCTTTACAGTCTGAGCTTGTTTGTGCCTGTCTTTTTTGGGAAGGCTTTCCAGGTATTTGAAGGGACTTGGGCCTGAAGTCCTATAATGCTGTGGTTTTTGCATACTAGTAGAGTTACCACCTTGGTGGTCTTGGATAAGATCCAGGAGAATTCTCTGGATTACCAGGCAAAGATCCTTGTTCTTTTCCCTTACTTTCTTGCAAACATACACAGTCTCTCTCTATGCGCTGAGCCACCTGAAAGTGAGGGTGCTGTGATGCAAGCACCCCTGTGGCCACCACCAAGGAGACTGTGCTGGGTCAGACCAGAAGCAAGCATAGCACTGGGCCTTGTTGAAAGCCCTTCCATTCAGGGTAGCAGTTTCCTTCAGGCCCTGGATGTATACAGAGATACTGTCTGAAAGCCAGGAATTGTAGAAAAAAAAACTTAGCAATTTACCTGATATATTTTCTACTAACGCTAAGCTGACACTGAAACCACTATACGAAGTCCTTCCTGCTCTTCCCTCCCCTTTCCACAGACAGAACTGCCTCTCTCTGTGGCTACCCCCACCACTGATCCACAGGGGATTCTGCCAGGCCACTGCTGATGTTTGCTTAAAGCCCAAGGGCATTTCTGTCAACTCATGAATGCTGCCAGGCCTGGGACTCATCCTTCAGGACAGTGGGCTCCCCTCTGGTCCAGTACAGGCCTAGAAATGCTTTCCAAGAGCTTAGGCCTGGACTCGGTGACCCCAAGAGCATGCATGTTGTTTTATCTCACTGTGGCCAAGCTAGTACCTGATTTTTGGTTCTTGTGATGTGTTTCTGTGTGCAGATTGTTGTTAAAATTTGATATTCCAGCAGGAGGGAATGAAAGGTGTAGTCTTCCATTCCACCATCTTGCTCCACCCCAGTTAACTTAGGAGAGTCTTATATTAAATGAAATAACAATCATAAAGAAATGCATGATGAAAGTCATTCAAAGAAACTAGGGAGTTGAAATTGGTATTAAGATGGTGTCATGAATATATGTAATACGAAGGAAAAGGTGAAGCTGAACTTCAGCACCATTGGAGCTATGCCACAGATCTGTGATTTTTGCATTTGATGAAGTATCAGTGTTCCCCATGTGAGAAACAACAACTAAAACAAGAAAAAACTTAGGCGACACAGGCTGCCAACTAGAAAAGACTAAGTAGGAGTCGTGACCAACCCTACTTTGTTTTAGTAGCTAGAGGAAATTTTCAGCCATCAAAATTTTTTATCCGTTGGGTAGTCTACCTCATAAGGCAGAAAGCTGTCTCATAAAAGTTATTTAAGTATTATCTGGATCACCATCTGTGAGTGATATTGCAGAACAACTTCCTACATTAGACGGGAAATAATACAACATGAGTTCTCTTCTATATCCCAAATTCCATGATTTTAAGACATGATGCTTCATCCTTCAGGCAGTTATTATCTAGTAAATAAAATAAAACAAAAATATAAAGAAGTATATGATAAATGACCTAAAGAAATATAAGTAAAATACTATTGTACTTGTCAAGAGCAAAGATCACTTCTGGCTGGGGAGACCAAAGCATTTTTATTGGAGGAGGTAGGATTTTAGCCGGCCTTGAGGGTGGATAAAGTATTCAATAGCAGCAAAAGAGATTCATGATAAAGTCATGACAAAGTTATGGTGGTGGGAATGCATAGATTTAAGGAATAGTGATAGTTGAATTGAATGGTTGAAGCATAGGGTATGTACTATGAGGTTCTTGAAAGATAATCTTGGAAAATAGAACCACAGTGATACAGATTTAAAATTTGGAAGGGTTTTTAGAAATCACCTAATTCCAAACCACTTATTTTATATAAATAAACTGAAGCTCCTGAATGGTTTTTTTTTTATTATTATACTTTAAGTTTTAGGGTACATGTGCACATTGTGCAGGTTAGTTACATATGTATACATGTGCCATGCTGGTGCGCTGCACCCACTAACTCGTCATCTAGCATTAGGTATATCTCCCAATGCTATCCCTCCCCCCTCTCCCCACCCCACAACAGTCCCCAGAGTGTGATATTCCCCTTCCTGTGTCCATGTGATCTCATTGTTCAATTCCCACCTATGAGTGAGAATATGCGGCGTTTGGTTTTTTGTTCTTGTGATAGTTTACTGAGAATGATGATTTCCAATTTCACCCATGTCCCTACAAAGGACATGAACTCATCATTTTTTATGGCTGCATAGTATTCCATGGTGTATATGTGCCACATTTTCCTAATCCAGTCTATCATTGTTGGACATTTGGGTTGGTTCCAAGTCTTTGCTATAGTGAATAATGCCGCAATAAACATATGTGTGCATGTGTCTTTATAGCAGCATGATTTATAGTCCTTTGGGTATATACCCAGTAATGGGATGGCTGGGTCAAATGGTATTTCCAGTTCTAGATCCCTGAGGAATCGCCACACTGACTTCCACAGTGGTTGAACTAGTTTACAGTCCCACCAACAGTGTAAAAGTGTTCCTATTTCTCCACATCCTCTCCAGCACCTGTTGTTTCCTGACTTCTTAATGATTGCCATTCTAACTGGTGTGAGATGGTATCTCATTGTGGTTTTGATTTGCATTTCTCTGATGGCTAGTGATGATGAGCATTGTTTCATGTGTTTTTTGGCTGCTGAATGTTAATTGACATGTCCAATGCTACCTTGCTGTTATGTGGCTGATTATGCCCTTGAACCCAGGTTTATTTGATTCTAAAATCAATAGTTTTATATTTTATTATATTGTCCCTCCACTATACCTCACTTCCAGATTGGAATAGCTGTGAATGCCATACCAAGGCATTCTGTCTTTTGCCTGACACATAGGAGGACTTATGGGAAGATACTGAGCAAAGAGTAAGTAATATGATTAGAGCTGTGTTTTTAAAATATTCATCTTTTGATGGAATAAGAAAATAGGAAAGACAAAGGAGAAACTTAAATTTGGAAGAGAAGCTGTGTTGGGCATGATTCACTATCAAAATGCATATTGTTAGAATTAAACAGTAGGTAACATGAAATACGAGACAGGAGATCAGGAGAGTTGTTAGATCTGGCAGTCATCCAAGTAAAAGTGGTAGAAAGTTCAAGACATGGGGTAAATGCACTTTAAAAATAAAACCATGATATGTAAAAAGTGGAAAGGCTAAAGGATAGACCCTTAGGGAGTAGTCACATTTCTGTATGGGAGAAGAAAAGGAAACTAGTGGTGGAGAGGAGAAAATGTGGTTAAATGAGAGGAAAGAGGAGGTATAAAACTTGTCACACAAAGGCAAGTTTTAAGAAAGATGTACTTGTAGTACAGTGTTCCACAGTGCAAAGAGATGGACGAAGATGAATGTTAAGTAAAGGCTGTTGACGAGACATTCACAAAAAACTTAACAATGATTCTGGATTCACAGAATTCTCTGAGCCAGGCAGATGGAAGAAACCTTCATTCCTTTCTGCTTCAATGGACTTGAGCCTGTTAAAGTAGATAATTGCTCAATTATCATTAGGGGCCACCAGCTAACATAGGGTCCTAACTATATCCAAAAGCAGCTTAGGGAACTGTCATATCTGAAGCATAAGGGCAGCTGAAGCATGTTACAGAAGGGAAAGTGTATGTTTCATTTTATTACATTGACTGTGCCAGTCCTTATGTAGAGGGCAATTGAGTGATATGCTGCTGTGAGATACTCTGACTTTCCGGATTGGATTTCCCTGAAAGCTATTCTATTTTTCCTCAATTGTTTGAGTTGTCAGGATATAGCATTCACAATCTGAAAAGACTCCTCTTGCTATTTTTCTTTTTTCCCCATTCTATCATTTCTTTTTATGTATTTTAATAAAAAAGTAAAGGCGATACTGATATTTGCAGTGTAACCTATAGTATGATTAAGAGAAGGCAATGCGATTATGACTCATCCTTTTATTTTATTTTATTTGGTTGGTAGTAAGTTATCTTGCCCCATCCCATCTCAAATTGTTATATTTTATATACCCCTTAAGGAAACTTGATATTAAATATGCATAATTATTATAATGAAAACAAAGTACCTTCCTTTTACACTATAGTGAGCCCACCCCTGGAGTGTTCTTTTAACTATCTCGTCTGGGTGAATTAAAATGCAACTTCTATATATCATACACCTTGAACATTTTTTCAAATGGGGATATGGATGTGTATATGTGTGTGTAAATTTCCATCAAATCACCTATTCAATGGTATTTGTAAAATAGCTACCTAGAATAAAAGTATAGCTAACTGAAAGATAACAGAACAAAGTATGTTATTAGCTTAGAATTAGCAAATATTTTAGAATTGCAATAGAACCAGTTTTCTATTTTTTAAAAAACACTTCATTTTATTAACTATACTACTTCAAAAAGATTGTACAATCATTAAATCATATGCATATACAAGTATATGATATAGTCTGAATGTTAAGAAATCAAAGGCTAAGCCCATCAGTTCAGTTTGCTAATAAATGACACTCATAAAGTCTCTGCTCTTGCATTAGCTTATGCCTGCAGTTTTAATCATGGGCGGTTTTGCCCTACAAGGGACATTTGGCAAAGTTGGAGACAATTTTGGTTGTCACACCTGCGGAGAGGGCAGATGGGCGGTACTAATGGCATCTAGTGGGTAGAAATCAGAGATGTCTCTAAATATCCTACAATGAACAGGATATGCCCCCCAGCAAAGAATTATTCAGTCCCAGATGTCAGTAGTACCATGGTCGAGAAATCTTGGCTAAAGCTCTGCTCTTGAGACCACAATCATCATTCCTGCATTGTTGCCAATCTTTTCACAAATGTATGGTATTAATTACCAGGGGGCTTACAGATATCCGTGCAAATGTCTCCTTGTAAATCTTTTATACTAGAAGAAGGAGTGGGGTTGTAGAGAGGCCATGTTAGAAAACCTGGCACTTTTATTGAGCTCCTGTTATACACCAGAAACTCTATTAGGTGCTTTGCATATATTACTTCACTTATTCCTCACAAAGAAACCCTATGAGACAGCCCATGTTAACAGATGTTCAAAATGAGTTTCAGAGAAGTAAGAATAACTTTCCAAGGTTATATTGTTCATTAGCAGGATGGCAATTTGCACACCACAGTGCATGTTCTTTCCACTAAACTCAAAACACCATGCAAAGGTACTTCCGATGGATAGTGCAGCAGTGGCACAATATTCCTATATGAAAGTCCTCTCATTATTATTTAGTAAAAATACTGAAACACTGAAAAAAATTGCTTACAAAAACTAATTCAAGAATTTATGAAATTCTGTACCATCTTTAACAAAAATAAACAGAGGCTGACAATCTTTCCTTTATGCTAGACAATTCATTGTTCTGTGAAAGTGAAGGTCTTTTCCAAGCACAATTTGCTTTCTCTTACTAGATTGGAACAAATTGCATAATCTGTATGGTTCTTTTCCAGCCTTAGGAGTATATGGTCACCCAAAGTTTCTCCCGTTTCTGTTGAATCCTAAATTGATATTTCATAAATAGTCAAATATTCAAGAGTAAGCACTAAAAGACAGACGGAGAGACACAGAGGTAGAAGAAGACAACATACATGTGTTTAAGAGCATGCTCTTCAGATACTTTAGTAAGTACCAATGTATTGCTGTATTGGACACATTATGGTGAAAATCAGTTTACAATGTTGTTGAAATAATTTTTAGAACCAATCTACATAATATGGCCAGTTTAATTAGAATTCCTGGAATCTATTATCTTGGAGAATGGTAACAAGAACAACAAAAACATAATGGTAATAGCTTTTGCTGTAATATGTGTGGATACTCAGCATTTAAAGAGTATGTGCATTATGGCAGAAATATGTCCCCATGTTTAATACAAACATTTTAGTCTGGAAATGTAGAATAAACACTTGTTCTTATGACAAATCTTTTATTAATTGATTTCCCAACTTTTGTGTGGGAAAATGGGCTTGTTCTCACATCTGTCTTGAGCTGCTTGATCTTCCCTGCTTACCTCAAGGACTCCAGTCATATCTCTAAAATTAGTGATTAGTGACAGTTTTTGGAAAACAGAGGTATTCTACCAAATGCATAATTTTATGACCCACATCCCGGCCTTAATTATTTTTCTTTTTTTTTTGAGACGGGGTTTCGCTCTTGTCACCCAGACTGGAGTGCAATGGCATGATCTCAGCTCACTGCAACCTCTGCCTCCCAGGTTCAAGCAATTCTCCTGCCTCAGCCTCCCAAGTAGAAGGGATTACAGGTGCTGCCACCACCTCCAGCTAATTATTTGTGTTTTTAGTGGAGACAGGGTTTCACTGTGTTGACCAGGCTGGTCTCGAACTCTTGACCTCAAGTGGTCCACCGATCTCGGCTCCCCAAAGTGCTGAGATCACAGGCGTGAGCCACCAGGCCCACCTGCCTTAATTTTTAAAACACGTTTTATACCTCCTGTAGCATAATTAGAAAATGTTTAAATTGGAAGCTTCTCAGATTGAAAAGCGGCGTGGCTGAGGTTAGGAATATGTGAGCAGCAGAATATTATTTTCCCTGTCTATGCTTCTGGCTAACAAAACAGAGATGTGAGGTGGTGATTTTTCTCCACTTCTTTGTAAGGGAACCTTTGCAAAAAAGACTTTGGTGGGGGTATTTCTGGCAACATATTCTTACACTAGGTATTTTAAGTCCACCAGAGATTCATAAATGAGAAGTTTTAATCCCCGGACTGCTTTTAACCAAAATACCCAGGAAACAAAGCACACTCTGATGCACAAGGCCAACGAAAGGAATTCTCATGTAATGCTGCCATTCAGATTCTTGAAATGACTTTTTCATCTGGCTCTAAATTCATGCTGTGATAAAGGAAAAATAAAAACAGCATTGAAAATGGAATGGAAGAGATTGCATGGAGACTGCTGTTTATATTTTAGAGTTAATCAAATTTAGAGTCAGAGAGAGGAAAAACAACTCTTTGTCACTGAAATACCCTAAAGTCAAACAAAAAATCAAATATTTGAGTTCAATTTTAAACATAGGTACAAAAAATATATAGATTCAAGAAATGTGGTATTTCACTGTCCTGTGAAGCACTGTGCTGATCATTTCTTTACAGCCATAAGGCTGGCCATTTATAAGGTGCAAATGCAGAGCCCATTAGGATCTTGTTTAAATCCTTTATGGTCTCTCTTTCGATTTGCATCTAGTTTTACAGTTTTAAATCCACCACATATATTGGTGACTAGAATTTGAAATGCTATGGAACTACTTTAAATTTTATTGGAATGAGACTTCATTAAAAGTAGGCATTAGAATTTTGGTATTCTTCTTATTGACTTTTAAAATCTAGGTAAGTTTTAGTGAGGGAAATATGAAAAAAATGGCTCATCCCAAATGTTTACAAGATGAAAAAAAGATGATCACGAAATTCACTGATGCAAAATGCAGAAATGTCTTTGCATTTTGTATTAATGTCATCTCCTCCTACTTTTCAGTGTGTCTCTATTGCTCTCAAGAGACCCATGTTTAAGTAAGGTTACGCTGTGTCTGCAGAGTAATCTACAGCAGGCTGACAGCCTATTGAGGAAATCCTGCACAGTGAATATTTATGACACCTCTGATTATTTAACATGTATTCACTTTTAACTTTTATTATGATCCATGAAATGCAGGCTATGTACGTGCATATGGATGGTATGGACATATACACATCCTTATACAGTATATCATGTCACTTCACTTAGAGATAGAAACAGAAAGTTATGTTTTTATTAGGAACAATGTAGTAAATTATTCTTCAAACTTCGCCGGCAGTGTTTCCGTGGAATAGAAATTATCATCCAAATGACTAAAACTCCCACAGAGATGATGTAAGTTATGTGTTATACATTTAACAGGTTAATTATAAAAATGAAGATAATAACAGTAACTCTTGATTTGTCAATTTAGAATACAGGTATTAAACAAATAGAGAGCATGTAATTAAAATTTAAAAACAGTCAATTAATAACCACTAATAGTAATCAAAACAGATAGGAAGTTAAGTGTTACCCCTACAAAATTCGATCTGGAGATTGATTTTTGAATACTCTTTTTGATACTCAGTGTTCAAGAACCTGATCAAGTGAAAACAGGCACAAACAGAATTCAAAAGGTCAAAGTGCATAATATACATGCAGAATGCTCGGCTAATAAAGAAGATTGAGGGTGCAAAAGACTTGAACATAAGGATTCAAATGATCCTTTAAAAAGGAACCTAGCACATAATCATATGTGACCATGAGGAAAACTTGAGTTGCTCATGATAGCATAAAAATATTAGAATACAGGCATTTGAAAGTGTTTTATTTTTTCCAGATGAGACTATTCTCAAAAATCTGAATTCCCTCAGATCAAATTCACATCAAAGGAAATAAAGGTGTTTAAAGAGCATGTTTGCAGTCCCTCTGGCAACATAATCCTGTGACAAAGAGTGCAGCAATTCCAGCACCACCCAGACAGCTGCACAGAGTCCCAATCTGCCTAATGGTCTGTCAGCTCCCAGTGCTGCAAAGCTCTCCCGCACTTTGGCACACAACTTTAGCAATGCCCATCCAGGCTGGCTGCATGACCACCAGACAGAGATTGCACATTTTGGGATAAGGAAAATGAAATGTAAAACTGCAAGGAAGAATATGTGCCTTATTTAAAGAGAATTATTTTAAACCAATTCTGTTTTCGATTAATTTTAGAATTTATCACATGATTACCTTTGAAGCAGAGAGTATTTCAGCCTTCTTGTAAGGAGGCTGAATATTAAAATATTCCATGCTTTTCTCTTTATGGCTGTAAGTGTACTGAGGCATCATTCTCCATGGTTTGACACAGATGTGTATTTTGTAATGAAAATGGTCAATCTTTGCTAAGATAGAAGATGTTGTCTGAAATACTGATGAACCACCTTAATTGATTTTCTGGCAGATTGTCGAATAGGTTGTGGATTATAGGTGGGAGATAAAATAAGCCAAATAGTGTGAATCTAGATACTGAAAATGAAATCTGCATTAAAAAAATTGTCATGTGTTTGGTTACCATTACAGCATCAAGAAAACCTTAAGGCCAAAGGTTCTTTGCAAAAACAGGTAAAATTGACAGAAATGTTTTATCAGTATATTTTTGCGTTAGTGGCTGTTTTATCCACAGTACCCAGGAGATGGATATCAGTGTGATAATTTCAATAATAATTTATGTCTTTCCTAAGTTCAGACAAGTGGTAGAATATGCGAGACTTTAATCAGTGCTACTAAGTCCCAAAATAGCATTAGTGAATTAATTCTAACAATTTAGACCCCTGATCTACTTTTATCTAAATTATCTGAAAATTGGCCTCCTATTTCTCCAAACTCTTGGCAGAAAAACCTGCAATAAGGATCCTTAACAAGTGTACTTTGTTATAATATGCTGATAAGAAAATATTTATGTATCTCTCATGCCTGCTTTAAAGGATCAACCCTTACCACTGACTCTTAGAGGGTGTGAAGATCTCTGCACTTTTAGATAAGGAGAATTTCAAGTAACAATGATATATCCTGCAGTAAAGTAGAGGGCTCTTACAATTATAGCTATAGTTATTCATTCTTTTCCCCCATTTTTCTGGTTGTAAGCTGAGCTCCTGGTTTAGGTACTGAACATGCTCTGAGATGTTTTACATGCATACCTCATTATAGATACTTGGAGGATAAGTACTTGGAGTGTCAGAACCATGTTTTATTTTTCTTTGAGTATTCA
Source organism: Homo sapiens (assembly GCF_000001405.40). NCBI lineage: Eukaryota > Metazoa > Chordata > Mammalia > Primates > Hominidae > Homo > Homo sapiens. The sequence continues at coordinate 95,727,376 of NC_000023.11, read as the reverse complement.
CACAACTTTATACTATATATTAATAGGTGCTTAATAAATATTTGTATATAGAATGATCAACATATATCAAATATTTAATGAGCCCCCACTAAGAACTAGGTACTACGCTAGAAACTGGGAATAGATTGGTATACAGATGAATACAGTTTTAATGAGATTTATATTATAGGGTTGTGGGGAGTGAGACAGTAAACTAGTAATACTTAGTGATAAATGAAATCTAAAAAGTGAAGTAGAGAGTCGAATAATGTGAACAAGTATAGCTATGCCAGGAGGTGAGAAGAAATTTTAGAAAGGTCACTCTGAGTAGGTGCTGTTTGAACTAAGACCATTTTTGACTAATTTATGCCATTCTTCTATCCTGCATTTTGATTTTGTCCTTACAACTAAATTTTTAAATAAAACACATTTGCCTCTTTTTTCCTTTAACTGTAACACTGTGTGGCCTAAAGTTTTATTTTTAGGTTGAACAAGAAATAAATATATTTCTCATGATTTGCGGAAATGACAAAAACACAAAAAAGAAAAATGATCATGTTGTTGAGGTGAACAAGCTTATATAAACCACACTTTTTAAAAATGCTTGGTTCAAGGCTTGGATGACGGTTCGTGGCAGGTCTTATTTTATTTGATCAAGTTTGCTGCCTTTAATCACATCCCTACAATACTCGGTGCATACCAATAAATTATATTTAATGATTTTTTTCTGAAGGTACCATAGACGCTTCTATATAGCTCTTTCTAGAGCTCTGAAAAACCTTTTCAAAAATATACAATGGGCAACAAGCTTGGATTTGTTTCAGGGAGATGCTAAATTTTAAATTTAAATGTTATCTGTCAATAAAATTGAAAATTCTATTAAGTTCTGAAATGATACTATCACTTTCCTGATTGAAATCCACCAATGGATCCTTGCTATCATTAGAATTAAATCTTAAATCTTTACCATGGTTTACAAGATTCTGTAAGTTGTAAACTTATAGAACCTTCCTGCCTCTCTGGCCTCATGTTATTCCTGTCTTGCACTCATTTACTTTGCTAGAGCCACCCCTGCCTGCTTTCTGCTACTTGAAAAGGATAAACTCTTTCCTGCCTCAGGGTATTTAGACATTGTACTTTCAAGTTTTAATGTGGATGCTACCTATCATCCTTCTGTAAAGTTGGGCACCCATAGTCACTCTCTTTCCAACTGGCATATTTTAATTTCTTATTAATTTTTACCAGTATATGACATTATACCATATATGTGCTTGTATATTTGTATACTGTTTGGCTTCTTCTAGATATAAGTACAACGAGGTAGGAACCTTGTCTTTCTTATTCACACTGTGTCCTTTGCACCCAGAACTGTATCTTGCATACAGTGGGCACTCAACATACGTTTCTTGAATGAATACATGAATAAATAAATTTGCTTGTTGCTTTGGATCAGTATGTTGCTACACCACCAAATTTCATCTGTTTTAGTCTTCAAAATGTTAAGCCCTCACAGTTGCTTTTTCGCTTTCAATTTCTTGGAAATTCGCCATGAGTATCCAACTCCAGGGAGGCCACAGGTCTGTAAACTTCCTTTGTAATACCAGAATTATATTGTGAATCATCTTTGAAGGAACACTGTTCATTGCTCTGCAATCAAGTTATCTTCATGAAAATAGTTATACCAAATTAGGGCGTCTTCTGACTGATTTTCCCTATGAAAATGGCATTTTCAACACTGCATTTGTTTATTGTTTGATTGCCTTGTGTGGTATTGATTCAGCAGTCTTTATGCGGCAAGCATCTTAAAGCTGTGGACTCAGATTAATAAGAAATGCTCTTTGCTTTTGAGGAGCTCACAGTCTAGTGTTACTGAGATTAGTGCAAAACAACGTTTCAGTACTATAAAGTACTACTATAAGATACTATTATAAGATAGGTTATCTGGCATTTTCCTAACTAGGATCCTGAATTCTTTTCAACACTAGTGTGAAACTGGTGCTGTAGTATCTCTGGAGAAAGACTGCCTGATATTTAACGTTTACCTCTACCCTTTGCTAGCTCCGACACTGGGCAAGTTGCTGAACTTCCTTGTGTTGTATTTTCCATTTGTAAAATGGGGGGATAACAATATTACCTACCTCACAGGATTTATGTGAGGTAATTAAATAAAATAACCCATGCAAAGCACTCAGAACTGTGCCTGAGATATAATATGTTCTCAATAAGCGATCACTGTTATTACTATTATCATTATTACTATTTTAGAAATTCTGTCCTGCCAGCAGTCTAATTCATTTGAATGGGAAAAAAATTCAGGAGTTAGGTTAAAAGAGTTCAATCTTATTTTAGCTTGTAACACATGGCCCTAAGAGACACAGTTAAAATTAAATCTATCAAAACAAACAATTTGGAAACAAAAAATAAAAACACAAATTCCCAAAACCTAGTAAACAAATATCACTTAAATGCCCCTTCCTTCTTGATGAAGCATGATATTAAATATTTAAGATGCCAAGGAAAACGGAACTAGCAAAAACATGATGCTTATGATTAATGCACACAGTATCATGTGGTTAGATGTAGACATAGCCTTTATTTTGCCTGCAGTTGTCAACCATGAAGTTTGCAAGAGCCCTGTGAGGCAGATATCTGAATTGCTTAACAATATTGGTATTTTCTTTTGTTTGTTTGCTTTAATACAATCCATTACACTTAAAATAGAAAAGAAGGATATCAAAGTTTGACATAGAATTTCATAAAACAGGTTTTAGGAATTTCTAAATATAGTTATTTATGAAATACTTTCTTTTTACTCAGCTTAGGGTGAGGAGTTGGGGGCAGTAATCTAGAATACAGAACAAGAAGAAATTGAGAGGAAAGAACCTTATTTATACCTATACTTTAATAGGGGAGTGTGAGGGCATTTGGTATATTTTGATACGAGATCATTTGCACCATCCAACTGTAGTCATAAATTGTTAAATGACCTTTACCTGACCAAATACCACATTTCTTCAAGCATTGTGATAAAAATATTTCACTTTATATCAATTTCAAGTAATAACATTCATAGATTTTGTTAAATAAATAAAATGCTTGGTTTCTGAATATCGTAGGAAGTTGCTGTAGGAGACCACAACATATAAAATAGAGCATCTAATCATTTGCTACAGGAACTAGCACATAGAAATAAATCAATAATTGTTAACTAATATGAAAATATTCATATTATGACGGCATTCTTGTCTTTAAGACAGATATACCTACATAGAATTCCTTTATTCAGTAAGCATTAGTTAAACATATGCCTTGTGTTAAGTTACTGGTTAAGAGGAGAGGAAGAGTTAAAAAAAAAACACGTTAAAAAATGATACAATGGACAAAACTCTCATAGTCTAATTTGTGATAGATAAGATACTAAGAAACATTTATTGACCAACTTGCATGCTCATCTCATTTAATTCTTAGAATTTTATCAGATAAGTATAACTATCTCCATTTTATACATGATGAAATTGAGGCTCAGAGAGATGAAAGAGCTTATTTAAAGTCACACAGGGACTAAGTGGTGGAATCCGAATGTCATCTGCCTGTCTAAATCTTAACCCTATGCCCTCTCTATTATATTCAGATGCCTTAATGAGAGATAGTATGAAAACAGAAAATTAGTATAAAGCAGAACAAAGTATTATCAATATCATAAAAATATATGAAAAACTGTGTTATATTATGAGGATTCAGGTGAGAGTGAGGTGGAAAAGGATAGCAGGTGTATTTTACTAATTTCACCGACATTTATTGTACACCATGCCCTAAGTACTATGATTGGAATAATATTGGGATATTTACTTTTGAATTATTTAAAAACCTCTTGATGAGGTGAGGTGATAGCTTTTTTTTTTTGGTGTTGTTTCATTAATGCCGAGCACGGTGGCTCATGCCTGTAATTTTAGTGCTTTGGGAGGTCGAGGCGGGACGATCCCTTGAAGTCAGGAGTTCAAGACCCTTTCACTACAAAAATAAAAAAAAAAATAGCTGGGCATGGTGGGGCGCACCCACAGTCTTTGTAACTCAGGAAGCTGAGGTGGGAGGATCGCTTGAGCCAGGAGTTTGATGTTATAGTGAGCTGTGATTGCACCATCGGATTCCAGCTTGGGCAACAGAGAAAGATCCTGTCTTTATTTTTTAAAAAGCTTCATTAAAAGCAAAGGAATGTAGTTTGAAGGAGAGCGGGTAACTGAAAATTACAAAAATACCAAGAAAGCATTTTTTTCTCACCTTGGAGACTACTTGCTATGATCAGAGAAATGAAATACTAGATGTATGAGAGAATCAGCTGAGAATACCTTGACATCATCCACTGAAAGTTTTTATAAGTTCTAGAAATAAGCCATGAAAAGAGAAATGGCCACTTTGTCTAAGGAACATAAGAAAGAACACTTTTCTGCACTTTTCCTAAGCAAAGAAGATAATCAGGAGTGGTGTAGAGACTTTTGGAAAGTAATGATAGAGACTTCTGTATGAGAAAATAATGCACAGTGGCTTATTATTTTTTGAAAGTACAAATTTATGAACCTCACCAGAATCAAGAATATTGATTGACTGTTTAACATTCATAAATGGTTGGCTGATCTCTGTGTACCACGTACTTGGAACTGTAGCCCTGTCCTTTCTGACACATCACTCAATCAATATAATTTATGGGACAAGAGTAGCAATAGGCAACTTCTGGAGTTAGAAAGGTGGCTATTTCAGAGGGAAATCCTTAAGTACAGGTGACTTAAAATTTGATCTCAAATTTGATTTGGGTTGAAACTCACAGATTTCACTAAGTGAAATAAAAAATGGTCAAGTCTTTTAACTGCAGAGCATTCTGAGTACCATACTAAATTCCTTGCTATTCACTTCCTAGCTATGTATTTCTTAGATGCAATTTTATTTTTTTCTAATGAAAAATAAAGCCATCTCTTATGCTTTTGCATTTTAATTCCCTGCTAGTTCACAAATATATATAAAAAGAAGAGATTCGGTACTATCATCTCCTTCCCCCTGCAATATTTTGGTTATTGAAGATAATTCTATGTTGTTTCTAATCACATTTTCTAGGAATAAACATTGTGTCAGGGAATATGAATTTCCAGAATTTCATTAGGGAGACAATAAGTTACTTCATTTGTTTTTTAAAAAAATATTTTGATGTACAGGATAGTGATATTTGATACCAACAATACTTTTCCTATGATGATCTCTCTACTAACAGAACATGTTTCATTGATAAAATTCTATGTACTATCATTTTTAGTGGAAATTATTAGGGAGGCACTATTCTGTAGTATCTGAATTTAAATAGTAATTCAGGCTATAACGATTATTTTAATTATGTATTTCCAATTTGCTAGTAATCACCATTTTATTTTAAAGATATTACATTGAAGAAAATGTCAAGTATTTTGAATTCACATATAATACTAACATAAAACAATACTTTTTATTATTGCACATTTCACAAATTATAGGTATTTCTATATAGCTGCAATTACACTGAATAGATAATTACATATTCTCTCTTCATTTTTAATATATCTTGAATAATGTTTGGTGTTTCTACAAGTTTTGAATGCATGTTTAGTAGCTTAAAGTACTGATATGCCATAATTTATTGAGCTGTTTTTCTAAATTCAGTTATGTAGGTTGCACCACAATTTTTACTGATTTAAATAATACTCCAGAGGATTTTGATGACTCTTTTTCTGCTTTTAACAATTCTTTCTGTTTTGAGAGGAAACAATAATAACTTTACGGCTCTTTCATCTGAAGTAAACCATGTTTTTCAGTTTCTATTCTGCGTCGGAAAAAAATGAAGTAAACCATGTTTAACTTCATTAAAAACAACAGAACATCTAATTGGCAGAACTGCAGACAACACCACTCAGGAGTTTTAATTTTATAAAATGTGTCTCACTTTGTCTTTTTAGCAGTACTCTTCCTTTTACCCTTCACATATGCTAAAAAGACAAAGTGAGACACATTTTATACCATCTTATACAGATGCTTTCTATTTTATTTTTATTTTCAAAGCAGACTTCAAATTACGTGTAAACATAGTACGTAGTATGGATTCTGTGGCTGTGCTTCTGATACAGCTGTTGGTGTGTGTCACTTCACCCCCCACAAAAGTTAATTCGCAGAGCTAATCCCTCACAAACTTACTTCCTTTGTGCTCTGTAACAGGTGAACTTTATCCCTTTTAGTCACCCTCTCTTTCTGCCTCCAAGCCCTCTTCTGCTTCTTGTAGCTCATATTCATATTCCAGTGAGGGCTCCTCAAAAAAAAAAGCACCACCATCGTCTGGGTTATATTCATTTATTCTAACCCACAGGAAATTCTTGGGGGAGATATCGCCATCTATGAAGAGCTTTGCTTTCTTCCTTCCTTTTTTTTTTTTCATTTGCTTCATTAACTCAGCTAACTCTTTCTGTACTTGTTTCAGCCACACTGGGCTCAAGCTTCCTTTTTTTCTTTTGCATTTCACTATTTGCTTGTTGAGTGCCTCCTGATTGACTCTACATAGACTTGAGAGCAAGGCACGTTCCATGGCATCAGACCATGATTGACTGCCCAGTCTCTAAACAGACCCTTATATTTCCTGAACTCATTTTGTATAGTCTTCTTTTTAATCTGGAGTTCCCAAATTGGCAATTACTGGTAACCAATCTATCACTGCTAGAGCTGCATTTTCTTTGCCTTGCACAAACAATATAGGTGGCACATCCCTTAAGATCTGCTGGGACATTAAAAGATGCCTCATATGTGCAGTGCGTTCCTATAATATGGATTCTGTGTGCACCTTCTGTTCAGCAGAAAGACTTGTCTTCCAATATACATGCCATGCTGGGAAGTCTTGGAAAACTTCAGGTTCAGGTCATAGATCTATTTGCCCACTTCACTTGTGCACAGCAAATCTGTCAATGCTTTATAAACAAGGCCATTCAGAGTCCGTAGATGCATGTGGTCTTCCTTCTCCATTTTCTTTGAGACATTCCTCATTAGGAATTGGATAGTTTGTAAATAAAGTGAGATCCCTAGGAAGGATCTTTATACCAATTTATTTTTTCCAGAGGCAAATTTCTTGAGCGGGTTCTTATTGCCACAGCATATGGAAAAGCTGTGGACTCTCATAGCCCAGAAGGAGGCTGTGCCCAGACTGGCAGCTTCCCAGAAGTACCCAGAGCCATGCATGTGGAGGAGGGTGGTTGGTGCCCTATAGATTGTGGGCAGGTGCCCATGTGGCCACCTAGTATGTCATCTCCTCACTGCCATCTACTTGCCACCTAAGCTAAGGCCAGGCCTTAGTGTTTATAGACAAATCTGTTACCTTGATTTATATTTTTGAGTATCTGTGAGGTAGGAAATTTCCAGAGATTTTAGTCCAAACAAGATATATATATTTTTTACTAGGACTGTCACAAACACCACAAACTGGGTGGCTTAACACAACAGAGATTAATTGTCTCGCAATTCTGTAGGACAGAAGTCTGAAATTATGGTGTTGGCTGGGCCTTGCTCTCTCTGACGCTTCCAGGGGAGGATCCTTCCTTGCCTCTTGCAGGTCTGGTAGCTTGGAAGGCATTCCTTGACTTGTAGCACCATAACTTCAATCTCTGTTCTCATCTTCATATAGCATTCTCCCTGTGTCTCTGTGTCTTCACATGACTGTCTTCTTGTAAAGAAACCAGTCATATTGGATTTGGAGCCCACCCTTCTCTGTGACCTTATCTTAACTAATTACATCTGCAATGATCTTATTTACAAATACAGTCATATTCTGAAATATGAGGCGTTAGGACATCAACGTAGCTTTTCTGGAGGACACAATTCAACTCGCGATGGAGGGCAACTCCTAGGCAATGGCCCAAGAGTTTGTAAAAATGATCTAATTGTTGGCTGGGGCATCTAGTGATAATGACTGCCTGAAGTACAATCAAATGTGCTAACCCATATATCCCATTCTTTTATCAGGGACATCCTAGTTAAAACATGAAAATCAGCAATTCTCCACTGAGCTCCATCATATATAGTGGTGGCCATGTCATCTGTAAACTCCATGAAATCCCATTGCTGTTTACTAAGTTGCTCCAAAGAGTCTTCTCAGGTAGCCAAGAAATCTGGAAGGGAGTGACTTCCTCCAACACCATGGCAAGGGACTGAAGACATGGAAGCCTACTCCCTTGCTGGTAGGTATGCCAGAGGGCCTAGGTTTGGCTCCATCTTGTAGTAGCAAGGAGGCCTCGATAGCCATGCCAAGCTTGCAAGATGCTGCCTCCATTACCCAAGACATAGTGGACAGCTAAATACAGAGGGTCACAGGCTCAGGGTCTGTGAAAGCCTCTGTTTCCAGGACAGCAAATTATGTGACTAATAATTGCTTCTGTAATGGCGTGTAGTACAGGGCTTAAGAGAGTAGTTTCTTGCATCAGAAGCCCTGGGGCAACTCATGAGGAACGAGAGGGGATTGCTAAAGCCTCTATAATGAAGGCATTCTTGAGGGCCTAATGAAAGTGCCTGTTATATTGCAATTTGAACAAACTGTAAAGCCTTTGTTGGAATGATTTGCAAGTAACAGCATAAGCGAGTTTAAGTAAAATTTATAAATGAGGAATACATTGCCTCTAAATCCCAGAAAGGCATAAAAATACTTTGCTTGTATTAACATGATGGGTGCTGAGAGGATCAATAGCTGTTCCTTGGTGGTGCCAGGAATGAAGCAGCCCTTGGTTAACTGAATAATTTTTAGGAATTTAATGGATGGAGTCAGTAATTTCAATAATATTGTATATGGGGGTCTTAATAGATGTGCTTGTAGAATTCGGTCGCACTAATCTACAATGAGGTGTCATTCATTCTTTCCAGAATTCGATGTTAAATGGAGAAGCAGTGACGATAATCACCCTTTCACTAATTAAGTCTCGTAGAATAGGTTTCAATTCTTAAAAGCCATTTTTAAATGTACTGTGAGCCATATTAACTATTTTAACTGAGCTGCAAGTGTCAATTTGGGCCAATTTTGTCAATCCAATTTGTAAGTGCTATGAAAAGAAAAGAAAATCTCAGGACCCCAAACTTACTATGCCAAAGGGAAAAGTTAATCTTGGAAACTGAGTCATGCAAAACATTGCCCTTCCTCTTGTTACTAAACAGATAGCTGCAAGACAGAAGGCCACGTATCTCTTCAGGTGGCCCCCCTCTCCCTGAAAATGTAAATTAACAGCTTATCTTCACAGCTATGGGACAAAGACAAGACTAGAAATCATCCCTCTGCTCACCTTGAAATAAATGCAGATTTACTGAGCCCAAGACGAATGCATAACTGACTGTTCCTCCATTCATATGTAACACGTGGATTCAGTCAGCGCTAATCAAAGCCTCACAAGAATGTGACTACTTATCTCACTGCCTACCATTTTTTTTCTTTCCCCCTTCCCCTCCTGCCTGCCCTTTTCCCCTTAAATATTGAAGCCCTCAAAACCCTCTTTGGAAAATGTGATGGCCGCAAATCCTACTGTGACTTTTGTCTCTTTTTCCTAGGCACCTCCTCAACCTAGCAAAAATAAATCTCTAAATTGATTGAGACCTGTCTCAGACACTTTTTGTTTTACATTGCTAAATATTTAATTTGATTTTAATTTGTTACTCATTGAGTTAGAGCATTCATGCCAATTGTGGGATTGTTTCAGGGCAATGGGTGCTATCAGCATGGAGAATTTGGGCAAGTCAATCATTCTGATGATTAAGATTAATCATTCTGAGATATAACTAGTTGCTCTCTATTTTATATTCAGTAACACCCTTAAGATAATAGGTGACACCATGTTTTAATTTAATGGCATCTTCAGGCATAGCATAATTTAAGCCCCAGTATTAAAGCTATGAAGGTTTGCCAAAAGGTGTATTTCACCAGATAATAAAGTTAATTCAGAACTTATGTTGTAAAGATGTAAAAGCCATTCAGTGTCCTTTATCTTTTTGATGTATAAATTATTTTAGTAAATTGTGAATTGCTGGTTGGGTAAAATTGTGGACCTTTATTTCAGATTTTGTTTGTTTCCTCCCACTGTGTCCAGGTTTCTTCCTCCCTCCCTTCCTCCCTCCCTCCCTCCCTCCCTCCCTCCCTCTCTCCCTTCCTTCCTTCCTTCCTTCCTTCCTTCCTTCCTTCCTTCCTTCCTTATCAGTCACTGTATATACTTGGCTGGGGGTAGATTCCTTTCTTCTTTGCTTACATTTAAAAACGTCTCCCTCCAAAGCGAGACTCTGTCTCAAAAAAAAAAAAATGTCTCCCTCGAGAGGGCCTCAAATCAGTATCATCAGGGTCATAGGCCACCCTCATGGTAATAATTGTGTTTTAGAGATTAACGAAACTGAGTTTAAATCTGGATTGAATTTACCTTTTCACTGTGCCACAGGGGTGCCATGGGTGTTTTCTCTATAGCCCTGAGGATCAGGATCTTTGTTGCAGCAGAAGACTAGAAAGCAAAGGAGCACAACAGAAGAGTGCTGTATCCAAAATCCAGAAGTCTTCAGATTGAATATATCCTCTGGCTACAGCATGTGGGCCTCCTGTTTTCTCTATTTCCTTCTTTTTTTTTTGTCTATACAAATTTCTTCAGAATATTTTTGCATTTCTAGATAAATAATCCTGTGGCTTTCAATTTCTGCTTCTGTCCAGTCATCCATGTGGTGGACTTTTTGGGTGGTTAGGTGGAAAGATATGGGTGCTTAGTTGCATGCATCATAGATGGCCACATCTTCCTCCAGGAAGTACTAGCTTCCAGGGTCGGGGTCCATATCCAGTAAGTTAATTTTGTCTATGGCCTAGGTAGAGACATCAACTTCCATGATTAAAAGATTAACATCTTGCATACTAGCAAACCGTAGTGCTAAGAAAACCTCAGGCATATTGGCCAGGGTTTTGGCATTGGGGGAGCAGTTTAGTAAAAACCATGTACTCCTTTTCCCTTTCTTATCTCAGCAGTTTCTGGACCATGGGCCACCATGTATGTGCATCTAAATACCTTTGAGGATAAGGAGAATGCGTGTGACAGCAGCAAGAGAAGCAGCATCACAGGAGACAGGCAAGAGGGCTACCTTCACATGAACAGCAATGACTATTAGGCAACGTGGGATTCATGCTTAATTATTCCTGGGATAGTAGTCCCTTTTCTTTCTGCAAACTTCACAAAATCCCTTTCCCAGGACCATCTATCCAGGGGATGGAAAAATCACAAAATAATACTTGTATGTCTTCCAAAATCAGGAAATGACAGTCACCAGGCTAGATATAGTGACCAGAAATCTCTAGCACAACCCTAGTTAAGCAGGATTCAAGTAGTGACCAATTATGGCATGTGTGGTCACCAGCTTTGTAGGCAGGAGCCTCAGATATCACCTACTTATTAGTCAGGGTTCTCTAGAAGGACAGAACTACTAGGATCTATCTATCTATCTATCTATCTATCTATCTATCTATCTATCATCTATCTATCTATCAATCATATATATATATCCCATATATATACATATATATGTACATATATATGTACATATATATGTATATGGGAGTTTATTAAGTATTAACTCACATGATCACAAGGTCCCACAGTAGGCCGTCTGCAAGTTGAGGAGCAAGGAGGGCCAGTCCAAGTCCCAAAACTGAAGAACTTGGAGTCCAACGTTCAAAGACAGGAAGCATCCAGCACGGGGGAAAGATGTAGGCTGGAAGGCTAGGCCAGTCTAGCCTTTTTACATCTTTTTTGTCTGTTTTATATTCACTGACAGCTGATCAGATGGTTCCCACCCAGATTAAGGGTGGGTCTGCCTTTCCCAGCCCACTGACACAAATGTTAATCTCCTGTGGCAGCACCCTCACAGACACACCCAGGATCAATACTTTGCCTTTTTCAATCCAATCAAGTAGACACTCAGTACTAACCATCACAAGTCCACCCCTTGTTAACTTGAACCCATATACATCTCCTGAAATTATACATAATCTTCAAATAAAGAAAATAATAAGGTCATAATTGCACCTAACATAATACAACTATCCTTTGTACAACTGGAAACACACCAATCTCCAACCTAAATACTATTACATAAAGTTAATACTTAAATGCTGATATAAAGTCAATAAATCTTATGTCACATGATAAAGGAAAAAGAAAACAAAATGAAGATATTTTCTTAGTACAAGTGTATACATGCACAAACATATTTTTAACAAATAAAGGAGGAAATACTCATGACAATTACAGTACTTGTTTCTGCAGCTGGTCACGTGGTCGTAGCTAGTATTGATGACTATCTTCTTCTACTATTCATTTTGTATTCCCTTTGCCTTCAGCAAGCACCTCAGCAGGTTGTGTTTTTTTTCCTGGTGGAGTGACCCAAACTTTCATTTCAGAAGGGTCTGGGCCATTTGTAGTCCTGCCATTGTAGTTTCCCATTGACCTTAATCACAGGGCATGGTAATACTAAGAGATGCCCTAATGTATCTCTTGTATTCCATGCATACTCTTCCTTACCTCTGTCGTGGAGTGATAAACTGATTTCATCTTGATAATTCGGGTCAGTCACCAAGCCAACACTGTAACTCCCTTCTTAGCCATTGACTTAAACGTAGGAGGAGCCCAAAGTTTCCAGGTGGCAATCTTAACTTCCAGTTTAATGGAATCGTTGTTATGTCTCCTGGTGGCAGCATTCCTCCCTCTGGAACTAAGACTTCTAGACCAGCAGAACCTAATGTCGCAGAAACAGGAAGCAAAAATTTTGCTAGTGGATCACTAGGGGTGATGGTGAGTGGTGCTACTTCCACTTTCCCCCTTTGATTCCCGGACCCATGAATCCTGGCTATGGGAGAAAGAGTACCATATATTGGACGCTGATTCAGAGCATACATGGCCTTGTGGAGGACTTTGCCCCAGCCCTGCAAAGTATTCTCACTTAGTAAGCATTGTAATTGTGACTTCCAAAGGCCATTCCACTGTTCTATTAATCCAGCTACTTCAGGATGATGGGGAACATGGTAAGACTAGTGAATTCCATGAGCATGAGCCTACTGCCACACTTCTTTAGCCATAAAGTGTGTGCTGTGGTCACAGGGAATGCTGTGTGGAATACCATGACGGTGGATAAGGCATTCCGTGAGTCCACAGATGGTAGTCTTGGCAGAAGCACTGCATGCAGGATAGGCAAACCCATATCTGGAGTAAGCATCTATTCCAGTGAGGAGAAACCTCTGCCCTTTCCATGATGGAAGAGGTCCAATATAATCAACCTGCCACCAGGTAGCTTGCTGATCACTCCAAGGAATGGTGCCATATCAAGGGCTCAGTGTTGGTCTCTGCTGCTGGAAAACTGGGCACTCAGCAGTGGCCCTAGCCAGTCAGCCTTTGTTCTCCACATTTGGTCAAAGATATTATGTATGGAGCCACTAATGTCCTTGCCTCTCATGAGCGGTGAATCAGTAGTGTCAAATGCATTTATTTTGCATAACTCTCTAAACAGTTCATGCCAAGGACTATCAATGTTCTCCATACTATTAGAAGAGAGTCCTTAGCATTTTGGGGCATAATCATATTAAGCAGCCAACTCCAGAAACCCCAAAACCATTGAAACCACTCCATTTTAATATTCTGTTCCTCTAGAACCACACCTGATACCAAAATCTGTATTAGTCAGATATATATGTATAATATATATGTTTAATATATACATATATATGTAATATATACATATATACATATATATACATATATATGTAATATATACATATATATACATATATATGAATATATACATATATACATATATATGTAATATATACATATATATACACATATATATATAATATATACATATATATATATATATATATATATATATGAGTTATTAACTCACACGATCACAAGGTCCCACAATAGGCCATCTGCAATCTGAGGAGCAAGGAGAGCCAGTGCAAGTCCCAAAACTGAAGAACCTGGAGTCTAATGTTCCAGGGCAGGAAGCATCCAGCATGGGAGAAAGACGTAGGCTGGGAGGCTAGGCCAGTCTAGCCTTTTCACATTTTTCTGTCTGCTTTATATTCACTGGTAGCTGATTAGATTGTGTCCACACAGATTAAGGGTGGGTCTGCCTTTCCCAGCCCACTGACTCAAATCTTAATCTCCTTTGGCAACACCCTCGCAGACACACCCAGGATCAATATTTTGCATCCTTCAATCCAATTAAGTTGACACTCAATATCAACCATCACACCTACAAAATATAGGGCAAACCCAGTGACATGGCACACTGGATTATAGTCAATTAACAACAATTATTTTGTGGGGACCAGACAGTTTCAGGATGGGAAGAGATGGCATTATCTTACAAAGACAACACAGTACCACGTAGGCCAATGTGGAAGACCACCAGTAATCTTTGGATCTATCTAAGACACCCTTTGCTATATCATGGAACCAGTTAATTAGGCAAAACAGTAAGTTAAAGCTGACCAGGTGTCATCAGTTAAAGTTAGGCCATCCTATTCTTGATACCAATTGGTTTAGTCATCTCCAATTCACCCAAATAGCGAGAAAGGAATTCCCACCATAGGGTTATGGCGATGGCTGAATATATGATGCTTAACATTGAAAAGATGAGAATTATAGCAGTTTATTAGTAACATATACTCACAGCTTGGGGGAGGAAGACACTGAATACCATGCAGGGCCACACAAGAGTTAAGATAATAGTGCATATCAATAGAATAAAAAACAAAAATCACACAGTCATACCAATAAGTGCAGAAAAGGCATGTGACAAAGTCTAATATTCTTTTATAATAAAAAAAATCAAGAACTAGGAATAGAAGTAACTTTCTCATCATGATAAAGATATTCTACAAAAACCCACCGCTAACATTATACTTAACTGTGGAAGACTAGATGCATTTCCCTCATGTCTGAAATAAGTCAAAGATGCCCATTCTTGCCACTTCCATTCATCACCATACTGGAGGTTCTAGCCAGGGCAATTGGGCAAGAAAAAGAAAAAAAGAGGCATTCAGATTAGCAAGGAAGAATTAAACTATTTCTACTCAAGATGTCAGGGCTTGTATATAGAAAATCCCAAGGAATGCACTAAAAAACTGATAGAACTAATAAACAAGTTTAGCAAATTATAGTTTACAAGAGCAACATACAAAAATCAATTGTATTTCTACACATTTGTGATGAACAATCCAAGGAAAAAAAGAAACTATTTCATTTATAGTATTATCAAAAGGAACAGAATACTTTGGAATAAATTTAACCAAATAAGTGCAAAATTTATACTCTGAAAACTACAAAAAGCATTGTTAAAAGAAACTAATGAAGATCTAAATAATTGGAAAAAAACCCACATGTTCATGAATTGGAAGAGTTAATATTGTTAAATGATAATATTATACAAGTTAATCTGCAGATACAATGCAAATCCTATTAGAATCTCAGCTGATTTTTATTTTAGAAATTGACAAGCTGATTCTAAAACTCATAAGAAATTTCAAGGTACCCAGAATAGCTAAGTAATATTGAAAAAGAAGAAAAAGCAGTCCTCACATTTCCTGATTTTAAAACTTACCATAAAGTTAGCAGTTAATAAGGTAATGTGATACTGCCAGAAGAACAAGCATGTATATCAATAGAGGGATTGAAAATCCAGATCATAAATCATATTCCAATGTACAACTGATTTTTGAGAAATGTCAATAATATTCAATTTAGAAAGTATATTCTTCACCACAAATGGTGCTGCAATAACTGTATAGTGACATGGAAAAGAAGAAAAAAAGCCAGACTCACCTGACACCATATACAAAAGTTAACTCAAAATAAATCAAACACCTAAATGTAAGAGCTAGAACTGTAGAGCTCATAGAAGAAAACAGGGTAAATTTTCACCACAGAGTTTGCAAAGTATTCTTAGATATGGTAAGTAGATATAACAGTTCCCCAAGTTATTCATTGTGGTGTTACACGGCCTATGAATTTCACTTCTAGGTGTATACCTAAGAGAAATAAAAACATACACTTACACAAAAACTTGTACATCAATGTTTATACCAGCATTATTATAATGGCCAAAGAGCAGAAACAATTCAAATGTCCATCAACTGATGAATAAACAAAATGTGGTATATCCCTAGTATTCATCCATATATGATAATATAATTTGTCCATGAAAAATTAAGGATGTACTGATGCATTCTACATGAATACCTTGAAAACATTATGCTAACTCAAAGAAACAAGTCACAAAAGACCACGTATATAATTCCATTCATATTAAATATTCAAAACAGGAAAATCTGTAGAAAAAGGACAACATTAGTGATTTCTCAGAGATATAGGAGGGAATGATATGATAGCTAATATCATAGCTATTGTGTGGCTTTCTTTTTTTCTTTTTCTTTTTTTTTTTTTTTTTGTTGAGACGGAGTCTCGCTGTCGCCCAGGCTGGAGTGCAGTGGCGCCATCTCGGCTCACTGCAAGCTCCGCCTCCCGGGTTCACGCCATTCTCCTGCCTCAGCCTCCCGAGTAGCTGGGACTACAGGCGCCCACCACCTCGCCTGGCCAATTTTTTTTTTTGTATTTTTCGTAGAGACGGGGTTTCACCGTGTTAGCCAGGATGGTCTCGATCTCCTGACCTGGTGATCCGCCCGCCTCGGCCTCCCAAAGTGCTGGGATTACAGGCGTGAGCCACAGCACCCGGCCGTGGCTTTTTGTGATAAAATATATATAACAACATTTACCATTCTAACCATTTTTTATTTCAATATTTATTTTAGATTCAAAGGGTACATGTGCAGGTTTGTTACAATGAGATGTTGTGTGATGCTGAAGTTTGGGCTTCTATTAATCCCATCACCCAGATAGTAAATGTAGTACCCAGTAGGAAGGCTATCAGGCCTTGCTCCCACCGCCCCGCCGCCTTACTCCCTCCTTTTGTAGTTCCCAGTGTTTATTGTTCCTGTCTTTACATCCATGTGTACCCAAGATTTAACTCCTGCTTATAAGTGAGAACATGAGGTATTTGGTTTTCTGTTTCTGCATTAATTCACTTAGGATGATGGCATTTAGCTGCATCCATGCTGCTGCAAAAGACATGAGTTCATATTTTTATGGCTGTATAGTATTGCATGGTATATATGTATCACATTTCTTTAATCCACTCTTGATGCACACCTAGATTTATTCCATGTCTTTGCTATTGCAGTCTAACCATTTTTAAGCATGCAGTTCAGTGGTATTAAGTATATTCACATTGTTATGGAATGATTGCCACCATTTGTCCTCAGAACTTCTTTTATATTCAAAAACTAAAATTCCACTTCCATTAAATACTAACTTCCCATTCCCCCCCCCCCACCCACTATACTATAAAGCTAGAGTAAATAAGACAGTGTGGTATTAATGCATGGATAGCAAATAGATGAAAGGAAATAAAGAATGTCCAGAAACAGACGCATACATATACAATTTCTTTATTCATGAGAAAGATTACTCTGTCATTGGGAAAGACTAAGTTTCTAGTTGAATTATGTTGAGTTGCTGCAAAATTGTGGATCTTGACTCCTACCTCACACCATGTACAATAATTGAAAAAGCATAAAAAGTAGAGACATAAAAACTGTTTTAGTTTTCTTGGGTTACTATAACAAAATACCATTGGCTGGATAACATAAACAACATAACTTAATTTCTCATGGTTCTGGAAGCAGGGAAGTCCAAGATCCAGGTGATGACAGATTCAGTGTCAGACAAGGGCCTTCTTCCTGGTTTGCAAACAGTTGCCTTCTTGCTGTATCCTCACATGGCCTAAAGAGAGAACATCTTCATGTCTCTTCTTACAGTGGAACTAATATATTCATAAGGGCTTCATTTTCATGACCTAATTACCTCCTGAAGTTCCTATCTCCAAATACCAACACATTGCAGATTAGGACTTCAGCATGTTAATTTAGGGGAAACACAAACATTCAGTCCGTAGCAAGAACAGAGTGTAAAAACAAATAAAATGGCAGAATAGAAGCCAGTGAAGGAGACGGAGAAGGAATAATCCCAAAGGTCAGAGAAAATATTGAATAATATAACAAGCAAATTTCATAAAAGAGGAATTCATCAATTGTACTAAGTATTATGGAATAATTATGTATAGTATGGACTGAAAATAGGTTTTTGAATTGTGCAAATAGAAGGAAATTGATAATTTTGTGACAGCAATTTTAATGGCAAGGTGAGGAACAGAAAGCAGGTTTTTGTGTGAACATAGTTAAACTGGAATTTTATTTCCTACAATTCCTTTCTCTGTATAGCTCTAGAATAACGTGGCTCTCTGGAAGTATTTTGTTTATTTGGAATGTGGATGAGAAACAGCAGATATCTTGTCTTACACTCAGGAGTTTAAGGCAAGACATAAGGAACTTTTGCAGCATATGAATATTATTGCTTATCTACTGGCTCACCTTTTTGGCATGGGGCAGAAGCCAGGCTCACAGCAACTCCTCCTCTTGCTGGATCTCCTTCAGCTTTTCTGATTCTTAGGTTATATGTTTGTTTAGTGACACAAAGGGCAAAATCTTCACCTCCAGATCACTCCTTCATCACAGTTGGAGGTTTGGAGGTAATGAGAGACTAATGAGAGATTTAGCCTATCCTTGTAGGTTTCAGTACACCCTAACAGATTGCAATTTGCTCCACTTCCTCCACTTCACATCTGTCATTCCATCCCAACTGCCTACCCTGCTGACTTTCAGGCTTCTGTACTATAAACAGAACTAAGAGTTTCTTCACACAGATGCTAGCCAGTTCCTACAGCTGTATAAGATCAAATCCCTTATCATTTGTGTGCATGTGTGTGTGCATATGTGTGTGTGTATGTGTGTGTGTGTGTGTTTCTCTTCTAGTGGCACCCTTCTCTTATTAAACTCTAACTGATTCACTCTGTGAAATGGGTTGAGAAATAGGTGAGAAGTGAAGAGAAGTAGAGTTGGTGAGAGTGTTCTATTAATCCTGAAGTTTAGGAATAAAGGATGAAGCGAAATAGTAAAGTTACCTGATGAGAAAGTGAGGTAGATAAATGGGTGGTTTTTTAGAGAATGAATCTGATCATATGGATAGTTGAAATAGAAAGAACCCATCAAGAGAGAGATTGAAAATATAGCCATGAGGGAGGACAACTGATAGAACGAGAGAGTGAGCAAGTACAGGCGAGTTTATATATTTTAAAAAGGAAAACATGTACTCAGAAATTATTTTAAGTAAGTCACGTTTCTTAATGCTGGGGATACAAAGATGAATAAAACATCCTTAGGTCTCCAGGGAGAATGGAAGCAGAGACAGATACACCATTTAATATAGTAATATTAAAACAATATATTGTAATAGGAATGGTAATGGAGATATACACAGAGTATATTTGGAATACAGATGGGGAACACTTAGTTTGGTCTCAAGGATTGCAGGCAACAAGATTCGGGGGATCAGGGAAAACTTCCTGTAAGGGATGATGCTTGAATTAAGCTGTGCAGGTTATTTATTTGCAGCTCCTCTTGCTGCACAGCCAATACTACTTCATAATTTACTGTTCTTTTTCATGTTCCTTAGGCTTAGAATGACCTTCCTCCACTTATTAGCTAAAAAAACCTCAGTAATAACACTTATTTGTTACTGAAATATGAAATGCAAAATGGATCAGAAGTCCAGTTAAACATGTCGGTTTAAAGATGTGTGCTAGCTTCTACTCCCAGGACTCGACTGAAATAAAAACAAGTGAATAGAAATTGCATACATCCACAAGGTCAAACAAAATGAGAGACATCAGCAAACCAGAAGGATGTAAACATTATTGGAAGCTGGAAAGCACATGAAGAAATAGGAATTCACTTAGCGGAGTTGGAAGGGCTGAAACCAACGCAATGACACTGGGAAAAGTCAAGGAGGAATAAGCCAAAAATATGCTGCGGAGCCCAGAAATATAGTAATAATAGGAGATGTTAGTTTCCTCCAAAGGCGGAGGAAAAAGTTGAAGACAGGAAGATTGATTGCAAGTTTGTAGGGGAAACAATTAGAACTCAGGAAATCAGTCTTAGTTTCCCCTAGCAGAAGATTAGAGGGTTATTTTCTACGGAAATGTTTATAGGGAAAATAAACCCTAGGAAATGTTTCCCTAGAAAATAAATCCTCTCAAGAGAAAATATCACCATTGGACAACTCCTATCCATAAACATATAGCTTCTAAGTCACATCTTAGTATCTGCCTCTTAAATATGAGTTGGCAGCCAAGAATTGCCCAGTATTTGAAGGAAGACTTTAACAATAGCAGACACCAAAACAAACAAACAAAAAAAAACTTAGAGGAAGCAAAATCAATGCAAAAAGCAGAAGGAAATCATAAAAATAGAACTTTAATTAGTATCCTAATAGGAATAAATAAAAAATACATTGTTTTCATGACATAAGAGCAGTACAGTATAAAAAAGAAGTATTAAAAGAAGAATAAAAGGTTCTTGAAAATAAAAATACTATAGTTATCATTTAAAAACTAATCAGTAGAAGGATCAGATGATACATTTGAGCATGTGTTCCAGAAAAGAAAAATAAATAAATAAATGTAAAATAGTAGAGTAAATAAAGGAAAAGTAGAGGATCCTTACATAAGATGCACATTTTGATAATAATGGCCCTGGGAAAAGAGAAGAAATGGAATTGTAAAGAAAATTCATTTTAAAAATAAAGAAAATTTCCCAGAACTGAAAGTACCTTCATTTCCAGATGGAAAAGACCTGCCAAATGGCCAGCACAATGAATCCAAGCAGAAAGAAGGCATAATTTATGAAATTGGGGAACACTGAGATGAAGAAAAAATTACAAAAACCTTCAAGGAGAAGAAAAATCTTTTTGTTTCATTGATATTTTTGTATTTTTTTTTAAATTTCAACTTCATTTATTTCTGCTCTCATCTTTACTATTTTTTTTTCTTCTACTAATTTTGGGTTTGGTTTCCTCTTGGTTCTCTAGTTATTTAAGATGCATCATTAGATTCTTCATTTGAAGTTTTTCCTCTTTTTTGATGTAGGCACTTACAGCTATAAACTTCCTGCTTAGTACTGCTTTTGCTGTATTCCGTAGGTTTTGGTATGTTGTGTTTTCATTACCATTGGTTTTTAGACATTTTTCAGTTTTCTTATGCTCTTCATTGATCCATTGGTCATTCAGGAGCATATTGTTTAATTTCCATGTATTTGTATAGTTTCCAAAATTCTTCTTGTTATTGATTTCTAGTTTTATTACATTGCGGTTAAAGATACTTGATATTATTTAAATTTTTTGTATGTTTTAAGACTCGGTTTGTGACATAACATCTGGTCTATTCTTGAGAATGATCCATGTGCTGAGGAAAATAATGTGTATTCTGGAGCCATTCGATAAAATGTTCTGTAAATAGCACTGTAGCCATCACAGCTGATGTGCTGAGTCTCACCTGAAGCCAGCAAGTCTCAGAAGCTCACCAAGGCCCTCTATGTAGTACCTGGCATTACTGCTGGTTATTCAGGGCCCAAGGGCTCTTCAGTTAGCAGGTGATGAGTGGTACCAGTAGTGGGTCCTTTTCTTTTTTTGAGATGGAGTCTCGCTCTGTCGTCCAGGCTGGAGTGCAGTGGCGCTATCTCGGCTCACTGCAAGCTCCGTCTCCCGGGTTCACTCCATTCTCCTGCCTCAGCCTCCCGAGTAGCTCAGACTACAGGCGCCTGCCACCACGCCCGGCTAATTTTTTGTATTTTTAGTAGAGATGGGGTTTCACCATGTTAGCCAGGATGGTCTCGATCTCCTGACCTCGTGATCCTCCCACCTCAGCCCCACAAAGTGCTGGGATTACAGGCGTGAGCCACTGCGCCCGGCCAGTACTGGGTCCTTTTCTTCAAGGCAGCAGGTTCCCTTTTGCCCCAGGGTATGTATAGAAATTTTACCTGGGATCTAGGGCCTAGAATGGGGGCCTCATGTCTCCGACCAGTGCCCTATCCTGCTATGGTTGAACTGGTATCTAAGATGCAAGACAAAGTCTTCTACACTCTTCCTTCTCTCCTCAAGTGGAAAAAAGTGATCTCTTTTGGAGCTGTGAGCTGTGCAGCTTCTTGGTAAGGGAGGGATGATACCAGCACTCCCTTAGCCACCCAGCTGGTGTCTCAGTATGTCGCGTGTCCCCCAGTCACTGTCTCTGGGCTTAGGTCAGCCCTATGACTTGTCTAAGAGTTGCAGTCCTCATGGCCTAGACTGCCTTTCATGTTTACCAAGAGCACTTTGGCACCCAGTGGCGGTGAGGTTTGCCGTTCAGAGCACTGGAATCAGTGATTTTCTTCTGGCTCAGGCTGTTCCCTCTGTGGGCGGGTGTCAGCTAAGAGTGGTCTGGTTTTCTGTCTTGCACTAACAGAACAGCACTGAGTTCAATGCATCACAATTCCTGTGTTCTTCTTCCCTCAGGGCCCAGAAATGCTCCCCACACCAGGCTGAAGGTGCTGGGGGTGCGAGGGGCATGGCATTGGTGATTCAGGACTATTTTTTTCTATCTCTTCATTAAAACCCGGTTCTATGAGTGCTCACCTGATTTGTTATTCTTATAGTGGTGTTTTTTCTGTGTAGATAGCTGATACCTGTTAACTTGGTGTCCTTCTTTGTGAGGGGGGGTTGGGAGGGGTAGGAGGAGATGATCAGTGGAGCTTTCTATTCTGCCATCTTGCTCTGCCTCCTCTGGATGTATTGCTTTTATATATGATTTTATCTATTTACAATCAATTATGTTCCACTTAACCATATCTCTATTTCTTCCTCAGGAAGAATTATATTTTTTGATATTTTGTAAAAATTGTAAAACAGATGTTTTAAAAATGAATAATCCCAAATTTCACCCTCCACTTCAAGCACATTGTTTTTCATTTCCAGGAGATGTCGCTGTATATTCTTATTCTTTATTTTCTTATATAAACCCTAAGATGATTCACTGAGCCATCTACCCCTGGGTCTGATCCCTGGTCTGAGTTATACGGTAATTATATTAAATATACTAAGCAATTTGGAGTGTACAAATACTTTTACTTCCTCTTCTCACTCAGGTTTCTCTATTCATGAATTTATAAAGGTTTCACAATACACATTTGAGGTTACATTTTATAAAGGTCCAATATATATCTATTTAAATTTATTTCTAAGAACTGTTGTCATTATTAATTATGAAATGAAAAACTTCAGATAAATTAAATTTAAAAGTTTATTTGAGCAAAAGATGATTCATGAATTGAGCAGCCTCCAAACCAGAAGACGTTCATTGAGCTCCACTCTGCAACATGGGAAGGCAGTAATTACAGAGAGAAAACAAGAGTGATGTACAGAAATAGCTTGCTTGGTTACATCTGGCATTTGCCTTATTTGGTCATGATCTGATCAGTTGGCAGCCTGTGATTGGCTGAAGCTCATATGCTGTAATTATCTGTGACTCAGCTATTTGTTACAGAAATATACTCCAGAGTTAGGCTTTCAGTTTGTTTAAAAATTTAGGTTGCAGTTTTCTACACAGGGACTCAAGGTACCCAGGCTACTTCTGGTCAAACTTAAGTTGATTTAACATAATGAAGTTTTGTTATGTTAAATAAATGCTGTTGACTTTTCAATATTTATCTTATATCTGGCCAGTTTTTAATGTTGTTGTATTATTTTGAATATTTTTTAATCAACTAAAATTATTAATAACTATTTTATTAATAATTTTAGTAAACTAGGTTTTATAGGTATATAATTATGTCATAAGTGAATGATATACTATTCTTTTTTCTTACTAGTGTTTATCCCTTTTATTTCCTTTCATGTCTTATTACTTTACCAACAATTTTCATTACAATATTTAAAAATAGAAGGTAGGTATTCTTGTTTGTTTCTAAAGTGAAGGAGAATGCCTAGAATTTTGTTATTGGTGAGTTTTTGTTTTGCTTTGTGAAATAGAAACTCTAATGTCACACCTCAATGAACTAGAGAAAAAAGAACAAACCAAACCCAAACCAGCAGAAGAAAAGATATAATAAAGATCAGAGCAGAACTAAATGAAATTGAAACAAAAAATACAAAAAAAAAAGAATCAAAAAGCTGGTTTTTGAAAATAACTAGAACATTAACCAAGAAAAGAAGAGAGAAGATCTAAATAAGCAGAACTAGAAATAAAAAGGGAGCTATTACAACCAATAGCACAGAAATACAAAAGGTCATTCAAGGATACTATGAACATCTTAATGTGAACAAACTAGAAATTTTAGAAAAGATGGATAAATTCCTGGAAATATACAATCCTCCTAGATTAAATCAGGAAGAAATAGAAACTATGAACAGACCAATAATAAGCGGTGAGATGAATTAGTAATAAAAAAATTGCCAACAACAAAAAAGTCCACGGCCAGATGGATTTACAGCTGAATTCTATCAGACATTTAGACAAAAATTGGTACCAGTCCTACTGAAACTATTCCAAAAGATAGAGAAAGAGGGAGTCCTCCCTAAATCATTCTATGAAGCCAGTATCACCCTATCACCCTAACACCAAAACCAAGAAAGGACATAACAACGACAACAACAAACTGCAGACCAACATCCCTAATGAACATAGATGCAAAAATCTTCAACAAAATACTAGCTAACAAAATCCAACAGCATATCAAAAAGATAATACACCATGACACCATGATCAAATGGGTTTCATACCAGGAATGCAGGGATGGTTTAACATATGCAAGCCAATAAATTTGATACACCACATAAACAGAAATAAAAATGAAAACCATATAATCATATCAATAGATGCAGAAAAAGCATTTGACAAAATCCAGCATCCCTTTTATGATAAAAACTCTCAACAAAATAGGCCTAGAAGGGAAGTACCTCAAAGTAACATAGGCATCTATGACAAACCCACAGCCAACATCACACTGAATGGAGAAATGTTGACAGCATTCCCCCTGAGAACTGGAACAAGACAAGGATGCCCACTTTTACCACTTCTATTCAACATAGAACTGGAAGTCCTAGCCAGAGCAATCAGACAAGAGAAAGAAATAAAGGGCATTCAAATTGTAAAAGAGAAAGACAAACTACTGCTTTTTGCAGGTGATATGATTGTATACCTAGAAAATCCTAAAGACAACTCCAAAAGACTCTTAGATTTAATAATTGAATTCAGTAAATTCTCAGGTTACAAAATCAATGTACACAAATCAGTAGCACTGCTATACACAGATAATGACTGAGAATGAAATGAAGAATGCAATCTATTTTACAACTGAAAAGCAAATAAATAAGTAAAATAGTTAGGAATGTATTTAACCAAGGAGGTAAAAAAATCTCTGCAAGGAAAACTACAAAACATTGCTGAAAGATATCATAGATGACACAAACAAGTGGAAACGCATCCCATGCTCACAGAAGGGTAGAATCAATATTGTGAAAATGAACATACTGCTGGCTGGGTGTGGTGGCTCATGCCTGTAATCCCAGCACTTTGGGAGGCCGAGGCGGACGGATCACCTGAGGTTGGGAGTTCGAGACCAGCCTGACCAAGATGGAGAAACCCCATCTCTACTAAAAATACAAAATTAGCAGGGTGTGGTGGCACAAGCCTGTAATCCCAGCTACTTGGGAGGCTGAGGCAGGAGAATTGCTTGAACCCAGGAGGCAGAGGTTGCAGTGAGCCGAGATTGTGCCATTGCACTCCAGCCTAGGCAACAAGAGCGAAACTCCGTCTAAAAAAAAAAAAAAAAAAAAAAAAGGACATACTGCCAAAAGTAATAGTAGACAGATTCAATGCAAATTCCATCAAAATGTTATCATCATTCTTCACAGAACTAGAAAAAACAATCCTAAAATGCATATGGAACCAAAAAAGAGACCACATATCCAAATCCAGACAAAGCAAAAAGTACAAATCTGGAGGTATCACATTACCAGACTTCAAATCATACTACAAGGCCAAAATAGCATTTTGTTTACTTTGTCAAAGATCAGTTGAATGCCAGTATTTAGCTTTATTTCTGGGTTCTCTATTCTGTTCCATTGGTCTATTGCCTACTTTTATACCAGTATAAAACAGAACAGAATAGAGAACCCAGAAATAAAGTCAAATACTTACATTCAACTGATCTTCAACAAAGCAACCAAAAACATAAAGTGGGGGAAAGGACACCCTATTCAACAAATGGTGCTGGGATAATTGGCAAGCCACATGTAGAAGAATGACACTGGATCCTCATCTCTCACCTTATACAAAAATAAATTCAATGTGGATCAAAGACTTAAATCTAAGGCTCGAAACCATAAAAATTATAGAAGATAGCATCAGAAAAACTGTTGTGGACATTGGCTTAGGAAAAGAATTCATGGCTAAGAACCCAAAAGCAAATGTTATGAAAACAAAAATGAATAAATGGGACCTAATTAAATTAAAAGCTTCTGCACAGCAAAAGAAATAATTAACAGTGTTAGCAGACAACCCACAGAGTGGAAAAAAATGTTCACAAACTGTGCATCTAACCAATGACTAATATCCAGAATCTACAGGGAACTCAAGTAAGCAACAAAGAAAAAGTTAATAATCCTATCAAAAAGTGGACTCAGGACACGAATAGACAATTCTCAAAAGATGGTATACAAATGGCCAACAAACATATGAAAAAAAGCTCAACATCACTAATTATCAGG
Source organism: Homo sapiens (assembly GCF_000001405.40). Classification (NCBI taxonomy): domain Eukaryota; kingdom Metazoa; phylum Chordata; class Mammalia; order Primates; family Hominidae; genus Homo; species Homo sapiens. The sequence continues at coordinate 95,700,590 of NC_000023.11, read as the reverse complement.
GAAATGCAAATTAAACCCACAATGAGATACCACCTTGCTCCTGCAAGAATGACCATAATTTAAAAATTGAAAACTAGCAGATGTTGATGTGGATGCAGTATAAAGGGAATACTTTTACACTGCTGGTGGGAAGGTAAACTAATACAACCACTATGGAAAACAGTATGGAGATTCTTTCAAGGTCTAAAAGTAGAACAATCATTTGATTCAGCAATCTCAGTACTGGGTATCTACCCAAAGGAAAAAAGTTGTTATATGAAAAAGACACATGCACACTCATGTTTATAGCAGCATGATTCACAATTGCAAAAATATGGAACCAGCCTAAATGCCCACCAACTAATGAGTGGATAAAGAAGATTTGGTATATATACACCATATATACACTCAGCCATAAAACAAAATAAAATAATGGCCTTTGCAGCAACATGAATGGAGTTGGAGACCATTATTCTAAGTGAAGTGGGAGCTAAGCTATGAGGATGCAAAGGCATAAGAATGATATAATATACTTTAAGGAGTTGGGGGAAAAGGTCAGCGGGGGATGAGGGATAAAAGACTACATGTTGGGTACAGTGTACATTTCTTGGGTGACAGGTGCACCAAAATCTCAGAAATCACAACAAGCTAACTTATCCATGTAACCAAAATCACCCGTTCCCAAAAAACTATTGAAATGAACAAAAAATGTGAGGCAAACTCTTGATATCAAAACAATAAACTCAAAGAAATGACTCTCCTCCTCTTCAAAGATGGATGGTCCATATTATGTTATGTAAGATGCAGATTAATTTAATATAAATTAATATACATAACTGTATAACCCCAGATATATATCACTTTTGATAGTCCTCCATTTCATATTGCTGAGTTCATATAATGAATATATGACTCAGATTCTTAGAGATGACTAGAAATTAAAGTAAATGCCAAATGTCAGTAGTGTTGGTAAATCAACACACACTGGTTATCCAGCCTAATATATTATGAGGTAATACAACTTCTATATTAGAGCTATTTGTGTCTTCATTGTAAGTGAAACATCCTCATCTTGTACAGGTAGAAATAAACTAGGCTTTAAATCAGTCAGCAAAAGAATGTAAAAATTAGAATCACATTATTCTGCAGAAGGTTATCCCCTTGTGAATATGTATCATAAAATGCTAGTTTTTTTTGTAAAAAAAAAATATGAAGTTGGTATTTTACTGATCGGAATCTAACAACTTAGATCCAAAAGTATATATCTTGTGCTCTTAGATTCCATGCTACTACATGTTTAATTGGTACAGAGAGTACTGAATGCCACTGAGGATCTCTAGCATGCTCTTTCCAGTTTCAGCACTGTAGATAGTGATACATTTAGCTGTGCATCACCTTAGCAGTTCCCTGTCTTGATTAGATGGGATAGTGGAGCCATCACTTGGGTAGCTGGCCATTTTAAGATAGTGTCGCACTGATTAACGCTTTTTTGACTTATATGTGCTGCTAACACTTCATAGTGCTGTTAGGGTTTTAATTTAATGGTGCTTGAAGAATCAAATGAATGTTGTGTTGATGCCTTAAGTACTTGAAAATGTATTATCATCAGTTTACAATAACATATTAACTAGATCAAAAAATCTCTCCATTTAGCAAAAAGCAGGTAAAAAATGGAAAGTTTACATTTTGTAGTGTAGGGCAAATAGGAAGTATTAAAATGTGTTTATTGATTAATTTTATAAAACTCATAAATAAGTCCATCAGAATAATCTGTAGTACAGCACTGCAATGTTACTGGGTATTTGAAATGACTTGCTTTTCCTTTCCTCAAATTGTATCTGTTTTATTACTGAGGCTAGAAGAGAAATAAATGGATTTTAACTGGAGATGGAGCATTTTTGAATAGAATATAAATCCCTTAGCCTAACATTCAAAACTCACAAAGTAGCCTTATTAATTGTATTACTCCATTATCACTCTGCTATGAAGAAATACCCAAGGCTGGCTAATTCAGAAAGAAAAGAGACTTAATTGACTCACAGTTCCACATGGTTGGGGATGCCTCATTAAACCTACAGTCATGGCAGAAGGCACCTCTTCACAGGGTGGCAGGAGAGAGAATGAGTGCAAGCAAGGGAAATACCAGACGTTTACAAAACCATCAGATTTCAGGAGACTCACTCACTATCACGAAAACAGCATGGGGGAAACTACCCCCATGATCTGATTACTGCCCCTGGTCCCACCCTTGACAAGTAGGGATTATGAGGATTACAATTCAAAGTGAGATTTGAGTGGGGACACAGAGCCAAAACATATCATTCTGCCCCTGGCCCCTCCCAAATCTCATGTTCTCACATTTCAAAACACAATCATACCTTCTGACAGTCCCCCAAAGTCTTACCTCATTCCAGCATTAACCCAAAAGTCCAAGTCTAAAGTTTCATCTGAAACAAGGGAAGCTACTTTTACCTATGGGCCTGTAAAATCAAAAGCAAGTTAGTTACTTCCTAGATACAATGGGGGTACAGACATTAGGTAAATACACCCATTCCAAATGGGAGAAATTGGCCAAAACAGAGGGGCTACAGGCCCCATGAAAATCTGAAATCCAACAGGGCAGTCATTGAACCTTAAAGTTCCAAAATAATCCCTTTTGACTTCATGTCTCACATCCAGGTCATGCTGATGCAAGAGGTGGGCTCCCATGGCCTTGGGCAGCTCTGCCTCTGTGGCTTTGCAGGGTACCACCCCTGTACTGGCTAATTTCCTGGGCTGGTGTTGAGTGTCTACTGCTTTTCCAGGTGCATGGTGCAAGCTGTCAGTGGATCTACCATTCTGGGATCTGAAGAATGGTGGCCCTCTTCTCATAGCTCCACTAGGCAGTGCCTCAGTGAGGCTGTGTGTGGGGGCTCCAACCCCACATTTCCCTTCTGTGCTGCCCTAGCAGAGGTTCTCCATGAGGGCCTCTGCCCCTGCTACAAATTTCTGCCTGGACTTCCAGGTATTTCCATACATCCTCTGAAATCTAGGTGGAGGTTCCCAAACCTTAATTCTTGACTTCTGTGCACCCACAGGCTCAACACCACATGGAAGCTGCCAAGGCTTGGGGTTTGCACCCTCTGACGCTGTACCTTGGTCACTTTTAGCCACAGCTGGAGCTGAAGCAGCTGGGATACAGGGCACCAAATCCTGAGACTGCACGAAGCAGCAAGGCCCTGGGCCTAGCCCAGGAAACCAATTTTTCCTCCTAGGCCTCCAGACGTGTGATGGCAGGAGCTGTTGTGAAGACTTCTGACATGTCCTGGAGACATTTTCCCTATTGTCTTGGAGATTAAGATTAGGCTCCTCGTTTCTTATGCAAATTTCTGGGGGTGGGGCTTGAATATCTCCCTAGAAAATGAGTTTTTCTTTTCTGCCACATTGTCAGGCTGCAAAATTTCCAAACTTTTATACTCTGCTTCCTCTTGAATGCAGTGCCACTTAGAAATCTCTTCTTCTAGATACTCTAAATCATCTCTCTCAAGTTCAAAGTGTCACAGATCTCTAGTGCAAGGGCAAAATGCCACCAGTCTCTTTTCTAAAGCATAGCAAGTATCACCTTTATTCCAGTTCCCAACAAGTTCCTTACCTCCATCTGAGACCACCTCAGCCTGGACTTCATTGTCCATATCACTATCAGCATTTTGGTCAAAGCCATTCAACAAGTCTCTAGGAAGTTTCAAACTTTCCCACATTTTCCTGTCTTCTTCACTGCCTGTTACCCAATTCTAAGGTTGCTTCCACATTTTTGGGTATCTTTATTGTAAAGATAAAGTACTATTCCCAGTACCAACTTACTGTATTAGTCCGTTCTCACATTGCTATGAAGAAATACCTGTGACTGGGTAATTTACAAAAAACAAAGGTTTAATTGATTCACAGTTCCACATGGCTGGGCATGTCTCATGCAACTTACAATCATGGCGGAAGGCACCTCTTCACAGGGTAGCAGGAGAGAGAATGAGTGCAAGCAGGGGAAATGCCAGACGCTTATAAAACATCAGATCTCGTGAGATTCAGTCACTATCACGAAAACTCTCACTACCACAAAAACAGCATGGGGGAAACTGCCCCCATGACCTGATTACCTCAACCTGGTCCTGCCCTTGACAAGAGGGTATTATGGGGATTACAATTCAAGGTGAGATTTGGGTGCAGACACAGAGCCAAACCATATCATTAATGTTTCCAGATTTTTTTATCTGTACATACATATGTATGTACCTTCCATTTTGAAAAAAATGACTCTACTCCAGGTATACTTTTGGAACTTTGTATCTGCAACTTTGCTCATAGTCATAACAACTACCATTTATTAAGCATTTATTATGTATCAAGTACATGCAAAGTGCTTTTCATGCATTATCATATTTAATTCTACAACAACTCTGTGAGGTAGGTACCCTTATTATCCCCATTTTTCACATGAGAATCTGGAAGTTCGAATATGTTAGAAACTTGCCCAATAGCACAAAACCAGCAAGTTTTCGAGCCAGGATCCCAACTCAGTTCTGTCTGATCCCAAAGATCCTGCTGTAATCCATGTTACTGTATGGTTAATACCATCCATTCTGCATGGGAAACTTCTAAAAATCAGCCCTACCTATCTCATTTATTCAAACCTAAGCAAACTTTAAGATCGAAGTTAAATGCAAACTCCTCCAAGAAGCCTTCTATTAATGACACGTAATATTGCCACCTCTCCCCCTTCAGAGCTATCAAAGCCCACACTGATCTTATCATACATAGATCACTTCTTACACATTACTTTGAATTATAATGGTAATTGTTTACCATGTCATATTTTTGTGACTTAATTATAAGTATAGACACTGACATTTCCATTTCTGTATCATCCTCAGCATCTAGCATTTCATCATGTGTATTAGTAAATGATGAATAAATCTATGAATATTAAGTAATTTACTAACTGAACGAAAGAATATAAGATTGGACTGTTAGAATGCAACAGGTATCTCCTAGTCTAGAGAGTTTACAAAGAAACATTAGTATCTTTGATATAAGGGTAGGAAACTGGCAGAAAAAATATGTTGGAAAAGTCGAGTTTTTATTATTGAATACACAGGTTACTATCCAGAAAGTAATATTCCCTTTTTTCAAACTTCTTAGAAGAATAATATATATTGAAGACCAACTAGGCTTTACACGTATGCACATTTTAAGGATATCTATATATCTATATATCTATATCTATATATATATATCTGTGTGTGTATATACATATATATATATTTCAACTCAATGGGTAGTTATTATCTTTATTTTACCCTGATTAGAACATTGAAACTCATAGAGTTAAAGTAACTCTTCAAGGTCAAACAGAGTTAGGAGTTGGAGTGAGATTTGAATCTAAGCCCATGCATACATCAGTGCCCACATCTTACAATCCTCAAGTTTTGATTAATAATTGTGGGAAACAACTGTAGCAATTTTATTGATGGGGGAAGGAGTGGCATTTGACAGTACTGAATTCTATTCCACTATAAACTACTTTAAAAACTCTTTGTTATAAAAAGATGCCTTGGCTGTATCACCTGATGCAAGATACAGCTCAGCTTCATTTAAATATTACCTCCTCTGTAAAAGCAGGCATACTCATTCCGTGTATTTCCGTAACACTTTGCTCATGCATCAATCATAGTAATTTTCACACTCTATTGTAACCAGACTATTATGGCTAGACTATCATCCCTTCAAGAGGAAGGACCACTTCCTGTTTGACTCTGAATTGCCCTTACCTAATACCTAACAAAGTAACTAAGACAGAGAAAGTGTTCAATGAACGCACATATAAAGACTAACATTATTGAAACAATGTGGTTGGTTGCTAGGAGAATATGAATAATACTCTCTCAAAGAGTGTATGTTATGGCAGAGAACATGTGACGAATGCAAAAATAACTATACTGCGAGGCCTGAAGGACTAAGTACCTTCAAATAATACAAACTGTTTGGCAAGGTCAGAAAAGGGAGAAATTTCTTGTGATTAAGTGGGGTTGGGAGATCAAGAGGGCTTCAAATATCATAGGCTTTGAAGTCATTTGGTCACCATTCAACGAACATTCACTGAGAACCTGCTGTGTGTCAGTTACTGTTCTAGACCCACTAGGATTCATAGATAAGACATAACTTTGCTTTCCCAGATTTCAAGGTCTAGTGAGGGAGCAACATGTATAAACAGGCAATGCAAAAAGAATCTGAAAACACAGAAAGAAACACCAAGGAGGATTTATTAAAATAACCACAGTGGTGGCAGGCATGATGGTATTAAGGAAGAGTTTCTGAAGGAAGTAGTGAATGAGCTGGATCAAACAAAACTCAGAGGTGACCACAATATTAACACTTAATGGCTGTATAACTTCAAAATTAGCTGGAAAATGTGTATGAATAACAATAATAGTTTCAGAGTTCTTGTAAAAATTAAAATAGGTAAAGCATATACAACTGTAGACTTAGTAGATTGTACTCCAGAGATTATTTTCCTGTCCCTTCTCCCTTTCCTCACTGCCACTTTTTGCTTTCATATGTGAACATTTAGGTGCAGCAAGAATGGTAGATCAGTCCTCCCAGATGAAACATACAGTTGATAAATTTGCTATTCAGGAAATCATGCAATTAGGAAAAGCCTGTCAGTGAAAGTTGTGGCGATACTTAGATTGAAGGTATTTAAAAAGGAATGTGTCAGCAGATGTAGAATCTACTAGCAGCATTTCATTTCTAACAGAGTTAGTTTCATTTCTAACAGAGCATTACTGTGGTGTTAAGTGGAGTTGGTGTTTAAAGGAAGGAATCTGTTTTACTGAGAAGATGCTGAACAGGAAAATAAATAATTCCCTGGCCAAGCACTTTAACCAGTCAATTAGTGTTGAGGTAGAGGTGTTAACCGCTTGTTCTCAACCTACTAAGTGGTAGACTGACAGTATTCATTAATGCTAATTTTTGGACAAGGCTGCAAGAAGCATTCTCACCCTGGACATAAGCAATAAAATATAAAGCCCCCAAATGCACAGTGTTCTTTGTAAGCTCTGCGAAAGCTTAGTCACTGGGTCACAACAGCACAGTTTTCTGCCAACTTAATTTGCAAGTCATTACCACCTGCAAATCAGTCACAAAGGATCACTCAAATTAAAATAATAGGATGTAGTGGAAATCTTAGCTTTTTCATTTCAATTTATTTACCATAAATGGCTTTGTTTTAAATTTTTGTTTGAAACTAAGCAGTATATTGATTAGTTTTCAACAACTCATGAATCACAGTTCAACACAAATTACTTTAAATTGAGGGAATCAGGAAATACAGCAGACCTGTTTCAGCTTAGCTGCATATATTACAGGGAATGATAATACTAAAATTCTTGGCTTCATCTAGATGCTTCTGATTTTTTCCCCAAGACATAATATACAAAGATGAAAATAGAGACGAAAGTTAAATGCTAGACTTTGGTGGTCTGAGAGGAAGCTGTAGCAAAAGAACATAGAAATGGTCTGCAATTAGTCTAGAATAAATACAAGTATGTCTTCTCTGGACTAGTATAGAGGTGCAAAGTTTTATCATTATAACAAAGATAATATGCACCTTATTTTCCTCTGCTATGGTATCTGATTGAAAAGTCAGGTCATCTTATATGGTAACAAACAAATATCCAAGAGCATAATTATAAAGTTAATATCAGTTCCTTAAATGATATTCATAATGAAATGATCCAAATGGATATTCTATTATGTCCACATTTTACAAAGAGTAACTGTAAATCCACAGAAAATGAATGTGTATGGGTGTGTTTATTTATTTTCTTCTAACAAATTCCTCTTTGTATGTCTAATTCCTTTTAATTCATACCCAAAAGTCTACAGAATGACTCCTTTGGGAAACACAGGAAAGAGATGTTGTGCTCCTGTTTTCCAAAATCTGCTCCAGCAAAAAGTCCCGTTTGCTTTTCTATTTGTATTCTTTACCCACTTGGGAAAAACTTCCTTAGTTGACTTTATGGCAGATTTTTTCCAACCTGCATGTGAATACAGTATGGTTCTCATTTAGCCAACATCTAGGAAGTGGCTAGAAAGATTCTTTCTTAGCTTAGGAATATAGTGTCAGGAGATCTGAATCTATTTCACAAATATTTATTGATTGCGCTCAAAATCAGCCAACCTCACTCATTTTTAAAAAATCCCTCCTACTGCAATAGATTATCTCAAATAGAAATAAGCTATAAATCTTTTTAATATAGAATGCTCTTGGTATCATATTTTTCTTTCTGACTTTGGCACTGGTGGTTATGTTCTGATAGAGTGCATTGGTTTTTGTGTATTGGGATGTATTAGATTCCATAACTTTTGTTGCAATTTTAAAACTACAATCCTTCCTGGACTGCTGTCCATCTACAATACTATATCTCAAATTGTTATGGGATGGTTTTATTAAGACTGGCTTCTTTCACCTTTTTCAAGTTAGTTCTATAGACTAAGTGTTACTACTCCTGATGCTCAAAGTATGATCTTAATCTTACCTGGAGGTTTGTCAACAGTGTGGAATTTTAGGCCCTATCCCAGACCTACTGAATTGGAATCTGCATTATATGGCTCATTCATATGTGCATTAAAATTTGAAAAGTGCAGGTGGAAGATCAGTGTCTGGTATATGGTAGATGCTAAAATAAATATTTGATGGAATGAGTGAATATGATAAAATATTATAACTAGATAGCAGAAATTACATATGATTTGTCTTAAACAAGGACAGTCCAAGAATTTGGAGAAATTTTTAAAACTTTCAAACAAATTTTGAACATTAAAATGTGGAAATAAGTATCAGAAAGGAGGTTAGATTATTTCAGGATATAAGAGCTCTTCTTTTGCATAAAGAAAAGTGGAATGAATCATAAATGTAGTCACGAATTTTAGATATGAGATTATGTTGCCACCATACTTTATAAATTATATTATCAGATAACAGTGTTACTAATTTTTTTACATTAGTACAATTGTGGAATTAATAATTATAAGAAATTTTTCTCTTTCAATGAAGTTATGATTATTTTGATACACAAAACCTTTCTCATTCCCATATGTGACCGAAGCATGTCTTTCCTTGTGTCCTGTATCTACCTTCTGATTCTGGCTCTGTCCTTACTCCATAGGGACCAAAATCTACAGCATGACACTGTGACACACAAGGGGAAGAGGACAAGCTTTTTATAAATAAAGATTGATTTCAAAAATTAAGTAGGTGATATAATGGCATAATAAGTGGCCAAAAATTGATTGAGCCATCAGTAAAGTGATTTATTGTTAGTTTAAAAAAGTACACTGATAAATCTGATCAACCCGAAACCCTTAATGATTAAGCGTGAACATCTCTTCTACTATTGTTAAATAAGCTGAGAAAAACAGTATGTCAACATTATATAAAGTAATATTTTTATTAGCTAGAATTTTTTTTTAATGAACATGGCTTAAAAATGCAATCTGTCATGTTCCTTGTTCAAAACTCTTTTAAGGAACCCTTATTCAAAATGGGATCGCTTGGATAAGCAAGTAACAACCTACAATATATTATTAGGAAATGTTCACGTTTATAAAAATCATTAGGCAAGCTTCCTCTTTGAAGCTAACTGGCACAAACTGGTTGAAACTGGTAAGGCCTTCTGGATTTGCTTTGAGCCATCAAAGACACCTAGAGTTCAGGTCAATCTGTTCCATTTTATAAATACTATAATATTCTTGAGTTAAATCAGCATTATGCTTTATGAGCCTTTCTCAGGGACCACCTAAGGAAATATACTTACACGTGTTTTGAGATGGAGTTCTATTGAGTGATAATTATTGTTTTTGTTTTATGAAATTATAATGCTATGTGGCTTGTCTTTTGTCTTATCCTAGGGAAAATATTATTAAAGGAAAATTAGAGTATAATATACTAATGACACTGGAACAAGGAAAATTCATTCCTTTTTATCTCTAGCTTTCTCATTGAAGTTCTATTTTTCTGTCAATGATTCTTAAGCTTTATGGCACAGCAGAATAATCTGAGGAACTTGGTAAAATGCACATTGGTGGGCCCAAATTGTTCTGAACCGAGATACAGAAATTTCGATTTTTAACAAACTCTCTAGGCAATTGTGATGCTGCATATGCTCTTTTCAGAAACATTTCTCTAATGTCTTAACATTTAACATTAGTACACTGCTTATTACCTCAGGTAAGTACTTAATTAAGGATTGTTTTTAACTTTGTGGTATTGCCTTCGATTCTAAAACACACATTGGGATGTTTATGCTTTAGAAGTATAATGGACTATCTAAAATACAAATTTCATTTAAGGCTATCATATCTGTTTCATAAAAGAAATAAATATTACAAGTACTTCTACTCTCAAATAGGAAATATCTTAATTCTTGCTAATTTTTAAGGAAATTATTGTTATGTAAATGTGGTCTGTACAACACTATTAGCTGTTTCAAACCTTATATTTTGTATCCATAAATAAATGGTCAAAAACAACTTAATTACTTAAACACTTTTGACAATATTTTCTTAATAATGGTGTCTGTAGTAAGTTTCATGATGTTAACTGTGTAATAAGTTCAAAAAAATCTAAGAATTCTCCAACAGTGGATTACTGTCAGATTCACATTAATTTTTCAGAAAAAAGTCAGAGGCCTAATTAAGCATTTTAAGTCTGCCTTTGTATGCTCTGATTTTTAAATGACTAAGCAATGAGGATTTTATGACTTCTTAGAGACTGTTCCACCCAAAACACACATACAAGCTGTTTTAGAAATGTCCTTGTACAGTTTCACCTCATTACTCCTCTTGGACTCCTTTCTCCTTGCTGTTTAACCTTTGCAAATAAATGTGACCTTCTTGTCTTTATTTGGTCAACACCTACATTGACAGTTATACATGTTTTCTAAACTTTGTAAAGCTTTTATTATGTGGATTGGTCAGGGCTGGACATTTTGTTTAGACTGAGTTCCCTGGAAAACTAAAGGTTGAGTAAAAAGAAAACATTTTGGTGCACAGCTTGTTATTGGAAATCTTTGTAAAATGTATTCATCTGCTTTCTGGTTCTAGGGAGCTCTATATGCTAAAAAAGTGTGCTCCTTTCTTTGCTGTTTGAATGACTTGTACAGCCATCTGAACATCCATGATTCTTGTGTAATACTATACATTTAGAAGGGATTGGGTATATTTGTACTGACCTTACAACTCCAGAGGTTTGAGTACATTGTGAATATGTCTGTGTTACTGGTTAGCTTAAAATTTTTAGTATTTGAATTTCACCCTGTTAATATTTTATTTGACATGCAATAATAAGGAAGTGTGTGTGTGTGTGTGTGTGTGTGTGTGTGTGTGAGAGAGAGAGAGAGAGGGAGAGAGAGATTGAGTTCTAATTCTTCTTCTTCTTTTTATGTCTAGAGTCAGACCAGCATCCTTTCACTTATTCAAGGACAGCTTAAGTAAAATATATCTAAAATTAAATACTGTTTGAAATAAATGAAAGCCAAATCTGCTTAGAATAATACAGATCATTTATACTTTATCAGGATTTAAATGTTAACTTTTTAAAAATTCAATAACCAGTGCTGAATTTTGGTTCTCAAATATCAGTCTATAAGGAGTTTTATCAAAGCTAGATAGTAACCAGGGTACCACTTCTTGCTATGTGGTACACCTTTTAATTTTTCTTTTGATATACATTTTCATATTCATTGTTAAATTTTTATATTTAAAAAGGACTTTTTTCTTTACTGCATTACAATGGTGCTAACTCTGCTCATTATTATCTGCATATATGACTATTCATTTTAATGCTCTAATATCCTTGCAGATTGAATATTATCCAGCAATAACTTGTCCAAACTCATAGCCATTCCAATATATTTAAATTACACTCTTTTTATTGTTTTTCTATTTCCCCATTTAGGGTTGGTCTAGTCGTATTTTGATTTCAACGCATTCTTTAAATTGCTTGTTACTTTTCATTTAAGTTCATTAGTTAAATCTCCCTTTTTCTCTTGGCTTTGCTATTTAAAAAATATTTTAGGTTATTTTATATTGCAATTTTTTCAGTATGCACATAATGTCTGTATATAAATACTATGGAAATTGTATTATTTTATAACATTGGTGCTTAATATTTAAGGACATCAATTTATAGCTTGATACAGGCAATTTATGAAAGGCAGATTTAATCAATGTAGTGTTTTTTTTTTTTACTTTTTAAATATTCACTCGCTACTTTTTCTTTAGAATTTCTGATGTCTTTGCAAAGATCTCTCTATATTCCCTTTATAGTTCCCTTGACTTGAATGAACTCATTTTCTTCTTTTCCACCTTCATATCTTACTAGGCAGGCCTTGGCTAACTGTATATTTATGTTCTGGCTTAGCCCCAGATCTCCATTTGGGGATCAATATTGATCTTTATAACATTTCCACAATATGGCCAAGCTCAATCTCTAGGTTCTTCTTTATTTGTTTATTACATCCCATTCACAAAACTATAGGCAGTATTACCTAAATGATTCTCTTATTTTCTTTCATTTTTTTAAGTTGGGATTAATTACCGCCTTTTATACAATGGTTTGTTTTCTGTTTGTGTTTAACCAGTTTAATTACTCCCAACTATTCCTTTTTAGGTTTCCTCTTTTCTCAAAATACTCTAACTTCATATGCCCTTGTCTTTCTGCTCTTTATAAACTAGCTCTAGTTGTAAACAAGATAGTCAGGGATCACTGAGTATGAGTGTTCTTCTCTACAGAGTCTCAATTGCTTCTCTCTTACAATGACAAAATAAGTTCGCGTTTTACTTCCTTTAGTCCTTAATACTCCATTTATCTGTAATTGCCACCTTAGCATTTCCGCATAAATTCTGCTTTGAGTCAGGCATTTCAAGCGCCTTAGTGCTTTATCTGTTAACAGATAGTATTTTCTAATCCCACTACCAGATTGTCAATGACATAGAGAATTCCCAAACTTTACACTAGCTAAATATAGTCTAACATAATAGTTCTTAATCTAGAAAAATAATATTTAAGAGGAAAGTAATCTACAGTGTCAACCATATCATGGTGTGGTTGAGATAAGTATGGCAGTAATCGAACTATGTCAGTGTCCTTTTAAAATAAGTATATCAATCATGCTTTTTAAAAATTATTACTTAGTAAAGGGAAATGTGATTTGTACAAGGGCAAATTAAAAATTACTGGTGTATGGAATAAAGAACACTGGATATCTGATTCTCCATCTAGGTAACTATTTTAATGAATAGAAGTGGCAAAAATAGACAATAAAGTAGAAAGTTCCATGGCTGAGACTAAAGGCACGTAGGTTCTAGAGACCTAATTTGATCACTTAAGCACTATGTTTGAGTAAGACACATTCTTCTCTTGTACCTTAGTGGGAATTACGTGGTTGAAATAAATAATTTTGCAATTACTTTCTAGCTCTAAAGTTCTGTTTTTTCAAAAGAGGCCAGGATTAGATGGAGCTTTAGGGATCAAGATTGCTTACTAATTGAATAAATAGTTCACAAAGCCTGTTGTATGAAGAACTACTCCTGGATTGAGGATCTGAGAGAAGTATAAGAATGAATCAGCCTCTTCAGATAGGTATTTGAGGTTCAAATCTTATGTAACTCAAGAACTATATAATCTTATTAGATAGATGTTATTCTTCTGGAAAATTAACCTTTTAAGTTAACTGGGAACCTACTGTGTACTCCTCTGAAATTTTCCTCTCCTAGTTTATTTTCCTAAGAAGCAATTTATCCGACTTTACTGTTTGCAAGCAATTATTGACTCCTTTAAGATTCAGGCCTAATAGTCATAATTCTTTCCAATGTCTTAATTATATATTCTTAAATGCATTATGTTGCTGGGTGCTGCTTTACCGATGTTATCATTCAGCCTGAGGATAGATGCATTTTAGTGTTAAATGAGCTGATCGCTTTAAAATGATGAATTTGGGGGGATTCATAGGTCTGTTCGATCTGTTATTATGATTGTGATTTATTAGAAAAATTTATTTTGTGCTCCTCCCTGGCTCGTGACACTTGAAAAATAATATTCCTACCAATTATTAAAATTTTATTCAACTTTACTGCCATATTTAGTATAGCCCAAAGAAAAAATAATCAGAAATGAAATGTGCATTGATGTGCCTGCTGATGCCTTCAACAAAGGGCATTTGTCTCCTAGTGTACCAACCAGCTTATCAATATAAGTGTAGAAACTTTAACGACAGTATCAGCTGCATCAATACACATTCTGAGAATTCATTGAGAACAATTTCCACAATTTTGTTAGTTTTTGACAGCACTATTGAAGCAAATTGCTGAATTGAAAATTCCAATCTATAATGACATGATGTCAACCAATAGGTCATTGCAACACTGAGTGGTTTAATATGAGTTTCAAAAGCATGTTATGATTCTTACTAATTGAGCACCAAAAGGTGAACCTTACTCGGTAGCTCTCTGCCTAGAAAAATTAACTTATTTAAAACAGGATTGGTTCTATCGTATTTAACATATACCAGACTGATGAAATGTTTGGCAGTATCTTGAGCAATTAGAGTGTAGTTGACTATGATCAATATATAGCTTCCCTTGAAAGGCTTCTGAAGAGGCAGGCAAATTATGCAGTGCCTTGATGACATGAATAGAATTATGACAGAAATCCATAAAGCAAAGTTAAAGAAAGCCAGTAGAGAAGTATGAAGTCAAGTCATATTACATAAGAATAACAATAGCAACAGCAATAAGAAAATCTGGAGATGTATCTGAAATTGAACTGAAAGATAATGATAGCATTCACTTTCTGTATATATAGGGAAGAATGCTAAAATGGCCCAGTAATCACAGATCTGCTATTAGTTAGGAAAGATTTTGAATAAATAAATAAACAAGTATTAGGCATATACTTATTCCAGTAAAACTAGTTAGGAAAAGTAAGATGTTGCAATTTTTTTTTAGGTCCGTGTAAGATGTTGCAATTAAAAAATGAGAGGTAGTTTTAGATAAAATGATTTTCTGGTTACAGTTTTTGTTTTATATATTTGCATTTAGCCTGTTTGGTTACTGTAAAATGTTACACAACTTGAAATTATAATCGAAGTAGTGAAATATCTGTGGGAAAATTTTTGTATTTCCTGGCCCTGCTTACTGGAATATTACAGAATCTTGTGAGACAGGATGTTGATAATGAAATTTACATCTACTGTGTTTGCTAGAGTAATAGCTAATATTTCTGCTTGGTGTTTAAGTTTAGATGCTTATTTGAATAAATGGTCAAGCTCAAGCCTTGAGAAACATATCAAATTTTAAACCACAATGCAAGCAGATAATCTTTGTTTCTAATTCCTGGAAAAACAGTTCTACAAATAAAACTTGTGCTCTTGTATTCACTGTTAATGAATTCTTATCCTGGGTCAATTGCATTAGGCACACACATACACAAGGAATTCATTTATTATATTTACTTTGATTAAATTATCACTGGATATTGTGCATTGGTTTTTATAACTAGAATATTTAAATCTTATTTTTTATTAAATATCCACCAAACTAGTAAAGTTCTTGATATTTAATAGTCATGAAAGTTATACTTTTATCTGATAGCATACATGTCATTAGATTTGAAAAGGAAACCATATGATACTAAGGGATGTAGATGGGGCATTATGGTTGCAGATAAATTATTAATATTTTGTATTATTTATTTGTGGCATACTTTGAAGACTTTTTAATATAGATGCAGATGTCTTCAGATGGCTTTTACATACTTTTTTTTTCTTATAGGATAGTGTTATCAGTTACCTATTGCTGCTATAACAAATTACTCCCAAACGTAGCAGCTTAAAACAACCCTAACTTATAGCTTATCGTCCTGGAGATCAAATGAGTCTCATTTGGCTAAAATCAAGATTTTGGCAGAGCTGCATTCCTTTCTGGAGAGAATCCATTTTCTTGCTTTTTGCAAGAGGCCACATGCATTTCTTGGCTCGTGGTCCTTTCCTCTGTCATCAAAACCAGCAATGGCCAGTAAAGCCTTTTCATATTTTGCTTGTTGATTGGTTTAAATTCCTTATACATTTTGAACATTAGACCTTTGTTAGATGTATAGTTCGCAAATATATTCTTCCATTCTTCAGGTTGTCTGTTTACTCTGTTGATAGTTTATTTTGCTGCACAGAAGCTCTTTAGTTTAATTAGGTCCCACTTGTTAATTTTTGTTTATGTTGTAATTGCTTTTGGAGTCTTTGTCATGAAGTCTTTGCCAGGACCATTCAGAATGGTATTTCCTAGGTTTTCTTCTGGGGTTTGTATAGTTTTAGGTTTTACATTTAAGTCTTTAATCCATCTTGAGTTGATTTTTGTATATGAACAAACCACCACAAAATCAAAATCATTTACTGGCTTTTGAGAATAGAAATTTATTCTCTTACCATTCCGGAGGTAAGAAGTCTGAAATCTTTCAGCTTCTGGTGTCTACCAGCATTCTGTGACTTGATTGTCTCGTGGAAGCATTACTAAAATAACCTGCTTCTGTGATCACATTGTCTTCTCTTCTGTGTGTGTCAAATTTCCTCTGTCTCTCTCACTTGTGATTGAAACTAGGACCCATCTGGACAATCCAAGATGATTCCCCCCCCATCTCAAAAGCCTTAATTTAATCACACCTGCAAAGTGCCTTTTTCCTTATAAGATGACTTTTACACGTTCCAGGGAAAAGTACTGGATATTTTTGGGTGCCCATTATTCAGCCTACTACAAACATTCTTTGAATTTGTGGAGTTCTTAGAATCTAGTAGAGACACGAGGCTTTAGAATACTCTGCTTACTACAGATTCAGTATCTCTGGGAAGCTTTTGACAGCTAAAGGCAATGAATATTATGTAATAATATGATAAATTATTGACGTAAAATTTTAATATAAATTACTATTAAACATCAAAAATGCAGGTTAATTCAAGATATTTGTCATTTTGGGGGATGTTTCTATTAAAATTTTCCAAATTCTATTAACTCTATCACATCCTGAAAGGCATGAAAAGAAGTTGGGTTCACATTCTCAAACTACTGTTAGTCTCCTTGGCCTCACTTAATGGATGAAGCAATGTTTCCATCTTTCTCTGAACCTTCCTAGCTCAGGAATACTGAGGGCATGACTAGATTATGTAGGAATTTGGGCTATCTATCTATCTATCTATCTATCTATCTATCTATATCTATCTATCTATCATCTATTATCTATCTATCATCTATCTATCTATCTATCTATTATCTATCATCTATCTATCTATCTATCTATCTATCTATCTATCTATCTATCTATCTATCTATCCTCTATCTCTTCCTCACATCAGCCTAAAGCAAAATTGGATTCTCCAGACATTTTATATTCCAGTGAAACATGGTCCTCCTTGAGGTCTTACAAAGATTATAAACTAAGGTTCTCTAGAAAGGGTTCTCTACCTTTAGGAGTGTCTATATGACGGCAAGTGGGGGCATCCTATTGTCACTACATTTCAATTCCAGTCCAAGATTAACAGAACCCCCAATAGCTTATCTATGACCACTTTTGTTATGAACTAGTTTTGTGCTACTCCTTATGTGAACATAGCTAAGATATTATGTCCCCTTAACATATATATATATATAGAATCCTCTTTTGGAACACAGCGAAACAAAGATGGGAGTCTCAGATTCTAGTTACATTAATGTTTTCTACCTCATTTTGGCCTTGTTTGACTCACTATTTTTATTAGACTTCACTAAGTTTGCTTTGCTTTGCCCTGTTACCACAGCTTATCTTTAGTCACTATTCTCTTTTTAGTTACTCAACTTAAAAGGAACAAGGCCTTTCTTCTCTTTTACAATGCTATTAACAATAGGAGTCTTGTGTACCTGTCAGAAAACAAACAAGAAGTGAATGGAATCCTAACAGGATAATAGGAAATATATTACATAAGTATGCATTTAATGTAAGTGGTAACCTCTGGATATTTGTGTGAATTAAACCATAGATTAAAACTCATACATCAGTAATAGCAGGGATCAAATAAACCACAGATAAATATGTTATGTGAAATAATGTAAAATTGATGTTACATATTATCAGAGTCTCAACTGTAATGAAGCTCATTGGCATTGGATAGAATCCTATAATTTCAAGTCTTATGGAAGAGGTTGTAATCTAAATGAGAGTTAAGATTTCCTACACAAATCCAGATACATCTGAAAATAGGTCTAAGAGTTCTCCTAAACATGGCACATGAGATAAAGTTTTATTTATTTTATTTTTATTCAATTAAGGTTTTTCTTATTTTAACTTCTTGAAAGGTTTTACCTCTCTTGTCACTGATGTGGTACATTTAAGTGTTGACATTCTATTTTATGACACATTTTATTAATTGCATTGATTTTAGTTCTAATTTACTTTTATAATTATCCACTTGAAAAATCACAATTTAAACAAATTTATTTTTTTACCTTATACACTTTAAACACAGGACAGCTTATAGGAAAACAAGTTAGAGAATCTCTATTTTGCATTTTACTGAGAAAAATGTGGCTGCTCAACTCTACTATATTAGTCCTAGGATGGCCTTTAACTAAAAAGAATGAGCACCAATAATAATTTAAGTAGAGCATAATAAAAGAGGATAAAAGTAAAATATTGTGCTCAAAATTACTCCTAAATACATTAACTTATTAATTGATTATATTTGTATCCTGTTAGGAATTGTATGGACTAAGAGCCATGAGAACAATCTTGAAGCAAATAGTTTTATTAAAAAGAAGTTCATCTTCTGCATGACAGCAAAATAATATGAAGTATTATATCAAAATAACACTGATGAAATTTTCTTATAAATTAATTAAAAAGGTGGTACATATTTTATACAATTAGGTAGAGTTGAAAATTTCAAACATGCTAAACTGTATACTTTCGGAATCATGCATACTTTAACCATCAATAAAAGGTAAGATGAGCTAACAGACTGCACATCTTTCTACAGTTTTTTCCTCCTTACTGTCATGACAAATGGATTTTTTTCATCATTTTTGGAAAACAGTCTTGTAACAGTCTTGTTTGATCATTTGCTACCCACCAATGATTGACCTCTCTAGCTCAGGTACTAAAGTACAGAATTTATTTGAAATTCTATAGATGCCAAAAGTAACAGTAGCAAATGAACTCATTGGAGAGAAAAGAGAAGGAATGTTTTTTTGTGGGGTGGAGGCCGTGAAATAAAAGGAAAAATATATTTGGAAGTAAATGCCAGTTATTTTGTGGTATTTTACTTTTTAGATGAAAAATAAAAAATAATTTTAAGAACCAAATATTACTGCTACTAAGAAACAGCCACTTATTATTTAGAAAAAAATATATAAAAAACAGGGGGGTAGAATTTGAAATTTAAAAGAAGGCTTTATTTGTTACTGAACTATTTTGAGGCTGGGCAAGGTGGCTCACACCAGTGATCCCAGAACTTTGGGAGGCTGAGACAGGAAGATCACTTGAGGCCAGGAATTTGACACCAAGGTGGACAACATAGTGATACCCTACTTATAAAAAATAAAATAAAATTGTAAAATTAGTTGGGCATAGTGGTATGCACCTATAGTGTAGTTCCTCGGGAGCTTGGGGTGGGATAATTGCCTGAGCCTAGGAGTTTGAGGTTATAGTGAACTATGATTGTGCCACTGCACTCAAGCCTGGGCAATAGAAATGAGACTGTCCCTTAAAAATAAAAATAAAATACTTTGAAATAACAAAATGGTAGATTTGGGCAATGGAAAGTGGATGACGTTCTGTGTTTTTTCTTTACAAAAATGTGTATGACACCTTTAATAGAATGGTGAAGGTAGATATGAAGTATTCATTACTTTTACTGATGTGGGGTATTATAGAGATTATATTGCAGAGTTCTAAAAAGGATGGATTAATTTTCACTTCACAAGTAAATGTTCCTACTGTAGGGCATTTGTTTAGTCAAATAAAGCAAGAAAGAAATGAGATAATAGGACAATTTGTCATTCAAAGCTTAAACAGAATTGAAATTGTAAATTTTATGCTACTGCAGATGAATTTTTTAAATAAAATGTAAGCTTGCAGAGAATTTCCAAGAAGAGTAAGAGCTATGACTTTAGCAAATGCCAAGTATATTTGACTTTTAAATGAAACTACATGGAAGCAAAAATAGCAAATCAACAGATTTTAAATGGTTGAAGGAAGTTACACAACAGCAAAGGAGACTAACTGTACCATTGTGGCACTAAAATAAGATTATAGTACAGGAAAATATGTGATATTAAGTAGCATGGAGCTTGCCTATGGAAATAAATATCACATGTATGATTTTTTTCCGATTTCTTTATTAGGCTGGTCATATTGCCAAGACTTAAATATTGTTTATTTAAAAAAAAATGAAGAAAGTACTTGTCAAATGACCTCTGATTGATTATAATCATTTAACACATGTAGCATTAACATTCTAGGATGATGGTGAATATGGCTTGAGAATTTTCAAATCTACAGCATGAGGATATCTGCTATTTAATACTTAGCCACCATTATAGGGATTTCTTTGGATACTTCCTTAGATGAAGACAATAACTTTTTTACTGCCATATGAAAGCAATTTCCTAGTTGAGGGAAACACACACACACAGATGTCTATACACAAACAATATTTATCTTTGATTGTCGTTAGAAACCTAGTATCTTGAGCACATCAAGGCTTGAGTTAAAAAACAAAACAAAACAAAACAAAACTAGAAAATACTGAACATGAAATAATACTTTTTGGAATTTGATGAGCTCTCGTGAGACTTGGGCCTCTCCCTAAGCTGACTTTCAGCAAGGAGAAGGACAAGTTTGAGTTTGGGCCCAGGCTCTTCAGGAGCTGCAGATAAACTTGGACCTCAAGACTCAGCACAGGGAGCAGAATATCACAGCAGCCAAGGAAACTGAAGTTGGTGGTGGTCAGAAAGTGATCATAATCTTTGTTCCCATTCAACTGAAATCTTTCCAGAAAATCCAAGTTCAGCTAGTACGTGAACTGGAGAAGTTCATTGGGAAGTATGTCATCTTTATTGCTCAGAGGAGAATTCTGCCCAAGCCAACTCAAAAAAAGCCATACAAAAAAAATATAAATAAATAAGAAAAAGCATCCCAGGAGCCATACTCTGACAGCTGTGTAGGATGTGATCCTTTAGGACTTGGTCTTCCAAGTGAAGTTGTGGACAAGAGAATCTGTGTGAAACTGGAGGGCAGCTTGCTCATCAGGGTTCATTTAGTCAAAGCACAGCAGAACAATGTGGAACACAAGGTTGACACTTTTTCAGGTGTCTATAAGAAGCTCACAGATAAGGATGTTAATTTTGATTTCCCATAGTTTCCGTTGTAAACAAAAATGACTAAATAAAGTATATTCACAGATTTAAAAAGGAAATAATACCTTTTAATCTAACTTGAGATAAAGCTATCAATTTAATCACTGTAATAGATGAGAGTTTTGTTTAACTGTGGTTGGTTAAATATTAATATAAACTATGAAATTAGCTTGTTCCAGCGAGTTGTATACATGAAACATGCTGTTAATTCATCGTTAAATATGCTCACTGGGTGTGACTCACTGAACTGCAGCAATGCTCTGAGAGTCAGTATTCAACTGGTTCACCTAGCTTGCTATCGGCAAATGCCCAGAGGCTGGTGACCAATAATCCAGTGTCAACAAATACAGAAAATACCTATATCAATTAATAGGTTGCTTTACTGATGATGTCAAATATTATCTTTCCCCAAAAACGTCTTGAAAATAATTTAAGATTATGTTGCTCATCATGGAAATAATAATAAATTCTCTAAGCCTACCCTTAGGGGAGATTTAGTTCCTGCCAGATATAATTTGTATCTTGATTATCCATGAGGCAAGCGCTGGTATCTGTTTGGGTAGCCTGGGAGCGGTGGTTAGATCATCATAATGTTTAATCAGTGAGATGAGTTAGTCAGTTATCATGGAAACACACAAAAGACAAACATAGTCAGGTGTTTTCTTATAAGATTAAACAAAAATATAAATTACATCAATAATATTTATTACTTATTATTGGTTTCAAGCTTACTGTGTGTATTAGTCCATTCTCACACTGCTATAAAGAAATACCCAAGACTGGGTAATTTATCAAGAAAAGAGGTTTAATTGGCTCACGGTTTCACAGGTTGTACAGGAAGTATGGCAGTTTAGGGTACCAAATGTATATTTAACATATATCTTTTAAATAAATGAATGAAATGTATATTCAGAGTGAGTATACTATTGGGTCCAATTACCTTCCACCAGGCCCCACCTCGAACACTGGGGAAAACAATTCGAACATGAGACTTGAGCAGGGACACAAATCCAAACCATATCACTATGAATATATATAGAACTCATAGTGGGAGAGACTGATGTTAAGCAAGTAAACAAAGAAAGAAAACATTTAATTACAGTTAGTGATCAGTTATTAGTACAAGGAAGGAAGTATATAGACAAATTATTGCAGAACAATATGATGCCAGGAAGCCAACAAGGAAAAAAAACATATTTTAGATAGAATAAATAGAAAGGGGATACCCCTCTAAGGAAGTGACATCTACTCTGAGATCTGTATGGTAAAGTCAGAACTGACTATTGGTGTTGCAAGGGATGGGATCGATGCTTAGAGATCTTCAGGAAGAGGAAACAGCCTTTCTAAAGACCTTGAGGTGGTAGGGAATTTCACCTGTTCCAGAAACTGAAATTATATCACAAGACTTGTGGCAGAGTCAGCCAGTCAGAGACTAGCAGGGGAAGTGTTTGGTGAGGCAGATGGAGCTCAGATACAGCCAGGCATTATAGACCATATATTTGTTGTGGGCATTAGTGTTTGGGGGGCTTGTCAGAGCAACAGGTTTTAAAAATAAATTGCTTTTTTCTGCTGTTAAGACATTTTTTCTATAATTAAAATTTATTAAGGTAAACCAAGATCTTACCTATCCTTATTTTGCTAATCTATGGGAGTCAGAGAAGTGAAAGGTATATTATCTCTGCATAGCTACTCTCCATAGTCCCCATAAGTTCTTTCTTCTCTTGTAGGCAAATTCTTGGGATACAAGGTAGGTTAATGTATGACTATAGGCATCTATAAATTGTTTTTCTAATGAACACCATAGGGTTGTTTTTTCCTTATTGGAGAAAAGCTGGCCACATACTCAGTGTGCCAATACTTTTCAGCACATCCATTTAGCAAGTGAAAGAATATATTATCTTACCATATTTCTCTTGCTAGATCTCTGAAGTTTCAGAGTCTATCATTTTCAACTATCATTAGATTATATCTTTCTTCTTACTAATTTGCAAGTTCCTTAAGAGGAGACATGAGGGCCTTATTGTTTTATCTTACCTCTGTATCAAATACAGTACCTTACATTGAAGAAGCTTTGAGATATCACAAAGTTTATGCAGACAAATGATATCAATTCTATTGAAATGTTATTATGTACTTTCTCCACTCAATTATAAGTTCTACTGACGCTACACACTATGATTATCCTGTTCACTGTTGTGACTCCCCACCCTACCTCCTCCTCCATGGAATCTTCTGACTAATTACTAGAAATGATGTTTGGTTTTAAAGGGGATGGGATAAATTTTCTAACTGATGCTTTGGGGAATACCGGAAGACAAAGAGGTGAGTTTCAAATACTTGGGAAACAACAAAACTAAGTACGCAGGTGCCAAAAATTGAGACTTAATTCAGGATCAAAAAGCTATGAGTTTAAAGCCCAGTAGAGATGTAATCAGAGTATAGCCAGTTTAGGACTAAGCAAGGAGGGTGACAGAGAATTTTCAGGTGAATATTTTAAATACTAATTGGTAGAGGGTGGTAAGACTAACTAAAAGCCCAGAACCAGAATAGACAGTTATTTCTTTTCTAGGAAATATTGACATTCAATTTAGAAGTATGGGCTTTTTATCTTGAAGGATTGGGGGCTACTTTTTTCACATAACACTTCCATCTGTGCAATGTTTATGAATTCCCCAAAGTAATTAGTTTTATGGAACATTTCCAGGTGTCATATCCCTCTTTTCTACGACTCCTGGGAAAATATAAAATACAGGACAAGCACTTGTGCCATAGAGTTTTATTGGGAAATTAGCAGCAATTGCTATTACAACATAAATATGGTTCATCCATGAGCACACTTTCTTTACAAATAAAATAAAAAGGAAAAATGAGCAAAATATAAATAGGGTCTATCCTAATCTAAGGGTTAGATTCCCTTTCACTCTACTTTCCCTATAAGGCCATTATCTCAATTTTTTTTAACCTACTATGGTTATGTTATGCCTCTCTGTATCCAGGCCTTTTGATGGTGGTTTTCCACACTGACTCTGGTCTTGGCCATATGCCTTGATTTGGCTAGCGTAGCATTGCAAGATTAAAGCAAGCAGAGACTTGAAAAGTGCTCATGCATTTGACTTTTCTCTCTTTGACTTCTGCTGACATCATGACAAGATGCCTGGGCTAGCCTGCTGGAGAAATGTAAGAAATACATGTAGGAGAACTGGTTTATCCGCGATTTCCTGCTATATAAGCTAGTATTCCAGTTGACCCATCAACTGACCACAGATACATATGTGATCTCAGTGGATATATATGAAGCCTGGTTTAAATCAGCAGAAATATCCAGTGACCCATAGACTGATAAGCAGTTGTTCTTTTATTTATTTTAGGAAATGGTGGAGCAATAAGTGACTAATACATCCAACACATTTTGAGCCATTTTCTGTATTTCTCTTCAAGAGCTTCCAGCCCCTCAAATCTTGCATAGTTCCTTTGAATTGATATATTGCTTTAACCTGTAAGAACTTCAGATGTCCCAGATGTCTCAGCTTCTGATCCCTGCCCAGCTATATTTATATAGCTATGTTTGATTTCTCAGATTGTCTTAACCCTGACTGAAAACTCTTCTGGGTTTCATCCAAGTTTACATTTTGGTTAGTTAGCTGTGAAGACAGAATAGAGTGCCTTCAAAAGTGGATGGGAGGAGCATATATATTCAGGGCAACTTGAATCTACACTTCCAGATTATTGCAGCCCTCAAACTTGGCCCAAATAATGTATCTACTTATATATATGTGTATATACATTTATTTTATATGTCATTTTAAAAGGAGGTGGAGACTTTGTTTTTGATATGCTAGGCCATAAAATTCTTATGTAAAGCAATGCCATGATAAAAGAGTTCTTCAAGTAAATCAGTCGAAAACACAAAGCCTGAAGAATTTGAATGGAAAGACCAGAGAGATTAACTGTAATTGATACTTGAGTTCAAATAGAAGGATTGTTTATACATTTGTGACCTGGAGAGGAGGTTGGGAAAGTGCAACTAAACTTGCGAATCTTTGCTGGGCAAGCAGATGACTACACTCTTTTGATCATATTCTAATATGAATAATTACTTAAGAACTGTTGCAGTTTTTTTCCCTTGAACTCTCCTATGTCATATGTGTTGTTAATAGTTTTCTAAGTAGGCCCTAGCCCCAGGGTTCCCATTAAAAACTTTTCAGGAGTCTAGAATAAAATCACATAAGGCTAAAACAGCAACATTCACATGTATAATGAATGTGAAGCAAAAGCTTTCAAACTAGAATTATTATGATACTTTAAAACCAGTCCAACCAGCATCTAGAGATATAGATGTTGTACTGAATCCTTCTAATGCAGGAATTTGCTTCACATTTGGTACTGAGGAGTTTCATGCATTCTCAAATAGATGCAACCTGAAAGTATTAAGGCTTGACAGTGTGTGTTCAAAATTAACATGATAATAATGATGACAACTTCTAAACTTAGTCTTCTGTGACTAGCAGGCTCTCAGAAATAGCAAAGGATAATGAAAGGGAAGCAATGAGGCAAGATATCTGTTCTATCATTTACTAACTTCTACAGATTGACAAACAACTGGTTTATTTTTTCCATAGTAATTCTGCCTCCTTTTTATAAAAATAAACTTTTTTTTTCATTCTTCATTAATCCTGCCAAGTGAATAAATTGCTTCTAGAGGTATATAGTCTAATATTCATCCCTGGACTTCTATCTTGCACCTGATATTTTTAGGCAAGTCACAACAGGCAATTATTTTTTGTTTGATTGCTTGATTTGGCATGGGGAGGTCAAATTCAGGGCTTCTCTCTAGAAAGAAGAAGGCTAGTATCCCCGTTTACAAGTAGATATACAAGCATTGTTGAAAGTTTTCTAAACAAAAAGAAAATCCAGAAGGTAATTGATACATTAGATGCCTAAACATGTTATCTCTGCTATTAAAACGTCTCTGAGAAAAGATGGCATTTTTGGCACCATTTCTCAATGGCCGTGGTCTATTTGCAAATAGTAGAAGTAGTGACATATTTTAGATACAATTTTTTAAGTTGAATATATTATAGTGAGATATTTAATATTAAATGGCCATGGAATGGATATTGTGAGTATAAAAGTAAGCAGAAAATGGAAGAATGAGTAAACGAATACTAACAAAATAAGCACAGAGTGATTGATGTCATTTCCAAATCCTCCAAAATTGGTTTGATTAATTTGACAGAATCATAACATGTCTTTAAAGGAATTACTTAAGACCTGAGAAGGTGTTCTCTTGTAGTTGAAGTCCCAGAGACTGAAAAAGGGACAGAAAGACAAAGCCTGTTTTAATATAATTATATTAATATGCCTCATTTTTTGGAATATATTATCATCTCATTTTTTTCTATTTGGCTAGAAATTGAATGCTATGAATATTTGCAATTCAATATAAAGTTCAGAAACAGAATATGACACAGATTCAAGGGAATGAGAAAAGAAATTATGCATGTGGAAAAATATGCTTTCTAAGGGTGACTTACAAGTTTTATATCTTTAATATATCTCAACAAAAATCTCTGCAAACAAAACAACTCAGATACAGTCACTCTTATAAAGTAACTCACAAATAACCCACATGTATTTTAAATGAGCTTCAAAGTTACTAATAACCAAATCATTTTTAATAAAGTTTTTCTAATACTGGTTAGCAATATTTACTTATTAAAAATTATATCAAATGCCTGCTGTGGTCGGACCTGTTGAATTATTTTATTTTTTATATTAAAATGTTAAATAATAATTTTAAAACACAAAAGGCAACTGGTTACCCATAAGCAAAGGGTGCTTTCTCACTGTTGGAGTTAAATACTTCATGATCTTGAAGATATAATTTAATTCAAATATTTGAATGGTGCTAGGCACCTGGGACATGATGATGAATGGGACAGCATGCCACCCCTCGAGATGTCACAATTCATTTGGGGTTCAGACAACCAAACAGGCAATGTCAGTAAAATTCTATGTGAGCCATTAATAAGAAATACTTTATGGTGAATAACTCCCCTTAATTGCCTTAATTGGTCAAGTACACCAAAATTCCCAGTCCTTCAGGCTTAAGTTAAATTATCTCTAAAATGTATTATTAGCTATTATGTAGGACTTCTAGGGAGTATTTATACTGAATATATTTAACTCATGATATTTGATCCAGAGACTGCTCCAGTTTCCAAGATCATTGCAACTTTCCGCTTAACTGAAACAAGTGAAAAATAAATCACCTGCTTCGTTATTGTTGTACAGTTGATCCTAGAGATATGGCAGAACATGAAAGCTACAATTAAGGCATGTTAATACAGATAGACAGTGTTACCACGTTTTACCTCCCAATAGTCTGCTCTGTATTTCTGTCAATTTCAAAATAAATACATAATTCCTAAACAGTGTTTAGAAATTTTCATTAATATTGAGGCAGAGGAAACTACCTGATGAATCTACTGTGACCACTTGGATTAGAAGCCAACAGCAAAAGTTAGCATGTGAAAATCATAGGTAGCAGTTATATTTCAAGGATGAGTAAAAATGCCAGCATACTTAGGGTTATCAATCATTATGATTAGAAAATCGATATGGTAGGTACTTCAAAAACACTTTGATATCTAGGTTCACTTCAATCGCTGCCCAGACACTTAACATTCCTAAACAAAGGACCATTTAACTGGCTTTGCATTTGACTGGACTGAGATTGAATAGCTTAGATATAATTTTCAGTTTGGCTGAACACCAATCAAGATTCATTCATTCTAGCTCATATAGTGCTCCATGCATTCAACTTCTTTACTATTCAGTCAAAGAAAGAAAGGACAGAGCAAATATCCATCCTTCAGCAGGTTTTTCATTGTTGATGTTATTGTTATTGTTTTACCTGGAAGTGGCAGTTGTGCTCTCATTTAATGGAAATACTGGTAATATTCATTTGTGAGGTATAATGGGCTTTTGTCAGTATAATAGAAATTCCTTACAAAATTGATAGTTTCATTTTATTTAAGACGATACATATTCTAATATGTTTCTAAAAATCCGTCAAGTCCTGGACATTTGCTGTAGATACGTATGTGTACAGGAAAGATGCATTTGAACTCCCTGAAGGTCTTTGCAAGAAAGCCAGATAAGTAAACAGTTTCGTTTTAAATCTAAACTGCTGATTTTTTGAGGAATTATAGCAGTTTTCCCTGGGCTATCTGGTACCAACTTTCAAAACTGTGAGGAATTTATCCCATTCGAAACACAAGAATTTAATTCAAGTCAAGCCTTGTTTCTTTCAGATTTTTATGTTAAGATAATCCATACATAGGCATATACAAGTAATGTTTATATATTTACATGTACGTATATTTATTAAGCTATACCTGCCATGCATAACGGTTCCTCTGATGGATCTGGTCCAAGTAAATTGAAAACCTTCTGGAAAGGATTCACCATTCTAGATGCCATTAAGAACACACATGATTCATGGGAGGAGGTGAAAATATCAAGAGTAACGGAAGTTTGCATGAAGTTTATTCTGACCCTCATGGGTGACTTTGAGGGGTTCAAGACTTCAGTGAAGGAAGTCACTGCAGATGTGGTGCAAATTGCAAGGTAACTTGAATTAGAAATGGAGCCTGAAGATGTGACTGAATTACTTCAATCTCATGATAAAATTTGATGAATAAGTTGTTTCTTACAGATGAGCAAAGAAAGTGGTTTCTTGAGGTGGAATCTAATCCTGGTGAAGGTGCTATGAAAATTGTTGAAATGACAACAAAGGATTTAGAATATTCCATAAACTTAGATGATAAAGCAGTGGTAGAACTTGGAAGGATTGACGGTAATTTTGAAAGAAGTTGTACTGTGGGTAAAATACCATCAAACAGCATTGCATGCTACAGAGAAATCTTTTGTGAAAGGGAGAGACAATCAATGTGGCAAACTTCATTACTATCTTATTTTAAGAAATTGCCATAGCCACTCCAAATTTCAGCAACCACCATCCTGGTCAGTCAACAGCCGTCAATATGGAGGCAAGACCCTCCACTAGCAAAAAGATTACAATCCACTGAAGGCTCAGATGATCATTAGCATTTTTTTAGCAATAAAGAATTTTTAAATTAAGGTATATACATTGATTTTTAGACATG
Source organism: Homo sapiens (assembly GCF_000001405.40). Classification (NCBI taxonomy): domain Eukaryota; kingdom Metazoa; phylum Chordata; class Mammalia; order Primates; family Hominidae; genus Homo; species Homo sapiens. Next base: position 95,670,972 of record NC_000023.11, on the reverse strand, counting down.
ATGCTATTGCACATTTAATAGAATACATTATAGTATAAACATAACTTTTATATGCACTGAGAAACCAAAAAATTCACACAACTCTATTGTGATATTCACTTATTGAGATGACCTAGAACAAAACCTGCAATATCTCTGAAGTATCCCTGTAACTCTGGTGTATACTGCCTTCTGTATTAATTTACTGGGAATTGAAATATTTATTCCTGTAATTATATAGCCTTATAAGGAAAATTAACAATAGGATAATGTATTAGAGCTAGGAATTCTTAAGCATTTTTGGAGTTATCAATGTCAACATTTGCTGAATAAGGCACCCTGAAATGGTTAGCAAAATTGCTTCTTACATTCCTCTTCCTTACTTAGTAGCTGAATCAATAAGCATCCTTATACATAAAGTTATGATGAGCCAGTAAAGGTTAATTGTAAACTATCACATGACTATATATATCATGAAAATTAGTCATCTTTGCTTTGGGTTGTCTTGGCTATTTGGGCTCTTTTTTGATTCCATATGAATTTTAAAGTAGTTTTTTTTTCTAATTCTGTGAAGAATGTCAATAGTAGTTTGATGGGAATAGCATTGAATCTATAAATTACTTTGGGCAATATGGCCATTTTTATGATATTGATTCTTCCTGTTCATGAGGATGGAATGTTTTTCCATTTGTTTGTGTCCTCTCTTATTTCCTTGAGCAGTGGTTTGTAGTCTTCCTTGAAGGGGCCCTTCACTTCCCTTGTTAGTTGTATTCCTAGGTATTTTATTCCCTTTGTAGCAATTGTGAATGGGAGTTCATTCAAGGTTTGGCTTTCTGTTTGCCTGCTTTTGGTTTATAGGAATGCTAGAGATTTTTGCACATTTATTTTGTATCCTGAGACTTTGCTGAAGTTAACTGTCAGCTTAAGAAGCTTTTGAATTGAGACAATAGGATTTTCTAGATATAAGATCATGTAATTTGCAAACAAAGATAATTTGACTTTCTTTCTTCTTATTTGAATACCATTTATTTATTTCTCATGCCTGATTTTCCTGGCCAGAACTTCCAGTACTATGTTGAACAGGAGCTGTGAGAGAGGGCATCCTTTTCTTGTGCCAGTTTTCAAGAGGAATGCTTCCAGCTTTTACCCATTCAGTATGCTAAGGGCTATGGGTTTGTCATATATGGCTGTGATTATTTTGAGGTATATTCCTTCAATACCTAGTTTGTTGAAAGTTTTTAACATAATGGGATGTTGAATTTTATTGAAGCCCTTTTCTGCATCTATTGAGATAATCATGTAGCTTTTGTATTTATTTCTGTTTATGTGATGAATTACATTTATTGTTTTGCATAGGTTGAACCAACCTTGCATCCCAGAGATGAAGCCAACTTGATCGTGGCTTTTTGATGTGCTGCTGGATTCAGTTTGCCAGTATTTTATTGAGCATTTTTGCATTGATGTTCATCAGGGAGACTGGCCTGAAGTTTTCTTTTTATGTTGTATCTCTGCCAGGTTTGGTATCAGGATGATGCTGGCCTCATAAAATGAGTTAGGGAGGAGTCCCTCCTTTTCAATTGTTTGAAATAGTTTCAGAAAAAAATGGCACCAGCTCCTCTTTGTAACTCTGGTAGAATTCAGTTGTGAACCCATCTGTTCTAGGGCTTTTCTTGGTTGGTGGGCTATTTATTACTCCCTCGATTTTAAAACTCATTATTGGTCTATTCAGGGAGTCAATTTCATCCTGGTTCAGTCTTGGTTAGGTGTATGCATCCAGGAATTTATCAATTTCTTCTATATTTTCTAGCTTACAGGCATAGAGGTGTTTGTACTGTTCTCTGATTGTTGTTTGTACTTCTGTGGAGTCAGTGGTGATATCCTCGTTATCATTTCCAATTGTCTCTATTTGATTCTTCTGTTTTTTCTCATTAGCCTAGCTAGTGGTCTATTTTACTTTTTTTTTTTTTTCAAAAAATAGCTCCCGGAAGCTATTTTTTGAAGTGTTTTTTGTGTCTTTATTACTTTCAGTTCCGGTTTGATGTTAGTTATTTATTATATTCTGCTAGCTTTGGGATTTGTTTGCTCTTGGTTCTCTAGTTCTTTTACTTGTGATATGAGTTAACCAATTTGAGATCTTTCTACCTGTTTGGTGTAGGCATTTAGTGCTACAAATTTCTCTCTTAACACTGCCTTAGCTGCATCCCACAGATTCTGGTATGTTGTCTCTTTGTTCTCATTAGTTTCAAATAACTTCTTAATTTCTGCCTTAATTTCATTATTTACCCAGTAGTCATTCAGGAGTAAGTTGATCAATTTCTTTGTACTTGTGTACTTGTGTAGTTTTGAGTGACTTTTCTAATCTTAAATTCTAATGAGACTGTGCTGTGGTCTGAGAGACTTTTTTTCAATGATGTCAGTTATTTTGCATTTGCTGAGGAGTGGTTCACTTCCAATTATGTTATCAATTTTAGAGTAAGTGTCATGTGGCCATTGGAGGAACGTATATTCTGTTGTTTTGGGGTGGAGAGTTCTATAGATATCTATCAGGTCTGCTTGATCCAGAGCTGAGTTCAGGTCTTGAATATCTTTATTAATTTTCTGTCTTAATGATCTTTCTAATACTGTCAGTGAAGTGTTAAAGCATCCCACTATTATTGTGTGGGAATCTAAGTCTCTTTATAGGTCTCTAAGCACTTGCTTTATAAATCTGGGTGCTCCTGTATTATGTGGAAATATATTTAGGATAATTAGCTCTTCTTGTTGAATTGAAACCTTTGCCATTATCTAATGCCCTTCGTCTTTTTGATCTTTGTTGGCATAAAGTCTGTTTTGTCATAAACTAGGATTGTGACCACTGATTTTTTCTGTTTTCCATTTGCTTGGTAAATTTTCCTCCATCCCTTTATTTTGAGCCTTTGTGTGTCTTTGCACATGACATGGGTCTCTCGAATACAGCATACCAATGGGTCTTGACTCTATGCAGCTTGCTATTCTGTGTCTTTTAATTAGGGCATTTAGCTCATTTACATTTAAGGTTAATGTTGTTATGTGTGAATTTGATCCTGTCATTATGATGCTAGCTGTTATTTTGCAGACTTGTTTATGTAGTTGCTTCATAGTGTCACTCATCTATGTACTTCAGTGTGTTTTTGTAGTTGCTGGTAATGGTTTTTCCTTTCCATATTTAGTGCTTCCCTCAGAAGCTCTTGCAAGGCAGGCTTGGTGGTGACAAATTCCCTCAGCATTACCTTGTCCAAAAAGAATCTTATTTCTTCTTTGCTTATGAAGCTTAGTTTGGCTGGATATGAAATTCTGGGTTGGAAATACTTTTCTTTAAGAATGTTGAATATTGCCCCCCAATCTTGTAAGGTTTCCACTGAGAGGTCTGCTGTTAGTCTAATGGTCTTCCCTTTGTAGGTGACCTGACCTTTCTCTCTGGCTGCCCTTAACATTTTTTCTTTCATTTTAACGTTGGAGAATTTAATGATTTTTTGTCTTGAAACAGATCTTCTCATGGAGTATCTTATTAGGGTTCTCTGGATTTCCTGAATTTGAATGTTGGCCTGTCTTTCTAGGTTGTGAGATTTCTCCTAGATGATATCCTGAAGTGTGTTTCCCAAATTGGTTCCATTCTCCCTGATCACCAATCAGTCTTAGGTTCAGTCTTTTTACATAATCCCATATTTCTCTGAGGTTTTATTCGTTCCTTTTCATTCTTTTTTTTCTCTATTCTTGTCTGCCTGTCTTGTTTCAGAAAGATAATCTTCAAGCTCTAAGATTCTTTTCTCCACTTGGTGTATTTGACTCTTGATACTTGTGATTACATTGTGAAGTTCCTGCATTGCTCTTTTTTTCAGCTCCATTAGGTCATTTATATTCCTCTTTAAACTGGCTATTCTGGCTATTAGGTCCTGTAATGTTGTATTGTGATTCTTAGCTTCTTTGCATTGGGTTAGAACATACTCCTTTTCCTCAGCGAAGTTCGTTATTACCTACCTTCTGAAGCCTAATTCTGTCAATTCAGCCATCTCATCCTCAGCCCTGTTCTGTGCCTTCTCATTTGGAGAAGAGGCACTCTGTTCTTTGAGTTTTCAGCATTTTTGTGTTGATTCTTTCTTGTCTTCATAGGCTTATCTACCTTCAATCTTTGAGGTTGCTTACCTTTGAATTGGGCTTTTGTGGGGTCTTTTTTGTTGATGTTGTTGTTGTTGTTTTCTCTTTCTCTGTTTTTCTTTTAATAATCAGGCCACTATTCTGTAGGGCTGCTGTGGTTTTCTGGGTGTCTACTCCAGACTTTAGTAGCCTCATTCTTTCCTGCAGCTGGAGGTATCTCTAGTGAAGGCTATGAAACAGCAAAGATGGCAGCCTGGTCCTTCCTCTGGGAGCTCCATCCCAGAGGGGTACTGACCTCCCAAACACTCCTACAGGAGGTATCTGGAGACCCCTGTTGGGAGGTCTCACCCAGTCAGGAGAAATGGGATCAAGAACCTGCTTAAAGAAGCAGTCTGGGTGCCCTTTGATGGAGTGGGTGTGCTGTACTGAAGGGAACCCACCTCATCCAGAGCACCCAGACCCTCCAGAGCCGGCAGGCAGGAAAGACTAAGTCAGCTGAACCACAGAGATTGCAGCTGCCCTTCCCCTGATGGGCTTCATCCCAAGGGCATCAGAGTTCTGTCCGCAAAACCCTGACTGGAGTTGCTGAGATTCCTGCAGGGAGACCACACCCAGTGAGGAGGGATGGAGTGGGGTCCCATTTAAAGAAGCAGTCTGGCTATTATTTGCCACAGCAGCTGTGCTATGCTGTGGGGGAATTCCTCCCAGTCTGGACCACCCAGTTTCTTGGAGCTAGCAGGCCAGAATGGCCTATTGAAGCAGCAGAGATAGCAGCTACCCCTTCTCAACCCTGTGAACTTGGTTGTCTTAGACAGTCTTCAGGCTGCTGCCACTGACTGGCTGGAATTCCAAGCCAGTGGGTCTTAATTTGTAAGGTGCCATGGGAGTGGGTCTCACTGAACCATACCACTTGGCTCCCTGGCTTCAGCCCCCTTCCTGGGAAATGGAAGGATCTCCTGCCTCACCAAAATTCCTGGGGCCACAGTATGCAAAAACTCCTGGGTTTCTTTTTTTTTCTTTTTTTGACGGAGTCTCGTTCTGTCGCCTAGGCTGGAGTGCAGTGGTGCGATCTCGGCTCACTGCAAGCTCCACCCCCCGGGTTCCCGCCATTCTCCTGCCTCAGCCTCCCGAGTAGCTGGGAGTATAGGCACCCGCCACCACGCCCGGCTAATTTTTTGTATTTTTAGTAGAGATGGGGATTCACCGTGTTAGCCAGGATGGTCTCCATCTCCTGACCTCGTGATCTGCCTGCCTCGGCCTCCCAAAGTGCTGGGATTACAGGCATGAGCCACTGCGCCAGGCCAAACTCCTGGGTTTCTGTGCGTGCCTGAGCTGATGCCAAGAGTCCACATAGCTCTGAGCTTCAGATCCAATGCCCTGGTGATGTGGGCTCACTGAGGGGATCCCCTGATCAGCATGTTGCAAAGATCTGTGGGAAAAGCGTGGTTTCCCGGGTGGGGTCCCACAATCACTCACCACCTCCCTTGGCTGGGTGTAGGGGCTCCACTGGCTCCCTGCTGCTCCCGGGTGGGCTATTGCCCCACCCAGCTTCTCCTCACTCTCTGTGGGTCACACTGACCACCTAGTCAGTCCCAATGTGAGAATCTGGATACCTCAGTTGAAGATGTAGAATTCACTCACAGTTTTTGTTCTCTGAGAGATGCACAGAATACAGCTGCTTCTAATTGGCCATCTTGGCTCACCCCCCTACCCCACCTCGCCTCAACTTCTCTTAACCTTCACAGAATTGAAGAGAATTAGGGCCTTGCTCTGGTGCTCTGGATTAAGTTTTGGCTTAAGAGAATGGTGTGGCTGGTTTGATCTTCTATCCAAGCCACTAAAATTTTCCCCATGTGTGAAATAAGGTTGTCTTAATTTATCTTTCGTATGTTCACTGTATGAGCACTTTCAATTTCCTTCAATACACTTTCCTTTGTTTAGATCTCTTGTTAGACACGAGAGGCTAGCTTTTGGCCTATCTCTACTTTTGATGTGCCTCCTGACTAAGCTTAAACATTTCTAGCTTTCGACTTAAAGTGAGAGATGTGCAACCCTTCTTTTCACTTGAACACTTAAAGGTCATTGTAGGGTTATTAATTGGCCCAATTTCAATATTCTTGTGTTTCAGGGAATAGAGTGAACTGGGAAAGGGAAAGGGTCTAGCGAGTGAACAATTGGTGGAGCAGTCACAACACACACAATATTTATAACTTAGGTTTGCTGTCATATGGTGCAGTTTGTGACACTTCACAATAATTAAAATAGTAACATCAAAGATCACTGATTACAGACAGCCATAATAGATTAAATAATAATGAAAAAGTTTGAAGTATTGCAAGAATTATTAAAATATGGCACAGATACACAGTGAGCATATGCTATTGGAAAAATGGGCCTGATAGACTTTCTCAATGCAGGGTTGTCACAAACCTTCAATTTTCACAAAAACACAGTATCTGACAAGTTTAATAAAATGAAGCACAATAAAGCAAGTTATGCCTGTACAAACCATGTGACTGTGTGAAGGTGTATTAGGGCTGTAGTGATTTAATTTTAAATTACAGTTTTATAAAAGTATTCATTGTGGTGGTCAGAATTGGTATATTATTAGAAGCCCTGAGACATGAGGTTCTGTTCCTGGGGCACACTCTCCAGGGACTTTTCAGTTGAGAGTTCAAGTCCAAGAACAGAAGGTTACTCTTTTCTGGAGACAAGAAGAGACATCCTTTTGTTGAGCTAATCTAGTGTTTCATCTTGAACCTTACATCAAGAGAAGAATATGAGGGGTTCCTATAATGATCCACTTTTCCTAATAGTTAATCATCAAACTGAGAGTAAATTGCATAGTGTTGTAACATTTTCCACTTCCTGATATGGAATAATTAAGGTATCACTTAGTTGCGACTTTTACTTAAGGTTTTGTTTGACAAGAATAAAAATCAAAAAGTATTTGTAAAAATCTACATATGTTAAGATGTGCAGAATTTGACTAACATGGATTCGAGTTAGCAGTCAATTGTTGTATTTTAGAATATATGACCAATTTCAATTTTAATTACAAAATATTTTTATGCTAGAAGAAGTCTAATATAAGTCATCTGTAAATTAGGTATGTTAAGCCTGTTTTGTTTCAGAAATAAACCAAATGTTTTTATTTTTATTATTATACTTTCAGTTCTGGGATACCTGTGCAGAACGTGCAGGTTTGTTACATAGGTATACACGTGCCATGGTGGCTTGCTGCACTCATCAACCCGTCATCTACATTATGTGTTTCTCCTAATGCTGCCCCTCCCCTAGCCCCCCACCCCCTGACAGGCCCCAGTGTATGATGTTCCCCTCCCTGTGTCCATGTGTTCTCATTGTTCAACTCCCAAATGTTTTTTTTTTTTAAGGAGGCTCTTATCGTAGGTTCTAGGCAGGAATTAATGGAACATTATATCATGCTTGAAATAATGAAAACTAGAAAGCGAAATTTTGAATGTGGCATTAGCCTCAAATTAGAACATTTGCTTTCCCTAATATGTTTCCTTATACAAGAAGAATTAGACTTAAGGGTCAATAGAATAGGAATGGGCTTTGAGGAGGTGCTAACCTCAAATAAATTATTCACCTTCAGGGCCTCTCTAGAGTCTACCACACTTCAGGCATTAGCTATTTAAAAGCAAATATTCCATCCTCTATCAGAGAGGTCAAGCTTTAATTTCCCACCATTAAGTTTTTAGCTAGATTATAGAAACATCTTATATTACAGGAACTCGGAATGAGGAAAAGGAGAGAGAGAGGCACGAAGGCTGGTAATGGGAAAGTGAGATGGCACCAAGCTGGCTCCCTCAGATTTTTCTGGAGTTAACTAAACATTACATCATTTATTCACTGTATCTAGGATGGAGGACTTTGTAGCCATCTTAGTTATGGAGATCCTCTTGAGGATCTAAAGTCTCTTCTTCATGTTACCACAACCTATAGCACTGGACTTATAAAAGAAAGTATCATTCTGCCAAAAAATTTATACGACTAGCTTCTATTCACCATAGTGTTAAGTTCAGCAAATCCTTGTGATACTTTTTCTGCCTTTGCCAAATTTTAATTATACACAGCTCTGCTTGGGAAAAGACAAGCATTTTTCTACATTTGGTGGTGGGAAAGATACTGATTGCCTGGGGACTAGAATGAACTCAGCAAACACAAATCTTTACTTCTTAGAAAAGCTATCGGAAAGTCACCAATAAAAAGGAGCATATAAAAGAAAAAACATCTCTTAAAAAGAAGTGTGGCATAAGTATTTCTTGCTGGAATTCAAATACTGCACTTATTGCACTAGGTTAAACTCCTTTGAGCAGAAAATGATGCTATTGTGTTACTGAAATTTATTTAATATGATATATTTTGCCTTTTGGGGGACAGCAGAGAAGGAAATGAAACACTTTTAGATCATTACCACTGGCTGTGCAAATCCTGAAGTCACGACAGGATGTGAAAGTGAGTCTCAGGAAGAAAATAGAAATGTGGGGTTATGGGTTAAAGTTTTAATGAAAGAAATGCTGAATCTGAGTAGTCAAAGGTTGAGTCACATGTTATAGTTTCTTTAGTTTTAGTTCAAAAGGAAACAAAATTTTTATAGTCATTTTAGCAGTTACCTTTATTATGTAGTTTTCTTTTTTTGTGTATATGGATAATAAACTAGCAGATGGTAAATTGTCTCTCTTATAAACAATGTCATTTAAAATAAAACTTGATTCAGAAGCAGGTTTAACAGTAACTCCCACTCCTACCCTCATTCCCACCCCTCCAAGGAAGACAGTAAGTACCCTAAGGAGGCCAGAGAGGAGGATGGTTTGAAGGAAAAGCTGGTTAATCTCCATGTTACTTAGTTTGTTACCCCTCTGTCTACTCCCCTATTATAAACAGCAGTAAAGATCATTTTAAGGGGGGCCTCTGAACTTGCGTTTATAATTATGGGAACTATATTCTACTCCACTACAAGGCTTGGGAGTAGAAAAATCCAAGAAATACTGTGGCTGGCTGCGGTCTTAAAGAATAAATTAAATGGGCTGAGAGAGCAAACCCAAAAGTCTTTAGAGCCTGAGAAAATAGCACGTATGTGTAAGATCGCTGTTAAGTGGTGGGGCTTGTTGCAACCTAGACAGCTTAATAGCTGCCTGAAGGCAGATTCAGCTTCTTAAGAAAACAGTATGCTGGCCAAACAAAATATATCAGTGGGTCGTACCCACCGACAGGGGCTAGTTCACTCCTGCCTGAGGACCTGGCCAATAAATAAATAAATAATTAAATAAACAAATGTTTAATTCATAAAAGGGACCTTAAAAATTCTGAAAAGTGGCCCTAAACTTTCAGTTGGAAAATCTTCTGGGTGGTTCTGTATTAGTGGTTAAATAAGGTTTCCTAAAGAGGTGATATTTGACTTGGAAATTGAAGGATGTGTAAAATTTTGCTAGGTCATTAATTGGGATATGAAAAAGAGCATGAGTAAAGGCACAGAAGCAAGGAATGTGTTAAAGAAACAGCAAATAATTTAGTGTAATACGTGGTGACAAATGAGGCTGGGAATAAAGGTTGAGGCATTGTAAAGGACATTGAATTCCATGTTAAGAAATTGGCCATGTTGAACATTCTGCTTAGTAGCTCGAAAGATTGATCAGATGAATTCTTTACTGTTCTTTGAGAACATGAATCTGTGGGAGAAAAAGTCTCAAGCATATGTGGTGGACAGTGACTTCTAAGGTCCACTGTCCTTCCTCAGGGACACTTATGAAAAGAAATGTCACAGGTAAAGAGGATGCTTTTGTCTTATCTAATCTAACCTTCTCATTTTACTGATGGGGAACTCGACATAGCTTGTTTAAGCTTACACAGGTACGAGAACTAGAATATATATTTTTTATTGTAGCAGGATGAACCACAGGCAAAATCCTTCAGACACCAAGTTAAAGAAGGAAGGGCTTTATTCAGCCGGGAGCATAGGCAAGACTCACGTCTCAAAAACCGAGCTCCCTGAGTGAGCAATTCCTGTCCCTCTTAAGGGCTTACAACTCTAAGGGGGTCCGCGTGAGAGGGTCGTGATCAATTGAGCAAGCATACGTGACTGGGGGCTGCATGCAACAGTAATTAGAACGGAACAGAACAGGACAGGGATTTTCACAGTGCTTTTCCATACAATATCTGTTATCTGTAGATAACATAACCGATTAGGTCAGGGGTCGATCTTTAACTACCAGGCCCAGGGCGTGATGCCAGGCTGCCTGCCTGTGGATTTCATTTCTGCCTTTTAGTTTTTATTTCTTTTTTTCTTTGGAGGCAGAAATTGGGCATAAGACAATATGAGGGGTGGTCTCCTCCCTTAATATTACTTCAGACTACCTATCCAGTAATTTCAATCCAATTTCTCTTTGCAAGGCTGTTTTATTTTGCTTTCATTTTTGCCAAGTTTGGGATTCTTGGAGTTAGCCAAAGCTGTATATCACTTCTAAAGAGCTAGGTAAGTTTCTGTCAATGAATTCAATAGAAGTTGATACTCTATGGTCTCCAGGTGTGAAGAAAGTCTTTCATGGGATTCCTAGCTAGCGTCTGCCATTTTAGATGAGCTATGCAGATGATTTGAAATACGTTGCAAATTAACTGTGGCATGTCTCTTACCACAATCTTGGACATGTTGATTTACAGGTAGTCATTCTCTTTTCATTGCTGATTAATTTTCTGGTCATGAGCTGTCTCACTTTGTATCTGCAAGTTTGATCTTATTCAAAGGTAGAAGAGTTGGATGTCCATACGGTGTGATTTGAAGTCCAATCCCAGCCAAAAGTTTCTAATCATAAGCTTAGGCTCATTCTTTAAGGGTCTGCTACAGGCATATACATTTTAATAATGTCATATCTCCATTACTGATTATAGCTCTTATAACTAGAAAATGACCCTTATCTCCTTTAATGCATTTTGTCCTAAATTTTACTTTTATTATATTCATAACATCATCTTTGACACTTTGTCTTTGAGTTTGATTAATATTTCCTTGTAACATATGAATTTTAAGTGCATTTAGGTGTTCCATTCCTGAGAGAGATCACACATTAACCAGGTAACATATTAGCAGGGAGTAGGGGATTAGTTTATCTAATTCATCCATTGTATTAATTTTCTGCTGATGAGTAACAAATTACCACCAATATAGTGATTTAAAGCAGTACAAATTTGTTAGCTCATAATTATGTAGGTACAAAGTGCAGCAAAGCTCAACTGATTCTCTGCTGAGGGTCTCACAAGACTGAAATCAAGCTGTCTGCTGGACTGTTTTTATATGGAGCTTCTAGGGAAGAATCTGCTTATCAACCTTATTCAGGTTGTTGGTCAAATTCAGTTCCTTGTACTTTTAGGACTGAGGTCCCCATTTCCTAGCTGGCTGTCAGCTGGGATCCTCTCCTAGTTCCTTAAGGCTTCCCACAGTCCTTCTAAGGCAGTCCCCTCCTTCTTGAAATCAAAAAAGGTAAATTTTTTCTTATGGTTCCAGTCTCTCACTTCCCCCTTCTACTGTACTCTTCTACAATTAGCTGGAGAAAGTTCTCAGCTTTCAAGAACTCATGTAATTAGAATAGATCCATCCAGATGATCTCAACTTGTTAAGGAGAAAACCCTAATAAAAAGAACACAGAGCTCTCTACATTTTGAAGATTATAGGAAATAGGAGAATTTCTTGGCTATGGGCTGGTTCTCCACCTTTGGTATAGCACGACATTCAGGTAGTGGTGAGGGACAGAAGGCAGTAAAAGGATTCAGTGTGGCTGTCAGGCAGAGGGAGGTAAAGGAGAGGGAAACATATTGGCAGATGCGTAGGGGGAGACCAAATAAAATAAAATAAAATTAGTTTCTACTTCTTAATTTTGCCTTGGGTTGGTCCAGAGGACAATGTAAACCAGCCACAGATCCATAGTATATCTGATATAAGCGATCTCTTCTGAGACGTGCATCTTCATTGTGATGGAAAGAGCAATACTAGTTTTTCCTACAGAATCTTACAGTGCCTATTAACTATTGAGAGAAAGAGGTAGAAGACGAGGTCATTCTCCCAGCCTTATGTAACAATAGAGGTGTGTGTGCAATATGAAGTAATAATAGTGTTGTTTGTTTATCATGACACAGCCCATTAGGCTAAATATATATAAACTATAGATGACAGCAGAGATCCCAAAGCAGCTTTTATATAGTAAGCTTACTAAAGGTAACTGCAACAAGGGCCCTCCAAAAATTATTGACTATTACTTCAAACTATTAAGGCCACCTGTTGGCATCAGGGAAGCAACAGCAGACTGATTAGCTTAGTGTACAGCAATCAAGGATGCGGTAGTCATATTTTTTTTTTTTTTTTTTGAGACGGAGTCTTATTCTGCCACCAGGCTGGAGTGCAGTGGCGCCATCTCAGCTCACTGCAACCTCCGCCTCCCAGGTTCAAGTGATTATCCTGCCTCAGCCTCCCTAGTAGCTGTGACTACAGGCACACACCACCACGCCCAGCTAATTTTTGTATTTTTTTTTAGTAAATACTGGGTTTCACCATGTTGGCCAGGATGGCCTCGATCTCTTGATCTTGTGATCCACCCACCTTGGCTTCTCAAAGTGTTGGGATTACAGGCATGAGCCACTGCACCCAACTGGTAGTCATCTTTAAAACAGAACCAAGATCTTGAAAACAGAGACTTGTAACTGAAACTGAAAACAGAAACTAGAAATCAAATAACAAATTTATGCTCACCTTCCAAAATAGGTTGGCTATAATGCATCAGTCTCTTTGGTCCTTTAATTTAATAGGGACTAATGGCATAATCTTTGAATTGTAAAAGGTAACAGAAACAGTCAAGGAAAAATGGGTATTTTTTAGTGGAAATGAGTTGTATAATTCAAGATTAAATTGGACAGTTTCCTATGACTCTGGTATCTTCAATCCTCTCATTTACTCAATTCCTTCAGAATTAATAGAATCAATTGTTGTACCTTTCTTTGCTAAGGACATTGAAAAAGCCAATCCACTATGCCATGAGTAAAGTCATTTAGTCACAGCCCAGAGGTAAAGTTTATATTTCTGTCTTTTCTCTTTTTGCCTTTGATTTTTACTTGCCTACTTCCTCCAAGTAATATCATTCCAGTGAATGTTGAGGTATTTCTTTTTACTAGCATTCTATGTTCTGTGTAGTTTCATTGTCTGTGGATATGAATAATTAGAATGCGTAATAACTATTGAGGTGATGATGTCTTTCTGTGAATAAAGGCAGAAATATAAATTTGAACTATGACCTTCAAATTTTAAACTTTGCTGCCATGCTAAATCTTTTTTTGTTCTTAAAATGAGAAAAAGGGGTTTAAGTTTTTATAAAATGCTTTACTACTTAGACCATATTGAAGTGGCATTTTATGACTTCCATGAGTGGCAGTAAACCACATTTCACTGATCTTGTTTTATAAGTCACAATGCATTTTTTAAGATGAGATACCAATTCATTCTGCCGAATGTAGTTGGTTATATAGATGATAAATATCAAACAGGAGAGAGCAAGTTCTCTAACTGTAAAACTGTTCTTGCTTTGTTTCAAGAGAATTAAAGAATAAATAACTCACAAAAAATAAAACCAAGAATGTGTATGTTTGTATTACTTGTGTGAGATTAAAAACATCGAGCATCAGCTGTGATATTGAAGTAGCAAACAATTTACTTATTACCTATTTTTCCATGGGATAAAAATAAACTCTCCAAAATGCACTCCCATTTTTATATGCTCCATTTCCTCTTACTTCCTCTTCAGCTAGGACTTCTTTGCTGTAAGTGCAGAGTGATTAAATGGTATGTGGACTTCCTTTATGGATAAAGAATGTGCTATATGCTCCCTAATAGGTCCAAATACCACTTCATCACTATAAAGAGAAGCTTCAAAATATTATCTAGGCAATCATCCTGTTATAAGGGTAATCTTTTTCTATACTTTCTCAGATACATGGTTATCACCTGGATTTTCAAAATACCCCCAAATAATTCTTATTTTTCTAAATTCCACACACAAAATCTCAATAGTGTCAGATGAAACACAGGATTATTTGCCCACTTTACCAACGCTGGACTTGATACTTTATTCTGTCTGAATTAATGTCCTAAATACTAATGATAATCCAAACCTGGGCAGCACAGCTTCCAGATTAGGCAAGCACTGCTCACTAAAAATGCTGATTTTGCCCTTTACTAGACAATATGTAACATTTCTTTTAGTAGTTAACTTCATTTAGTCCCTGGTGATATTGTTCAGGCCTGGCATGTGTAGGTCAGTTGTGTGTGATTGCTGAAAGTCACACTACTTGAATTTGGTGGGAATATTGATCCTTGTTAATCCTTTTCCTAGTCATATGATGGCACCAGGGTATCTAAATACACTTATATGTAACAAATTTGTATCCCTGCTATTGTGGACAGAGTTTACCTCTCTTAGTCCATTCAGGCTGTTATAAGAAAGTACCATAAACTAGGTAGCTCATAAACAGCAGAACTTTATTTCTCATGATTCTGGAGGCTGAGAAATCCAAGATCAAGACAGATTCAGTGTTTGGTGAGGGCGTGCTTTCTGGCTTGTAGATGGCAACTTTTGGCTGTGTCCTCACATGGTTGAAGAGCAAGGATTCTCTCCGGGGTATCTTTTGTAAGGGCACTAATTTTATTCATGATGGCGATGCCCTCATGACCTAATCACCCCAAAGCCTCTGTCTCTTAATACCATTACCTTGAGGGTTAGAATTTTAACACACACATTTAGCGGGCACACAAACATTTAAATTACAGCAAGTCTCTTAAGAGTTCCCAATTGAAGATAGACTTTTTGATATAGCAGTTATGTGGTTAACTCATGTTAAAATTAGTATTCAGTGGGAATTGAGATTCAGATTCTACAATCATGAGACTACAGAAGGACCCTATAGTCTATTTTATAGGAATCAGGAGAAGTAAATATTAACTAACATCAAAAGATGTTCCTTTTCAGGACACTAATTTTAATATGCAAAACACCAAAATATAATGTTAAATTGCCTAAGGAAATGAAGTAAGGTTCACAGTTTTTGCTTCACCATCATCATATCAAGTTTTCAGCATAACCAGTGACAATGAAGCATGTACCTTTTAAGGTGTGGACATAAAAGGCACCAAAGTATTACATATAGACAAACCAAGACTACAAATTAAGTTTGTGGAAAAAGCAACAGAACTGTTCTGCATGAATTGAGACTACTTTTCACCTAATATGTATTGATAAATGACATGGTTTGGCTGTGTCACCACCCAAATCTCATCTTGAATTGTAATCTGATTGTATGTCAAGAGCTGGACCTGGTGGGAGGTGATTGAATCAATCATGGGGGCGCTTTCCCCCATGCTGTTCTCATAATAGTATGTCCTAACAAGACTTTGGACTTGGACTTTTTGGTTAATTGAATTCAGATTTGGGGGGACTGTTGGGAGGGCATGATTGTGTTTTGAAATGTGAGGACATGAGATGTGAGAGAAGCCAGGGGCCAAATGATATGGTTTGGATGTGAACCCACCCAAATCTCATCTTGAATTGTAATCCCTATAATCCCTATATGTCGAGAGAGGAAACTGGTGGGACATGATTGGATCAGGGGGAAGTTTCTCCATTGTGTTTTGGTGATAGTAAGTGAGTTCTCACTAGATCTGATGGTTTTATAAACACCTCTCATTTTCGCCACTTGTTCTTCTCTCTCCTGCTGCCATGTAAAGAAGGTCCTTTCTTCCCCTTCTGCCATGATTGTAAGTTTCCTTAGGCCTCACCAGCCATGTGGAACTGAGAATCAATTAAACCTCTTTCCTTTATAAATCACCAAGTCGGGTATTTATAGCAGTGTGAGAATGGACCAAAACAATAAGGTAAACAAGAAACAGTGGTAACTGGAAGTATAGCAAGACTTCCATTAAACATAAGAAAAAAGGTAGAATATATATTTCTCATGGGCTATTCCATGATTATCCATGAAGAATTAGTGTGATAGACACTTATACTTAACAAATATTAAATCTTGGTTAAGTACTGCCCCCTTTCTCCAAATGGTAATTGCCAGTGATTCATTTCCAAAATGGTACAAAGAATGTCGGATACAGACCTGATAAGGGATAGTTTGGCTTCAAGCAAGTAGTCATGTCAAGTTAGGAATTAGAACATTGCTGTAAAACAAACACACTAGCCCAAGTGCAGGACACTGAATTAGAATAAAAAGCTAAGGAAATTTTCCTGTCTTGCAAAGCCATGCCTCCATCAGAGCAAGGAGTTTGCTTAGGTGAATTGCTTTTCAAGCAAAAGATTAGGATCAAATTATTAGAAAACAGAAGCAGAAATGATTGAGACCTTAGCAATGGCAAGGTGTAATGAAATGATTGGGAAGTTGAGGAATATCTATGCAGATATGTGAAGTACATACTGAGCCATGAACTGAATTCCAGTTTCTTCTTGGTCTAGTGAAAGTAACTGTTACAGATCTTGAGGGAAAAAAAGTCAAAAATGAAGGAGAGTAAAACGAATCCTATCATTTACGAGCAAAATCTTTAGGGCAAAGAAAGATAAGATATTCAAGGTGTAGTTTAATTTTAAAGAAAATCATCATTTTTAAAATCATGTAAAAGTCTATGTTCATGTGGCTATTAGTGAAGACTTAGGGTTTTATCCAAGATTTGGAGGACTGACCTCAAGCATTTGCAAGACTACAGTGGAAACATCACGGGTATATCAACGAATGATCACAAACTCCCTATAACTAGATATTTAACTTTTTTACCTCTCCAATAGAAGTACATCTTATTTCTCACTCTTATATCACTCTGTGGCTCATTCTAGACAGATTACCTTGGTTAAATTTCCCAGCCTGTCCCTTACCAGTAAAAATCACCTTAGAGAAACAATGCATGAAGTCAAACCTTTCATAAATTAGATTACATTATAGCATAAAATGGACAACAATAATGTAAACAACATGAGAGGAAGAACTATTGTATATAAAGAGAGTAGGAGTCGCTATAGTGTATAAAAAAGGTTATATAAGGGATAGTTGAGGAGAGAAGGTGGAAAAGATGTTTGAAAGAGGGGCAATAAGGTTAGAGTCAAAGGAATCAAACAGTAACTCTAGCTTTCCTGAGGGTACCTTCTCTCCATCAGTTTGTTTCGCAAGGACTTAGTCTTCCTCTTTTTCCTCAGCACAAGCCCTTAGGTGAAGAAGAAGTCAACCTACCCCAAATTTATGTAACTATTGCCTAACTTCATTCTGAGCAATAGGCTCCAATGCTCCTGTTAAAGCAGTGATTTTCAACCATAGTTGAAAAAAGAAGCACATGGGGAGTGTTCTGCCTATGTCTGGGTCCAAAACAAGAGATTCTCCACTATTTGAGTGGGGCCTAGGGATGGGTATATTTTGAAAGCTCCCTAAGTCTATCTAATGGACAGCCAAGGTTGCAAACCAGTGCTAATGCATTCGTTCTAAAGTTTTACCTGCAGAAATAATTCTCTGGGGAAGCTTTTTAAAATGTAGATTTCTGCGCCTCAGAACTTCAAATCCAGTAGGTGTGAAAGTGGGCTGGGATGCCACATTTTTAATAAACACCAAAGTGATACAAATGCAGATAGTCCATGACAACACTTTGAAGAATGCTGCATTAAAATTTTTCTCTTTTGATATGCTTCCAAAGCTCCAATTCTCACTAAATGATATATGAAAAGTGACTGTAAAATAAATGTAATTTATAACCTCGCTAAAAAAAAAATCCCACTTCATTGTTATGTTTGAGTAAATGGATTTTGTGAACAATGTCTTGACTACTTAGAGACTTGGGGAGTTTTTTAACCCACCTTACTATTATTTAACAAAAGATTCTTATATGTGAGATTTCAATGATTGGAAGAATGAAAGTTTCTTAGAAGTGAAAATTGAATGACTTTATTAGTTTTCTATTACTATCTAACAAATTACTGCAAATTTAGTGGCTTACAAACCACATACTTTTATCATCTCATAAGTTTTTGTGCTTCAGGAATCTTGATATGACCCTAACTAGGTCAGAGAGATCAGAGATCTCAGTATCTCACAAAACTGCACTCTAGATGTTGGCCAGGTTGAGTGCATTTCTGTAGGAAACAAGCAAACAAGCTCATGTGGCTGTAAGCAGAAATCTGGTGCTTGTAGTTAAAGGCTGAGGTGGTCCTTCTTGGTGGTCATCTGCTGGGGGGCCACTCTCAGCTCCTAGAGAACCCTGTAGTTCCTTGCCACATTGCCCTTTCCCAGGTCCCCTCACAACATGGCAACTTACTTTTTCAAAGCCAACAGGAAAATATCTCACTCCAGTTGGCTGAGACAGTCTTATATAAAGTAATGTAATATCCTTGCCATATAACATAATCTTATCAAGGGAATCCTTTGCCATATTCTACTGGCTAGAAGAAAGTCACAGGTTTTGCCGGCACTCAAGAGAAAATTATGTAAGGGCTTGACTCACTGGGGAACATCTTAGAATTCTGTGTACAACAATTAGTAAATGAAGAAGCATCTTAATCAACAACTTTGTCTTGGAAGGAAATGTGGTAAGTGAACAAAACCAGAAGGAAGAATTTGAGCAAAAGTGTGACCATGGAGAGATTAAGGAGTGAGGACTCCTCAAACTCCTCAAAATGGATTTCAAACACTGTTATTTAAAAGGTCAACTAAGTTGTAGTTGGATGAAAACATTAGAAATGTATACAATTCCTTGATATGACAAATACTGTCTTTGGTGATATTTTTATCATACATAAAGAAAAGATGTTAATATACTCTATTTAAATTTTATAGTGCTAAAAGTTTGACCAAGTGGGTAAGAATAAAACAGTTTCACTTTTGATTATTTGTATTATTGATTTTATTTATTTCATAAGTAATTAAGTGTGGATAAACAAAATTTACTTATATAAAATATAGACCATGATTTAAAACAGTAAGAGCTAAAAACCATGCTTGATTTCTGAGAAAAATTTTTCTTTTTTACTGTCTATCGGAGGATGGGTCACTAATAATAGCTACTAGTAATAGGACCTATTCAGCCTCCAGTTCTTCCCATTCAGGAACACCAATGCATTTCATCCACGATCTCCAGATTTTAGGGAATGAGGTGAGCAAACCAGTGGCCCTTTCTACTACTGTTTATCAACACATAGTGTGCATATTTGAAAGGTAGCACTAAGCTTGAAAGTATGTTATCTAAACATTGAATCTCCCTGTTCTGGTATGAAATACAGAATGTCAGCCACCCATGTCATAGTGATTGGTTGGCTGACACCTTTGCAATTGATTAGGCTCTAGTTAATCCTAAATTACTTAAGGTTATATAATATAAGGCTTCTGATATTTGCAACTGGCATTTCCTAAGCTTTCTGTAATACAGTTTGTCTATTCTCTTAGCCTGAAGCGTCTCCTGTAAAGAAGTAACTATCAGAGAAAGTAACAAACTTTTTTCATATATATGTGTGTGTGTGTATATAAAATATGTGAAATATCAATTATAATCAATTTTAATCAGTAGCCTGTTAGCTGCTAGGCCTTTCTGTATGTAAATTTTTCATGGATGTCTTTTTTTAAAAAAATATTTTTGTAGAGATGGGGTCTTGCCATGTTGCCCAGACTGGTCTTGAACTCCTGGCCTCAAGTGATCCTCCCACCTCAGCCTCCCAACGTGCTGGGATTACAGGTGTGAGCCACCATGCCAGGCCATCTCATGGATGTCTTAAAGCAGGGGTCTCCAGCCACAGACTGCTACTGGTAGGTCCAGCCTGAGAGGAATCAGGCTGCACAGCAGGAGGTGAGCTGGGGGCAAAGAAGCATTACCACATGAACTCTGCCTCCTGTCTCTCAGATCAGCAGTGGCATTAGATTCTCACAGAAGCACCAACTCTATTGTGAATTATGCATGCGAGGGCTCTAGGTTGTGCTTGTTTTTGTTTTATTTTTAAAATTTAAATAAATATGTTTAATTTAATAAACACATAAAATAAATTTAAAATTTATTTAATTTTGTGAATAGATTCACATAGTTCAGAACTGAGTGAGCATGAACAGGTAGATGTGAGAAGTCCCCCTCCGACCTCTGGCTCCCATATACCTAATTCTTATAGCACATTTCACATTTAACAGCTGCTAATTTGTTAATGTGATGTCTTTCCATATCACTAAACATTGGCTCAACTTCTACATTTTCTATTCTGTTGTATTGATCTGTCTGTCAGTTCATGCAGTAATATTACCAGATTTTATTTTGGGACTTTATGTTAAAATTTAATACCTAACAGGGATGGTTTCTCCTGCTTGCTCTTCTTTTTCAATTTTTAGGAGTATTATTATTTACTTATTTTTCTGCATGAACTCTAGAATTAGCTGGTCTAGTTAAAAAAATGTTGGTTAATATTTACAAATTGATTTAGGAACAATGATATTTTGATGATATTGTCTTTGTCTGTAGAAGCACAATCAAGATTCTGGATGATAGATTTGCTGATGCTGCTGACGGACAAGTGAAATAAAATTAGGAAAGTAGGAGATAGAGGGAAAAGTTTGCATATGATTTCCAAGTTTCTGGTTTAGACTTCTGGGCAGCTATGGACTTGCAACAAAACAAGGTATAGAGTATTTAAAAATACCCAAATCCATAGTGTGTGTGTGTGTGTGTGTGTGTGTGTGTGTGTGTGTGTTGGGAAGGGGAAAACAAAGACTAATAAATTCACTCTTCGTTTTATGTTTATTTGGAAATAATTTTAAAAATTGATGAAAGTTGCAAGAATAGTATAAAGCACATCTGATAACCTTTACAAGAGTCACATACTAGTTTTTCTCACTTGCTCCTCACACCCACAGGTGCATTTATGAACCACTAGAAGATAAGTTGCAAGCATCATACCTCCTCACCCTTCATCCCTAAATGCTTCAGTCTGTGTTTTCTAAGAATAAAGACAGTCCCTTCCTAATTTACCATCCATATTGTGACTTTTTAAGTTAACCTAATCACAAGTTTTTAGTTGGGAACAATTCATCAGCCCTTCTTTCTCTTTTAAGGTGATTACAGTTTTGAAGAATGTAGGCTTTTAAAAAAGTGTTCTTCATTTGGTATTTGTCTCTTGTTTCCTGATGGGTAGATTTAGGTTATGCAACCCAGGATGGAATACTACATAAGTAAGTCCTCCCTATGGTGTCACATCCCTAAACATGATGTACATCTGCATCTCATTGGTGATGTTGATTTTTATTATTTAGATAAAAATGTTGCTGATTTCTCACCGGAATAGTTACTATCATTCACCTGAATGTAATGTTAAAAGAAAAAACTTTAGACAAAATAAATTTAACAGATTTTTTTTTGAGCACTTAAGGACACATGAATTTGGCAGTACTCAAAACCAGAATATGTTGAGAGAGTTCCGCTTTAGCAGTATGAGCAGCTGGCTTTTGTAGATTGAATGCAGAAGCAAAGTAATTACTTGATTGGCTACAGCTAGGCATCTGCCTTATTTGGGTATAATTCAGGGGAATGACTTTAGTTATATAACTAATGGTTAGTTGGCTGTTTTTGATTGGCTGAAATTTAGTTTGCTAATTGTTTTTTTTTCCTCAAAATTAATCAGCTACAAGGAATGCCTCTAAGTTTCAGTTTGCTTGCATAAACTGGGTTTCAGGTACACAAACAACCCAGGATAATGGCCTCCTGCTTATTTTGCTTTAACAGTAATAAGTAATCTGTGGGATTACTTAATACCATAAAAAGATCCTACTCCTGATCAATTCATCCCCTCCAGATTTAGTGTTCACTGATGATTTTTACCAGTATCAATATTTACCATGATGGTGCTGCAAAATGATGATTTATTCTAACTGCATCAATTCCTGTAAATTTATCAGGGACTATCCCATTCTTCACCTCTGTATTTATGTATTTATTTGTCTATTTATCATTAGTATGATAACAGGTTTTTAAGGTTTCTAATCCAGCAACTAATTCATTTTGTACATATTGTTGGGGTGTCTGTGTGGCTGTGTTTTCTCTCCAGCTAAATTATGATCTTTCCAACTCTAAGAACTATGCTTCCTTTTCCTTCTTATTAAATTGCCTTCTCTCTACACACATATATACACACAAAACGCCTAATCCAGAGCCCTATTTACAGAAGTCATCCATTCAAGACTGAATAAATGACCAAATGGTTTGAGGAGGCTGGCAATGACATTTGTAGCTTCAAGCCATAGTTATCATGTAAGTGCCCTATGTGGATTGTTGTAGTCACCACCAAATGAAATATTGGAAGTACAGTATAAATCCTTGTGATAAGTGTTTAGGATGATTATATACAGAATCAACATTTTTATTTTAAGTACACCTCAAAGGCTGTCTCCATTACAGACCCAAACTACAGCATATAATTAATGGGGCACATTTCCCTAACATCTCAAACATTAATCCTTTGCTTGTGTTGTGTATGAAAAGCGACATAGCTAAGTTTGGTTTCAACTTCTTTCGCTATGCTATAGTGTTTAATGCTCCTTCCATTCCAATATATATATTTTTAAATGTAAAACTTGCTCTGATTCCTCACTTCCCACCTGAATCTCTGGTTTGTTTCTCCCATGATACTCCTGAAAGCAGCAAAAACAGCTAATACTTTCCCTAGTAACCTCACAGTCTAGATAGGACATTCACTTCAGAGACAGCACATTGTTGGTGGATTAAAAGTAAGTCTTGTTTTTCAGGTAATTTTCAAGATTATGAGTTTTTCCTATATGGTTGAAATTACTTGCATGGGCTTTTGAGACGTCAGAAGTTCTTTAGGAAAATTTGTGTTTGTGGATATGTGTATATAAACACACATTTTTTCTATGCCCTGTCATATATCTGTTCACATAGGCTCTACAGAGATATGGTTCTTTTTCCCCACCAACTGTTTCATTCATTATTTCCAAGGTGACTCAGTGACATAAGGAGTATTTCAGTTTCAATAAATCCCTTTTTTGTTATATCTCCTCTCTTCTATCCTAGCACAGTATGTGGGGGAAGGTGTCTTCTAAAGACATTAGTTGTTGGTATTTGTTGTCATAAGAGACTTCTAAGTTCAGAGATTTTAACTCACTGTCTCAAGCTTCTAAAACTTGCCTCTGCTGACATTTTTTGGGTGTTCCATAGATTACTGAAGAAACTTCACCTTATCCAATTTCTGTTGCAACCTTCAGGCTTGCAGTAAAGGTTTCTATACACACATATACACATACACACACAAATGGGGGAACTGTATTAAAATAAATCACTGGCAAAAACTCCCAAATCCTAGCTTTGGGTCCAGCTTGGTGATCCACAGATTGGTGTGGCATAAGAGTCACCTCTTTATAAATAGGTGAGTATACCAGTTAGGAGTAACATATAAGCTGGTGTAGTTGGTGATTCATTCTTCTAAGCAGTTTTTAAATCACTATATTAAGATATAGTAAAAATGAAAAGGCAATTTAATAAATGGATAAAGGGGTTAACATATCAAAATTACGAATGTTGCCTAAATGAAATATCTGGAAATGAGTTCAATTTGCTTTTCTTTCTGTCTCTCTCTATTTCTCTTCTCTCTCACTCCCAACTTTTCACAAACTTACTGTCTCATTTTCCATTTATATTTGGGAAAATTGGAAAACAGTATTTGGCAAAGCTTAAAAATGAAGCTTCCTATTATCAGAAGGCAAAAGGAATACTTTAGTATCATTAAAACTAATTTTGGTGTATGTCCCTTGTTTTTTCCTGTGTACGAATACACTTTATAGTATATTTTGGGTCGATTGAGCATTGAGGACAAAACATTATAAGTATTATATCATCTTTCTTATTTGAAGTTTAATTTCTTTTTTCATAGAAAACTGGGTGCCATGGCAGTGCTATCATTTGAAAATATAACTTTTTTTTTTAGACAGAGTCTCTCTCTGTTGTCCAGGCTGGAGTGCACTGGCGCAATCTCGGCCCACTGCAACCTCTGCCTCTGTTCAAGCGATTCTTCTGCCTCAGCCTCCTAAGTAGCTGGGATTACAGGCACCCGCCACCATGCCTGGCTAATTTTTGTATTTTTAGTAGAGACAGGGTTTCACCAAGTTGGCCAGGCTGGTCTTGAACTCCTGACCTCAGGTGATCCGCCCACTTCAGCCTCCCAAAGTGCTGGGATTATAGGTGTGAGCCACCACGCCTGGTGGAAAATATAACTTTTATCTGCATTTCAAAGTAGTCTTTTTTTCTCCATTTATTTTTACTATTTTTACCACTACTACCTCAGCTCATGTTCTAATCACGTAATGTTTAGTCTACATGTTTCTGAAATTTGTTCTTATCTTTACTGGAATACATTTTTCTTCGAAGATCATGAAAGTGTTAGTCTGACTTAGTCTGCACATGGTGCTATGCTAAAGGATGTGGTGTCATACAGTAAAAAGTAAACAGGCCCCAGGGAGGTTGAAAGAGCTGCATTCACAACCTGGGTCTGTCACTGGCTAGCTGTGTTTCTATGCACAAATAAGTTAACCATGCCTTCCTTATTTATGTGATATAAACAATTATCAATTTCTTCAAACAGTCATTGTAAGGGTTAAACTAAATAAGATAACACACATAAAACACCAGGGAAAATAGGTGGTATTCACAATACGATAATTACTATTATTTTTATTATTATTGTGTTTTTAAAAATTTTAGATTGTGAGACTAGGGCAAAATAATTGATCTTCTCTACCACTTCATATAAGGAGATTGCAGGCAGATTTCAATATTGTCACTGATTGCCTCCAAAGGCTGGGAAAATTTCTCAAACCTTTATCTTTCTCTCCATATAGCAGAAATAAATCATGTGCCTAGAGAGTAGGGATGGCTATTAGCTGATGAGTTTTCTTCAAACATGTTGACCTTATAGTAATCTATAAATACTGGGTGGTGGTTGTTATTTATTTCTTCCCATGAAAGCTTTTATTATAGGATTTTAACTGATTCATTAGAAGTCCTGTGTGTTTGTGTGAATGTATAAATGGAATTTAAAGAGTGAATTTTAGCAGAAGGATTTTAGAGACAACTACCATGTATCTTTTCCCTTTAAGTGATCTCTTCTTATGGTTTTATTTTTAGGAGCCTTTTTAGCATTCTGT
The DNA here is from genome assembly GCF_000001405.40 of Homo sapiens. Taxonomy (NCBI): domain Eukaryota; kingdom Metazoa; phylum Chordata; class Mammalia; order Primates; family Hominidae; genus Homo; species Homo sapiens. The sequence continues at coordinate 95,645,658 of NC_000023.11, read as the reverse complement.
GACAACCTTTCCCCCAAGCAAATCAGGGAGTATCAAAGAACAGCGGGGGTTGTTAAAAATGGTATTCTGGAACATCATCCTGATTTCCCTTAGGGAACCATTTTGACATTTTATCAGACTGTGTCTAGTAGTCTACGGAGCTTTTACTTACATTTAAGACTTCAAATCCATAAAAATCAATTGTATTTTTTATTGTATTTGCATTTATATAGATCCTTTAATATATCTTATATCATAGCTCTTCTACAGACCAATGAATTATGTAGTTTTATAGCAAGGACTATACCTGGTAAAACTGACAACTATTATTTACAAAAGTCCCCTTTTACACATTTCTGCATATGAGAAAGAATGTTGCAGATTATGAAAAAGTATAAATAGAGGGAAATTAAAACTTATACGTTATTGTCTTTAATGTCAACAATGATCGCAAAGCATCATACTGAATATATAGATATTAAGGGACTTTTCTTATCTCAGGCAACCAACTAGGTCCATCTCAACCATCATCACATCAGAGACCCCTTCCACAGTAGGAGCTTGGACTTTAGGCCAGGATGTATTTCTAGTGGTGGCAAACATTTATTCATGACTTGTACTCAGACTCTTGGCTATAGAAGGAATGCTTGAAAGTTATGTATGACTAAAAAGTATTCTAAGCAATCATTAATATAAATTATAAAATTCTACCAGCCCTTCAGGGCTAGTTTCGCAACAGACGATTGGTAAGATTTGCCACATTATTGGTAAGAATACAGATTGTGGGATTAGCAAGTGAGAAATCTAATGGATTTGAGGAAAATAAAAAAAGTAATTTAGAGAAAATGTAATTTATTCCATAAATTAGGAGTTTTACTATTTTCTAATTTCAATTTCATCTCGAAGTCCACCATTGAAAACAATGTTACATCCCCTACTATACTAATGTGTCATAGTGTATTAACTAGCAGGAACACTGCTGGTCTATACAGTGGGGGTGTCTCCTGTGCTTCTTTGAAAACAAGTGTTTGATCTTCTTTCATATAACTTAAATTCAATAAAAATGTGCTTTAAAGAAAACTATAAAAATACCTTTATATATACTATCTTATACTATCTTAAAAATATCTTTACAGATACTATCTTATATACTATCTTGATGATCTTTGGGATATTATGAAGTAAAAACTGACTGGTTCATGTACATATACTCTTTACAATAATCATAAAACCATAGGGTTTCATGAGCTCTCCCTGTAACACTGGTTACAGAATTAAGAATCTGCAGATTAAAAGGTTCCCATTTAGTTATCTCCGTGGTTCTCATAGCTGCCTCACCAGTAGAGTCGCCCTGATGAGTTTTAAAAAACAGATGCCTGGTCCCAAACTAGACCTACTGAATCAAATTTTCCAGGAGTGTTGGAGTACAGGACTTTTTTCCCAGTGCCTTTCAAGGGATTCATATGACAAGCCAGGTTTGAGGATGGCTGTAGACCAAAGCCGACCAAATGTGGGAGAGTTTTTATCTCTAAGTATATTCAAAAGTGGGGATTTCAGCAGGTCCATACATAATGTGTATTAGAGACTAGTTACTCTGCCATGACATAATTTTAAATGTATTTTTCCAGCAACACAAGATTATAGGCCCTACCTTGATTCACCTTAGAAACAATGACATCCAGCCTTGCTTTCTTTTTTTATCAGGTATTCATGATGTTTAAGGATTATATTTAACTTGGCATTTTTTTTCTCTAAAATAACCCAAATATGAAGATGTAGATACCAATAGCAGGAGAAGTCTGAGAGGTATAAAGTTGACTAGTAACAAGTCTTACTAGAAGAGCCATTTCAAATGTCAGCAAATTAAATTTGGCTGTTTAAATTTCGGTGGGCTATTGGGGCATATAATTATTACTACATATGCATTTCTACTGTCAATCCAGATCTTATGAGAATATAAATGAAAATATGGCCTTGTCATTATTTTCTTAAGTAGAATAACAAATCCTTTAAACATGGACTTTCACATATTATTTTAGATAGCATCTAAACACATACATATACATACACATATGCATAACTACCTGAGGCTTAATTGAACCATTGTGATCACAAATAGTTTATTTGACATAACTGACAAAATTGCATAACCTATTTTTAATAATTAAAATCTATAGTCACAAGAAGAATGTTGAACAAATCATGAGTCCCTGCCAAAGAGAAATAATGAATTTACGCTTATGTGCTGAATGTATGTAACATTCTGAAATTTGAACCAACTCTACTTTTTTCTATTGAATTAAAAAAAAACAAACACCATGCTGTTTTGGTTACTGTAGCCTTGTAGTATAGTTTGAAGTCAGGTAGTGTGATACCTCCAGCTTTGTTCTTTTGGCTCAGGATTGACTTGGCGATGCGGGCTCTTTTTTGGTTCCATATGAACTTTAAAGTAGTTTTTTCCAATTCTGTGAAGAAAGGCATTGGTAGCTTGATGGGGATGGCATTGAATCTGTAAATTACCTTGGGCAGTATGGCCATTTTCACGATATTGATTCTTCCTACCCATGAGCATGGAATGTTCTTCCATTTGTTTGTATCCTCTTTTATTTCCTTGAGCAGTGGTTTGTAGTTCTCCTTGAAGAGGTCCTTCACATCCCCTGTAAGTTGGATTCCTAGGTATTTTATTCTCTTTGAAGCAATTGTGAATGGGAGGAGTTTACTCATGATTTGGCTCTCTGTTTGTCTATTGTCGGTGTATAAGAATGCTTGTGATTTTTGTACATTGATTTTGTATCCTGAGACTTTGCTGAAGTTGCTTATCAGCTTAAGGAGATTTTGGGCTGAGACAATGGGGTTTTCTAGATATATTTAAATCGAGAGTGGGGTGCTGCTGAAAAGATACCCGAAAATGTGGAAGCAACTTTGGAACTGGGTAACAGGCAGGGTTTGGAACAGTTTGGAGGGCTCAGAAGAAGAATGGAAAATGTGGGAGAGTTTGGAACTTCCTAGGGACCAGTTGAATGGCTTTGCCCAAAATGTTGATAGCGATATGGACAATAAACTCCAGGCTGAGGTGATCTCAGATGGAGATGAGAAACTTGTTGGGAACTGGAGCAAAGGTGACTCTGTTATGTTTTTGCAAGAGAGTGGTGGCATTTTGCCCCTTGCCTAGACATTTGTGGAACTTTGAACTTGAGAAAGATGATTTAGCATATTTGTGGAAGAAATTTCTAAGCAGCAAAGCATTCAAGAGGTGACTCGGGTGCTTCTGAAGGCATTCAATTTTATAAGGGCAGCAGAGCATAAAAGTTCAGAAAATGTGAAGCCTGACAATGCAATAGAAAAGAAAATCCCATTTTCTGAGGAGAAATCCAAGCTGGCTGAAAACATTTGTATAAGTAAGGAGGAGCTGAATGTTAATCCTCAAGACAATGGGGAAAATGTCTCCAGGGCATGTCAGGGGTCTTCATGGCAGAGCCTCCCATCACAGGCCTGGAGGCCTAGCATGAAAACCATGGTTTCCTGGGTTGGGCCCAGGGTCCCCCTGCTGTGTGCAGCTTAGGGACTTGGTGCCTTGTGTCCCAGCTGCTCCAATCATTGCTGAAAGGGGTCAACATAGAGCTCAGGCTGTGGCTTCAAAGGGTGCAAACCTCAAGCCTTGGCAGCTTCCATGTGATGTTGAGCTTGTCAGTGCACGTAAGTCAAGAACTGGGGTTTGGAAACCGCTGCCTAGATTTCAGTGGATGGATGGAAACGCCTGGATGTCCAAGCTGAAGTTTGCTGCAGGGACAGGGCTCTCATGGAGAACCTCTGCAGTGTGTAGGAGAAATGTGGGGTGAGAGCCCCCACACAGAGTCCCTATTGGGGCATCACATAGTGGAGCTGTTAAAAGAGGGCCACCATCCTCCAGAACCCAGAATGGTAGATCCACTGACAACTTGCACCGTGCACCTGGAAAAGCTGAAGACACTCAGTGCCAGCCCATGAAAGCAGCTGGGAGGGAGGCTATACCCTGCAAAGCCACAGGGGTGGAGCTGCCCAAGACCATGGGACCCCACCTCTTGCATCAGTGTGACCTGGATGTGAGACATGGAGTCAAAGGCAATCATTTTGGCAGTTTAAGGTTGGACTGCACTGCTGGACTTTGGACTTCCGTGGGGCTGTGTAGCCCCTTTGTTTTGGCCAATTTCTCCCATTTGGAATGGCTGCATTTACTCAATGCCTATTCCCCCATTGTATCTAGGAAGTAACTAACTTGCTTTTGATTTTACAGGCTCATAGGCAGAAGGGACCTGCCTTGTCTCAGATGAGATGTTGGACTGTGGATTTTTGAGTTAATGCTGAAATGAGTTAAGACTTTGGGGGACTGTTGGGAAGGCATTAGTTTTGAAATGGGAGGACATGAGATTTTATAGGGGCCAGGGATGGAATGGTATGGTTTGGTTGTGTCCCCACCCAAATCTCATCTCCAATTGTAAGTCCAACAATTCCCACATGTCACGGGAGGAACCCAGTGGGAAGTGATTGAATTATAGGGGTGGGTCTTTCCTGTGCTGTTCTCATGACCGTGAATGAGTCTCACAAGATCTGATGGTTTTAAAAATGGGAGTTTCTCTGCACAAGCTCTCTCCTTTCCTGCTGCCATCCACGTAAGATGTGACTTGTTCCTCCTTGCCTTCTGCCATGATTGTGAAGCCTCCCCAGCCATGTGGAACTGTAAGTCCAATAAACCTTCTTTTGTAAATTTCTCAGTATGTCTTTGTCAGTAGCATGAAAACAGACTAATTCAGATGGCTATAAAAGGGAAATACATACCGGATTTTGATAACTTTGTGTGAAAACAATGCTGTAAAATGTCTCATTAATCTTTTTTTATCAGTAGTATATGTTGAAATGATATGTTGGTTATATTAAATTAAATACAACTTGTTATTTAAATAAACTTTTTTTTTTTTTTTGCTTTCTGAAAAAGTAGTTACTAGAAAATTTAGAATTACATGAGTGGATCACATTGATGACTCATTATATTTTTGTTGGCAAGAGATACTCAAGCTCCTGCCCCGACCCTTTCCTTATTTTCCACAAGCACCCTGTTTCCCTTTTAAGAATAACTCTTTGCTCTCTTCCAAAGTTCATACTAAATTCTTTATTCAATACCTTTGCATGTTTGCTTGGCAGGCTCTCTCCTTTTAGCACAGCCCATTGGCAAAGGCCTACCCACTGCACGACTCTTCTGACAACCCACTCCCAACACCTGTTTTAGATGCCTGTGTCTGCAATACCACATTATCCTTTGCAATGTAGTACTTAACCACATTGTATTACATTTCTTGGTTTCCTTCTGTCTCTTTTAAGATGGGAACTGATTCTCTCTGAATTTTATCAGTTGAAGAGTTTCTGCCTTAGAATAACCCTCTGTAAATGTTAAATGAGTGCAAGGAACTGGCTGAATATTTAGAAAATCTAGAGTAAAACTCTATGATCTCCTTCCCTGGATCTGTGTAGCTGGAACCTGAACACACCACCTTTAAAAAATAAACAAACAAAAGTACATACCGGGCTAAAAATTCCCCACTCCTCTCACCAAAAAACAAACAAACAAACAAATAAAAACACTAGCTCAAAATTAGAAACCACTACAGAAGTAGCTTCTTATAATGCTAGTAAACATTTATTTTTTAGAAAACATTTAACTTCCATAAAACAAAACAAAAGAGTCTCAAATCCTTGTGTTCTTGTGTCCTAGCTCCAATGTCAAAAGGTCACAGAAAAATAAAAACAGCTGGAAATAGTTGAAGAAGAAATAGTAACAATCTGTTATAATATAGTCATTCAGGCATTTAATAAGAGTAATGAAACTTTTCATTTGAGGATGGTTGTTCCACAGTGTAGGCTTCACCTTTTGTCTTCAGAATGGTTGATAAGTGAGCAGACATCAAGCCACTGCACTCCAGCCTGGACCACAGAGCGAGACTCCATCTCAAAAAAAAAAGAAAAGAAAAAATCTGGTTACCACTATCAAAGGGAGCGACCTGGTTTATTTGCATGTAGTAGTAAGTAAATGCAGGTCGTAAGTCATGGGCCCCATAGTTATATCCAAAAAAATTATTTCCCACCAGGCACGGTGGCTCACGCCTATAATCCCAGCACTTTGGGAGGCCAAGGCAGGTGGATCACCTGAGTGAGGTCAGGAGTTCAAGATCAGCCTGGCCAACATGTGAAACCCCCTTCCCTACTAAAAATACAAAAAATTAGCCCCGCGTGGTGGCAGGCGCCTGTAATCCCAGATACTCTGGAGGCTGTGGCAGGAGAATCCCTTCAACCCAGGAGGCGGAGGTTGCAGTGAGCCGAGATCATGCCGTCGCACTCCAGCCTGGGCAACAAGAATGAGATAGAGTCTCAAATAATAATAATAATAATAATAATAATAATAATAATAATAATAATAATAGTTTCCACCACAATCATTAAAAATGGGCTAATAGCTGTTGATAGCTGTAGGCATTATGGAAATTACCTTATACTTGGTCAGATGAACTAAATCCTTCACTGAAGACTGAGAAGGGAACCTCAACAAGCACAGAAGAAAGGTCTCCACCACCTCCAAAGGCCCAATAAACATCTCTGTTTGCTCCGCAGACATCTTGGTTTGCCCAGCGGCAAGCATCTCAGTTTTCTCCACAAGCATTTGGGTTTGCACAGAAGCCTCCTTCTCTCTCCAGAGGTTGCCTGACCTAGCAAATGGAACATAATTCTCCACTTGTGTGTTGGCTTCATATTTTCTTTCGGGAGGGCAATTTTAACTTCACCTCACCCTGAGCTAATCCGATGGTATCTGGTTTCTAACAGCTTCTTCACTAATTTTTAATCAGTACATGTGATGAAACAGAAAACTCTTCTTTTACTTGTTTTTGGACACACTGGAAACTCAATTTTCTTAATCTCTCCAAATGTCCCAAAGCACTGTCTGATCTTTCCTTTAGACAGATGAGGGTTCACCCAACCCACAAAAACCATTTTTTGAGGGGAATCTAGATTGCATTGCGTTAGCCCTTTTAAGATCTATTTTCTTGTCATCCAATTTGTGCTCTTTCATTTGGAGCACCTTTTCAACCGTGGCACTATCTTTGAAAAGCACAAATCCAAACCCCTTGAATAGCCCAGTGTCTGAGAAGGTTTTAATTGTGAAGTCTAAGATCTTGCCAAATTGAGACAAGTATTCGAGAAGAGCTGGCTTACAAAATCACGGGATAGTCTTCCAGTGAACATCTTCCTGGTATCCTGCTGAGTCTTGCTGGCCTCAGTTCTGAACCCTTCAGGAAATTGTTCTGTTTCATCGAGTTTTCTTACGGAAAAGCCGACAGCATCCATAGTATCCAGGCAGGTGTTGGCAATGTTGGCGAATGGTGTGGCTAAGCCTCAACTGACAGAGGCGGAACGTGGGAATTGGTGGGGGAGATGACAAAACTGGTGGGGGAGGGATGTGGGAATTGCTTGGGGAGGTGACAAAATTGGGAATTGGTGGGGGAGGTGACAGAATTGGTGGGGGAGGGACGTGGTGATGTAGGAATAAGGCAGTGAGTGGTTTGAATTTTAAAATGGGAGCTGAGGAGGGTACCCGGTTTTACAATAAGAATCTTGCTTCCACAGAAGTAGGTTTCTTTCCAGGCTGGTTTTTGGGTCCCTATGACAATAGGCCACAAAAGGCAAAGTTTGCCACATGGGACAGCAACTCCTAGTCTTGTACCGTCTCTTCAGGTTGTATCTCCTTCAAGTTTTGTTAAAGCCCTTTTTCTCTTTCCGGATAGTGCCTTGCATATTTAAACAGCTGCTTGCTCCTTGCATCCTTTGGGTGATTTTCATATTCCCTTGAAGTATTTGGGGGCAGAAATGGGAAAGGAGGTAGCAGAGGCAGAAGTGAAATATAATGCTACAGGGAAAGCAAAATGCCAATGCGTAATTTGGAGACAAGAGAAAGGAGCTATATTTTTTAAAGTACCCTCAATGAAATTAAACCATAGGGAAAATGAGTTATTTCACAAACAAAGGTAAAACTAAAACCTTTAGCAAAAAATCCCTTGTTCACACTTTAGTTATAAACTATTTGAAGCCCCATCTGTCCCCACATTTTAGATGCTATTCCACACACGTGTACGTTTGTTTGTTCTGAACATTATTCACCAAATGCCTTTGTTTCCTCCTCATCCAGTCCCCCCTTCCATCTGGCTAACTCTTATAGCCTCCTCTGAGAGCCTCTCCTCTGTAAGCCTATAACATTCTTTGTATACATCTTTATCAAGGTGTTTATATATGTGTCTGTCTTCCCCACCGGTTAGCAAGCTTGTGGGATCTGTACTGGGCCATTCTTAACTTAAAGGTCTCAGCTCATAGTATAATACATATTATAACTGGCACATTTAAGGAAAGGAACTCACTAAATGCTTGTTGAAATAAACTAAACAGTGGAGTTCTGAGGGCCACATTTTTTTAAGATTCTTAGTCTAACTGCCTCTGAGAGGATGTCAGTTGTGCATTATCTCCTGCATGCTGATCTGCTACAATTTGGGGGAACTGGCCTACCTTTCTAGAGTTAATATAAACTTATAAAAGGGGCTGCAAGTTTGAAATTTTCTTATTTCTTGATTATTTGTAAACCAACTGAGATAACCACAAAGTAGCCAGTGCTCTATTCAGCTCCAGCTTTTATTAGAATGAAAATCTTAGGGGAATTATACTGTCTGTGTTTTTCTAAACTAATGAAGCACCTTGCTGGCTAGTTATTTACCTATTGCTATTTACCTAACTAGGTCATGGCTGACAACATAATTTTGACTCCCGTGTGGCCTGGTTGGATTTATTCAATTATATGGCTACAGGGTGAGCCCCTTACCCTAGTCCTAGGCCTAGGCCTTTTAAATGTTTGCTCCTGGGAACAAGGAGCTACTGGATCTGAGCATGTCAGTGAATCAGTGAAAAAAACTATCCTCACTTCTGGATATACAATTCAAAGCATTTAACCTACTAATCTTGGGGCAATAATGTCATCTTGCCACATGAAAGACAACCCATTATTGTGTAATTACTTTTGAGGCAGTGAAAAGGAGCATTTTGTAAAGATTGTGTCTACTCTTGGTCCCCTAGTGAAAATAAGTATGCTTACTCAGGTTCTCTCCTCCCACACACATGCTCCATGACCTTTAGCTGTCTAAAATGTTTTAAAATAACTCCTTTCCTCTGTAATGTCTGAAGAAATTAGAATCTGTGAGATTTAGCTTTCGTTTTCTATGGAAGTTTTGCCTTACAACTTTATATATTTTAGGTGTTGAAATATTGTCATCAGATTCCTAATGTTAATTTTTCTTATGGAGTAGTACAATAACAAAAATATTGACTTGTAATTTATTCTTATTACACATTAACTCAAAACACATATATTGGAGGTTTGAATTGAAACAACTGGAGATTTATTCCTTGAGAAATGAATGAGTGAATGTTAGGCACCCAGTTACCAAAGTTATTTTACAAATGTGGAATGCCTGTAAAAACAAACACTGTAAATTAAATAACAAAAGACACAGAAGCTGGGGATATAAAATAAGAATTTCCTGTTGCTGGGGTTAGGGAGACCAAGTGCTACAGTACGTGCAGAATATCATAATTTTTCTATTTTAGGGAATATGGGATACCTTATTTGGATTTCTTTTACTGAGATCTAGACCATCCCTGAAATACTTATAGCTCTTAATTTGATAGTCCCTCAGACATTGGTATCTCATTCATAATTGTTGGAGAATGGGGAATAAGATGAAGGATGACATATGCCTTTAGAATTAATCTGTCTCTCTTATCATGGGACTCAATCTTGGTAGAAGGATGCTGTGGGACCCATAAATCAGAAAAGTAACCTGGATGTATCCTGATTTGTTATGCTGCCATAGAGCTGTCTCTGTGGTAATATGTTCTTTAATGCTCTGTTGAACCTGTTCTCTTTAGTGAAATGAAAATGCATGTGTTTGACATACTTGGTCTAGTTGGTTGTTTGATAAAATGAGATTTTCCTTACTCTTTTTCCTCTTCATTTTCCACAGTAACTGCCAGTGCCCATTACTTAAATTGGTGCTAAGAAATAGTATGAAAAATGATCTTTTAGCAAATACTATTCTCTACCAACTTTGAATGTATCCAAACAGTAGTCTGGCTGAATGTAGTACATTGCACAGAGACTAAAAATTAATTTGACATCAAAAGTTATTAACGGCTGAATCCAGCTGTAGGAGTTCTGCCTAGGTGAGATTCATTTTAAAACCCCTCTTTGTCATCTGTAAAGGAGGCAAATGTGTCTGGTTGTAGAGTTGTAGGAAGACAACATAAATTTTGCAGTTTCAAGACTGCTTCACAAGACATGTGTAGGTATTCAAGCATGCTTTTCTCTTGGGAATACTGCTTAAAACAGGCAGTAGAATTATGGTCATCTCAAAGACTATTTAAAAGTTTTTTTAAAAAAGAAGAATTGGTAGAAAGGGAGCCTCTGTCTCCTCCCTTACAGTGCAAAGAACAATATGCAGTGTACAGTAAGGGAAGTTCTACTATGATGCTTTCTCTGTCTCACAGTCCTCCTTAAGAGAACTGTTATGGTGTACTTCATAAGCTGCCTGGGCGCTGTTTTGGTTAGGATCTACCATAGACCAGGAATGCATTTTCCAAGCACTTATGCATAACCTGGAGAATATTGGAACAGTGTGTGACCTTGTGTTTCTCATTTTCTTTCTTTACCCCCTTATTAGCCAGTGTCATGTGAAGAGTTGGGAGTACTCTATGGATGAACAGATAAAAAGACAAATTCCAAAATTGGGCTTTTGAGGGGTTTTTGTTAGTTTTTGGGTTTTTGTGTATGAAGATCAGAATTCTCTACACCTGTTGAGTTGAATTAAACTTCATAAACATTGCAGCCTTTCTTGATGTTTTGCATCACTTAATTATTATTTTTGTGACTTTAACTTTTTTGGTAAAGGAAAAAAATCTTTACATGCCACTTCCTTTTTCCTTTGTAACAGTTATTTGCAGGATGGGCATTGGTTGGATTTTTCTTGAATTAATGAAATCTGTATTGCTCATACTTGAATTGTAAAAGTCATAAAAATAACCATGCTTGCACATGAACCATGCAAATATAGAGTTAGATATTATTGTTATCCAAACATAGATATGAATATATATGTGAAGTCAATGTATACATTATAGAGAAGTCTGTGCATATAATGCTTATAGAAGGCTTCTAAAGACTGTCTGATTACTTTATTCATATACTATTTAATGCTAACTTCTTCCTAGTTATTTTTGCTGGGTCAAAAAAGTATATATTTCAATATTCATAAACTTTGTATCTTCAGCCTAAGAAATAAAAGTAGCAAGTATAGATTTTATTCTATAGTACTTTTTTTAACTCATAAACAATTTTCACATATCTATGTTAGGGAAAAATATGCTGACTAATAATTTACAGTTGTGATTATTTTATGAGTATGTAGTTCCAGATTTTATAAGGGAGAACATGCTTTTACACCCATGTCTGATCTCCTTCCAATTCCAACCAACACATAAAATTAAGGCTAATCACAGAAAGCACAGTTGCGGAGTCAGAGAATTGCAGAGGTTTGTGCAAAGTACATAAGGCATGCAGAAAGGATTTAAGAATACAATCAATACCAACTGAAGTGGTATTGAGAATAATCTGACAGAGATGGACACAGGAAGGTTAATGTGGCTTCAGTGAAACACTTGAGTCAGATAGGAATACAAGAAAGATTTCAGGTACATCTATAATTGGAGGAATCAGGGATAAGAAAATAAATACAAACTTAAAAGTATGCCTTTTTGACCTAAAGAGAAATATGAAGATAAACACCAAGTATCTTTTAATGAAAAATATACAGTGAATCAGTACCCAGTTGTAAACTAGTTTTAGGCTTTTCACTGTTTCTCTGGACAATGATTTGCTTCTATCTGGAAGTATTACCTGCATTAAGTGACATTGGGTAAACAATACAAATACTACAGATTTATGCCCATTCAGTTGCTCTTTGCTTTGTGTTGTTGTTGTTGATATGTTCGTGCAAATAGAAGGCTTTAGAATTCCAAACAATAAAGTTCCCAGTACTTTTTTGGATGTAGGGAGCAATAATTCTTATTTGGCAGTTCATTTTTAAAAATCTGTCCATATCCAGTTCATTCCTTCACCAATTGCACACACTTCTGTGTGCAATCAACTACATAGATTTGTTTTGTTTCAATATCCAGTGATTAGGGTTTCATTTTTTCTGACAATTTAAAATCTGAATTATTTGTGCCTTCTTTTTGTAGATATTGTTTTGTAATACATCACCTAATTTAGCCTTAATATCCATTCCCAATATTGTCAGAGACTGACCTTAAGGAACAATGTAAAACTTCTCTAAATTCAGTGTATTCATGCATTTGGCCAAAAGGTAATGAGCATTAGAGAGAAAAGAGGGATAACAGTGTTTCAGGTGGAGAAAATAGCATGCACAAATTTCTACATATGTTCTAAGGTGAGCAATGGGTTAGCTAGAGTATTGTTTACATGGCAACATATGGTAGGAGAAGAGATTGAAAATTTCAGTCCTTTTTGTGTATGCAACAAACATTTCTGAGCCCTTCCATGTGTTGGGCACTGCAGTAGGATTTGCAAATGCAAAGATGAATAAAACATTTTCGTGAATTTACAGTAGGATGGTAAACATGAGCTCCATTATATTCTTATATAAATACAGTCACACATGTAAATAGAGATTGTTTTGGAAGTGGGGAGAGGGAGGTAAAAAAAATCACAGCTTAGAGGTGGGAAAGCGTAAAATGTTCCAAAGAAAGAGAAGAGGGTGAGAAGCCAAGAAAGTCAGCATCTCAGGAGGAAAGCCCTGAGATGCTCTAGCATTTAAGATACCAGGTAGCTTTTAACAGTCTATGGAGCTTATGACAATTTAAAGATGAATCTATTTGGCTTTAGAAAGCTTTAGAAAATACATTGTTTTTGAAGACTCAGAGAATGATTACAGACAAAAATCACCACATTTAGTTGATTTCCCCTGTAGAATATGATATATTGTAATAATATCCTTCTTGTATCTTTGTGACCACATATGAATGAACTGAAAGTATAAAGGATCCCTGCTGTACAGGGACTGTGAAGACAAGGTAGGAGGCCAGTTTTTCCAAGGGGAATTTATTGGCTTTATAAGTCAACTTTAATTTTTTAAAATAGTCTATTTATATTTGAAATTATGCCATTCTAGTCAAAGCCTTGGTAAAATAATCAGCATCTCCAATTTTGTTATGTTACAAGAGAAAGCAGATTCGTATTGCACTTATGCAAATAACTACACTGCCATAAGTTGAGAATACTCACCAATAGTTTCTAAATTCTAGAGAAATCAGGTAGTAAGAAAACAACATGCTCTAAATTATGCTTACAGGAGTATAATTTACTCAATTGCTATAAATTGTGAATAGCTCAAAAGAAAAAAAAAGTTCTCTTGACTCTGAAAATAAAAGGATTACTAATGTTTAATATATCACCTCTCCATGAAAGTCTTAGAAATTTGTTTTTTTCTCTATTCTAATGGTACAATTTTAAAGTTATCAGAGATCTGCATTCAAGAGTACCTGGTCAGAGCTCTATAACTATAAATCACCTTTTGAAAAGGATTAAAACAAGACAACAATTGTCTGTGGGTGACAAAATTCTCAGGACAGCCATAGTTAAAAATGCATTAAATAAGGAAATCTTGTCATCTCTTTGACACACAGCAATTTAACATAAAAGTTATAATTATTACTGGTAACATATGCTGAGACAAAACAGAATTATAGAAATACTATGCAATTTTATAACACATTAATAGCATGTTACAAAAGAATACAGATTCTTATTGCACTTATGCAAATAACTACACTGATGTAAGTTGAGAATACTAACAAATAGTTTCTAAATTCTGGAGAAATAAGATATTTTCTAAATTCTGAAGAAATTAATTTTATATGAATATAACCCAAACTAAGTTAAAAACTGTATTATATTTGACAATGCTTTCTGTGTGATTTTAATACATCAAGTAAGCATAATATGTCTCTTTTGGACTTTAGAGGATCTAATTTTTTTTTACAACTTAACTCAGAATTCTATCTTGGAAAGTTTGTCAAGTATCAATGGTTTAAAACCATTGACATCACAAAATAGAATCCCAGGTCACCATAAGTCATTCATTTATTCAAAATGATAACTCAAAAATTTTAAAAGGGAAAAGACAATTTTTAAAATTTTTCTCCTCTCTATCAGAGAGGAGACTCAGCTTTCCAAACAGCAAGACTCAATGAAGATAGCATGAGGCCAACTGAATCTATTGCTTCTCTCTCTCTTCTCCTTTTTTTGCAGTTTACTTAAAAGGCAAACCAACAAAAATTTTTTACTGTCTCTCAATATTATATAAAAATCTTTTTCAAAAGAAAAATTCAAATTTTATTTTGGCATTAGTGCATTTTAAATGCTAAAGTTAGTTTTTAATAAAATTTTATAAATCTGTCCAGTTTTAATTAGTTTTAACACAAGGTAAGATTTTCATAAACTTTTTATAAATCTTTATAATTTTTTCTTGTTAAAGAATAATCAATGCTCCAAAAATAAAACTCTGTTTTATTGACATATGGGACCAGATTCTGGCCCTGTATCAGTGTGCTTTTGTTTGTTTTATTTTATTTTATTTTATTTTATTTTTAGACAGGGTCTCACTCTGTCACCCAGGCTTGAGTTAGGTAGTATGATCTCGGCTCACTGCAACCTCTGCCTCCCAGGTTCAAGCAATCCTCCTACTTCAGACTCCCGAGTAGCTGGGACTACAGGTGCATGCTACCACGCCTGGCTAATTTTTTGTATTTTTGGTAGAGATGGGGTTTCACTATGTTACCCAGGCTGGTCTTGAACTGTTTTAATATTTACATTATGGAAGAACTAAATAATATCCTTTTAATTTTAGTCAACTTGCTGACATACAGAATTCGTTACAAAGTTAATTGTTCACCAACCTTCTATAACTTGCTTAAACTTTCATTTGTATTTTATTTTTCAACTAAAAATAATTCTTAAACTTTCTAAATTAGACAAAATTAGTTTTTAAAAAAAATAATATTACCATGCCTTTTTATCAAAAAAACACAATTTTTCCTTTTAGTGTAAGCTATTTAAATTATGTACCAGGTTCAGAGTCTAGGATACAGGACAGAATTGCAGATAATTCTGACTCTTTCCAGCATAGCTAGGAGGCATGGATAACTCCACACGTACCCAGGCCCAACCTAGAAACTAATGGTTCCAAAGCAGATAAATTGAACAATTTTCAAAAGTCAAAGAAGCAGTTTATGACATTAAAGCATTTAGCAAATTTATTCTCTGACTTAATTTAGACCAAATGTCTATATTTTGAAGATATTTTTATTTTACCAATAATCTTTAACATTTTATTTACAAAAAAATTACTAAAGTCACATAAACTAAACAGCATTAGAGATTTTTTCTGTCAAAATATTTAAGTGCTTTCATTTTCTTTAAGCTGATTAATTAGAAATTCTTTATATAAACATCACACACAAAAAACACTTGTAAATACACAGACAAAAGAAGATCTAGCAGCTGTAAATTTTTCTTTCCTATTTTATGAACCCGATCACAACTTACACAGACCCTCTATGACATGCTTGGACTTTCTAACTTGTCTTATATTTCCCTCTTTCCTAAATAATTAGTCATTCTACTTTAGGACAATAATTTACCGTAAAAGATCCTTTATAATATAAAATTTCTTCCTTACCATAAGTATATCTTCATATCTGTAACTTTCTTTATATCTCTCTTCCTTACTAAAGTAATTTCTGATGCCCCTAAAATGCACAAAGATCAGGTAATCTAATGCAAAACAGAGCAGAGCCTTACATTTTGAGAAGGACCTGTCTGCTTGCAGTTCCTGGGGTTCCATGATAAAAACAGAGATTTCTCCCAAAATGAGTTCGTTTTCTTGGGAAAAATCTTCTCTGTTTTTCCCAAGGAATTCCAGGCTATCAGAAATTATCTTAGGAGTTCTTCTTTGGGCATGAAGAATGGCAAGAAGACAGACTGGGGAAATACTCCAGTCAACTGAGAAGAAAAATAAACAAATAAATTTTTTTTTTCAAAAAAATTTTTTTTCAAGAAGAGAAAAAGCATAAAGGCCTTTTAAATATATACATACCTTGGGCATCCACTTTTAATTAAGCTGATTTTAACACAGAGCTACTATTTATTTAAAAACTCTTATTACTAGACTCTAGCAAGGACAGACAGTCAATATTTCTGGATTTTGAATTTTACCACAGGTAATCTCCCATGTGAAATTAATAAGTCTTAACTAAGTTTATAACTTAACCATGGATGCATAAGATGTCTCAAAGGGATGGTAAGCAGTTTTTTGTTTTGTTTTGTGTTTTAGAAGATTTAGAATCTCCCCAAAAGCAGTTCAGAGACAGGAAAATTCAAGACAGGAAATCAGAAGCTGTCCATGGGGGAGAAAGAATCAATAACTGGCAAAAAGTTACGCAAATAATAAAGCAGAAATGACTCATTCCCTTAGCTAGGAATTAAACCCAGGACATGTTGTGAAAGAACAGAGCTTTAGCTATTGAGCTAAAGCACAGAGTAGCTACTGTTGCTCTTCCTAGAAGGGGTCTAGGACAGTCATTTTTGAACTTGCAAATGACTTAACTGCTCAAGAGAATTCTTAAGGCCAGACATGACACTATCATGTGTCCTTTCAGACTGGTCACCTGACATGAATCCCAGAATTCATGTTCTCTGGATGGTGGAGGCCATGAGAAGTTACCCCCACATGGTCCCAAAGTCAAGCTTTCTAGGACCTAAAACAAGATGAGAGGAATATCTCATCTGGTATTAGTTTTGGGGACCTGCAGCAAAGTTTGTAACTGATCAGTCAGACAGGCTGGCTTGAAGAACAGGCTTATAGGAGTCTGAAGCCCATGTTCAATTCTGTGATACCCCTCTCTCCATTACAGAATGACACAGAAAGACAAATTGATAGCACAAAGTACACCAGATTCGCTACAGCCTGAGACTAGTCTCACAAATCCTTTTTTTCTATTAAACAAACCCTTGCAGAGGAGACAGTGATGTTTACTATTCACACACAAACACACACACACACACACACACACAGACACACACACATGGAGGGCGGGGGGGCAGAAATCTGGATGGTAACAAATCCTTGTCCTTTTTGCTGGCATTTCTGAGTTCCCCTTTTTGGGCAGCTTCCGGAAGAATGGAGCAGCTTTTGATGACCCTGCTCACTGCCATAGCTGTGGGGGCAAGCCACATTATAAAAGAAAAGTATCATTTTCTGTTTTATGGAGCCATAGACAAAAGCCTCTCAGTTTTTCAAGATGCTGCCTAATGGGGTACATGGGGAACCGAATTAACATTTCCCATCCAAGCCAAAGCAAAATACACAAAACAAACACTAGTCACCTAATTTAGCACCCAATATCAATCTGGCAAAGCTCAAAGTTTCTCCTGCTGGTCCCTGTCATCTTTCATCTACTCCAGGTGGGAAGGGATGACCTCCTGACCAGGAACTCAGTAGGTGGTCTCTGGGTAAGATAAAGAACAAACAGTCACCTTAAGTCAGGCCTCTTGAGCTTCTGCTAACAATTCCTTTAAGGCTCACTGAATGTGACCACCCTTAAGGAGGGTTCTCAGGTTTAGGCCTGCTGGACTTCCATCAGCAATTCCTTCCAAGATCCCTTCCACATGTACAAATGCACATACAACAAAGACAAGGTTGACAGAAGGCCTTTCAAACCATGAGCCCTACCCAATAATTCCAAGAGTATTCCTTACAAACTAACCTCCTATTTAAGGAGGGTCGACGGAGACCCTGAAGGAGCTGAACCGAGACCCTGAAGAATCCAAACTGAGAACCCTGAAGGACCCAAACCAAGACCCTAAGGGAGCCATATCAATCAGGAGAAGGAAGTGTTAGTAGTGGCTAGAATAACCACCTGGCCAATTTAAAGACTTCTTTCCAGGAACTATTTCTCTATTGCAATTAAATCCATGAATCATGGTTCAGCAGTGCCCCACTGGTAGAGACAGTGCCAGAATCAGCCCCCCATCGAAGAGAACTAGGCAGCCACTTGGGCTGGCTTCTGGATATGTCACCAGAGAGGATCTATTGAGCAACAGGAAGGTAGCCACAAGGGTGGTCCCAAATGAGCCCCCAAATTTGTAACTGCCTAATTGGTTCACCTTGTTCATGGCCTAAACAGAGCCAATTTATCAATACAGAGAAATTGCAATGCAGAAAGAGTAATTCACGCAGAGCTGGGTGTGTGGGAGACTGAAGTTTTATTATTACTCAAATCAGTTTCCCCAAGAATTCGGGGATGGTACTTTTTAAGGATAATTTGGTGGGTTGGGGGCAAGTGAGTCAGGAGTTCTCATTGGTTGGGTCTGAAATGAAATCATAGAGAGTTGAAGCTGTCCTCTTGTGCTGGGTCATTTTCTGGGTGGGGGGCAAAAAATCAGATGAGTCAGTTTATCAATCTGGGTGGTGCCAGCTGATCCATTGAGTGGAGTCTGCAAAATCTCTCAAGCACTGATCTTAGGTTTTACAATAGTGACGTCATCCCCAGGAATAATTTGGGGAGGCTTAGAATCTTGCATAATTTCTAATCTTGTAGATAATTTATTAGTCCTCCAAAGGCTGTCTAGTCCCTAGGCAGAAAAGAGTTTTGTTTTGGGAAAGATCTGCTATCATCTTTCTTTCAAAGTGAAACTAGAAACTAACATCCTCCCAAAGTTAGTTCAGCCTACACACAGGAATGAACAAGGACAGCTTGCAGGTTCAAAGCAAGATGGAGTAAGTTAGGTCAGTTCTCTTTCACTGTAATAATTTTCTCAGTTATGATTTTTTGCAAAGGCAGTTTCATTAGTACTATGGTACAATTATCACAAGTTAGGAACCAAAGTCTGTACATTACTTCTAATTAAACTCCATAGGCTTATTTATTTAGGCTTCACTAGTTTTTTTAGTCTTTTTCTGTTAAATTTATTTGTTATGTCTTCTTAGCCTTCTCTGGGCTATGACAGTTTCTCAGACTTTCCTTTTTTTTGATGATCTTGAAAGTTTTGAGGAATGCTTCTCAGGTATTTTGTGGAACATCCCTCAATTTGTTTTCTTTTCATAATGTTTTTTCAGGGTTAGACTGGGGTTTGGGGTTCGTGGGAGGAAAACAACATAGATGAAGTGCCATTCTCATCACACATCAGAGAAAGGGGACATGTAATCAGCGTGACTTTTTACTGACGATAACCTTGTTCACCTGGTCAAGTTAGTAGTTGCCAGGTTTCTCAAATGTAAAGTTATTTTTTCTCTCATTCCATATTCTACTCTTTCATGGGTTAGTTAGGTTAAAGTATGTTCACGATGAAATGGTTCTAGAATGACATATTATTTCATCCTCCTTTTCTTCTAAGAATAACATCTTTTTCTTATCTAGCCAAAAATATTTAACCATTTACTCATTTGTTTTGTGTATGTAGTTCAATATTGCTTCTCTCTTTACTTTAAAATGTCAAATAGAATTCTGACCTTATTAATCCTCAGCATGAATGTTTATGCATCATTTGATTGTTTCTATTCATGATATAGCAAGTGATGGTTATAAACTTACTCATTCTTTAAAGTCACTATTCCTGCACTTTGTATTTGGGCTACTATTCCTGGGTCTATGATATACTCTTTGGGCCTAAAGAAGGCATTGAATGATAATACTGTTGCTGCTCCTGTTGTATAACACAGGACTGGAAGATGATCCCCACTAGAATATCAGGTCTCTTGTCTGTATAACTCCTTCTTCCAGGTGGCTGAGTAGGATTATCTAAATCAAGCCCCTTTTCCTGGCATCTCCACCATGGCCCGAGCACCTAGATGTACTTCTCCGAGTTAATGTTAGGGCAGTGAGTTGACTTAACAATATAAATAGTGTAGAGGCCAAGGGGGACCCTATAAAGGTTCCCTGAAAAATCAACTTGCAAAAGACAGATTAATAGGAAAAAAGACATACAAATGTATGTAATGTATATACACAGGAACCTTCAGAATGAAGACCATCTGATACAGGGGAAATTGTCCATTTTTACGCTTAGGTTCAACAAAGTATAAACCAGTCACGTAGAAATGTGATTGGACAAAAATGGTGTGATCTAATGGTAAGAGTTGGAATAGGGAAACCCAGCAATGCCTGAGTATTTAGATTCTTCTTGACCTCTCAGAGCATGAATTCCTTTCTTCATGTGAAGGAAGGACCCTGTCTGGAATAGGGCCTTATGACCTACAGTCAAACAAGGTAGGTCAGATTTTTCTTAATGACCAGTTTTTACATGAAAAGGTAGAAGGAAAGCTAGAGTAATATTTTTATGTTTTATGTCTGGCTTTGGGAAAAAGGAGTTCTGGTTTCTATGATGTGCCTTAGGAAAGATGGAGTCTAATTTCTATGGCTAGCCTCAGGGTACAATGGGACTGAGAAACAGAAAGTCAGAAGGTCAGAGAAAAAACTTTTGCTTATGAGGCCTTCATTTTAGGTTATTGTTTTCTGAGCCCCAACAATATCAATAATCCCTTTACTGCTGGTGCTTGCATTATTGTGCTCATTCCAAGGCATATATTCAGGGGCTTTTCAATGCATTGTCATAAAAATGCAAGCCCACCAGGATTGCTAAATTCTTCCTTAACATACCAAATAAATCTTTCAAATTACTGAATATAGTGTACAATATTTAAGCATTTTCTCTGCTTTTCTCGGGGTTTATGCTACTCTTGGAATCACTCAGATTTTCAAACTTCAAGACTTCACTCAGATTGCCAGTTTATCTTTATTGATTCAGGGGCTGGCTAATGAGACCTTTATTTTAACCGTTAACTACCTTTGGAAGTCAGTTGTTCTTGCCTTTGTTTTGCAAGGCTAGAGCTCAGTTATTGCTGCTTGGCCTGTTAAAGTAAGGGGTAGGTAGCAGGAGACTACAAGATTAAGAATAGTTGTCACAGAACAGATAGGTGATGAAGCAAAGACCCACTAGTGACTGCTCCTGAAATCAGTTTTGCTTTTTTAAAAAAAATGGGGGTTGATGTGCAACTCAGGTATTTTCAGGGCATCAGCAATAGCTTTGACTTGAATGTGTTTCTCCTTTTTAAAACTCTGTTCCGATGCAAGTAATCGATATTGTAGTTTAGGTGAAAAAATCCTTTTTGACAAAAGATCCAAGATTGATCACCCAGATCAATACCATTTTTAAGAACAATTCATCAAGATCGTATTTAAAGAGAGACCATAATGCATTTAAACTGTTAATAATACAAACCATTCCCCCTCCTCTCTTCCCTGTGGATTATCTATTTTTCCCCCAATGGAGCAGTAGATTTCATAGTAGAGGATAATGCCACACAATTTCCTAGGGGTTAAAGTAGGATAAAAATTCTTCCAAGTTGTTGTTACTCTCCTCTCCCCTGTTTACCTTACAGCTCTATGTTGTTCCTAGTTTTAAATGAACTCTGTTGTTCTCACAATACTAGAAGTTCTGGAATCTTACATTTTCTTGGTCTTATTAAAACTGAGAACACCCATCCTGGAAGAAAATGAAGACAGAGAAATCTGGAGATTTATTGCAATCAGGCTCTTATACTTTTCAATCAGTAGCCTCTCTAGGGGTAGGTGTGATTGCCTTGGTAATTCAGGCAAAAGCATATTTTTGGCCTGAATAACTTTGGTAATTGTGACTGTTGATCCAGTTTAGTGGAGGATGAAAACTGTCCTTGTATGTCAGTGTGTAGTTCTAATCATCATAACAATGAGAAGTAGTGACTAGCCATTACTGAAGCTCAAAATTGTTTAAGGCAGTACATTTCCCCCAACATCTTTCAGAACTAAATAATCATTCATCTGCCCAGAATACAAAGCTAACTTGAAAACCCAGAGATAAGAGTGGTCTTCCAGACCTTTTCTGGAGGGGGCAGGCATTCTTGCTGAAAATATGAGGAAAGTGAAAAAAAGGTAAATGGACAATCTGGGCCAGATATAAGGTCTGTAACAGCTATCAATTAGTAGCTTTAAAATAGTTTCTAACTCTTGTGTGGGTGAATTTGAGATTGCCATTGGCTTGAAGAGGATCCACAGTAATCCCATGGTGTTTGTCTTGGAATTCAAGTGTCATTTTCAAAGCTCTTTCTGTATGCTCTATCTCAGTGTGTCTTTCTTTAGATTTCGTTATTTGCATTGCCCAAGGCGGCCAAGAGGTACTCTATGAAAACTAAAGATTGATGTAACTCTGGCCAAGTTAAATTGCATGCTGATTTAGGATAACAAAAGACCAAAAATATAACTGATGTATTACTTTTTATTAGCAAGAGATTCATTACAAAAGAGTTTATGAATTGTAGGAAAAAGTATTGTGTAAGTTTTTTTTTTTTTTTTTTTTTTTTTTGAGATAGGGTCTCACTCTGTCGCCCAGGCTGGAGTGCAGTGGCGCGATCTCGGCTTACTGCTGCCTTGACTTCCCTGGGCTCGAGTGACCCTCCCACCTCAGCCTCCCGAGTAGCTGGAATTACAGGTGCACATCATCATGCCTGACTAATTTATTTATTTATTTTTTATTTGCAGAGATGAGGTTTTGCCATGTTGCCCAGACTGTCTCAAACTCCTGAGCTCAAGCAATCCACCTGCCTCAGCCTCCCAAAGTGCTGGGTTTATAGGCACGAGCCACCACACTCAGTTTTGTGTAAGTAATTTTAATAGGCATCAGGCAAATTGAGGTTGAGGTAACTTATGGAGCATTTTGGATTGGTATAGTACTGTTTCAAATAATACTTAGTTAATTTGGAAAGTTTTACATGTTCCCTTGTTTAGAGTTTTTTAGAAGAGAGTAGAAAAAGACTTTTTCGGAATACATGATAGATTTACCAATGACAATTCTGCTTTCCATGGGTTGTAAAGCCACTCTGCTTTGCTTTTCCTGTAACGATCTTCAGTGAGAAAAAAGTAAATTGCTCAGTCCTTTAATAATTTTTTTCTCGGGCTTTCTGTCATTTATGAATGAGATTACAAGTGGCTCTCTTGTGTCTTACGCCTCAATGCAATGCACTAAAGCACAAGGGAAAGTGAGTCATAGGTGGCCTTTGGAATGACACTGTGTTTCAGGAAGGTCATCCATTCTTACTTTCAGCTGATCTCTTCTATTCTTGTGCGTTTACTGTTGACTCAGGATGATAAAGTTTGTCCTTTGAGAGTTCAATATTCCTTTTCGGAATGTTTTGTTTTTCTTAAAGGGAATTGTAAACTGTTCCCCATAAGCATTTAAAAAAATGGAAAATGCCGTGTGTGAGTAGACTTAGTTGTCCTGTAACTCTTCCTATTTCATTTGCCTGTAGCATTTTGGGATCTAAAAGGTTTTGATATTTATATGGTTTTTGACTCTTAATGGAACTAAGGACAAATAGCTTTCTAGAATCTAGGATATTGTTTCTCAACTTTTTTTTTTTTCCAAAATGTCTGCAACTTTCTTCTTCTCACTGTCATAGAACAGGCCCATTCCATCCTCTCCAATTACTTTTTCATATTCTTGAGAAAGAAACACATGTTGCTTATTTTAGAAATGACTAGATTCTTACTAAAGCTATATAACTTTTGAGAAAACAAAAGAACTTTTATCTAATGAATGCAAGTTCTTTTAATTATCAGGCCCAGAGAGATGTGAAAATGAGACCACAATCATGTCCTACTCCCTCCTTTAAGCTAATGTATTCCTCTCTTGAAACTGTTTGCTATTGCCACTAGTAGCTATAAATTAACTTAATGACACCACACCTAACACTATAACCCACACCCTATAGCTTAACAATATATAGCCAATCACTAATCAATGTTCTTTCTGTAAACCAGTGAGAATTCCTGACAACTTTGTCATAGCCCACTTCCTGCCCTTCATGTTTGCCTTTAAAAATCCACTTTTAACTGCCGTTAATCAGGGTGTATATTCAGAGCGAGTTGAATCTATGCTTTCAGGTTGTAATCCTCAAGCTTGGCTCTAACACTCTACTTATATTAATTTTGCCTCAGCTTCTTCCTTTTAGGTTGACATATCTGGCATAGTTGGCAGGATTCAGAGTGACTTCCCCCACCTACCTTGTGTTTCTCTCTGAAAGAAGCACTTGGTACCAGCATGATCAGTATATCTTCAGAAGTTCCATTGGATGTTTCGTGTTTGGGTGGATTCTCCTAAGTTTGGAACTCCTACTTTATCATTAAAGGTCTAGACTTTATTTCAGTTGTTTTTCAAAACTTCTCTTTCATTTAAGAGTGGGGGCTTCAGTCTCTGTCTTTGGACAGGAGATTTGGTAAAGAGCTCTGGAGAGAACTGCCTTTTTTCTGCTTCTCAAGATGGGATTTGGATCAATGTTTTTCTGCTACTGTCTCATAGCAGAGGTGTGGGCCAAAGAATTGGCAGTTAGGCACCAGTGGTCTTGTTTTATATGGAATGGTTTTTTAAAAATTGCAGCTGTCTTTCTATTTTTGAAATCTGGTCTTGATTTTTCATTTGTGACCAACTTCTATTAGTTAAACCCAGCTGGTTTATGTACAACACTTATGGGGTATCCTCTTACAGATATCTAGGAAAGTGGACCCACCTAATTGGGGATGGTCATAAACAAAAATGACCAAAAGAAAATGGGGATCTTTTGAAATACCTAAAATAATTTATTTGCATGCACAATTGGTAAAAGCTGGTTTTAGAACCAGACACGTTAAATAGGAGAATTACTTCCAATGGCAACCGAAAAGTTTCTAAAAGAAATTCTGAGAAAATTGCCTTCATTCAGGAGGTAAACAAAATATATCTATCATCACCACCTAAGGAAATTCCCTAGGTCTTTGACCCCTTCCCTGATACTCCTATTGTGGCAGTCCCAGAGTCTCTATGATTCCCTTCTGTTTCTGGGGGCTGCCTGATTCTTGAAACATTTTTTGCTTAACTAAAAAGACCACCCAGGTCTGGTGATTCCCAGGCATGGTGGCTGACTCCTGTAATCCCAGCACTTTGGGAGGCTGAAGTGGGCAGACTGCTTGAGCCAGGAGTTCCAGAGCAGCCTAGGCAACTATAAACCCTATCTCTACAAAAGAAATACAAAAATTAGCCAGGCGTGGTAGTGCATGCCTGTAGTCCCAGCTACTCGGGAGGCTAAGGTGGAAGGATGGCTTGAACCCAGGAGGTCGAGGCTGCAGTGAGGGGTATCCAAAAGATACAGTTGGTGCCTAGCTGACAATTGTGTAGTGCAATAAAACAGATAATTAAGAGATTAATAGTCTTTAAAAGAGGGAAATGAATAAAACTAAAGCCACAGCATCATAAATGCAGATTCAACAAATTTTTCCTAAATCAGGCCTAATGGCTGACCCTGATGTTGAAATGCTAACATGGAGGGAATTAGCTAAGCAACATTCTAGCTGAGATCAGATCTGAAACTAGTTAAATTCCTATAAAAGCCCAAATTGCCTGCTTTGGATGTCCTGCAAGACTGATTTTAAAAAGCAAGCAAGAAAAGCACTCCACCTTGTTATCTAGTGTCTAGGATTTGATGCTTTCATTGCCATGGCCTGAGTTTAATTCCTGGTAAGAGAACTGTTTACTTTTGGTTTGACATTTGTGTGACTTCACTTTTTAGGATATTGCTTTGTCACTTGGGAGGGTACGTTTGATTAAAAAAAATCAGAAACTAGAAATATCAGCTGTTCATCCTCCCTAAAATCTGATAATAAGAGATTTGAAGGAACTTTGTAAAGAGCTATATAGTCAGAAGTTGGCTTAATTAAAAGCTAATATTAAAGATACACATATATCTTGAATATTATCTCTATATATATATCTCGTATATATATTTCATATAAGCACATTAATATATGCTTAAGTACCAAATGAGATATACACACATGCACACACACAGCATATATAAGCTTACATGTATATAAGGTCTTCCTGCTTTTTGTCTTTGGGTCCTGTTTTGGAGATTTTTTTTCCAGTGCAGTAAAATCCTTTTAAAATTATGTGCTTGGTTTCTCTGTTCACTTCCTTTCTTACTTTCTTAAAAATTGTTCGGGAAGTGGCTGGTGAGATGGCCAAATAGGAATAGTTCCAGTCTGCACCTCCCAGCGAGATCAACGCTGAAGGTGGGTGATTTCTGCATTTCCAACTGAGGCACCTGGCTCATCTCATTACCTGGCTCATCTCATTGGGACTGGTTATACAGTGGGTGCAGGCCACGGAGGGCAAGCCAAAGCAGGATGGGGTATCATCTCACCTGGGAAGCACAAGGGGTCAGGGGACTCCCTCCTCTAGCCAAGGGAAGCCGTGAGGGACTGTGCCATAAGGAATGGTGCATTCCAGTCCAGATACTATGCTTTTCCCACAGTCTTCATGACCCACAGACTAGGAGATTCCCTCAAGTGCCTACACCAGCAGGGCCATGGGTTGCAAGCACAACACTAGGTGGCTGTTTGGGCAGACATACCGAGCTAGCTGGAGGAGTTTTTTTTTTTTTTTTTTTCATAACACATTGGCACCTGGAACACCAGTGAGACAGAACCGTTCACTCCCCTGGAAAGGGGGCTGAAGTCAGGCAGCCCAGTGGTCTAGCTCAGCAGATCCCACCCCCATGGAGCGCAGTAAGCTAAGATCCACTGGCTTGAAATCCTCGCTGCCAGCACAGCAGTCTGAAGTCAACCTGGGACACTCAAGCTTGGTGAGGGGAGGGATGACTGCCATTACTGAGGCTTGAGTAGGTGGTTTTCCCCTCACAGTGTAAACAAAGCCACCAGGAAGTTCGAACTGAGTGGAGCCCACCACAGCGCAGCAAAGCCGCTGTATCCAGATTTCCTCTCTAGATTCCTCCTCTCTGGGCAGGGTATCTCTGAAAGAAAGGCAGCAGCCCCAGTCAGGGGCTTATAGATAAAACTCCCATCTCCCTGAGACAGAGCACCTGGGGGAAGAAGCGGCTGTGGGTGTAGCTTCAGCAGACTTAAATATTCCTGCCTGCCGGGCCTAAAGAGAGCAGCAGATCTCCCAGCACAGTGCTCAAGCTCTGCTAAGGGACACACTGCCCCCCCCAAGGGGGTCCCTGATCCCTGTGCCTCCTGACTGGGAGACACTTCCTAGCAGGGGTTGACAGACACCTCATACAGGAGAGCTCTGGCTGGCATCTGGCAGGTGTCCATCTGGGACGAAGCTTCCAGAGGAAGGAACAGGCAGCAATCTTTGCTGTTCTGCAGCCTCCGCTGGTGATTCCCAGGCAAAAAGGGTGTGGCGTGGACCTCCAGCAAACTCCAGCAGACCTGCAGCAGAGGGGCCTGACTGTTAGAAGGAAAACTAACAAACAGAAAGGAATAGCATTAACAACAACAAAAAGGACGTCCACACAGAATCCCCAATCTGAAGGTCACCAACATCAAATACCAAAGGTAGATAAATCCATGAAGATGAGGAAAAAACAGCGCAAAATGACTGAAAATTCCCAAAACCAGAATGCCTCATTTACTCCAAAGGATCACAACTCCTCACCAGCAAGGGAAGAAAACTAGATGGAGAATGAGTTTGACATATTGACACAAGTAGACTTCAGAAGGTGGGCAATAACAAACTCCTCCGAGCTAAAGGAGCATGTCCTAACCCAATGCAAGGAAGCTAAGAACCTTGAAAAAACGTTAGCGGAATTGCTAACTAGAATAACCAGTTTAGAGAAGAACATAAATGACCATATGGAGCTAAAAAACAGAGCATGATAACTTTGTGAAGCATGCACAAGTATGAATAGCCAAATCAATCAAGTGGAAGAAAGGATATCAGAGATTGAAGATCAAATTCATGAAGTAAAGCGTGAAGACGAGAGAAAAAAGAATGAAAAGGAACGAACAAAGCCTCCAAGAATATGGGACTATGTGAAAAGACCAAACCTACATTTGATTGGTGCACCTGAAAGCGACGGAGAGAATGGAACCAAGTTGGAAACCACTTTTCAAGATACTATTCAGGAGAACTTCCCCAGCCTAGCAAGACAGGCCAACATTCAAATTCAGGAAATACAGAGAACACCGCAAAGATACTCCTTGAGAAGTGCAACCCCAAAACACATAATTGTCAGATTCACCAAGGTTGAAATGAAGGAAAAAATGTTAAGGGCAGCCAGAGAGATAGGTTGGGTTACCCACAAAGAGAAGCCCATCAGACTAACAGCGGAACTCTCTGCAGAAACCCTACAAGCCAGAAGAGAGTGGGGGCCAAAATTCAACATTCTTAAAGAAAAGAATTTTCAACCCAGAATTTCATATCCAGCCAAACTAAACTTCATAACCAAAGGAGAAATAAAATCCTTTACATACAAGCAAATGTTGAGAGATTTTGTCACCACCAGGCCTGCCTTACAAGAGCTCCTGAGGAGAGCACTAAATATGGAAAAGAAAACCTTGTACTAGCCGCTGCAAGAACATACCAAATTGTAAAGACCGTCGATACTATGAAGAAACTGCATGAACGAATGGGCAAAATAGCCAGCTAGAATCATAAAGACAGGATCAAATTCACACATAACGATACTAACCTTAAAGGTAAACCGGCTAAGTGCCCCAGTTAAAAGACATAGACTGGCAAAGATTCAAGACCCATTGGTGTGCTGTATTCAGGAGACTCATCTCACGTGCAAAGACACACATAGGCTCAAAATAAAGAGATGGAGGAAGATTTACCACGCAAATAGAAGGGAAAAAAAAAAGCAGGAGTTGCAACCCTAGTCTCTGATAAAACAGACTTTAAATCAACAAAGATCAAAAAAGACAAAGAAGGGCATTACATAATGGTAAAGGAATCTAGAAGAGCTAACTATACTAAATATATATGCACCTGATACAGGAGCACCCAAATTCATGAAGCAAGTCCTTAGAGACCTACAAAGAGACTTAGACTCCCACACGATAATAATGGGAGACTTTAACACCCCACTGTCAATATTAGACAGATCAGTGAGACAGAAAGTTAACAAGGATATTCAGGATTTGAATTCACCTCTGGACAAAGAGGACCTAATAGACATCTACAGAACTCTCCACCCCAAATCAAAAGAATATACATTCTTCTCAGCACCACATCGCACTTATTCTAAAATTGACCACATAATTGGAAGTAAAATACTCCTCAGCCAAAGGAAAAGAATGAAAATCATAACAAACAGTCTCTCAGACCACAGTGCAATCAAATTAGAACTCAGGATTAAGAAACTTACTCAAAACCACACAACTACATAGAAACTGAACAACCTGCTCCTGAATGACTACTGGGTAAATAAAGAAATTAAGGTAGAAATAAATTAGTTCTTTTAAACCAATAAGAACAAAGACACAATGTACCAGAATCTCTGAGACACAGATAAGGCAGTGTTTAGTGGGAAATTTATAGCACTAAATGCCCACAGGAGAAAGTGGGAAACATCTAAAATCGACACCCTAACATCACAATTAAAAGAGCTAGAGAAGAAGGAGCAAACAAATCCAAAAGCTAGCAGAAAACAAGAAATAACTAAGATCAGAGCAGAACTGAAGGAGATAGAAACATGAAAAACCCTTCAAAAAAATCAACAAATCCAGGAGCTAGTTTTTTGAAAAGATTAACAAAATAGATAGACCACTAGCCAGAAGAATAAAGAAGAAAGAGAAAAGAATCAAATAGACATAATAAAAATGATAAAGGGCAGATCACCACTGATACTACAGAAATACAAACTACCATCAGAGAATACCATAAACACCTCTATGCAAAGAAACTAGAAAATCTAGAAGAAATGGATATATTCCTAGACACATATACCCCTCCCAAGACTAAACCAGGAAGAAGTCAAATACCTGAGTAGACCAATAATAAGTTCTGAAATTGAGGCAGTAATGAATAGCCTACCAACCAGAAAAAACCCAGGACCAGACGGATTCACAGCCAAATTCTACCAGAGGTACAAAGAAGAGCTGGTACCATTCCTTCTGAAAGTCTTCCAAACAATAGAAAAAGAGAAACTCCTCCCTAACTCATTTTATGAGGCCAGCATCATTCTGATACCAAAACCTGGCAGTGACACAACAAAAAAAGAAAATTTCAGGCCAATATTCCTGATGAACATCGATGTGAAAAACCTCAATAAAATACTGCCAAACAGAATCCAGCAGCACATCAAAAAGCTTTTGCACCACGATCAAGTCAGCTTCATCCCTGTGATGCAAGGCTGGTTCAACATATGCAAATCAATAAACGTAATCCATCACATAAACAGAACCAATGACAAAAAACACATGATTATCTCAATAGATGCAGAAAAGGCCTTTGATAAATTTCAACAGCCCTTTATGCTAAAAACTCTCAATAAACTACGCATTGATTGAATGTATCTCAAAATAATAATAACTATTTATGACAAACCCACAGCAAATATCATACTGAAGGGGCAAAAGCTGGAAGCACTCCCTTTGAAAACCGGCACAAGACAAGGATGTCCTCTCTCACAACTGCTGTTCAAAGTTCTGGCCAGGGTAATCAGGCAAGAGAAATAAATAAAATGTATTCAAATAGGAAAAGAGGAAGTCAAATTGTCTCCGTTTGCAGATGACATGATTGTATATTTGGAAAACCCCATCGTCTCAGCCCAAAATCTCCTTAAGCTGATAAGCAACTTCAGCAAAGTCTCAGGATACAAAATCAATGTGCAAAAATCACAAGCATTCCTATACACCAATAATAGACAAACAAAGAGCCAAATCATGAGTGAAATCCCATTCACAATTGCTACAAAGAGAATAAAATACCTATGAATACAACTTACAAGGGAGATGAAGGACCTCTTCAAGGAGAACTGCAAACCACTTCTCAAGGAAATAAGAGAGGACACAAACAAATGGAAAAACATTCCATGCTCATGGATAGGAAGAATCAATTTCGTGAAAATGGCCATAGTGCCCAAAGTAATTAATAGATTCAATGCTATCGCCATTAAGCTACCATTGACTTTCTTCACAGAATTAGAAAAAACTACTTTAAATTTCACATGGAACCAAAAAAGAGCCCATATAGCCAGACAATCCTAAGCAAAAAGAAGAAAGCTGGAGGCATCACGCTACCTGACTTCAAAATATACTACAAGGCTACAGTCATCAAAACAGCATGGTACTGGTATCAAAACAGATATATAGACCAATAGAATGGAACAGAGGCCTCAGAAATAACGCCACACATCTATAACCATCTGATTTTTGACAAACCTAACAAAAACAAGCAATGGGGAAAGGATTCCCTATTTAATAAATGGTATTGGGAAAACTGGCTAGCCATATGCAGGCAACTGAAACTGGACCCCTTCCTTACATGTATAAATTAACTTGAGATGGGTTAAAGACTTAAATGTTAGACCTAAAACCATAAAAACCCTAGAAGAAAACCTAGGCAATACCATTCAGGACATAGGCATGGGCAAAGACTTCATGACTAAAACACCAAAAGCAATGGCAACAAAAGCCAAAATTCACAAATGGAATGTAATTAAACTAAAGAGCTTCTGCATAGGAAAAGAAACTATCATCAGAGTAAACAGGCAACCTACATAATGGGAGAAAATTTTTGCCAACTATCCCTCTGACAAAAGGCTAATATCCAGAATCTACAAGGAACTTAGACACATTTACAAGAAAAAAAAAAAACCCTTCAAAAAGTGGGCAAAGAATACGAACAGATACTTCTCAAAAGAAAACATTTATGCAGCCAACGAACATATGAAAAAAGCTCATCATCGCTGGTTATTAGAGAAATGCAAATCAAAATCACAATGAAATACCATCTCATGCCAGTTAGAATGGTGATCATTAATAAGTCAGGAAACAACAGATGCTGGTGAGGATGTGGAGAAATGGGAATGCTTTTACACTGTTGGTGGGAGTGTAAATTAGTTCAACCATTGTGGAAGACAGTGTGGTGATTCCTCAAGGATCTAGAACTACAAATACCATTTCACCCAGCAATCCCATAACTGGGTATACACCCAAAGGATTATAAATCATTCTACTATAAAAACACAAGCACATGTATGTTTATTGCAGCACAATTCACAATATCAAAGGCTTGGAACCAATCCAAATGCCCATCAATTATAGACTGGATAAAGAAAATGTGACACACATATACCATGGTATACTATGCAGCCATAAAAAGATGAGTTCATGTCCTTTGCAGGGACATGGATGAAGCTGGAAACCATCATTCTCAGCAAACTAACACAGGAACAGAAAACCAAACAGTGCATGTTCTCACTCAAGTGAGAGTTGAACAATGAGAACACATGGATATAGGGAGGGTAACATCACACAATGGCGCCTGTTGAGGGGTTGGGGGAAAGGGGAGGGATAGCATTAGGAGAAGTACCTGATGGGTGCAGCAAACCACCATGGCATGTGTATACCTATGTAACAAACCTGCACATCCTGCACATGTATCCCAGAAGTTAAAGTATAATAAAAATAAATAAATAAATATTCTTCCATTTATATCTACTACTCTATTCCTCTTTGCTGTCTTCAATGCTACATAAAAGTATCTAACGGTGAACACCTTAGACTGAAACTGGACCCCTTCCTTACATCTTATACAGAAATTAACTTGAGATGGATTAAAGCCTTAAATGTTCGTATTCTTTGCCCACTTTTTGAAGGGGTTGTTTGTTTTTTTCTTGTAAACGTGTTTAAGTTCCTTGTGGATTCTGGATATTAGCCCTTTGTCAGAGGGATAGTTGGCAAAAATTTTCTCCCATTCTGTAGGTTGCCTGTTTACTCTGATGATAGTTTCTTTTCCTATGCTGAGTTAAGGTTTCTGAACTCAGAAACCTTAAGAAACACAAAAAAAGTCAGCACCGTCCTCTTTTTGGAGTCTTCTGTCTTCCTGTGGTGAAGACTGAGAGTTGTGAACAGATTCCTCTCAGTCTAAAACTCTACTCTCTTTTTGTATTGCATTACCTGATCTCTTTGGCTTTTGAGGGTACCAGAGATTACTTTGTACTGCGAGAGAGGACTTGACTTTGGTGTGTGTGATGATTGTTGAGAACAGCAGCTTTGGAGGTGGTTGAGGGCAGTTGTTTACAGTAAATTTTTATTACTACAAGGGGGCTACTCCTTTCCCTGCACATTTAGATAAGAAGCACACAGTTTGAACACTTACAAAAATGTCTTTTTAGTAAAGTACACTGTGAAAATGTTGCATGCATTTCCCTTTATTTGGGGAGCCAGGATCCAATGTAAAATTGGAATTTTTTACCTTTAAAGGTCTAAAGACTCTACCTTCCAACTGCACCTGCTTTTCACATATTTAAATTATTAGGCCCTACAAACTGCAAAAGCTTTGTTGGCCCTCTTGTTTCATGGGCTCTGCCTTGCACTCAGTTGTCCAGTTGAAAAACAGACTAAATTAAAAGCTACCTATCTAAATGAAATTGATCTCCTTATATAATTCTATAGTAAATCCCTCTTGGTGTTACCTTGGCATCCATTTTTAATCTTCCTCTACCACACCGAAACTTCTTCTTGAGAAAGCAAAAATTCTGTCTTCCTCTGTCCTTTGAGATATAAATTGCTACCATGCTTTCTTTGAAACTCAGTAAGGGCTTGGACCCTGTGGGACAAATAATCTTTAGCCTGTTCCATTTATAAAGGCATAGTTTTAATCCAACTATTCTTTTAAACTAGAGTTTTACTGGTCTTATAGATAAAATTGTAAAGTCAAAACTATAAAGTTTTTGTGTCTGTCTGTGTCTTTATATGCACATGTGTACTTGTCTGTCTGTATACTGTCTACATAGGTATGAAACTGACTCATAAATAAATAAGTAGTCATAAATTAAGTAAAGAAGTCCAAACACTTTTCACATTAACATGACTTTAGTGATTTTTGGTAAATACAGATAGTTTTTAAATTGTTTGTAAAATAAAATAGGAATGTCTTTAGAATTTAATTTAGACATTTTTGCCTGCATCTATTTTTCAGACAGGTTTATGTTGTCTCCACTAGCGTTTTAAAGTCATAAAACTGTTGATTCTGTAGTACTTTTGGTACTTGCTTAATTTATCTGTGAGTTAAAGCTGTTAGGGCTGACTGCTAGGATTCTCCAAAGCCTTACCTACATCTTACCATGATATTTTCTTAATTCTAAGTGTTTAGATTCTGAGACCTAGACAAGTGACTCCAGTGAGACCTCAGGACAATACTCAGGGCCCATCATTCCTAGCCCACCTGTGTTTCTTGGCCATGCTGGGAGGGGTTAGATCCTCCAGGCATTGTCTTCACAGCTCTGTCCTTTGTCCTGGACCCTGCATCTAGTACCTAATTAAAATTGCCCACTTCCTAAGTTTTTCACTAAATATAAGGGTTACTAAGAGTTAACATTAATATATGTGATTAAAACTACTAGATATAAAATAAATAATTCTATATGCAAAGGGTATAAGGAAAAGTAAGATATGTTTCTGATAAGAAAGCTTATAAGACAGACGAGGGTTCACCCCACCCACAAAAACCTTTTTAGGGGGGAATCTAGGTTGCATTGTGTTAGCCCTTTTACAATCTATTTTCTTGTCATCTGATTTGTGCTGTTTCACTTGGAGCACCTTTTCAACAGTGTC
This sequence comes from Homo sapiens, assembly GCF_000001405.40. Classification (NCBI taxonomy): domain Eukaryota; kingdom Metazoa; phylum Chordata; class Mammalia; order Primates; family Hominidae; genus Homo; species Homo sapiens. The sequence continues at coordinate 95,610,828 of NC_000023.11, read as the reverse complement.
ACTATCTTTGAAAAGTACAAATCCAAACCCCCTGAATAGCTCAGTGTCTGAGAAGGTTTTAATCGTGAAGTGTAAGATCTTGCCAAATTGAGACAAGTATTAGAGAAGAGCTGGCTTACGAAATTATGGGATAGTCCCCCAATGAACATCTTCCTGGTATCCTGCTAAGTCTTGCTGGCTGCAATTCTGAACCCTTCAGGAAATTGTTCTGTTTCATCGAGTTTTCTTACGGAAAAGCCGATGGCAGCCATAGTATCAAAGCAGGTGTTGGCAATGTTGGTGAATAGCTTGGCTAAAACTCAACTGACAGAGGTGGAACATGGAAATTGGTGGGGGAGGTGACAAAACAGGGACGTGGTGACATAGGAATAATGCAGTGAGTGGTTTAAATGCAGGCAGAACGTGTGTAATAATGCATTGCTATGTTAAGTGCAGTTTCCGTTTTGTTCTGGTTTTAGAAAAAAATTACACAGCTTATTATAACTGTCTCCATTTTCAAGTTATTTGTATATCATAATTAAATAAATTTTATCTTCAGAAGGCCACAACTATAGGGAAGTAGAACCTAGAGATCTTACTTACAGAAATTTGATAAACATAATTGCAGTTAGTTTTTGACCTATAAGGTCACAGATTACATTCTCATTTTTAAAGATTTAAGTTATTTAAAAACATCTTAGACATTCAAAATTATAAAAGATGCTGCCTTAGATAACAAGGATCTGAATAATAGGTTTATTAACTTTATAGAACTGACATGTACCAGCAAAAATAGAAACTGGCAGCCAATTGTTTGGGAGTACACAAAAGGAGATTTCCTGATTGAGCATTATTATTTTTTCTCTCAATAACAAAAGGTCTCATTTAGGGAGAAATTTTATGCCAATTACTGGTAATGAATTACTTTATTAAAAATAAAATGAGAGGGGCCTGCTTTCACTTAGTAAACCTCAATGTTACATTTACATTTTTCAGGGAGAGTTTTCTTTTTCCTCAGATACAGAATAGCTATTTTTTTAAATGTGAAATTAATTTTTAATTTTCCTGTTGGCTTATTCTCTATTTCTGTATCTTCCTCTGTGTCCCTATCTCTGCAGTTATTGCTATGTTATACAGTAGTAAATTATGTATTTTAATGCTGAAACACATTGGATCAATGATTTAATGCAACTTTTGAACTGATGCCTGGTATGTTATATTTAAATACATTGGTCCCTAGAAGTTTGCAGTTTAATTGCTGTAAAATCTGTTTGGATAACATCCTAGTGAGTATTCCTTCACTATAAAATATATAGGTTACATTATCAGGTAGTAATCTAATCCCATGGATTATCCAAGAGCATTCTGAAATTAAGCTTTTCAATAAATAATAATTGATCCACATTACTGATGTCTTTATTAAATTGATGCTTTGAGTGAAGAAGTACCGTAATACAAATATGTTAGAATTGAAGACTAATTTGAGACATTATACTCAGAGATTCATAATTACCAAGAAATCCTTTTAGGAAGTTTTATTAGACTTTCAGGAGATCGTCTATAGTTCCAGGGAAGAGTTGGGTCAGCAGACATGGCTGCTTGGGAGGCTATGAAATTTGTGCTACTTCCAGAATGACTTTTTATATGTAAATAGAAAGCCACACCCAGACACATCCCAAGGCAAGATCTCTTTGGAATTGGTGGATAGGCCATAAAAGCAAAGCAATGTAGTGCAAATACCACTGAACTGGGAACTGAAAAACTTGGTTTCTAATGGGGGACCCTGCATGAATTATTTAATTTTTCAGTCGTCTTCTTTCTTTATTTGTAAAGAGGTCCTAGGGATGAGAAATGTATGTTGAAAATAGTTGACCTCTTTCCAGAAATATAAGTCCATTATTCAAAACAAAACTGGTGGTATTTCTGATACTGAAAAATAGATGAAACTATCCAGAGCCATTGTGTACAGCAGTACTGACTATACACTGTAAAACTAAAAGGAAATACATTTACATTGACTAATGGAAATTGTTGTGGCTACTCTGCATAAGTGGGGTGGATTTCTCCACACTCAGAATGTCGTTTTGATGGCAAGACTGATGACACAACATGTGCACACACACACACAAACACACACACATACACACCAAGAAGGCATGAAAAGGTTTATTACTAGATAGCGAAGCTTTCAAGGAATAGCAAGATGGCTCCCAAGTTGGTCTGAAAATGCCTTGATAGATTAGGGAAAAGAAATGGCTTGGGGTGTTTATGTGGTTAGGGCCAGGGTTAGGATTCTTGCACACAGGCTGGAGTCTGTGTGGTTTAACTTCTGCTGACATCAAAAAGGAGGGATCACCTGAGCCTTCTTATCAGTTTGCCAAGATATGGGGCAGAATGGGAAGGTGAAGTGTTGGAACTTGAAATCTGTCAGCAGTGAAACCTCAAAAATGAAGTCAACCCCTACATTACAGATATGGATGTTGCTCCCCAATGTCATGCAAGTTGGCAGTCCTGAATTTATTTTTAAAAACTTAAATTTTTATGATATTTTTATTAATATATAAGAATTGTATATATTTATTTATGGGGTACATATGCTATTTTGATACATGTATATAATGTGTTATGATCAAATAAAGATAATTGGGATATCCATCACAACTATTTATCATTTATTTGTGTTGGAAACTTTCCTAATATTCTAACTTTTTGAAAATATATACTAACTTATTGTTGTATACTATTTTTTATTTCATGAAATATTTCTGTCCACATGTGAACTCCACGGTCTCTTCTCCTGATTTCATGGATGATAGTACTGAGACTTTGAGAGGTAAGTTTTTAATCTATATCATAGCTAGTAATCCAAAAGTAGTAGGGTATTACTGAAAATGCTTCTCAGTTGAGGAATTACTATGTTTGAGTCTGCAATTATTCTATTGTACAGTGGAAAGAAAAGAACATATAACCCCACATTTGGAGCTTGGCAATATGTTTTCATAGTTGTGCAGTTTATTCCACAGACTATTACTGAGACTCTATTGAATTCAAAGCATTTTGTTAGGTGCTGACGAAATAGAGAGTCATAAAAACTGGCATTAGACTTCTAGGAGCTTACCGTAGAACACATTGTTTGAATAATCACCCAATGATAAATTCACTTAGTGTAGGATGCAAATGTAGATAATGCAAGCCCACAGAAAACACTCTCTTATGATAATTTACCATAAAATTAGTTAAAATCTTTGTTTATTTGCTTTCAGAGATTCCACTTTAATTCTTTAGACTGTATTGATTGTAACAGCTTTGCCCACAGCAAATAAGCAACTTAAATATTCTGAAGTTCAAGTAAGACAGAGACAATGAATTATTAGAAATTGTGTTTTATATTACAAATTATAATGTGGTATCAGGTATAGTACATTCTAAACTCATATATGCTTCAAAAGAAAAATATTAACTAATAGACAATTTAAAATATTTTCTGCATTTTTATCGTAAATGTTAATTCATATTGCTGTATGACATTTTGATGACAACTGAAGTACATTAAAACTGTATTTTTATCATTGTCATTTTATTGCATTTATACATTTTTTCTTGTCACCACCAAAATAAAATTTTGGGCCAAAGTTAAAATGATTGTAGTAACTTAATTTGAATTTGCTTGACATTAGAAAATTAATATACTATTATTGCTGTGATACTAACAATTTTCACTATAATAGACAATAGAGGAATTATTTGATTATAAAAATTGAAACAAATATTGATCCTTCTGTTTATCTAGTCTAGTCAATAAATATCTCTTAGATTATATATGTAGTATACCAATCCTTTTAGTAATTTAGTGTATGTGAAAGTTAAAAGTTTACACCAAAATGGGACAAGACTAAATTGTGGCTATTCATAAGGAAAGTTACTAAAATAGAATTATGATTTCCAGTTTCAGGCAGAAACTTTCATTCTTAAAAGCTGAAATAGTCAAGCACAGAAAATAAAGCATATATACATGTCTTCAGGAACAATAGCAAGATAACACTGTATTTTATCACATCTAGGATGCCATCAGTTATAAGATGCACTATATTTTTACATCAAGAAAGAAAAAAATCTATCTATTAAACTCTGACATACCATCAATTTTAAGGGATGTACTGATTTCAGAGATACTAAAATGTAAAAAAAATCAATAAAATATGGCATATCCTAAAATATTGGGACATTTTGCAACATTCATGTGAAAGATATCTATACTTAATCCTGTCCGAGATTTGGTGATTAAGGCACCAAATGGATCTTATTAAAATCAGTATCTCCTGTAAGTTACTCACATTTGTAGCAACGTTTCAAATGAATTTTTTAGCATGAGCAACAGGGATTCATAATACAGCTTCACTGTGTATGTTAAAAATCTTGCTTTTCCCCCTATTATCTAGTGTTTATTTTTATACAATTACTTCTGCATGGATTGCTTGAATTTACCTTAGCTACTTGATTTGGAATTATCTTTCCTATATTTTCTGCACAAAATGACAGCACATGCTTATTATCTCTCCTAGGCCTTAAAAGTACAGGGAGAATCAAGATGCAAGCAAGTTATGGCAAAAACTCACTCAAAATGAAGTATCATCTATAGGTTAAGATTGAGGTCTGAAAGGAAGTAAACATGATGGAAAGTAATATGAAAAGCTGAATCCTCCATTCTCTATAAAATCCCCAGACTGAATTCTAAAGCTATACTACTCACAAAGGTACCCTTGAATGATCACCAAGGAATATGGCCTCAGAAATACTATGAAACAACTAGGGTAGAAATGACCTTTTCCCTGGCCCAAGACCACTAGGTGCCAATCTATAAGTAAATGATCAGGTTTTTAAAAGAATAATTTGATAACTAACTAATTTTTAGGTATCAAAATTCACAGTACAATTTATCCTTTTTCTAGAGGTAAGTGTTGAATCTGCTTGGCCCTAGAGAAGACTTAACTCATAAAGATAATTAGTCAGGAATAATTGCCTCAAAAATATACTTCACAGGAAAATGTGACAGTGTCCAAACCTTTAGTGCAAAATACATGGCATTTTCCATGGCTATCTTGTCATTTCACAAAAATGTATTTTATGTGACTTTTACAATGAAAAAATGATAAGAATAACCCACTCAAATATTAGTCCTCTTTCCTATTAGATGTGCTAGGTATTTTCTCTTTGTCGTGGTGGTCCACATCCTATAATATCGGTGCCATTTTTATGTCTTTTCAAATGAATCCACTTACTGAATTAAAGAGATGTTAAGGAAAACAAATTTTGAAAGGAGTAGATCTAGTAGTTGGAGTAGGAAATGAGCTGAAATTAAAACCAGCAGAGACTAGTAGACATTGAGAAATAACTAAGAGAAGAAATGAAAGAACATGAAAACAAGGTAATTAACAAAAACTTCTCTTTTCAACAATATAGGAATGCTTCTCTGCTGTTCAGTTACTGAGGTTACAGGTATAGAATTTGTTGCTTTTTGAGGACATAAAACATGATATTGTGACCAGGAAACAATCGTCCCTTAGTGACCTTTATTTCTTTAGAGTTTTATCAAAATTGTAACTTCTATTTCTGTTGTCCCTAAAGCAACACAAAATCTCTTGTTTTGTTAAAGACATCTAAGTTGGGGATGTTTAGTTCTCTGGAATTCAATTACTGCTGTGTTCTTCTTTTTAATAAAACATGCCAAAGTTAAAAAACAGCATGGCCACAGGAGAAGCATTAGAGAAAGCTGCACAGCTGAAAGTAAATTAAAAAAAAAATTATGAGCACAACGGGATGCTAATATTCCAGTACCTGTTTCTGTACTCTGTGCTATGCCTTCAGATCAGGGCCAATCTCTTTTTTAGCCTGGTAGTTACCCCTATTTAAATTGTGAAATGAGTCTCCTGTGATGCTACCTAGAAATACCATCACCCTTCACTTACTCTTGTAGAAACCATGTATTTTTTCCTCCTGAAATGCCATGTTTGCTGTTTTTTTTTTTGTTGTTGTTGTTGTTTTTTCCCGTAGGCCACTGATTAGCATTCTATTTTATCATTTGCCTGATTAAAGGGGAAAGGGAAATGTGTCTGTGTGTGTGTGTGTGTGTGTATGTGTGTGTGCGTGTGTGTATACTGAGGGAGGGGGTAGTTCTTGAGCAACCATTAAAAATACTCAGAATTAACTATGTCAGATGGGTGATCAATAACTATATCAAAAAAATAAAAAACTGGTTAATTTTTTACTCCTGCCTTTCCACAGCTTTTTTTAAAAATCCTTCCACTGAAGCATTTATCCTTTGAGTTACAAATAATCCAATTACACTCTTTAAGTTATCTTAAAATGTACAATTAAGTTATTATTGATTATAGTCACCCTATTGTGCTATCAAATAATAGGTCCTATACATTCTTTCTATTTTTTTTGTATGCATTAAGCATCCGTGCCTTCCATGCAACTTGGTACTACTACACTTCCTAGCTTCTGGTAACCATCCTTCTACTATGTCCATGAGTTCAATTGTTTTAATTTTTTGAACCCCAAAATAAGTGAGAACATGTGATGTTTGTCTTTCTCTGCCTGGATTATTTTATGTAACATAATAATTTTCATTTTCATCCATGTTGTTGCAAATGACTGGATCTCATTCTTTTTTATGGCTAAATAGTACTCCATTGTGTTTATGTACATGTTCTTTATCCATTCATCCATTGATGGACACTTAGGTTGCTTCCAAATCTTAGTTACTGTGAACAATGCTGCAACAAACACGGGACTGCAACATATCACTTCAATATACTAATTTTCTTTTTGGGGGGTATATATCAAGCAGTGGAATTGTTGAATCATATGGTAGCTCAATTTTTACTTCTCTGAGGAACCTCCAAACTGTTCTCCATAATGGTTGTACTAATTCTCACTAACAGTGTATGAGAGCTCCCTTTTCTCCACATGATCTCCAGCATTTGTTGTTGCCAGTGTTTTGGATATAAGCCATTTTAATTGAGATGAGACAATATCTCATTGTACTTTTGATGTGCATTTCTCTGATGATCTATGATGTTGAGTACCTTTTCATATGCCTGTTTGCCGTTTTATGTCATCTTTAAAGAAATGTCTATTCAGATATTTTGCCCATTTTTTAATCAGATTGTTGAATTTTTTCTGTAGAGTTGTTTGACCTCTTTATATATTCTGGTTATGAATTCTTTCTCAGATGAGTAGTTTGCAAATATTTTCTCCGATTCTGTGGATTGTCTCTTCACTTCGATGATTGTATCCTTTGCTATGCAGAAGAATTTTTAATGTCATGTGATCCCATTTTACAATTTTTGCTTAGGTTGGCAGTGCTTGTGGGATATTGCTCAAGAAATCTTTGCTCAGATCAATGTCCTGGAGCTTTTCTACAATGTTTTATTGTAGTAGTTTCACGGTGCGAGGTCTTAGATTTAAGTATTTAATCTATTTTTATTTGATTTTCATATATGGCTATAGATGGGGGCTTAGTTTCATTCTTCTGCATATAGATATCCAGTTTTTCTTGCAGCATTTATTGAAGAGACTGTCTTTTCCACAGTGTATATTGTTAGCAACTTTGTCAAAAAAATGAGTTCACTGTAGGTGTGTGGATTTGTTTCTGGGTTCTCTATTCTGTTTCATTGGTTCTCTATTCTGTTTCATTGTCTGTTTTTATGCCAATACTATGCTGTTCTGGTTACTATATCTCTGTAATATAATTTGAAGTCAGGTAATGTGATTCCTCCAGGTTAGTTCTTTTTGCTTAGGATAGCTTTGGCTCTTCTGTGTCTTTTGTAGTACCATATAAGTTTTAGGATTATTTTTTCTATTTCTGTAAAGAATGTCATTAGTATTTTGATAGGGATTGCATTGAATCTGCAGATTGCCTTGGGTAGTATGGACATTTTTAACAATATTGATTCTTCCAATCCACAAACATGAAAGATTTTTCCATTTTTTCATGTCTTATTCAATTTCTTTCACCTGTGTTTTATAGTTATCATTATAGTGATCTTTACTACTTTGGTTAAGATAATTCCTATGTATTTAATTTTGTGTGTGGCAATTGTAAATGAGTTTACTTTTTAAATTTTTTTTCACATTGCTCCCTGTTGGCATATAGAAATGCTACTGACTTTTATATGTTGATTTTATATCCTGTAACTTTACTGATTTTGTTTATCAGTTGTAAAGGGTTTCTTGTGGAGTCTTTAGGTTTTTCCAAATATAAGATCCTATCATCTGCAAGCTTTTCCAATTTGAATGCCTTTTATATCTTCTTCTCATCTGACAACTGTAGCTAAGACTTCCAGTACTATGTTGAATCACAGTGGTAACAGGGAGCATCCCTGTCATGTTCCAGATTTTAGAAGAAGAGCTTTGAGTTTCTCCCCATTCAGTATAATAGCTGTAGGTCTGTCATATATAGTTTTCATTATGTTGAAGTATGTTCATTCTATCCTCAGTTTTTTGAGGGTTTTATCCTGAAGGGATGTTGAATTTCATCAAATGCTTTTTCAGCATCAATTGAAATGCTCATATAGCTTTCATCCTTCTTTCTTTTTTTTTTTTTTTTTTTTTTTTTTTGGGATCTGAATACGTTTTTTTCTTATTTTATTTCTTGCTATTTAATGATCAGAAAAATATTTTTTTTTTCATTTATTTTTTTTTTATTTTATTTTATTTTTTTTATTATACTCTAAGTTTTAGGGTACATGTGCACATTGTGCAGGTTAGTTACATATGTATACATGTGCCATGCTGGTGCGCTGCACCCACTAATGTGTCATCTAGCATTAGGTATATCTCCCAATACTATCCCTCCCCCCTCCCCCAACCCCACCACAGTCCCCAGAGTGTGATATTCCCCTTCCTGTGTCCATGTGATCTCATTGTTCAATTCCCACCTATGAGTGAGAATATGCGGTGTTTGGTTTTTTGTTCTTGCGATAGTTTACTGAGAATGATGGTTTCCAATTTCATCCATGTCCCTACAAAGGATATGAACTCATCATTTTTTATGGCTGCATAGTATTCCATGGTGTATATGTGCCACATTTTCTTAATCCAGTCTATCATTGTTGGACATTTGGGTTGGTTCCAAGTCTTTGCTATTGTGAATAGTGCTGCAATAAACATACGTGTGCATGTGTCTTTATAGCAGCATGATTTATACTCATTTGGGTATATACCCAGTAATGGGATGGCTGGGTCAAATGGTATTTCTAGTTCTAGATCCCTGAGGAATCGCCACACTGACTTCCACAATGGTTGAACTAGTTTACAGTCCCACCAACAGTGTAAAAGTGTTCCTATTTCTCCGCATCCTCTCCAAGGTAATTTACAGATTCAATGCCATCCCCATCAAGCTACCAATGACTTTCTTCACAGAATTGGAAAAAACTACTTTAAAGTTCATATGGAACCAAAAAAGAGCCCGCATTGCCAAGTCAATCCTAAGCCAAAAGAACAAAGCTGGAGGCATCACACTACCTGACTTCAAACTATACTACAAGGCTACAGTAACCAAAACAGCATGGTACTGATACCAAAACAGAGATATAGATCAATGGAACAGAACAGAGCCCTCAGAAATAATGCCGCATATCTACAACTATCTGATCTTTGACAAACCTGAGAAAAACAAGCAATGGGGAAAGGATTCCCTATTTAATAAATGGTGCTGGGAAAACTGGCTAGCCATATGTAGAAAGCTGAAACTGGATCCCTTCCTTACACCTTATACAAAAATCAATTCAAGATGGATTAAAGATTTAAACGTTAAACCTAAAACCATAAAAACCCTAGAAGAAAACCTAGGCATTACCATTCAGGACATAGGCGTGGGCAAGGACTTCATGTCCAAAACACCAAAAGCAATGGCAACAAAAGACAAAATTGACAAATGGGATCTAATTAAACTAAAGAGCTTCTGCACAGCAAAAGAAACTACCATCAGAGTGAACAGGCAACCTACAACATGGGAGAAAATTTTCGCATCCTACTCATCTGACAAAGGGCTAATATCCAGAATCTACAATGAACTCAAACAAATTTACAAGAAAAAAACAAACAACCCCATCAAAAAGTGGGCGAAGGACATGAACAGACACTTCTCAAAAGAAGACATTTATGCAGCCAAAAAACACATGAAGAAATGCTCATCATCACTGGCCATCAGAGAAATGCAAATCAAAACCACTATGAGATATCATCTCACACCAGTTAGAATGGCAATCATTTCATCCTTCTTTCTGTTAATATGTATGATGAATCACATTAATTAATGTGCATATGATGAGCCATCCTTGCATCCCAGGGATAAATCCCATTTGGCCATGATGAATAATCTTTCTAAGGTATTGTTGAATTCGGTTTGCTGGTATTTTGTTGAGGACTTTTGCATCAATATTGATCAGAGATATTTGCTTGTAGTTTTCTTTTCCTGATGTGTCTTTGTCTGGTTTTGGTATCAGGGTAATACTGGCATAGAATGAATTTGGAAGTAGTCCCTCCTCCTCTATTTTTTGAAATGGTTTGAGTAGGATTGGAACTAGTTCTTCTTTAAATGTTTGGTAGAATTCAGCAGTGAAGCCATCAGGTCCCAGGCTTTTCTTTACTAAAAGTCTTTTTATTATGGCTTTGATTATGTTACTTGTTATTGGTCTGTTAATGTTTTGCATTTTTTCCTGGTTCAATCTTAGTAGATTGTATGTATCTAGGAATTTGTCCATTTCTTCTAGAAAATCCAATTTATTGGCATATAGTGGCTTATAGTAGCATCTAATAATCCTTTACATTTCTGCAGCATCAGTTATAATGTCTCCGTTTTCATTCCTGATTTTATTTATTTGGATCTCCTCTGTTTTCTTCTTAGTTTGTCTGGCTAAAGGTTCATAAGTTTTGTTCAACTTTTCAAAAAAACCCAATTTTTTGTTTCATTGATCTTTCGTTGTGTTTTCTTTATTTCATTTATATTTGCTTCTACTCTGATATTTATTATTTGTTTTCTTCTACTAATTTTGGGTTTAGTATGCTCTTGCTTTTCTGGTTCTTTTACATGCGTCATTAGATAATTTGAAATTTTTCCTCTTTTTGGATGTAGGCACCTATACCTATAAACTTAGCTCTTAGTACTGCTTTCTTGTATCCAATAGGTTTTAGTATGTTGTATTCCCATTACAAAACTTTTGGTTTCAAAAACTTTTTCAATTTCCTTCTTAATTTCTTCATTGACCTACTGGTCATTCAGGAGCATATTGTTTAATTTCCATGTAATTGTATAGTTTCCAAAATTCCTTAGATTATTAATTTGTAATGTTATTTTGTTGTGGGCAGAGAAGATACATAATGTTATTTCATTTTTATGAATCTTTTAATACTTGTCTTGTGACCTAACATATGATCTGTCTTTGAGAAGTATCCATGTGCTGAGGAAAAGAATGTGCATCTCTTGGATAAAATGTTCTGTAAATATCTATTGGATCCATTTGGTCTACAGTGCAGATTAAGTCGCATGTTTCTTTGCTGATTTGCTGTCTGGAAAATCTGTCCAAAGCTGAAAGTGGGGTGTTGAAGTGTCCAGCTATTACTGTATTGGGACCTAGCTCTCTCTTTAGCTCTAATAATATTTGTGTCATATATCTTAATGCTCCCATATTGGGTGCATACATATTTAAAATTGTTATATCCTTTTGCTGAATTGACCCCTTTATCATTATATAGTGACCTTCTTTGTCTCTTCTTATAGTTTTTGTCTTGAAATCTATTTTGTCTGATACAAATATAGTGACCCCTGCTCTTTTTAGGTTTCCATTGGCATGGAATATTTTTTCTATATCTTTATTTTCAGCCTGTATGTATCTTTATAGGTGAAGTGTGTTTCTTATTGGCACCAAACAAATTGGTCTTGTTTTTCATCCATTCAGTCAGTCTGTCTTTTGATTGGATAATTTAGTTCATTTACATTAATTATTATTGATAAGTAAGGACTTACTCCTGCCATTTCGTTATTTGTTTTCTGGTTGTTTCTTGGTCTTCTCTTTCTTGTTTCTTTTTTTCCTGCCTTCTTCTAGTAAAGATGATTTTCTCTGATGATATGATTTAGTTTCTTACTTTTTTTGTGTATGTGTGTATCTATTGTAAGTTTTTGGTTTGATGCTGCAATGAGGCTAGCAAATATTATTTTATAATCCATTATTTTAATCTGATAGCAACTTAAAACTCTTTACAGAAACAAACAAAATGAGAACTAATGAAGGCTCTACACCTAAACTTCATAGCCCTGCTTTTAAACTTTGTGTTGTTTCTATTTATATCTGATTGTACTATGTCTTGAAAAGTAGATGTAGTTATTATTTTTTCATTAACTATTTAGTCTTTCTAATTATGATGAGTATTTTACACACCACAGTTACAGTGTTATACTATACTGTGTTTTTCTGTGTACTTACTATAACCAGTGAGTTTTGTAACTGCAGGTGATTATTTATGCTTGCTAATGTCTTTTTCTTTCTGATTGAGGTACAACCTTTGGCATTTCTTGTAAGACAGGTCTGGTATTGACGAAATCCCTCAGCTTTTGTTTGCTGGGAAAGTCTTCTTTTCTCCTTCATGTTTGAAAGATATTTTTGCCAGATATACTATTCTAGAGTAAAAGTTTTTTTTCCTTCAGTGGTTTATGTCATGTGTTCTCTCCTGGCCTGTAAGTTTCTGATGTAAAGTCTGCTTTCAGACTTACTGGAGTTTCATTGTCTGTTATTTGTTTCTTTTATCTTGCTACTTTTAAGATCCTTTCTTTAATCTTGACTGTTCGGAATTTGAGTATTCAATGCATTGAGGTAGTCTTCTTTGGGTTATATCTGCTTGGTGTTCTATAACCTTCTTGTACTTGGATGTTGATATCTTTCTTTAGGTTTGGGAAGTTCTTTGTTATTGTCCCTGTGAATAAACTTTCTTCCCCATCTCTTTCTGTTCCTAAATTTTAAGGCCAATAACTCTTAGATTTGCCCTTTTGAAGCTATTTTCTGGAAGCTATTTTCCAGATCCTGAAGGTGTGCTGCATTGTTTTAAAATTATTTTTTTCTTTTGTCTCTTCTGTGTATTTTCAAATAGCGTGTCTTCAAGCTCACTAATTCTTTCTTCTGCTTGATCCATTCTGCTATTAAAGGACTCTGGTGCATTTATTAGTACGTCAATTGCATTTTTCAGCCCCAGAAATTTTATTGATTCCTTTTAATTATTTCAATCTCTTTTTTTAAAAAAAATTATCTGTTAGAATTCTGAATTCCTTCTCTGTATTCTCCTAATTTTTTTGTTTGTTTGTTTGTTTCCTTAACACAGCTATTTTGAATTCCCTGTCTGAAAGGTTACATATCTGTCTCCAGGATTGGTCCCTGGTGCCTTATTTAGTTCATTTTGTAAGGTAATGTTTTGCTGTATGGTATTGATGCTAGTAAATGTTTTTTCTGTGTCTAGACATTGAAGAGCTAGATGTTTATTGTAGTATTTACTGTCTAGGCTTGTTTTTACCTGCCCTTCTTGGGAAGGCTTTCCAAGTATTTGAAAGGACTGGGCGTTGTGTTCTACGCTGTATCTGCTTTAGGAGGTACCCCAGTCGAGTAACACTGTGGTTCTTGCAGACTTCTGGAAGTACTGCCTTGATGGTCTTGGACAAGATCCAGGAATATTCTCTAGATTACTAGACAAGGACTCTTGTTCTCTTTGCTTAATTTCTCCCAAAAATACAGTCTCACTGTCTGAGCCACTTAACGCTGGGTGTGGAGTGACATAAGCATCCCTGTGGCCACCACCACTATGATTATGCTAAGTCAGAGATTAAGCCAGCACAGTGCTGGGTCTTCTCCAAGGTTTGCTGTAATTACTCCCTGGCTACTACCTATGTTTGCTCAAGTCCCTGGGGCTCTACAATCAGCAGTGGCAAAACCAGCCAGGCCTGTGTCCTTCCTTTCAGAATAATGAGTTCTCCAGGCCCTGAGTGGGTTCAGATGTATCATCCAGAGTCAGGGTCTAGAGTCAAAATCCTTAGAAGTCTACTGGGTGTTCTATTGTATTGTGGTTGGGCTGACATTCAAACCATAAGACATAGTTCTTCCCACTCTTCTCTCCCCTTTCCAAAGGTAGAGGAACCTTACCCAGTACCCACCTCCACCCCAGCCATGAGGTATACTGCCAGACTACCACCATTGTTCCCTTAAGGCCCAAGGTCTCTTATATCAGCTTTTAATGAATGTCGCCTTGCCTGAGACTCACCCTTCAGGGCAGTGGGCTCCCCTCTGGCCCAGGGGAGGTCCAGAAATGCCGTCGAAGAGTCAAGTCCTAGATTCAGGGACCCCAAGAACCCATTTGGTGATCTACCCTGCCGTGGCCATGCTAGTTCTTTATTTTTGGTTATTATGAAGGTGTTTTATCTTTTAGGAAGGTGTTATTATGAAGGTGTTTTATCTCTGTAGATAGTTGCTAATTTGGTGTCCTTCTGGCGGAGACAATCAGTGGAGCTTTCTACTCCACCATCTTGCTCCACATTCACATCCCCATAGAGTTTCTGAGAAAAAAAACCAAACAGTATTTTATATAATGTCAGATTCACATTGATATGTAGTACAGAGCAGCCTTCATGTAATTTGAAGTGCACAGCAAAAAGTTTATCTTCCATTTACCCCTCATAGTTTTCTTGAAATTGTCATATAATCTGTTTGGGACGAAACAGTGTAAGTTCATGTCAAAATGCAAACCATATCAAGTATGGAAAATATTAGAAACAATTACCAAAAATTAAATTACTTTGAATCCTTGCATGTGTTTTGTTTTTTAAAATGTGACAGGAGGTAAATCTGTATTGATAGGAGAAGTGTAATCAAGAAAATCCTATATCCTGGCTCAACAGTTGTAAGTTAGGTCTCTGCTGACAGGGAAAAAATTTTAAAAAGTAGATTAGAGGAAAACCTTTCCTACTTAACAATCTTGCCTAAGGCTAATCTTAAATGTACATGTGTTAAAAATAAGGTATAGATTCGATAATTCCCAGGTTTACCAGATGATCTATGACATAAGCAGAAAGAACAGTTAAAGGCCAAAATATTCCAGGAAATAAATGTGTTCTCCGTCACAATAAAAGGCTGAAATTGAGAAGTGACAACAAAAGTAAGATGGGAATTTCCTAACTGATCATAAATCTAACCTTAACTCATATGAACACATACTTGAATTTGTAGCATGTATTAGAGTTATTTTTGCAGGTCATTTTGCAGTTACTGTTAATGCATCTTGAGTTGTCTTTTAAATTGAACTTGCTGTTCTCTTAGTGGAGACAATATTTCTGTCTATGGTTCTTGAGAGTTACTAAGCACTCTATTTTTCTTTACTGTGACTAAATGAGCATAATATAACATTAACAATTTCAACCATTTGTAAATGTACAGCTCTGTGGCATTAAATTCATTCACATTGTTGTGCAATCATCACCACCATCCATCTTCAAAATGTTTTCATCTTCCCAAAACTGAATCTCTGTACCATTAAACAATAACTCCCCATTTCGTTCTCTCCTTAGCCTCTGGAAACAACCATTCCACTTTATGTCTGTATGAATTTGATGCTTCTAGGTACCAGATATAAGTGGAATAATAAAATATCTTTATTTTTGTGACTGGCTTATTTCATTTAACTCAATGGCATCAATATTAATTCATGTTGTAGCATGCGTCAGAACTTCATCCTCTTTTAGTGCTAAATAATATTCCATTGTCTGTATATCCTGCATTTTGTTTGTTCATTTATTAGTTGAAGGACACTTGGGTTGTTTCTACCTTTTGGCTATTATCAGTAATGATGCTATGAATATGACTGTACAAACACCTCTTTGGTTTCCCAGTTTTAAGTATTTTGGCTATATATCTAGAAGTGAAATTGTTGCATTAGATGCTTATTCTGTGTTTAACTGATGAACCACCATAGTTTTCCACAGTGGCTGTATTATTTTACATTTCCACCAGCAATGCATAAAGTTCCAGTTTCTTTACCTTCTCACCAACACTTGTTATTTTGTTATTTTCTCTTTTTAAATAGTGGCCACCATAATGAGTATGAGTTAATATTTCAGTGTGGTTTTGACTTGCATTTTCCTAGCGACTAGTGATGGTAAGCATCTTTCATGTGTTTATTGGACATATGTATATCTTCGTTGGAGAAATGTTTATTCAAATATTTGGCCTATTTTAAAATTAGGCTATTCATTATTTTGCCGCTGAGTTTTAGGAGTTTCTTATATATTCTGAATATTAATCCTTTATCAGGTATTTGATTTACAATTTTTTTCATTCTGTGGGTCATATTTTTACTCTCTTGATAATGTCCTTTGTTGTGCCAAAGTTTTTAATTTTGATAAAGTCCAATTCATTTATTTATTTTTGAGACAGAGTCTTGCTCTGTCACCCTGGTTGGAGTGCAGTGGCATTATCACAGCTCATTGCAACCTCCACCTCCTGGACTCAAGGGATCCTCACGCCTCAGCCTCCTGAGAAGCTGAGACCCCAGGTGCATGCCAACACACCCAGCTAATTTTTTTTTTTTTTTTTTAGACGGAGTCTCGCTCTGTCACCCAGGCTGGAGTGCAGTGGTGCCATCTCGGCTCACTGCAAGCTCCACCTCCCGGGTTCATGCCATTCTCCTGCCTCAGCCTCCTGAGTAGCTGGGACTACAGGCACCCGCCACCACGCCCAGCTAATTTTTTTTTTTTTTTTGTATTTTTCATAGAGACGGAGTTTCACCGTGTTAGCCAGGATGGTCTCGATCTCCTGACCTCATGATCTGCCCGCCTCGGCCTCCCAAAGTCCTGGGATTACAGGCATGAGCCACCATGCCCGGCCGCTGATTTTTAAATTATTTGTAGAGATGAGTTATCATGTTGCCCAGGCTGGTCTCAAACTCCTTGGCTCAAGTGATCGTTGCACCTCAGCCTCCTAAAGTGCTGGGATTACAGGTGTGAGCCATGGTGCTCAACCCAATTTATCTATTTTTTCTTTTGTTGCCTATGTTTTTGGTGCCATATATAATAAATCATTGCCAACTCTGATGTCATAAAGCTTTTTTCCTATGTTTTCTTCTAACAGTTTTATGATTTTAGTGCTTATGTTTAGCTCTTTGATTCATTTTGAACTAATTTTTGTGTATGGTTTACCTCTCATGCACTTTAATTCGAAAAGTTACTTTGGAATATTCTAATGCTCAAACACTATGTACTGGACCTTGCCCTCAGCACATTATGTCTTTGATCTCTAATCCTAGAAATTATCTAGTTATGCAAACAATGTATATCTCTATTTTGGAAAAAAGATAAGAAGAAGTGCAGAAAGGGTAGATAGCTTACCCAAGGTCAGAAACTTATTAAGTGGAAGAACCAGAATTCAAAGCCATTTCTGTTTAACTTGTGAGGCCATGCATTGAAGCTCTGTGCAATACTGGTATAATATACATACTTTTTTATATATATAACTAAGTTTTCTTTCTGGCTTTTCACCAGCAATTTACTAGTATTGTAGGATATTTCTCGAGATAAATGTACATTTTGGGCTTTCCTCCACTCCATTTCAATCAGGAGACCAGATTTTTTGCAATGTAGGAAGCAGAATCCTTTGTAAAAGCCTAAACACAAAAAATAAATAATCTCCTTGTTCCTGAGGGACAGCTGAAAGAGAAAAGTGACACATAAGGTCAAATAGAGGAGAAGAAGAAAAATTCCCAGCGACTAGAATCAGAATGGGGGTTCAGTAGGTATCCATGAAACCTATGTACAAAATGGTGGCAACACCCTCAGGAGATCATAGCAACTCACATGGGTTGGATGTGTTGAGGCTTGGTAACTGTTACCTCAAAATATGGCACTTTGACATGCTGAACTGAAGAAAAAGCCTCAGGATCTTTCTGACCTTCCCTCCATCCCCCAATACTCTGTCTCTCTCAAAGCACAGGATGACCTTGTTCTCTGAAGTTCCTTTATCTGCCTAATGTCTGGACCTGCCACAAAAGAAAAAATAATCTCTGGTTCTTCTCTGAGTTTTTATTAACTGAACTCATATCACAGGAAGAAAGACTAAAGTCTGTCAACACACTCAGAGAGACTTTTGTGACAAACCGTTGTGTGTTCTGCAGGTTCAACAGACTTTGTCCCAGGCCACTGTATGTACTTCAAGCCCATTACATTTCCTCCGAAATCATTTACTACCACCTAAAATCACCCACACTTTCCTATTTCCCTTTCCCCCAAGAAGTAGGGTATATACAACTCTATACGTCATGGGGATATTTGGTAATCACTCTGTGATTTGCCCCTGTGCATGCTAATAAGTTTGTATGCAATTATTCCTATTAAACTACCTTTTGCCAGTTGATTTTTCAGTAAAGTTTCAGAGGGCACATGGGAAGTTTTCCCTTGGCCCCTACAGATGCATGGTACAACTAGAGAAGCTGGAACCTAGGACAGAACCTCTCCCATATTCTTGTGTCACAAGTGTGGCTTTGAGGCAACACAAGTCCAATTGATAAAGTCTAAGACCTGCAAGAAGCATGAAACTAGCACCATGAACAGTAATCTCTAGAAATCAATATGAATAAACACTTTCAAATCTGATGCTTAACACACCAAAGATTGTAAATACCTGTAATGCTGGCTATGGACACTTAGTATCTGCAAGCCTCAGGATTCCCATATTTAAAGTGGAAATAATATCTATCTCATAGGAAATTGGTGAAGATAAAATATAATGATAAATATAAAAAACATAGTACGGCACACCTAGTGGGTACCCAATAATGTCTATTTTCTTGCTTTTCATCACCCACCATAGCTCCACTGTTTTCTAATGTTTGGGCATATTTATTTGCTAGAAATACAGAAAAATAATATGGTGTTTTTCAGTGTCCCCAGTCTAAGAAGCTATGCCATTCATTCCTTTTAGAATTGAGTCCAGGAGAGAAAATTTGTTCCTAGAATGCAGCCATGTTTCCTTTGATCAGACAATGAATATTATCTAACTGCTCACATTTTTCTGTTGTGTGCCACAGACTCTGGTGAGGGCTGGTTAATGTAGTATG
The DNA here is from genome assembly GCF_000001405.40 of Homo sapiens. Lineage (NCBI taxonomy): Eukaryota > Metazoa > Chordata > Mammalia > Primates > Hominidae > Homo > Homo sapiens. The sequence continues at coordinate 95,591,700 of NC_000023.11, read as the reverse complement.
GTATATGCACAAAATTACTTTTCTAAAATCTAAAATTTCATAATTCTGAAACATCTTGCCCCAAGGGTTTCAGATAAAGGACTGTGGACCTCTATCATCTGTTAAGTAATTTAGACGATATTATTTGTCTTAAAAAATGTGAAATGCTTTTATATTCTAACAGTTTTTCACTTTGTGTATTAAATGGTTTTTAAATTAAAAAAAAAGAAATTCATTGAAGCTTAATGTTTACTCACAGTAATTGTATTCACTTAAGGAACTGTTTGAAACTTGTGCTACCCTTTCCTCCATACTTACTACATGTATTTTCTTTCATTTTAGAAATTATATTGAACCAAGATACATTTTATTGTTAGTTTCCTCAACTCATTTTTGGGAATAATAAAACTATAGATATAGTAACACCAATAATAATAGTTATGACAGTATTTGAAATAAGAAAAGTGAAATGGAAATTTGGAATAATTAGTTGATTAGAATGATTGCTGCTAAAAAAAAAAGCAACACACAAAGCAGACAACTTTAGTCTCCCGAAGTTTGATCTACAATTGCCACCTATTTTATTTATATTAATAAAGTAATTGGTTTTAATATGTCTGATTATCATACTCCAGTTTCTATTATACTTTGTTCTTAATTTGAAATATTTAATAGCAATTAACTTTTAGAGAATAAGAGGAAGTAGGATTGCATGATTAGAATATAAAGAGGAAGTAGAATACATTTAGAGAATAAAAGGAAGTAGAGTTGTATAATTAGAATATAAAGCTATTACAATTGGCTTTTGTCTCTGGCTTGCTTATTAACTTTTGTAAAATCAAGTCATTTTAGAGAGTGCTGGAACTTTATTTTTGTAGATCAACTAATTCAGCCTCTTATTTTGCAGTTGATAGACCCAAAGCTCAAGAAAGGTAAATGTCTTGCAACAGAACACATAGTCAGTTAGTGATGAAACCATGATTAAACCAAAGATTTGGAAGAAATCCATAAAGATCATTATCTATCCCCATACAAAATATGGATTGTCAGTACCTCTCTAGTAACTATTGAATGTTGGCTTCCACTTTTCCTTCAGAGATAGAATGTCCCTATTATTTGATAGTATGATACTAGGCCCTTTTCCTGCAGAGTGTTTATCCCAGTTTTACATTTATTTGTGACTGTAATTTGTGATTCCATTTATTTTGTCCATGTATTTTTGCCTCTATATCTAGATCTTATGTTACCTGTAGATACAAATCTTTTGTGGTTTACTTCAACATTTTATCTCAGGCATAAAGGCAAAATACAGTTCCCAATACATGATAAGAACGAAGATATATTGAATGGGTGGATATAAGAATGGATTCAGAGACAAATTAATATGCTATAAATATGCTAAGTGTTAATAATAGTTATCATGTATTGAAATTACCAGGCACTATGTTAAATAAGTTATTTACTCATTATAGGAACCCCAGTAGATAAGTACTGTTATTACTCTTATTTCCCAGATAATGCAACTAAAATTCAGGATGGTAAGATAATTATCTAAAGTTACATGAGTAATAAGCAATAGAGCCAGGATTAAAATCCAGATGATCTGACTTTTAACCACTACAATATACTGTCTCCAATAACAAAATATAAAAGTGAATAACATATGTTCTATGTCAATATTTGTTGATAAATTATTTTATAGCTCTTCCTTGAATGACACCAGACATGGTGAGTTGTTAAATCAGAAAAAAATAGGTTTTATATGGATATGTAAATGGTTGATAATGGATTTGAAGTTTCTAACAGTATGACTCTTGTGATAAAATGAAAGCCAAAAGAATAAATCTCTCATGACAGAGTATCAGACATTAATACAGGACAATATATCAGAGTGATAGCAGAAAGCAGCTGATTAACTCAAATTAAATTATTTGAAGAGAGTTTAGTAAATGGGCTATTTACAAAGTAGCAGGCATATAGTAGCAAAACCGCAATGAATAATACAAGAATCTGGGGTTAGTAACATGGGGTTGAGAGTGACAGAGTAGGTTACTTCCTTAGAACTGAATGGGCAAAGGGAAGGAATGGATGATAGAAATAGGAGGAAGAATAGGATCTGTGTGGGGACAGTATCCTAATAGAAACTATGACCTTTATTTAGTCAAAGGACATAGCCAGCCCAGGAAGTCTGCAGGGAGAAGGCCAAGAGAATATATATGCTATCCTCATTATCCCCACTCCTACTGATTTCCTACCAGCACTCCCCATTAATCAAAACCTATCCAAAGCCAGAGGACATGGAGGTACTTTTAAATGATTCACATAATTCAGTCCCTAGAATATACAGCAGGGTGAAGCATGGATATAAAAGATATATGGGTGATATCCAATGCAGATAAAGATGGAGACACTTTTAAAAAAATGTCCATAGCATCTAAGTCACATTTTTTTTTCTTCCTATGTAGGGCCAGCTGTGCTTCTCAGTAGTGCTAGTAGGGACAAGGAAATGAAAAAGGAGGTCATGGCTTGGAATTTAGCTTTCCTATGTTCCAATAAACACTTCTTTAACATTCCAAATTTTCTAAGTCCTTTAAGACTCACCCCATGCTGCACATATTTGAATTCTTTAAAGACAAATGGAGCCTTACACTTCTCACAAAAAGGGTGTTATTGAAATTCAAGGCATTGGGCAAGCATCATTAAAATAATTCCTCTGGCTTCCATTACATTTCTGACCAAAGTTGCATTGAATATAGATAGGTAAAACTAGTTGTTCTGCCTGATTACCATTATATTTGGTATGTTGTGGAATAGTTCGGACAGTAGATAACATTTTTGCATGTTAATACATAAAAAAAGTTTCAACTGCCAACTCTTTGTCACACACCAAACCTGATTATTTACCTGGTAAACACAGTAAAACTCTTGGTGTGTAAATTAAATTGTCTTATGCTTTTTGATGCTCGGCTTGATCACTCTGTGTTATGGGTGTCAACTTCAATACCTGGGATATAAGAAAAGGCATTACCAAATATTAATGAAAGTTGCACACCTTAAATCTGTAATGTCCAAATGAATATATACTCAAGGTTTTCAATGTGCCAGAATCTGAAACATTTCCTCTTGATTAGTTCTCAATTTCTTCTGCTAAATTTTATATTGCTGAAATTAATAATGGCAATAATCGTGTGATCAAGCAGGAAAACTAATAATGGCTTTCAAATATATCATTTTGGAATGGTTGGCTGAGAAAATCTGAGGATATAAGACAAAAGATATAGAGATATTATAATAGAGGATCAGAGGAATTAAAACAAAACTTTAGAAATAATTTCAAATGAGGGCACTTTTCAAAAAAGAATCTCAAAAAACTAAAGACTTTCCAATCATTCAAACTTAAATTAGTTAAGGTTGAATTAACCTATAAAATTAATTATATCCAATTTTACTTTGTGGAGAATTTAACCTTCTACTTATATTTAAAACAAATTATTAAGAGAACTAACATTTTAGAACCAAAAGATCTGATGTTTTGCTCATTAATTGTCTACAAAAAAGATTTATATCATTTATTTTGTCTACTTTTTAAGAATCTTACAGCAGTGGGTGGAAGAGAAAAATTGAATAACATAGGCTTGAACTGGGCAGGTCCATTTATACATGAATTTTCTTCCACCTCTACCACCCTGAGACCAGCAAGACCAACCCTTTCTCTTCTGCCTCCTCCTCAGCCTACTCAAGGTGAAGACGATGAGGATGAAGACCTTTATGACGATCCACTTCCACTTAATGAATAGTAAATATATTTATCTTTCTTATGACTTTCTCTTTTTTTCTGAATTTAAGACTTTATTTTTCTCTTCAATTTAAGGTAGAAGGACTACATTATAATCTACATCAGTTTCTTTTGCAAGATTACAAATCTCAAGAATCTTCTACTTTATACATTTTTTTACATTTTTGATATTTTCTAAAATACATACATATCAATTAGGATTAAGTGGTGCTCTTACAAAGTGATTTAAACAGGAGAGAACTTTATTTCTCTCTCATGTAAAAGAAGGCCAGAGATGGGCAGTGGCAATGCCTTCTCTGAACAGCAGCAGTAGTTACAGGTTTGGAATGATGTTCATGCTCACAAGACCTAATAAGCCTATGGAACCCGACTTTTCACCAGGC